>NC_000007.14:38365242-38990242 GCF_000001405.40 Homo sapiens
CACAGTGGAAAATCCAGAAAGAAAGCTGCATGTATGTAATATTTTATCATGTGATAAAGTGATATGTTAATATCCACAAGGAAATAGTCAATTATTTCATAAGTTCTCTTTTGGATATTGACTTACCATATGGAAACAAATATTGCTGCATTTCTACCTTACCAGTTACAAATAGTGATTTAGTTGTAATAAAAAGAAAATCATTAGACTTAAATGATGATGAATTGCATAGAAATTCTAGGTGAGATTGGCCTTTCTAAACCTGACATCAAAGTAGACACCATAGAAAAATTGATAGATTTTGTTTTTTTCAAAGTTCAATTCTCCAAAAGGTGCCAAATGTAAATAATAACAAATGAGGAGAAATATCTTCAACACATTGGATAAAGGGTCAGTATCTCTAAAATGGTGTATATTAATTCTTACGAACCAATAAGAAAAAACTAATCCTCCAATAGAAGAATAGGAAAAGAGTGTACAAGGCAATTCTCAAAAGAAGAAATATAAATGAACTGTAAAGTTGTAAAATGATGCTAGTACTCCTACGATGGGGGAATGCAAACCGAATTAACAAATCTCATTTTCTGAACCACAGAGCTTGGATTGCAATCATTATCAAATTAAAGTATATGACTTAGGGAATGTTAATTAACCCCCCAATTTCTAATGTTACATTCAACAGTACTTTAAATCCTTAATGAAGTTTCTGTGTAGATTAAATACAATATGCATGCAATGTGCTTAGTACATTAACTACCAGAATGTCAGTACCCATATTTACCATCAATATTATTATTATTATTAGTCTTTTTGAGACAGAGTCTCACTGTGTTGCCCAAACTGGACTGCAGTAGTGTGATATTAGCTCACTGAAAACTCCACCTTCTAGGCTCAAGAGATTCTCCTGCTTCAGCATCCAAGTAGCTGGGATTACATGTGTGCACCGCCACAGCCAGCTAATTTTTTGTATTTTTAGTAGAGACAGGGTTTCACCATGTTGGCTAAGCTGGTCGCAATCTCCCGGCCTAAGTATTCCTAACGACTGTACTACTCAAATGCTGGGATTACAGGCATGAGCCACCGGGCCTGGCCAGTATTATTATTACTAATACAGTAATTATTGTATAAAAATTCCTGATAGATCAATGATGCCATCATTAAATAATCAACACATAAAAACATTCAAATAAATGATATGGACGTCTTTATGCATACTTATGAAGTATGTGCACCTTTAGAAGTAAGACACACAATCCAGACACGGGAAAATATAAGATTGATTAAAATGTATAAAAACCAAATATAGGAACAAAAATATAAATATGGCATTGAAATAGAATTGATACATACTGCGCTATGACAGAGTGAAAAAGTTCAAGAAAACGGATAAAAATATTGTTACCTATAGTGTCAGGGAGAAAAGAGGAATGAGAAGTCTACAATGGAAGCTAAAATCTTCAAATGTGTCATCTTTTATAATTTTGACTTCAGTTCCAACTAAATGTTTTACGTATACAAAACAAATATGAAACAAAACAAAATAATACACAAATTTCCAAAATATAAAAATGAAACTGAACAATTAAAGCAGCTATATCAATGTTGGCATGAACAAATAGAGAAAAACTATTTCAAATGATTTTGTGGAAAAAGTATTGTGATTATGTACACAAAAAGGAGAGAAAGAGAGAAAAGCAAGGAAGGAAGGAAGGAAAGAAAGGAAGGAGGGTGGGGTGATGGAAGGAAAGGAGGAAGGGAGGGAGGGAGAGAAAATGATAAAAGCAAGCATGGAAGTAAGAAAGGAGAGCGAGAATAAAAGGGAGGGCAGAGAGAGAGAATGTTCAACTGCATATATTGGCCTAGTGTTTTAGTGGTCATTATAGTATTGCTTATATTGTTATAGACATAAGGAATAAGCACCACTCTCAGCTGCGATCTCTGGACCATTATTGGATGTATGATTCAGTATGAATACCCTTCCCATTTTTGTCCAAAATGTCTTGCTTCACAGCTGGACCCTAGCTGTACCTGTCTGTCCTAGGAAGCAGAGTGAGTGGGCCTTCCCCATGTTCTAGGAGAGCTGAGAGAAACTTGCTCTCAGCCAGGCTGCTTAGCTGAGGCTTGGAGGTGGCAGCTTGGTCTTCAGGAAAGTCCTGGGGGAGGGTGGGGAACAGGGTGCAGCTGCTGCCAGGGGAGTGTGATATTGCAGGGGAGATCAGGAGTTAAGCTGTGTTTCTCTTTGTACAGAATACAGTAAATTCAGGGCAGGAAATGAGAGTTGGCTGGTCTATCTTGTGTACCAGAAGCAACCACAGGCAGATTTTCAGTGTCTGAATCACTGTGCCTGTCCCAGGTGGCACAGTAATAGAACCCAGAATCATTTTTAATTAGATTTTGCAGTCTCAAATTCCAATTGCTCCTTGTGCTTCCAGTGTCATACTTTCCTGGAGTGATTCCTGATTCCAGCACAACCCTGGAGTAGTAGGGTTCATAGTACAGAAGACACTGTGGGGCCTTCCCCTCCTGGTGCAGGTACCAGTGGATGTATAAGGTACTTGCTCCAGGAAGATCACAGGTGATTTCAGCAGATGACCCAGTCAGCCTGGTGACTGACTTCGTTCTCCCTTCCAAGTTGGAAGATATCTGACTGGCTGCAATGGGAACAACACAAAATATAATGAGGCATTTCTTAGTATGTCGCTCCTTGCAAAAGAAGAAAATAACAAAACAAAACAAAACCCGTGATCCTCTCTGTAGGCAGCGCACTCACCAGGAGACAGGAAAGCTAGAAGCACCGCTAGGGCCCACCGCATGCCTTCCTCTCTGGGGCCTTGGAAGGAAAGGGACCAGATGAAGAGGAGCAGAAGATCCTCTTAAAACTCAGGCCCCACTCAACAAGGAAGTGATCCCTAGCACAGAAGACAGTAAGAGGAGCTGGTCTTCCTGAGTCACAGGCAGGGAGAAGTGACTGAGGATGTGTCTTAGGGGACTCCCAAGCCTTCCTCCCAGAAGCGGTGGTTCCTGGGAGGACCTGCAGAGGAGCTCCTGCCTCTCTGCTCAGGCCCGTTCTCCATCGCCCTCTTGTGGCAGCTGAGAGCAGGCCCTCTTCAGGAGAGAGCCAGGGGCATGGATTGCTCAGGCCCACAGCAGAGGGAGTGCAGATGTGGGGGAAGCTGACCCTGGCGCTAGCTGGTCATGGCCCTTGGGAGAGGGCAGTCCCACAGCAGGCTCACATCCTGCACTTCAGAGTTTCAGCAGCCAACGCAGCTGCCAGAACCTGGTCCTGCCAGGAAGCTTCTGATTAGGGCCCTGAACCACCTTCCTTTTCACATTTGCAAGTCCACATTTGCAAGTCCACCCAGGGCCATTCTGAGAAGGCTTGAGCCTGCTTTATTAACAGGACTGAGGGTCAGGCATGTTGGTTTGCCTTGGACTCTACTCAAATAAAAACAACGGCAGTGGCTCTCACTAACCATCGGTAGGACATTTTAAGCACCAAAAGAATAACACCTACACAAATTCTTGAAAAACATAATATAGCAAAATAAAGTCTCCTCTGGAGGTTGCTAAGACACCATCTCATTCTGAAAACAGAAAAGAAAATAATCAAGCATTTACCTTGCCATTTCTGTACAAACATTTTAGAATACCACAGAGCTTAAGAATGAAAGTTCTTTTTTTTTTTCTTTAGATAGATAGAGTCTCGCTCTGTGTCTCAGACTGGAGTGCAGTGGCACAATCTCAGCTCACTGCAATCTCCACCTCCGGGGTTCAAGCAATTCTCCTGCCTCAGCCTCCCAAGTAGCTGGGATTACAGGCACGCGCCACCACACCTAGCTAATTTTTATATTTTTCATAGAGATGGGGTTTCACCATGTGGGCCAGGCTGGTCTTGAACTCCTGACCTCAAGTGATCCACCCACCTCGGCCTCCCAATGTGCTGGGATTACAGGTGTGAGCCACTGTGCCTGGCCGAATGAAAGTTCTTTTGTGGAAGTATTACAACCAATAAATTTAGGAGAAATGTTAAAATGAGAATATTAGCATTATGCAACCGTAATGATATGTTGAATTTAGACAACTACCATGAATTGCTTTATAGCTTTCACGTGCCCTGGCTCTATTTCTCTCTCTACTATTCTATTTCTCTATCTCCTGCATTGCTTTCTATCACTATGTCCTTCCATCTCCGTCTTTATGTCCATATTTCTTTTTTCTCTGTCCCGTTTTTGTTCCTCCCTTTACATTTTTCCTTCTATAGCTCCCTCTTACAGCTCTCAGTCTCCTCTATTTTGCTTTAGTGCTCCTGTTTCTTACTCTGTTCATATCTTTATGTTTCTGTCTCTCTATCTGCCTATCTCTATTCATCTCTTTTTCTATTTCTCTATTTGTATCTCTCCTATCTATTTACTTTCTACCTCCTTCTCTCCTCCTCTCTTTCCATTTCTTCCTGTGGTCACTATAGCTCCTTTAAAGTCTTTGTTATTCCAACACCTGTGTCGTGTCAGGATTAGCATCTGTTGTTTGGCTTTTCCGTTTGGAGATGCTAAGATTTTCCTCGTCCTCCACATGCGGAGTAATTTCGGATTAAATCCTGTACACTTTGAATATCATGTTATAGAGCTCTGGGCATTGTTTAAATATTACACAGAATGTGGAGGGGGTTTTTTTGTTAGCAGGCAACTGACGCAGTTAGGGATTACAACTTCCTACTGGTGTTTGGTGGGCAGTTCCAGTCAGTTCCGTTTTCCAGCCTTTGCAGTACTTGTCTTGTCAGACCTGTCCTGTGTGTGCGCCACCCAGTGGCCATTCTAGGACCTGGGCAGTGCCTACTCCTGCTTCGGTTTGCAAGGCCTTTGGCTTTGGAGCTGTTTAGGGTCACGTTTATGCATGCACAGCTAGTGGGTGAGCCCAGGAGTCCAGACATCATTGCATGATGTTTCTTGCTTAATCTTCTTTCTCTCTGCAAGCTCTGCAATACTTTCTAGTTCACAGGAAATGCCCCTCCAGTCGTCTGGCCAGACAGGTGTGGCTTTAGCACACTGCATTTCCCACCATTGTGTCTCCCTCCAGGGCCAAGTGGTGAGAGGATAGAGAACAAAAACCACCAGGATTCTCTCTCAGGGCCACAGCTTCCCTGGTCAGAGAGAAGGATCCCTTTCCTAAGAGCTTTAGGCTCCTGGCTCACCATAGCTGCTGCCACTGCCACTCAGATTGCCTGGGGGCTGCGAGAGAATGGAAAAGGACAAAAAACAGAAAACCAGGGCTCTCTGACCACAGAGAGTCCCCCTTTCTCTCTGTCCTCACCTGGTGTACAGTTCTGCATTTCAGATTATCTTTGTACATATACTCTGATTATCTGAGTACAGGCCAGGGGATAATTGAGGAAAAATAAATAAGAAACTTACTGGGAATTCATAGTGCTTCACTTTCCGATTTCCTTCTCCAGTTGACTTGCTATCATTTATTTTTCAAAGTCCTCAGATTCAGGGTTCATAGTTGCATTTGTGAGCCAGACAAGGCAGTGTGGGCTCACTGCAAATTTTCCAGAAGTGGAACTCATTCTTGATAAGTCAAAGCTCCTTCGATTAAGAGGCGCCGTTTATGCCCCCCGCCTTTTTTTTTTTTTAAATACAAGAAGAACTCATAGGGCTCCAGTTCTGAATTGAGGCTTCAAGTGGCCTGATGTGCTTCTGCTAGCTCTTTGCTTTCTGTCATTGTCATTAGAACAAATCCAGGCTAGCCTGTTGGAGGATGAAACCCTGTGTGTAGTGGAGCTGATTTATTCAGACCCAGGCACTTTGACCAGGCAGTCCCCCTCCCAGCTAACCCAGCAGCTGCCTGACATGTGGCCAAGCCCAGCCAAGATCAGATGAGCTTGGTTTAGATCAGCAGAACAGTCTAGCAAACCTACGCATTTGTAAGAATTTGTAGATGATTATTGTGCTAAGCCACTGAGTTTGGGATATTTGCTACATGGCGTTATTGTGGCAATAGTATGGATAGACAGACAGACAGATAGAATATATGAAGAGAAAAGGAAAGCTAGAAATACATATAATTTTTTTTTTTTGAGACGGAATCTCGCTCTGTCGCCCAGGCTGGAGTGCAGTGACGCGATCTTGGCTCACTGCAAGCTCCACCTCCCTGGTTCATGCCATTCTCCTACCTCAGCCTCCCGAGTAGCAGGGATTACAGGTGCCCGCCACCACACCCGGCTAATTTTTTGTATAGAAATATATATAATATTTTATATATAACATATTATACATGTATAAATACATTTATGTATATTTTTACAATATATAAATATGCATATTTCTTTGTTTTTTCTCTTTATATATATTTTTCTATCTCAATATTTACCATTATTTCTGTATATTTATCTCTATCTTCCTAACACTGCCGCACTCTGTGTGTCCACGTGTATGCTTCTGTCTCCACAGGTCTATCGTTCTCTCTCTCTCCCTATCTCTCCCCCTAACTCCAGTTCTCTCTTCTTGTATCTTTCCCTATTTCTCTGTCTCTCTCCATCACTGTCCCTGTCCCTGTCGCTATATTTATATCACAGTTTCTCTCTCTTCTCTGTTGTTTTCTCTCTCTCCATCTTCCCTCCCTCTCTCGCTGTCTCTCTGTCCCTTTGTCTCTCACCCTCTCTCTGTGTTTTGTATTTCTTTCTCTGTTTTCTCTCTCTCTCCCCCGCCATGATAGAGAACTATACCTCTCCACGTGTCTCTGTCTCTTGCTCTTTTTGCTTGTATGGCCACTGTCCTAGTCATTTTCTTTCCTTCTCACTTCCACTCTGCTCTCTGTCCCTCTTCAACTTTCTACTTTCTGTTGCCGTCACTGTCTCTATATCATGCCCTCTCCCTCTTCATATGAACACTCTGTCCCCTCTTGTGTCTCTCCTTTTGTCTCTATCAAGTCCTCCTTGCCAGTCTTCTGGGGTCCTGAGGGTGTGATCTGCTCACTATGGTGGGAGAGAGGTGCAAACTCACAGATGTAAATGTTCTTCTGCTTCTCCTCGTAATTGTACCTTTACATATCAAGAGGTCAGCATTATGATGATGATGATAGAAGAATTGTTTAAAAAAATAGCACTGCCTTGGGGAGAAAGTTCTAGTGCGCAGACAATTGCTTGTATTTCTATTTCAGTCTGCTGTGAGATGTTCCCTAGCAACACTATGGGAAACAATCTGCTTACCATGAATTATTAGAATTTCCTCACCTCTAAATGGTTGTCTGGGCTCTCTGTATCACTTTGTGACCGCAGTGACGCAGGTCAATAGTGTTTTCAATGAGCTTAAGGGGGCACACACCTCAGTATCAAGAGCACACAGCACAAGGCCTGGAACGTAGTAGGCATTTAATGTGTATCAATGAGGCTGGGCACGGTGGCTCATGCCTGTAATCCCGGCACTGTGGGAGGCCGAGGCAGGCAGATCAGTTAAGCCCAGGAGTTCCAGACCAGCCTGAGCAACATGGTGAAACCCAGTCTCCACAAAAAATACAAAAATTTAGCTGCACGTGATGGCACACGCCTGTAGTCCCAACTACTTGGGAGGCTGAGGTGGGAGGATCCCTTGAGTCTGGGAGGTCAAGTCTGTAGTGAGCTGTGATCGTGCCACCGCACTCCAGCCTGGGCAACAGAGTGAGACCCTGTATCAAATATATGTATATTTGGATGGGATAAATGATCAGGTGTGTAGTTTAGAAGGCTATTATAAGGGTGTCAATAAGGCTGAATTATATAACATATATTCTTTCCATAGAAAATTAAAAGGAAAAATGAAAAATTCTGCAAAGAACAGGGTTTGTATATGCTCAGTCTGGGCTGGGGCATAGATGGGAATGAGTAACTCATGCACATCATCACTGATCATCCCGGGCTAAAATAGGAGTGGACAATGGAGAAGATACGAAGCCAGAGTGGATGGATGAAGGGTCCCCAGTTTACGTTCCTGTGTCCTGTGCTGCTCACTGGCCGCTGCATGTTCCCAGAAGACAGCAGCATCTCCTGCCAGTGCTGTGGCCAGGCGGTGTCAGGCATCGTTTCCAGGGAAGTTAAGTGTGTCCCAGAAACCTCAGCCAAAGCTTCACTTCCTGCCTGCTCTTCTTACAGGCCCTGTGGCTGCCTGGTGCCCTGGGAATGGTCCGGTCATGGGCCTCAGCCCAGGATGAGCAGCCAACAATGCAATCCCACGAAGAGTGTGCGGAAGGGAGAGGTTACTTCTCAAGATGGAGCTGCCAAATAGGGACACTTTGGAGAGTCTGGCCTGAGAACTTTTAGTTTCAAGAATGTATTGCTTTGGAAAAGACAGAATAAAAGTCCAAGCACTGCCACTTAGAGGTTGTATGTCCTTGGGAAAGTCACTGTACTTGGCAATTATAACCTTTACCCTGGATACACCATTCATCTCCTGGGGCCAGGGGTTGTGCCACCTTGTTCATTTCTAAACTAAATGATATCTAAGCTAGTCTTTACCACAGTTTAATTCTTACAATAATACTCCAAAGGAGATATAATCAACCACATTTCACAGATGAGAGAGTTGGAATCTTAAAAAGGTTAAACTCTTCGAGGTCATTTGACGAATAAATAATGGAGCCTGGATTTCAACTGAAGTCTAACAAATTCCAAAATCCTGGCTACCGGCCATTTATATTCGTGTGTGTGTGTATATATATATATATAAATTATATAACATATATACATATATCATATGTATATATATTATATATATTTCTTTTTAAGTTATAAAGTATAAGAGACCATGAAGAAAATTTCAGAAAGATTTTAGAAACTCAAGGGTCACTCTCAGCTGCCAGTAAGAAAACAACCTAAGATACTGTTGAATAGTATTCATTCAGTTAATTATGGTGGACCTCAAAAAGTCATAGGAATTTCCTCTAGCACTGTTAAGTAAATAGTTAATGGCCTTTTATTAAAAGACTAATTTTTAAAGTCATAGCAGAAATTCTTGATCCATTAAATGATAGCAAATACCCTTTGAGTGTCAAACATTGTATATATTTATTCTTTTCTTGCAAGCAGAAAATAGGTGTTACTTATCCCCATTTTTCAGATGAAATTGAAGCTTACAGAGAGGTTAAATAACTCCTCGAGGTCACCTAGCTAATAAACAGCACACCAAGAATTTGAACCAAACAGACAAGTCTCCAGAGCCTGTACCATAAGGGAACTGCTTGGCTGTTTATGATTCAGGGATTAATTTCTGTCTTCATGAAGCTGCTGCATTTTGATACAAAATGTTATATTTCCGATTTGATTTCAACTCCCAGCTTCATGCTTTAAAAGAAGTAGTGTTTTGACTGCATTTAGTTATTTGTACAAACCTGTAGCACCCCCTCCTGGCCATTCGAGGTATACCATACATGTTATATTACCCCAATATTAGACCCCAACGAATGGCAAAGACTTCGTATAACGAATGGAAAGGTCCCCAAATGCAAGGCAGGTTCCAACTGCACACCTTATGTGCTTGATAGTTTTAGGCAAGAGACTCCTTCTTGCAGGGCTGTCATTTCCCCCGCCTCAAAATCAGAGGAGTGGGTGATGTTTTTGGTCTCTTCTAGTTCTAATTGTGATTCTGAATTGAATTGATAAACTGGATATTGAAGGAATAGGTGTGGTGAAATGAAAAATGGAAGCTTCTAGTTTTTATTTTGATCCAACAATAATGCATGTTATTTGCTTCCTCTTGACTCAACATTGCTCTAGGAAAAGCCTATTCTATATAGACTCCTTAACAAAAACATTGATTCCTAAAGGTCTTCTGAATGTTTGGATAGCCAATGGCTTTGCAGCCCAGCCTGGCCACTACATGAGGCCGATGACTTTAACAAACTTATTTCAGGCCAGTGTAAATGCAGTGTTCAAAAATCCCACCTAAGAAGGATGGGAACACGGAGGTTTGTGTAGGTAACATGCAGGTGTGTGCACATGTACCCAAGAATGCACACACACATACATGGACACAACTGCAATTGATACAAAAGGCTGAACTGTGCTGATTCTTACAGGTACTTGGTTCTGGCCCAGTCTGGAAAAAAAGAAAAGATCCTTAGTCTAAACATGCATACAAAATAGAATTCCCACCATGCTTTGATGTTATCTATTTATAATTTTCAATGTTTCAATGTTTTGTGGTCTTAAAAATTACAAGGATTATTATCAATAATCCTTGTACCTAATGTGCCTTGACTCTGAAGGACATGGTAACTGCCTGTGGTTTAGAAAATGTTTTGGCTAAAAGACAAGTTCTCCTCCCTCCTCTCATTTTTATATCACAGAGCTGCACGGGGGCTTGGATCAATGCCTGAATCCAGTGTTCCTGAGTGCAGAGCATCTTTGCTCTGGGTGAGCTTTGACCATCCTGGAGAAGAAGGCTGCTGCGGGGGTGGGACAAAGCCAAGACCAATGCCCAGCGGCCAAGGCCAGCCAGATGGCTCTGTGCTGGCAGCCAGTGTACACGGATTTTACCTGAAGGAAAATGTCACATTTTCCACAGACAACTGAAGAAAGAGAGCTCTTTGGATTACCCTAATTGTGATTTACTCATTGGAACCACTGTTTTGGATTGTCCAAAATTAAGTCTCAAAGCTTAAATATGAGGCTTCAGGGAGTTATCCTGAAATCAGTGCTTGGTATCTTCTTGTTTTTTGCTTGTTTTTTAAAACCTTAATTCTCATATTTTTCTGTCATATTTCTCAGTGCCTGGTACATTATCACCATTAATCCATGCCAGTTATGTACAGTTTTGCATGTTTGTTTTTTATTTTACTCTTTTCTCTCCTTCATTCCCTATTCCTGTTCCCCCATAGGTGCCCAGTCTAATGTATTTGATATCTGTCCTTAGAGCCTCCGTATCTGTGAAGACTAGAGTCATGCACTTCATCACATTTCAGTAACGATGGGCCGCATGTACCACAGTCCCATGAGATGATAGAGGTGCAGAAAAATTCCTGTCATCTAGTGACATCGTAGCCATCATAACATCACAACACGACTCTCATTTGTGGTGACCCTGGTGTACACAAACCTACTGTACTGCCAGTTGTATAAAAGTCTAGCACATCCAGCTACGCACAGTACATACTTGAAAATTATAATAAATGACCATGTTACTGGTTTATGTAATTACTATATTATACTTTTTAATCATTATTTTAGAGTGTACAACTTCTACTTGTAAAAAAAAAAAAAGTTAACTGTAAAACAGCCTCAGGCAGGCCCTTCAGTAGGAATTCCAGAAGAAGGCACTGTTGTCCTAGGAGATGACAGCTCCATGTGTGTTACTGCCCTGATGACCCTCCGTGGGTACAAGATGTGGAGCTGGACTACAGTGATATTGAAGATCTCGACCCTGTAGGCCTAGGCTAATGTGTGGCTGTGTCTTGATTTTTAGCAAAAATGTTTTAAAAGTGAAAATGTTAAAAATAGAAAACAGTTTATAGAATAAGGATATAAAGAAAATATTTTGTACAGCTGTATAATTTTTTTTTGTTTTTCTTTTCCTTTTTCTTTTTTTTTTTTGAGACGGAGTCTTGCTCTGTCGCCCAGCTGGAGTGCAGTGGTGTGATCTCGGCTCACTGCAACCTCTGCCTCCTGGGGTCAAGCGACTCTTCTGCCTCAGCCTCCTGAGTGGCTGGGACTACCGGCAAGTGCCACCATGCCTGGCTAATTTTTGTATTTTTTGTGGAGATTTTCACCATCTTGGCCAGGCTGGTCTTGAACTCCTGACCTGGTGATCCACCCGCCTTGGCCTCCCAAAGTGGTGGGGTTACAGGCGTGAACTACAGGGCCTGGCCTGTTTGTGTTTTAAGCTAAGTGTTGTTAGGAGTCAAAAAGTTAAAAAATAAAAGTTGCTAAAGTAAAAAAGTTACAGTCAGCAAAAGCTAATTTATTAATGAAGAAAGAAATGTATGTTTTGATCAATTTAGTGTAGCCTAAGTGTCCAGTGTTTATAGTCTACAGGAGTGTACAGGAACGTCCTAGGTCTTCACATCCTCTCACCACTCACTCATTGACTCACTCACCCAGAGTAGCTTCCAGACCTGCAAGCTCCATTCATGGTAACTCCCCTATACAGGTGTTACAGTACTTAAAATTTTATATCCTATTTTTACTGTAGGTTGTCTCTGTCTAGATATATTTGGATACACACATACTTACCAATGTGTTACAGTTGCCTGCAGCACTCAGTACAGTAACATGCTGCACAGCTTTGTAACCTAGAAACAACAGGCTACACCTATAGCCTCTGTGTAGTAGGCTGTGCCATCTGGGTTTGTGTTCTACAACGTTGCATTCTACAATGTTCACACAAGGATGAAATCGCCTAAGGACACATTTCTCAGAATGCTTCCTCATTGTCAAGCAATGCATGACTGTATATAGAATTGTTCATAAATACTGTGTTTTTCATCCATGTAAATGGCATGCCATTTCTACCTATCCACGTCTGCACACCAGCTCATGCCCCTCATTCATGCTCCTTTCTGCTGCTCACCGCTCCACAGCTGGCAGCCCCTGCATTCCATCCATCCATTCCCCCAAACATGGGCATGTTGCTATCAGCAGGGAGCTGTGATGGACCCCTCACAGGGTCCTCTTATTCCTCGTGCAAGCCTTTCCCTGGGAAGTTCCTCCCAGCATTGCTGGTCAGGGGGAACACACACTCACATCTTCACTAAATGCTACCAGTGCTATGGTGTTATCAGAAACTTTATTTATTTATTTTTTGCCAATATGATAGCTATCAAGCTACCCCATCTCTACTAAAAATACAAAATTAGGCCTTTAGTAGAAACCCTGTCTCTAGTAAAAATACAAAAATTAGCTGGGCATGGTGGCACACACCTGTAATACCAGCTACTTGGTGGCTGAGGCAGGAGAATTGCTTGAACCCAGGAGGCAGAAGCTGCAGTGAGCCAAGATCGCACCACTGCACTCTAGCCTGGGCAACAGAGAACCTGTCTTAAAAACAAAAACAAAAAAAATGGCACAGGTCTGATTATTAGGAAGCTGAGGTTCTTTTTTATACTTAGTATTCACTGAAGTGTGAATTACCTTTCATGTCCTCTAAACATACCAACAAGGAGGCTGGAGTTAGGACTTATGTTAGAGCCAGCCTGCCTGGGGCACAGCCTGGCCCTGCCATTTATTGACTGTGTGACTTTGAGAAAGCTTCCTCATGTAACTCTATCTTAGCTTCCCTGCCTGTAATAAGTAAAAACAGCAACTACCTCATAGATTTGTAAAGATTACATAAAATAATACATGCAATGCATGGCAAACGACAGTCAACGAATGTTATTATTATATTAACTATTGCCATATTATAAATATAAATAAATATAAATGATATAAACAAACTAATAATAGTAATTATTCATTTATTCTTGACTTGAATGAGATCCTTGTGTACTTTAGACATTTATCCTTTGTGAATTTGGGATGGTACAAATATCTTAGGCAAGTCTATCATCTGTCTACCAACTAACTATCTCAAATATCTTTTCATTAAATATAAATTCTTAATTTTGGAGTCAAACTCTTTTTTTTTTTTTTTTTTTGCCCATATACTTTGGGTGTTTCCGAGTCTCATTTAAGAAAACTTTCCCCTCTCCAATATCACAGAAGTATTTTGCATTTTCTTCTCACACTCAGTTTCAAATTTTATTCCATGTTGATCCTGGGATTAGGGTTTCTGGACTTCCCTGAACTAATCGTTCAATCAGCCTCTTGTTCGTTCACTCAGCACACAAGTATACAAGATCCAGAAGTGAATACAGCATGCAGAGAAGGTTGGAGACAGTGTGCCTCTTGGTAGGGGAAATGAAGGGCTAGGGAGTATCATATTTACTCTAAATGTGGAAAGAATGTAGAAGGATGAGAGGACGGGGGATTTTGAGGATACAGGGCTTGGACTACGCCTGGGGGATGGGATTAGAGGCCAACAGGAGAGGGGAAGGCATCCCAGGAGAGGGGTTTTGCAAAACGGCAAGAAAGGTGTATAGCTGAGGGGGAGAAGGCGGGTGGGGTGCTGAGGAGACGCCTCTGAAGCAGGCAGTGGATGAATACTGGGGAAGAGGTGAAGTTCAGCTCTGAAGACCAAGCAGAGGCTCCTGGATCTGGTATGACATGCAGCAGATATTCATCATTTGTGTATGTGTTTCTGAGAGGGAGAGGCGAGGAGGGAGTGGGGACCTGTTGGGTACTTAAAATGGGTGGGCAGTAGGGTACGAGGAAGACAAGAAGTCAGGTGGCAAGGGAGACAACAAGGATCCAATTTGTCTTCTCTGTCAGTGTGAAGAACAGAACCCCGACTAGATTAAAGTGCAAGGTTGTATGTTTTGCAGGGAAATCATAGCAGGTGCCCCAAATCTGGAAAATGATGCACAAAGGAAGCTCCCAAGTCTTCAGGCCCAAGATTCTGAAGAATGGAGGAGCCCCTCAGTGACGCACCATGGAGGGGTTTGGAAGGAAGTCCCTCAAGCGTGAAGTCTAAATCTTATGAATGCGGTCCCCATGTACAGTAACTGACACTTAGCTGGTGCTTGATATATTTTAATGAACAAATGAACATGTGGACTTGGAAGCAATAATTGGACACTCCAAAGGCAACATTCCTTGGACAACTGGAACACAAATTGAAGGACAGGTCGCTATTGCCCCACCCCACTTCCAGCAACCACAGGAAGGAGGAAAAAAAATTAGGAACAGTAACAGAGAAGGAACAACAAGAGAGGTAAGAAAACAAGGAAAGTTCGTATCTTGGAATCTTGGGGGAGAATTGGAAGTTTGGTGGCATCTCCAAATGCCACAGACAGCACTTTGTGATCACTGGTAGGGTTTTGGAGAGCAGAGCATAATGACACAGAGTTTAATATTTACTGGTGGGAGAGGGTGTAGGGTATCAGCCATGTGGCAAGGTGCGTATGGACAAGGCACTCCTGGGCTGGACTGGTTTTACAGGGCATCAGAGTGCAGCAGGGAGGGAAATAAGCATGCAATTCTGACCCAACCCTCAAGAATCAAACAACCTGAGTGTTTGACCTGAGATCGGGGGGACTGGGAATTAACTGGATTTTAGGAAACAAAGATAAAATTTAGATTTCTTTGGAAAGAGCTTCAGGGTACCTACCTGGCCTTCCTCTCAATTTGCATAGATGTAAGGGTTATGTCTCAAATATCTTTTAAGTGGAAAAAGTCACTATTTGCTGCTGCTTGTTAAGTGATCCTTAAAAGGTATTACCAATGAGTCACAAAATATTTGGATGGAATATTAAGCTTATTCGCGCATGGTTTATTTGGCTTTATGAACAACTTATCAACCCCCTACTGTGTGCCTTGAAGAACGCTGCCCGTGAACATCCAGGCGGTCTCCTCCTGGTGATTCAGGACAGGATCATCATCAAACAGGGATGCACCTGCAGGGCTCAAAGATGAACAAAACCACCTGGATCTCCATTTTCTAAGTCTTCCAAGAGAATATTGGTCATTGTCTTCTCTGTGCTGTTACCAAATGTCCGATTCCATTTACTGAAGTCCTAGGAAAGTCTCACACCAGGAAGACGGTAGCTACAGCACTGTGTAGAAAAGCTGTGCGATCTGCTCATCTCCAAGTTCTGACACGTTTGTAAGGTTTTTAGTTGAGTTCCAAGTAAAAACCAGAAGGCAGCTGTTAGTTGGGCTCCTTTGAAAAGAGGAGTAGAGTCCTATCAAGGCCAATCCATTGGCCAGTCTATTTCTAAGGCTTCAAGGTGTTCAGCCATGCAATTTTGCATGGAATAAAGCACTGAGCTTCCGCCATCTTTAAACTCATTGAGTTCTCATAACTTTTGTAGTTTCCCGAAGGCATTTTCTTTAATGGGCCATCTGAATGGGCCATGGGGTCATGCTGGGATTGTTCCAATGACCTGGTTAGAGGCTTCTTTATGTAAGAAAAGAGGGCTCAGAATTCTAAACGTGCACACTCCACTGGGCAGCCTAAGATGTGATGGATATGGTTTTCTGGCTGACTCCAAAGCCACCCCAGCTTTGTCAGGAAGAGCAGGCGTGGTGGAAGCAATGCAACAGCATGGTATGGGAGCTTTTACCTGTCCCAGGGGCCCTGGCTACCCTGAGATAGTGTTAAAAATTGAAATTGCTGGCCAGGTGCGGTGGCTCACACCTGTAATCCTAGCACTTTGGGAGGCTGAGGCCGATGGATCACTAGGTCAAGTTATCAAGACCATCCTGGCCAACATGGTGAAACCCTGTCTCTACTAAAAATACAAAAATCAGCCAGGCATGGTGGCACGCACCCGTAGTCCCAGCTATTTGGGAGGCTGAGGCAGGAGAATTGCTTGAACCTGGGAGGCAGAGGTTGCAGTAGGCTGAGATCATTCTACTGCACTCCAGTCTGGCGACAGAGCGAGACTCTGTCTCAAAAAAAAAAAATTCAAATTGCCAGGCAATTTTACTTTGCAATTATATGCATCACACAGGTTTACATGAGTGACTATTTGTCATATTGGTAGGAATGCCAGGTAGGTGTATGTTTAATAAGAACTACTGGCTTTCTTTCCAAACAGTTCTGACTCATAACTATTTGAAGGTCTGCATGACATTGGGTTTCTAAGAAGAATCTTAAATCATGGAGAGGAAGCTCAGAAAGGACCAAGGCCTGACTGGGTGTGGTGGCTCACGCCTGTAATTCCAGCACTTTGGGAGGCTGAGGTGGGCAGATCATGTGGTCAGGAGATCGAGATCATCCTGGCTAACACAGTGAAACCCCATCTCTACTAAAAAATACAAAAAAAATTAGCCGGGTGCGGTGGCGGGCACCTGTACTCCCAGCTACTTGGGAGGCTGAGGCAGGAGAATGGTGTGAACCCGGGAGGCGGAGCTTGCAGTGAGCCGAGATCACGCCACTGCACTCCAGCCTGGGCAACAGAGCAAGACTCCGTTTAAAAAAAAAAAAAATGAAAGGACCAAGGCCTGGTTCAAGGCCATTTGGGATACAATACAAACTTGCCATTATATGACTGGGTGATGTGCCTAGGATGGGTTGGTGGTGTGAGAACTTGAACGGAATAACTGAGAAAGAGAAGTGGAAAGAACTTTACACTAGTAATCCCAGAAAGTCCTTGAAACTAACATTCCTTAGAAAATCCACTGAAATGGAAAACAATGTTCACTCCACATTCAAGGACATTTCTGGGGAATGCCACCACCACACGCCCATCCCCTCCATCTCCTTCATTTTCAATGCATTAGGAATTCTTGGATTTTGGCAATTCCTGAAACAAACAAACAAAAAATCTGATAACTCTTATTTAGTGTAAAAAAAAATCCAAAGGCATTTTAAAAAACAGGACTAAATAGCTAATTAAAATCACGTCATTTCAGAAGAACTTGTTACATTCATCTAGGAACATTCATCTAGGGCTACAGTTATCTGGGCCATGTCCTGGCAAACTGTACACTGTGAGCAGCCACTGTGGGCAGGAGGGTGAAAGGAATTTAAGAATGATTCATCACATCTTCTGCTCCAGGAGATGTGGCAAGCCAATTATCTTTGCAGAACATTAGGTGCATTTTATTATTAGAGCGAATTTTTCAGTCTTGGCTTTTAACATCCTGTGTGTACTCTACTGTCAGGAGTGGCTTTCTATTACGAATCTTACATTGCTGCATTCCACTTGCTGAATTATCAGTCATGCTCCTGGGCAGTGACATTTGCTTTTCTTGCACTAGAATAGCATTCATGATGACCCAGCTTCTCTGTATATTAGCCCCTGGAAAAATCTTGGCTCAAAAACAGTTATTTCCCTATTCACACTTAAAACAACAAAGTCAGTAATACACCAGGAAGATTCAAACCATGAATCAGGAATACATACTAAATCTAAAAGTCTAATAATATACATTCTTGATCAGCCTATGTTGTATAAAGAATTATATTAGCAGAAAAGAGTCCAAATCAACTAAAAGGATTTGCGTTAAGAATTCTCTTTTGGAAATAATGGCCAAGTGAATTCACTTTTCTATTCCAACTGATCTAATTTTTATGTACCTACGAACATAAACATGCCAAAAAGGAAAGTGACCAGAAAATGAAGCTGGTGTGAGAAGAAATTGCTGATTATGAAGGTCGTAAGATTATCAGTGATTCACGGACTGGGAGTCTACAGCCGGCACCTTTAAGGGCTCTCCGTTGGCAGCTGTTATTGGTGCTGCAGTAATTGCTGGATGTCAGGGAACACCGAGTGACCAGCAATGACTGGAATGAAAGAAGTGGGGAGGTGCGGTGGGGGCGTGGAGTGCAACCTAGTGGAAGAACAAGCATATTTCTGCACAAATAACAACTCCAATACCAACTGTTTCAAGCAGAGTATCCGACTGGAACAAAATTTCCAAAAAAAAAAAAAAAAAGACTCATCAAAAGGAATTAGGGTAATCGTTGAAGATTACCAAAGGTTTATTTGGAATGACACAGCACTGAAAACATAATTGTTACAGATGATTTGTGGATACAGCATACACCATCTATTTTACTTTAGAACAATCTGTGAAGATGAGTTGCATAAATAGAAAGAGGTGGAAATATAGAGGAGCTGTTTTTATAGTGTTCTTTTGGGGGTAGATGAATATGCCCCATCTTTCTACCCAATCTCATAAAGGCAGAAGAGAAGACTGCTTAGCTGCCCATCCCAACTAGCCTACCTCCAGCCACAGCGGCTGGACAGCTAGATAAATCAGGCCCTGCCTTCTCTGAGGGTGCCTCAGTGTAGTCGTGCTATCTGTCATCTCATCCTGAAAACTGCACAGTACAAACACAGATACTGTTGACTCTTTTGCCAATGGGATGGCTGGTTTTGCCATTAGGCAAAACTGCAATTGTAATGCCAGACAGAATAAGAGCAATGCATGTATCAATGACAATTGAGAGGCAAAGAGCTACAATGGAAAGGAAAGAAGCAACTATGTATATGTAGCCTTCTGCATACACATAGATCCAGGAGTCATGGGAACTAGCTTGCGTGACTGTGTGTCCATATATATATAGATGTGTTGGAAAAGAACATTGAGAACTTTTGCAGCAGTTTAGTTTTAAACATAGTAAACCTGAAAGGGAGCGAGAGCACGTGCTCACACCTGGGCAGGGGAATAAGATAATCTTGTACTACAGGATAATTCATCACATCTTCTGCAGGGCAGCCACTCAATACGATACACCTGATGCAGAGAAATTAAAGTCTGATCTGGAGAAAGCTACTTTAGAATTGGTGGGAGGGGATCAAGTACAAGAGTCTCCACAGCTTGGACAAAGCACAAACAAACCTGTTATTGACAACATGGGAATGAGTGAGGATTTTTTCCTTAATTTACTTTTTTTCCTCTTACATTTTTTTGCACACATGCTCCATTGATACATCTTCCCAAGGTTTGTCTGGCATCAGTCTGTAAATCATTAAGAGCATAATAACAAAAGTGAACTCTTCAGGTTTTCATGAAGGTTTAAAAACCCCGTAACTGAGCTCCTTCTTGCAGTACTTGTTGCCCTAATCTAAGCGTCGGGTGAAGTTCTCTGGAAAGAGGCCTTTGTAGGTGGCAAGGTCTCTGTACTGAAGCCAGTCTGATTCCTTCACTCCCACCAGCCAGCCTGCATCCTGAAAAACAATGACAGAACTTTCAGGGTCCAGCAAACTACTGGAAAATCCACACTGCCACAATTAATTAATAATGTGTTACATTAGTGTTGTGGTTCTGAACCAGGATGTCACATTACAGGTAAAGTGCTGTGCCGTGATCAATGGGAAGGCCTATCCCAAATAAGTTGTTAGTTAAAAAAAAAAAGAAAAAGAAAAAGAAGGAATAAACATTTGCAATGACTTATTGACTGTATAAAGTATAGCTAATGCTTTGTACATTGTGACTGTACAAAGCATAGTTAATTGATATTAACTGGATTATAATATGAGTTCTTAAAGAGGAGAAAAGGATTACAATTACAACCAGTGCAAAGACAGGAATACCATGTGAAAGCATTTCATGCACAAGAGCATGACCTGTTCTGGGGTCACAGTGTAAAAAAGGTTTGAGGTTGCTTGGGTTAGAATGGAATACTGATGAGGCCATGGAATATCTTATATTTCATCCCAAGCCACTTGCTCATAAGAAAGAACTCTGACCCCCAGCTCATATCCTATAACCCCAATAAACTACCTATGTAGATGTAGGGCTCATCAAATACTAAAAGCTAGATGTGTGTTGCCTTATATTACTATTTTTGTTTTTATAATACCTAATTTTTCAAGTTTATATAAACTACAAAGCAGTTGGATGTCATGGCATTCTTGCTGGAAGCGCTCCTATATCCTTTATAAATTATTCCTCATAAACATTTGTCTGTCATATAGAAGTGCCATCACAAAAATGAAACAGTTTGCCCCAGAAAGGGTAAAGAACCCATCCATATATGGTCATGCAGAATGGGAGATGATACTTAAAACTGAGAAACAGAGGCTGTGGTCTGCCCTTGGCTTCCTGAAGTTAAGCAGAGTCTAGCTGGAAAAGCTGTGTTGAAAGGAACAGTGGGAAATGAGACCATAGGAAGTGCAAGGAGTGGGAAATGACTATCTTTATTATGTTAACCAGTGCAGAAAGGAAATTCCAGTTCAGATGAGGGATGGCCAGGTTTAGTCTGAACAAACCCCCAACATAGTTCAAGTATATCAGATAAAATGAGGCCTCAAAAATTAAATGAAGAAGCTGAATTCATTCCCTTTTGATATAATCTGAGACTCTAAATTGATGCTGCCATATAGACAAGAAATATAAGTATTTAGACAGCCCAATTTTTGAAGGCAGGAAAAAAACCGCTGAGGAAAAAAACGACTCAATAAAATAACTGATAATATCCTAGCTGATGAGGAAAAGTGCCCTCTTTAAAATTATGATGTCATATATGTGAAGGACAAAGCTATGCTTAAAATAAAAGATGATAGCTAAATATTTTCTGAAGCTCTAGAAAGCATATAAAAGGTCATTTTTCCCCCACAAGTGTCTATATTTGACTTTATTTACAGTAGGTGAAAAATCTAATGGAGCCAAGTAGAGTTAAGCACTTAAAAATTGTTTCAATAAAGAAAACAAGTAAAGGACTACACAAACCCACAATCAAGATATATTCCAACACATATAATCTGAAAGACAACTTGTAAAGAATATTAGCCAACATCAATCTTTAGCTGAGGAAAATATAAAAAATTAAATATTAACTGCTTAAAATATGTGGTAGAAAAAGATTTCCTGTCTTGGTAATGGTAGAATGGCTTGTATTAGACAACTCCTTCTGGAGAGAATAATTAAAAACATTGGAATAACTATATATCTCCAAATATCTATATATACACATATGCAACTATTTATATAAACAAACAACTCTTGGTTATACAATATATAAAGTGTAAATTTATATATAATGGGATGGGTATAAATAATGGGTAAAACTATTTGAAGATGCTGGAAATGACCAAAAGGAGGCAGAAATTAGAAAGTATTTGACCCTTGAAAGTAGAGAACTGCAAGGGGTGAGATCTATGCTGATACAGCTTTTCCCCTGAGGATTATCCTCACTCAGTGTGATGTGGGGCATTCACAGCATAGAGTGTAAGGCTCCCAGAGAAGCTGTACACTCAGGGGGGTTATCTTGAAAAGAAAGGAATCACTGGGGGATGGGTATCCTAACGTATGTGGATAAACTGCCTTGAAATCCTGGGCTGACCCCCAAGCTGTGCATGCATAAAGGGTACAGACCCACCCTAACAAAGTATAAAACCAACTCCCATCAATTCAAGGGAATTATCCAGTAATTTATATGTCTGCTAAAACAAAAATAAGCAATTTTCAGATATAGAAAACAGAGTCAGACTCTTTACCACGTATGGTCTACCTACTATGTCTAGTATCAATTAAAAAATTATTAGACATGGAAAAACAGGAAAATATGACCAAAAGATTAAAAAGCAAACAATAGAAATATGCCCTGAGATGGCCCAGCTGTTGGAATTAGCAGTAAGAAATTTAAGGCAGCTATTATAAATTTGTTCAAGTATATAAATTGAGAGACAGTAATAATGAAAGACTATAAGTGGGAAATCTCAGCCAAGAAATGGAAACCCATATGAAATAACAATATGGAAATGAAGAATTGTAAGAATCTAATATCTGAGATGAAAAAGTCACTGGATAAATTTAACTACGAACTCAAAGTAGCAGAGGAAACACTCATAGCACTTGAAGGCAGATCAATAGAAATTATCCAACCTGACTACCAGAGAGAAATAGTGAAAGAAAAAGAACAGCATCTTAGCTATCAAGAAGTCCAACTTAAGTATAATTAGAAACCCAGAAAAAAAGAACAAAGAGAATAATTCAGAAAAAAATTAAAGATAAAAAGCAAATGTAGTGAAAAACATTAGGTTACAAGTCTAAGGATCTCAGTGATTTTCAAGTATGAAGACCATAAAAAAAAAAAACCTACCCAAGCACAATATATTTAAACTGATGAAAATCAAAGATACAGCGAAATTTATTAAAAGTAGTCAGGGAAAGTCACTTTGCATACAGAGAAGCAATATTAAACAAATGACAGCTGATTTCTAATTATAAACAATAGAGACCAGAAAACAATGAAACATGTTTAAAGAGTTGAAAGAAAAAAAAATCAACTCAGATTTCTACCTTAGTGAAAGTATTGTTAAAAATTAAGAATAATAAAGACATTTTCAGATATACAGAAGCCAAGAAGATTTGCTGCCAGCAGACTAGCACTTCAGAAATAGCTAAAGGAAGTTCTTTAAGCAGAAAGGAAATTAAGACCAGATAGAAACTCGGACTTAAGGAAAGAATGAAGACCTGGAAATGGTAAACATGGTGGTAAACATAAAAGACTAACTTTTTTTCCTTTTATTTCTTTACAAAATAACTTCTGGTTAATGCAGACAAAAATCCCATTATAAATGGGATTTTTAATATCTTTGAGATGTGTGATGCTGACACCTTTTCTTTGTATTGGTAATTTATGCTTTGTGACTTTTCTTTCTTGAGTATTTCTAAGGTTTTAATAATTTTGTTAATCCTCTCAAAAACCTACTTTCGGCTTTATCAATTTTATCTGTTATAGTCCTTTATTGCATTCATTTGTGAATTTATTTTTATTATTTTCTTCCTTCTATGCATTTTTCTATTTAATTTCTATTTAATGATCATTATGAAATTTTTTTTTAACTCACACTATGATTTATTTGACCCATGGGTTATTTAGAAGTGTATTTTAAAATTTTTAAATCTTTGGGGGCTTTTAAAGATATATTATTGTTATTAATTTTTTGTTTTTTGAGACGGGGTCTTGCTCTGTTACCCAGGCTGGAGTGCAGTGGTGTGATCATGGCTCACTGCAGCCTTGAATTCCTGGGCTCAAGTGATCCTCCCATGTCAGCTTTTTGAGTAGCTAGGACTACAGGTGCACACTGCTGCACCCAGCTAATTAAAAAAAAAATTTTTTGTAGAGATGAGGTCTTGCTATGTTGACCAGGCTGGTCTGGAACTCCTGGCCTCAAGTGATCCTCCTGCCTTGGCCTCCCAAAGTCCTGGGATTACAGGCATGAGCCACCCTGCCCAGCAGATTATTGTTATATAAATTTCCAATCTATTTTATTGTGGTAGAGACTGCTTGACCCAACACCTGATGTATCTTGGTAAGTGTGTTGTCAAAAGAAAGAACAAAATGTTGAACATATTAAGTCTTAACCTCAAAGGCAGTGATGCTTGAATTTATTTTTTAAGGGGAGAGCTCATAAATCTCTTTGAGAATAGTATGGAAGTTAGAGTTTTTCTCTCCAGAAAAATATGTTTACAGATGCATTTACTTGCTCTGCATACCATTTCAAGGGCTCACATATTTTATGAATGAGAACAAGATGGGAGTTCTCAGTACCTTACATCAGACCACTCTTTTAGGAAGTGATATTTTTAAAGAATCTCTTTAAGTTGAGGTATAACTTAAATACTGTGTAATGCAGAGATGATTAGGTATATATAGTTCAATGAGTTTTGACAAATACATGCAGACATCCCTCTCAAGATACAAAGCATTTCCATCACTCCAGAGGGTTCCCCAGGTTCTTTCCTCATCAATATCCACACACCCAGAGGCAACCACTTTTGAAGGGGTCTTTTAGTTCACATTCATAGTGTCTGCATTTCCTGAAGACAGGTGTTACAGAGATAACATTCCCAGAAAGTGGTTACGTGATAAGAAACAGTCAACTGTTTGTATTATATAAAAAAAGAATGCAACAGCATCCCAAAAGGGTGTCCTAGAAACCTCGTTAATGATCTATGCTGTCACAAGCCCTTAAGCCCTTTTCAGATGGCTTGTAGCATCTCAGAAAATAGAAACATCTTTAGGAAGTGATTGTGTCCAACAGACCCTCAGAAAAAAATCAACGTAGCCCAAAGCATCTTCCTATCTTTTCTTTTACCTGATCAGCTTCTGAATCTGAGGGGACCACCAGCACCACATCACCCCTTTGTAAGGTAAGTTCATCAGAATTTGCTGCCTCAAAATCATGCAGTGTTTCCACCTGCAGAAGATAAGAATACATAAAAATCAATTTCCCAGCCAGATTTCAAGCAGACACTCTTACAAGTCACTCTCCAACCTGGATGAAAAGAGGAAGATATTTGCCATATCCCAAGGAGGAAGAAGGCCTCTAAAGCCAGAAGGGAAGTCCTATTCTCTGATATGAGGCCATTCATATGTATATTTATTAATAGTAATGCAATGCCCTCTACAACAGGGAAAAGCACTATATTAATCAAATTTTAATTCATCTTATTTTTGTTAGAGATTTGCATTTTATTATCGCTGATGCTTTATTACTGTTTGTTGTTTAACTGGAACCCAAAATGTCTAAAGCTCCTCTAACCCCAGCTTCTGTCAAATAATAATAAGGAAAACCACCACTTGCAGGTTATACAGTAATTACTACTAAATAAAACTCTGTGATCAATTCTGTGTAAATATATTTCCTTCCTTCCCTATCCTACCTTATATACAATGGCAACCAGTTTCTTTTCCTTTCCCATTTTGAAAAAGATTTCCTTAAAATTTTATTATAGAAAAATATTTTAAAGCAGAAGAAATAACATAATGAACCCCTATGCGTCTGTCACCCAGTCTGAATCACTCTACTGTCATGGCTGATTTTATTTTTCCCACCTTTCCCTCAACTCCACCCCTGAGAGTAAACATTGGCTTTTAAAGTGTGTATTTTGCCATTGAGCATATTCATAGAATCACAAGCTGTCAGAGCTGGAAATGGATTATGTTATCCCTAAATTAATTTTTCTGATTGGAAAACTGATACCCAGAGAGAGGGTCTATATGGGGTGCCTTAGGTTATTCTACAGTTAGTGAGGAGGCCAGAATGGGCCCAGCAAGCTCCAGCCGTGCTTGGCACAAGGCTTCTTGGACTGCTTGTGCTCCAGTTAAAACGGAACCTGGCAGGAAACAACCCCTTATCTAGAGGTTTAGCTTTTCCTCCAAATTAATTTATTCATAAATCCATTATAGCCACCCCTGTCCCCACAAGAGGTAGCAAGGTAGCAGTTACTTTCTAATGGAGAGAGACAAAGACAGAGAGAGAGAGAGAGAGAGAGAGAGAGAGAGAGAGAGAGAGAGAGAGAGAGAGAATGATACAACATTTTACACTTTAGAAGAAAAAGAGCTGATTTTTAAATGTAAAATCAAATTTAAAAACTTAAAATTCCTTTTCAGATTCTATCAGGAAACATCTGAGACAGGAAACACTTAGGTTAAGCCAGTGTTTTTAGGTATTTACTAAGTTTTTTTGGTAAGAACCCTTTGGTTTATGAAGGCTCTAAGTAGCCTGTCTGAGCAAAACCTTCTTCCCATTAACTTAGCCGCCTTTTTTTTCTGCCTTTTGGTGCAAGTTCATTCATACATGAATCCATTAATTTACCAAATATTTATGGGCTCCCTACTCTGTGTCATGCACCCTACAAGGTGCCAGAGTTGACTGAAGGATTGCTGCCCGACCCCCAGGGGATATAGCCGAGTCAGGAGCTCTTGGTGATTCCAAGGCCTGGTCTGAGCCAGGCTCCACAGATTCACAGGCACCTGGGGGAGTAGAGAGGAGGGAGGGCTGGAAAAGACTCTCCCATTCATTACCCAGGGGCATACTGTTTGCCCTGTGGTGAACTTCCCTTTAATTATTCTTTGTTAAAACATGAAAATCTATTACTGTAGTCCTGGCTTGTCCAAGTGATGTTGTGGTGAAGGGAAAGCAGTTCACAGAAATAATAATTGCAAAAAGTAAAAGTAAAAACTGGAAAACCAAAGGCTTGAGCAAAAGGGCCTTAAAGCAAAAAAAGGATAAATGAGACTTAAAAAATAAGAATACCTTGTAGAGAAAGCCAGGAGGCAATTCCTGAGAGGCCTCCCTTGCAGATGCTAGCTGGTCAGCAGCCCCCATGGCTGGTGCAGAAGGCGTGGGCTGAGGGTCCTGGATAGGCTTCTGCTCCGTAGCCAGCTCCGGTGTCTCGCTGGTGGGGCCCGGAGGAGCCGCGTCCTCGGTGGTCTCCTTGGGCTCTGCACCTATAGTTATTTCGTTTTCTCCTTCCTCTTCATGGTTGGAGGCAGGCTCTATGACCACCGAAGGAATGACCTTCTCCTGGGGGAAGAAAAACCGTGGCGATGCCCGGCAGGGCCTGGAAAACAGAACCTCCTTGTCCTGCACAACCTGCCTTAGCCCCCAGCCCAAAGCTGGGGCTGCCACTTCCATACTTCCCCACTAGCCAGACTCAGGTCTGGGCCTTCCGCTGTGCCACACAGCCTCCTTCTGTTCCTCCTGAGGCCTAAACCCTTAGTGGAATTAATTTCTGGATCCTTGAATAGCCAGGCAGTTTGGTAAGCATGAGGTTTCGGTGGGAATTGGGAGGAGGGATAGGGGATGGGAGACAGAGTCTTGAAGGGTGAGGGAGGCCATCCTGAGAGGGATTGCAGGAGGAGTCAATGCAGGCCGGCCTGGTTCTTTTTTTTTTTTTTTTTTTTTTTTTTTGAGACAGAGTCTTGCTCTGTCGCCCAGGCTGGAGTGCAATGACGCGATCTCAGCCCACTGCAAACTCTGCCTCCCGGGTTGACGCCATTCTCCTGCCTCAGCCTCCCGAGTAGCTGGGACTACAGACACCTGCCACCACGCCCAGCTAATTTTTATATTTTTAGTAGAGACGGGGTTTCACCGTGTGAGCCAAGATGGTCTAGATCTCCTGACCTCGTGATCCGCCCACCTCGGCCTCCCAAAGTGCTGGGATTACAGGCGTGAGCCACCACGCCCAGCCCCGCAGGCCAGCCTGGTTCTTGTCCCACGGAACCCTAACTCTTGCGGTTGGCAGTTCACCTCCTGTGAGCCCCTTCCTCCCCTCCCCCAGTCCCAGGAGGCCCCCAGTGCCTGAACCATGCTTGCTGATGAAGATCCAGCCGGGGTTTGGAGATCATCCACTAGTCCTTCGCTTGTGATTATCATTCCAGCCCCACACTGCTGTGGCCGCTGGAGGGACCACACCTCCACAATCCACTCCAAGTACTCTAGTGTCTGAACCAAAGGATTAGGACCACCCTTTCATTTGTTTAACAAAGATGAGCATGGAGGGGAGTTTCATCAGCAGAACGGGAGTCTTTCTATATTCCCTCTGCTATCAGCAGACTAGAGCACTAACATTCGTCAACTTGGAGAGATAATACCGTCTTTCCATGAGTAGAACAACATACACAAAAACACTCTGGGCACTGTGATGAGAAAATCTAAGGGGAAAAAGGAATATTCTTTTAAGTTCCTTCTCCCATAACACTGTTATCTGCCTCAGCCCCCAGCCCAAAAAGGGATAATGAAAGGGATAATTCAGTTTCAAGTTTTAAGTAACCCTGGAGAAATTTTTGAAAACTTATTGGGAGTAAAATCATCAGAAGAAAACAATGCATACCATTAAGCCCTCTCTTAATGTTGCCTTCTAGAATACCGAAGAACCAGACAATGGAGGCAGGCCCTGGGGTTGGAGGCCCTCGCAGTGGTAGAGTATGTGGCTTTGTGGCCTCTCAATGCTGCTCTGAGGCAGTGCCGAGCAGGGCCCCCTCCCGCCTCATGCACGGACCTAATGGCCCTGGTCCCTTTGTTTCCCTTCTCAAAGTGCCACCCAGTGGTGGGCTCTTGGTAAAAGGGGCCTGATGGTGAATTTGGGGCACTCTAATGATAATAATAACCACCAAACAGTAATAAGAATAATAAGATCTAAATACTATTGAGTTCTCCCTGGGCTGAGTGCTCACTTCATCACATTCTCTTTCTCCCGGCTCCATTCTCATCCTTTTCACTGTCCTGCTTCATTCCTTTCTCCACGTCACCCCAGTTTCCCATTCCCGTTTCCATGCTTAGGCCCAGTCAGCCACAGGCCCTGAGGGCCTATATGCAACATTGCAATGCTGATACTGAGCAGCTGGGATTAGTCTTTCTGAGAATCTGATAATAATGTTGTTTGGTGGAGTCACAAAATTGCTACAAACCTATTATACATCCAAAGAGTTATCACCATGAACCAACCAACAGAGCACCCAGCCCATGCTACTTCCCAGGAGCTCCCCTGGCTGCGACATGGGACACTCACCTGAGGCACTGTTGCTTCGAGCTCCTCTGCTTCAGGTTGGGCACTCTCTGCACCCTCAGTGGTTTCAGTTCCAATTTTGGCCTCCTCTAAACTTACTCCTTCCCCGGCAGGGACAGTGGCCTTCTCCGCCTCTGCTTCCTCTCCTGGGGCCCCCTCAGCTGCTGACACCAAGGTTCCAACAGCTGCATCAGCATCAGCTCCAGGTATGATCTGCAGGGCAGAAACCAGCAGGCCACGTCTGCATCTCCATGGGCCTCTGCCAGGAGTCAAACTCAAGCCTATTTCTAATCTCCCCTCTGTGGAGGCTATTCAGATTTGGAACATTCTTTGCACTCCCAGGATTTAGGTACAGCAGAATCTGCCATCTATTCATCAACACTCCGACTTCTCTTCTGCTGAGCTCCCAACAATTCTACACTCCTCAGCTTTCCCTGCTGTCAGGTGTAGCAAATGGGATTAGAATGGAAGTGACATACACCATTCCAAAGACATGGCTTTTAAGGTGTAGGTGGTCCTCTCCACAAGCTATTTCCATTTTTATTGGCTGGAAGCAACAAATGAGGCCTTAGGGGAGTGAAAGAAATAAAATTGAATCTCGGGACCTTAAACTTACCATGCCAAAGGAAAGCTAAGCTTGGGAACGGAGTCACACGAAAACCACCTTCCTTTTGTTCCCAAACACAGGGCTGTAATTTCACACACTTCCTTCATCTTATGTAACATGCAGAACTACAGAGCATGAGATGAAGGCATGAGTGAGTTTGTCCCCACTCCCTCTTTTCACATGTAAAATGTAGATTCACTGAGCGCTAATCAGAGCCTCACAAGAATGTGACACTTGCCTCATTGCCTAACCACCCTCTTTTTAAAAAAATTATTTCCTTCTTGCTTGCTATTTCCCCTTTAAATACTGAAGTTCTCAAAACTCTCTTCAGAAAAAGCACACGTCACAGATCCTCCTTTGACTCGTGTCTCTTTTTCCTGGGTGCATCCTTAACCTTGGCTAAATAAGCCTCTCCATGACTAAGACGTGCCTTGGTCACTTTTTGATTTACATGGCACATCTGGGTCACAGGATGGAAGTGGCCTGGGTCAGAGAGAAAAGCCATATCAGAAAAGCATCCTCATCACACAAAGTCAAAATTTAGAAAGAGTGCATTTTAGTATAAACTTTCAAATCTTTGTGAGGAAGGTTCCAGAAGCCAAATCACTTTCACAGGAAAAAAAAATACATAAGGAAGCTTTCTCAATGAAAACCCTCGAGAATGAAGGGGAAATCATTTTTGTAATCAAATATGCATGGTAATGCTCCAAATAGCTGTAGAGCCTGTTATAGGCAAAATGCCAAAATCATAGTTTAGGTCCAGTAAGGAGAAGTGAAATAGAAAAAAGTCAGAATTTTCTTTCTAAGGTAGAAACACAGAAGAAGAGTTTTAAGTACTATTTAAAATTTGAGATAATGAAATAAAGGAAATGCAATCAGAAATTTTAGTTTTGAACAAATGGGTTGGAGTCCAACTCTTTAAACAGGATTCTGACAACATCAGCTTGGCAGACTTGATTTGAGAGGTTCACGTGAGAAAGACTATGTTAGAAGAATCTCAGGTTGATCTTATATAATATATCCGGGACACATATTTCAAAAATGGCTCTTACTATCTGATGGGATTAGGATTAACTATTTTTTCTTTGTTGAATACATTCTATCCAGTTCAACATCTTAAGTTAGGAAGGCCCTAATATTGCAAATATTAACTTTCAAACTCAGAAAACAGAAAAGGACAATGAAGAGTACCTCCGAGTGAGCATCAGAAATCGGAGATGAAGAACATGAACCACACATCTACACTTATAACAAAGCAGTTTTAAAAACGTTTCTGCTGGCTCAAAGGTACAGGTAATAGTTTAAATAAAAATGCCTGTTACAGAATATATACAGTACATTTTTCTATAAGATAATATTTTATTTGGGAATGAAAAAGAAATGTTAACAGCTATACTACTCATTATATGTCCAAGTATTTACTCATATTCTTAGAAACTTATTTCCCTCTCTTATGAGAATCTCCTATTACGAGGATGTGGCTCTCCAAATGTGCAATCCCTAGCCATGACATACTTCCTTCTTTCTGCCCTGTCATGAAAGTACATGTGACATGGTTTGGCTCTGTGTCCCCACCCAAATCTCATCTTGTAGGTCCCATAATTCCCATGTGTTGTGGGAGGGACTTGGTGGGAGATGATTGAATCATGGGGGTGGGTCTTTCCCATGCTGTTCTCATGATAGTGACTGGGTCTCACCAGATTTGATGGTTTTAAAAATGGGAGTTTCCCTGCACAAGCTCTGTTTTTGCCTGCTGCCATCCATGTAAGATGTGACTTGCTCCTCTTTGCCTTCCATCATGATTGTGAGGCCTCCCCAGCTATGTGGAACTGTAAGTCCAATAAACCTCTTTCTTTTGCAAATTGCCCAGTCTCAGGTATGTCTTTATCAGCAGCATGAAAATGGACTAATACAATATGGGTTCACAAAAGTAATGATTTCTCATGAATTGTAACAGACACTTATTTAAAGTGAATTATAAATGCTGATCATTATTGAAGTGGGGTAACAAGTACATGAGGGTTTATATTTTGGCAAATGGCTGAAAATTCCTATAATAAAAAGTTTATTTTGAAATCGAATAGACTTTCATCACTGTTTTAAATAAGCACCGACCTTTTTATGGATGCTATTGTTACTGTTGTCAAGAGAATAGTAATCAGAACATAAATTAGTAGGGCATCTTAATCCTGAGAAGAACAAGGAGCAATTGCTCATAGCTTTATTGTCGGAGACATTAACAGGATTTCTCTACGACACTAAGGACCTAATAAAGTTTCTTCTATGTTAAAAACTATACTGAAAGAAAATGTGCATGCAATAAACTTATGAGCTCAAATGTAGAAAATAAGTTGTGTCATGATTACAAGCTTATTCTCTCCATCTGTCTGGAAAATCACACCTATGAATATCCCACTAGTTTCAACAGCTTGGAAGCAGATGGACTCTATCTACATGCAGACGGTATGGACAAACAGAGCAGCAGACACCACCACTACACACACATGCAGCAGAGGCACTGCTACAGATGAAAAAGCAGACAGGATGTTATTCCATGGGCTACTCTCCCAAGTGATTATGCATAAATCCTTTTATACATATATGTTCCAACCACACATTATTACTAATTGGCTTTTAGTCTCAGTTGAATTGATACTACATCTCTGGGAGAGGATATCTTTCCATGACCTATAGATGGTGTTGCCACAGGTGATTTTTTAAACTTGTTCCATACGAACATAATGTTTATTATTAACCTGTAACTTGTCTCTAGATATCTATCAATTTGGTTGTATAAGATTTTACCATCACTAAATATACATGTTATCACCTTTCCTTTGCTAGATAATTTAAGCAGGCAACGAAACTGGACTCCTATCTTTTGCCATATACAAAAATTAAATAAAAATGGATTAAATACTTAAATATAAGTCTTCAAACTATGAAACTACCAAAAGGAAACATTGGGAAAGCTCTCTAGGACACTGGACTGGGTAAAGATTTCTTGAGTAATATCCCAAAAGCACAGGCACACAAAGCGAAAATGGACAAATGGGATTACGTCAAGTTAAAAAGCCTCTGCACTGCCAAGGGAACAATCAACAAAGACAACCTGCAGAATGGGAGAAAATATTTGTGAACTACCCATCTGACAAGGGATTAATAACCAGAATACATAAGGATCTCAAACAACTCTATGGGGAAAAAATCTAATAATTCCAATTAAAAAATGGGCAAAAGATCTGAATAGACAGTTCACAAAAGAAGACATAAATAGCAAACAAGTATGTGAAAAGGTGCTCAACCTCACTGATCATCAGAGAAATGCAAATCGAAACTACAATGAGATCTCATCTCACCCCAGTTAAAACGGCTTTTATCCAAAAGACAGGCAATAACAAATGCTGGCGAGGAAGTAGAGAAAAAAGAAACCTCATATACTGTTGGTGGAAATGTAAATTAATGCAACTATTATGGTGAACAGTTTGGAGGTTCCTCAAAAAAAAAAAAAAACACAAAAACTAAAAGTAGAGATACCATATGATCCAGCAATCCCACTGCTAGGTATATACTCAAAAAAAAAAAAACAAAAAAAAAAGGGAAATCAATATATCAAGGAGGTATCTGCACTCACATGTTTATTGCAGCACTATTCACAATAGCCAAGATTTGGAAGCAACCTAAGTATCCATCAACAGATGAATGGATAAAGAAAATGTGATACATATATACAATGGAGTACTATTCAGCCATAGAAAACAATGAGATCTTGTCATTTGCAACAACATGGATGGAACTGGAGGTCATTATGTTAAGGGAAAAAAGCCAGGCACAGAAAGACAAACTTTGAATGTTCTTACTTATTTCTAGGTGCTAAAAAGTAAAACAATTGAATTCATGGAGACAGAGAGTAGAAGGATGCTTACCAGAGGCTGGGAAGGGTAGTGAGGAAGTAGGGGGGATGGTTAATGGGCACAAACAATAATTAGAAAGAATAAATAAGACCTAGTATTTCATAACACAAACAGGGTGACTACAGTCAACAATAACTTATTGTACATTTTAAAATAACTAAAAGAATATTACTGGATTATAATGCAAAAAAAGGATAAATGCTTAAGGAGGTGATAGATATATTTACCCTGAGGTAATTACTACATGTCATATATCTGTATCAAAATATCTCACGTACCTCATAAATATATCCACCCCCTACGTACCCACAAAAGTTAAAAATAAACATAAAATAAAATAATAAAAAACAGGTATTAGCTGCTGTGACACCAACCACCAGCAGGTGGCGGCCAAAGGCTCTGCCTGACTGCTCTGACGTTCCTGACGTTGTAGGAGCAAATACCTCAGCCTCAGCACCTCAGCTGTGATTTTTGTCACATAAAAAAGAACTGCAGCATGCAGAAAACGAATTTTAAGAATGATAAATAAATATCAGGAAAATACCGAAATTAACAACTCTGGCAAAGGTAAGGTGCTAAGGAATTGGCACTTTAGACTTTAAAGAGAAGCCAAACAATTTTAATGATCTACTTGGAAAACAAACAACACTCCTACACCCTACTTTGAGTCCATTAGTAATGAATTCCCATTTTTCCAGCTGCTGTTTACTTACCACGTTGATTTTACAGGGCTTAAAAACTACATAAACAGAGAAGGATCATCCACTATCTGCGTATCCTCATAGCTTTCTGTTTCTGACACTAGTCTGATGATCAGGGGGCATCAGTCCTCCCTTTATGTCTGGAATCTGGTCCAGATGTTTTGCTCTTACCAAAATACTTCCAATGCCGTATTTACTGACCGCAAGAATAGAACAACATAAAAATACAATGGAAAACAGGAACCCATTTGTTCAGATTAGGTGTTAGCTGTAGATAAAATCAAGGAAAGAGTAAAAAGGTTTTCATCAATGAAAGTTATACCTCTTATTATTATTGTTGTTGTCATGCATTTCAATTTGTTAGCTATTTGTAGAGCTATAAAAGAAAAAACATTTTCTATGCTCTGCTTGCTACAGTACATGTTATACCTGCTAGGAAAAACCACAATGATAAATGACTACCATTTGCTTTTTAAAAAATGTTACTCACAAAGACCAGGGACTGAATCTGCTGAAAGTACTTCAAGCCTTTCATACCCAGTGCTATCAAATGTTTCTCTTCACTCTAAATGTTCAGAAAAACACAATTATCCTATCTTCTGCCCAACCTATACTATCTATTGGTCAAATATATTTATGGGGGAAACAGCTATTGCAAACAGAGACTAAAAATGTTCTCCTTGACCTTGGGCACATATTTACTATATCCATGAGGTCTATGAGGTGCAGAAACTAGGAGTATTGCTAAACCGCCTGTCCATCACACAGAAATCACAGCGACCAGCACAAAACCTTCTGGAGAGAGTAGGTGGTGGCTCTCTGCACCATACATACCTCATTGCTTTCTTTTTTCTTTCTTTTTCTTTTTTGAAATGAAGTCTCACTCTTGTTGCCCAGGCTGGAGTGCAATGGTGTGATCTTGGCTCACTGCAACCTCCGCCCCCCAGGTTCAAGCGATTTTCCTGCCTCAGTCTCCCGAGTAGCTGGGATTACAGGCACCTGCCACCACACCTGGCTAATTTTTTTGTATTTTGAGTGGAGACAGGGTTTCACCATGTTGGCCAGGCTGGTCTTGAATTCCTGACCTCAGGCAATCCACCTGCCTTGGCCTCCCAAAGTGCTGGGATTACAGGAATGAGCCACCGTGCCCAGCCCCTCATTGCTTTCTAATCTTCTGTCTCAATCATCTCCTTAGTGGAAAGCCACATAATTATGGCATTCATGCCAGGGTCCCCTAAACACCAGTTTAAATTTGCTTTAGCAAAATTTTCTGGAAATGTAATGACATGAATGAAATGCAACAATAGCCTAGGTTATCAATCATGTAAAATAGGGAAACACAACTGGGTGACAGAAACTAGCCAGTCCTGCTATGAGATGGTGCTATGAAAGCAGGTCAACAAGGACCAAGACCCCCAAACATGTCAGAGTAGTGATAGGCTCAAGAGAACTTGTCGTCTCTGAGGTTTATGTCATGCATTCATACATTCATTCACTCATTTATTTACTTATTTGCTTGTTTTCTTTGTGATATTAGCTCTGACCAATGCCTGAAAGTAGTGTGTCAATCACGCAACTGGTCGGGATGAGACAATTGAAGATACTTTCATTATCCTTCTGCCCAGCATGAAATTCCATACTTATTTATAAAGTAGGTTATTGTAACTGATCATAGGCATTTTTCTAATAAAGCAATTAAAAAATTTTTTTCTAACAAATTTTAAAATAATAAAAGAAATAATTTATGGTAACATTTTGATATATTTAGTTGTATTCATTTTCTAATCATACAAGGGTTTATCTTACAAAACATGAGTCATGTTTCTGAGAAAAGTTATAGTAATGGATATATAATACTTTATTGCTTATTCTATTTATCAAGTTATTTAACAGTTCTATTAGCATTAAACACTAGTTGGTTTCATTTTTAAATGTTACTCTAACACTGTGAGAAAGATCTTTGGTTTGTAACCCAACAATTATTAGGTTACACATTTCAATAATTTAAATACTAAACACTGCTCTATTTCTTTATGATGTCTCCATTAAACATGTTTTGGGGGTTTCTGCTCAACATTATAAGAAATTTTTAAAAAATTTCAAAAACATAGAATCATACAATGAACTTCCAAGTGCCCACCACCTAGGATCCTCAATAGACATGTCACCACATTTGCTTTATCACGTCTTCCCACCTATCTGCCTTGATTTGAGTCATCTTCCAGTCAATTGCAATATAGCTTCATAAAATGCTTTTTAGGAATTCTATGGAAAGTCTCTAGCACCTTATGTAATTGGTAATGTCTTTCTGCTGCTTTCCTACATGACCAACTATTGACTTGGGGTAGAATTACTGTATTGTGTTTCTTTGTGCTCAAAATTTGTATGTTGTTCTAATAGCTTCTGACCTTTAGTACTGATATGGATAAGTCAGAGAACAACCTAATTGTTGTTCATTTGTAGTGCTTTCTTATTTCCAACCTAGATGCTTGCAGAACTTTTTTTTTAAACTTTAAACTCAAATATTTAAAAGAATACATTTCAATGTAGTCTCTCCCCATTAAGTTTGCTTTTTTTGGTGATTTCTTATGATCCACATGCAGGAATTCCATCAACTAGGAAAACTTCAGTTTGAGCATGTTTTTTTCTATTATACTGGCCACTTCTGCTTCTGTAACATTCTTATAGTCTCTTCTTCAGGATGAACTTCTACCCATGAGCTGTATCTTCACTCCTTGGTCCCTAAATCTATCATCTTTGCTTGTGCTTCTCTTTATGTGTTGGGAGAACTCCTCCAGCTTGTCCTCATATCACTAAATCGATTCTCTATAGTGTTGCTTCTCGTCTTTACCACATCTCATGCAAATTTTAATTCTAATATTACATTTCCTCCCCTTAAAATCTTTTCTCATGTTATTGAGTTCCCTTTTCATCTGCCTTTCAAAGTGACTTTCTTTTCTTCTCAATATGGTTGCCTTATCATCTCACCCTTCATCTTTTGTTTCACCTATCGAGGTCATCTTGAGTTTTACTGACAACAAAAAGGAAGGCAATTTTCAAATTTTGTCTTTGTATGTCAGGTAATTTTTGTTATTGTTGCATGTTCTCTAAAGAAACTTTTAACTCTGGCATGCAATAATTATTTTTTCTTTTGTATTGCTCTATAGGTGTTTGCTAATCTAAAAATGTATTTACTTGCTTAGTTTTCTCAAATCAGGAGAAATCTCTATAGGCTTGATGTTTACAGTAGACGTGGAAACATTTTCTTTGTTCCATTTTACTCGCTATCTGGGGACTCTTAGATATCCTTTTCAGAACAGGAGCTGGAGAGGGATTTATCAAGTCTTGACATAGAATCACCTGCTCTGAATCCCCTAAATATATGTGTCAAAGGATATACTTCTGTGAGAGTAGCAGCAGGCCCCAAATGGCCTGGATGCTTCAGAAAGGAATCCCATACTCATGGCGGGGTAGATGCGAGTTGTCTCTGATCGAGGGTGGAGATGGATGACACTCTCAGATATTTTCCCTTGCCTGGCTCAGGTATTATGCGTCAAGGATCCATTTATACTTTGTTTTATGGAAAATTATCTTGGGTTTAGCTAACATTTCTAGAATATACTTTTGAAATGTTGACTTTCTTTTTCTATATGCTGGGTTTTTTCTTTAAGAGTAAAATCATTAAAATGAAAACAAAAAAAACTAGTAATAGTGAATCTGATTTTTTGAGTGATTTTTAAGTGTTTTCAGCTTTCTCGTGAATCTTCTTTTACACATCCCAATGATAAATTTCATTTTTTTAAAAAAATGCTCCAAGGTTTTTTTGTTGTTGTTGTTGTTTTTTCCAAGATGGCTGACTGGAGACGTCAGAAGCCAGTTCTCTTCAGAAAGGGGATCAAAGTTACAGACGAGTGGCCATGATCTGAATGGAAAGCTGAGAGAAGAGAGCCAGGACCTGTTGGAGTTCCCATGGAAATAAGCTGGGGTGTAGAAAAAGGAAAGCTACGAGAGTCTGGCAGAGACTGACTCTTAAGGAACTTAGAATTCGGCAGAAAGGGTAGGTGGGGGTGCTTCTCTACTCCCCTCCCTTCTGTGACAAACTGCTGACCACTAAATTGTCAGAGAGCACCTCTGCCCTTGTGACCTTCGGCAATGCTGTTGGTGGCAATCTGAGAACTTCCTGAGGACAGAGCAGCAGTGGCCAGCTCCTCCAGGTGCACTCGGACTCCCCGCAGGCCTGCACTGAAATGGCAGGTGCCATACCGGCTGTGCACCCAGTGTAGGTCACTGCCTGCCTGAAGAACCTGCCTGTCTGTGTCACCAGACCCCTGCAAACATACCTTAGAACCCACTCTGACTTGGCAATGATAGGGGACTGATAGGGAGGATGCTGGGAAGCTCTGGGTACTCCAGAGAGCTAGCTCTTGGCAGAGGCCGCCCCGAGGGAAGGGGGAATACGGCCTGCCAAAGTGCCCCTTGGAACAAAGGAAATGCAGGCATGGTGCTGATTTCTGAAAGGGGTAGCACCAGTGGCTGGGAAAGATCATGGAAAAGAGGCCATTTCCCACTTCCCCCACCCACCATTGTGGATGCAGAGCAGACTTCCCCTACTGGGGCCTTGGGCAAGTGCACTTGGAGAAAGCCTTTTCAGTGCATTTCCAGATGGCCGCACCCCCAGTGAAAGTGAGCCTATGCCATTTGGGTTTGCACAAAGGGCAGAGCCCATCTTCCCCTCCCTAAACAGAGTGGGCAGCATGGTGGCAACAGAGGACAGACAAGTCACAGAGCTGTCTGCTCTGGATTGGGGGAAGAAGCTGTGCCCCAAGGCCATTTTGCTGATAGCCACCAGAGAGGTCCTTTCACAGACCTCAGTCACACTGCAGACTGGAGTCAAAGGACAGCATCTATGTGAACTGAAGGTCACGAGTCCTGCAACAGGAAAGTGAATCACATCCCTGCCTATCTAGGATGGGAAGCTGCTGCAGCCCCCTAACCCTTATCCCCAAGAGCTCAGCACATCCTCCTCCTGTCACCCTTGTCAGGGCAGGTGCCTCCATTCATCATCCAGCTACCCAAGGGTAAGCCAGCTGTCATCCTTAAGTGCCACCTACTGGACTGGAGACTGAAGACCAAATAAAAAACCTGCTGCAGAAGGGCATAGTGCTAATGTATGAGATAAACTTCTTGAGACCTCCACACTCCCAGCCCCACAGAAGACAGTGTATCAGTTCATACACCCAATATACTGCTACAACAAGCAGTGTTTGAGAAAGCCACCACACAACAGATATCCATAACCAAGGAACCCATGTAGAGCCTTGGCCTCCTGAAAGCACCTAGAAACAAAGCCAAACAATCATATACAACAAACTCCACAGCCATATCCTCAAGGGAAAAAAGAGTAAAAATTTAAATGTCCCATCCAAAGGATGACTAATTTAAAAATAAGAAGTGACAGCTTCTTCACATGAGAAAGAATCAGCAGAAGAACTCTGGCAATACAAAAAGACAGAGTGTTTTGACACCTTCAAAGGAGTGCAGTATGTTCCCTCAAACATATTTGAGGGAATGATTCAGAAAAGTTTTCCTGATCTTGATAGAGAAGTATTTATTCAGATACAAAAAACTCAGAGAACATCTGGGAGGTACTATATGAGATTAACATCATCAAGAAATATAATCAACAGAGTATCCAAGATCAACACTAAAGAAAAAATCTTAAAGGCAGCTAGAGAGAAGTGTCAAATTTACCTGCAAAGGAAATTCCAACAGACTAACAGTCAACTTCTCAGCAGAAACCTTATAAGCCAGAAAAGATTCGGGGCCTATTTTTAGCCTTCTTAAAGAAAAAAAAAATGCCAGCCAAGAATTTTATATCTTGTCAAGCTAAGCTTCATAAACGAAGGAGAAATAAAGTCTTTCCCAGACAAACAAATGTTAAAAGAATTTGTCACCACTAGACTGGTCATACAAGAAATGCTGAAAGGAGTTCTCAACATGGAAGGGGAAGGATGATACCACCATAAAAGCACACATAAGTACAAAGTTCACACATCCTATAAAGCAATTACACAACTGAGATTATAATGCAACTAGCTGATAACACTATGATAGGAACAAAACCTCACATGTCAATATTAAACTTGAGCATAAATAGCCTTAATGTTCCACTTATAGATTAGAAAATTGGATTAAAAAAACAAAACCCAACCATCTGCTGCATACAAGACACCCATCTAACATGTAATGACACCCACAGGCTCCAAGTAAAGGGGCTGGAAATGATATATGATGCAACTGGAAACAAAAAGAGCAGGAGTTGCTATCCTTATGTCAGATAAAACAGACTTTAAGCCAATAACATTAAAAAGACAAAGACAGCATTATATCATAACAAGAGTTCAATTCAACAAGAAGATTTAACTATCCTATATATATATATGTAGATATATAGAGAGATACATATACATCCAACACCAGAGCACCCAGATTTATAAAATAAATGCTACTAGACCTGAGAAAAGAGATAGTCATCACTACAATAATAATGGAGGACTTCAATACCCCACTGATAGCATCAGACTGATCACCAAGGCAGAAAACTAACACAGAAACTCTGGACATAAATGTACTTCTAACCAAATGGACTTAATAGACATCTATAGAACATTCCACCCAACAACTGCAGAATATACAATCTTTTATCTGCACATGGAACATTCTCCAAAATCAACCATATGCTTAGCCATAAAGCAAGTCTCAATAAATTCAAAGTCCTGAAATCATACCAAGCATCTTCTCAGACCACAGTGGAATAAAATTAGAAATAAATACCAGGAGAAACTCTAAAAACCACACAAATACTTGGGAATTAAACAACTTGCTCCTGAATAACTTTTGGGTAAATAAGAAATTAAGGTAAAAATAAAAAAATAGAAACAAATGAAAATAGAGACACAACATATCAAAACTTCTGGGATACAGCAACAGCAATGCTAAGAGGAAAGTTTATACTGTTAAAATACTTACATCAAAAAGATATAAAGATCTCAAATTAACAATCTAACGTCACACCTCAAGGAACTAGAAAAATAAGAACAAACCAAACCTAAAGCTAGCAGAAGAAAAGACATAACAAAGATCAGAGCGGAACTAAATGAAATTGAAAATTAAAAAAAATCTTACGAAGGATCAACAAAACAGAAAGCTGGTTATTTAAAAGGATAAATAAAATTTATAGACTGCTATAATAATTAATATTAGGTGTCAACTTGACTGGATTGAGGGATGCCTAGATGGTTGGTGAAGTATTGTTTCTAGGTGTGTCTGTGAGGTTGGTGCCAGAGGAGACTGACATTTGAGTCAGTGGACTGGGAGAGGAAGACCCCTCCTCAATGTGAATGGGCACCATCCAATCAGCTGCCAGCATGGCTGGAACACCAAGTAGAAGAGGGGGATAAGCTTGCTTGCTCTGAGTTCTCTCTCCTCTCCTCTCTCTCTCCCTTTCCCTCTCTCTCTCTCTCTCTCTCTCTCTCTCTCTCTCTCTCTCTCTCGTGCTGGATGCCTGCTTTCTCTCCTACTGCCCAAAACTCAAGGTTTTGGGACTTAACACCAGTGGCCTCTTGGGGGTTCTCAGGCCTTTGGCATCACACAGAGCTTCATTGTCAGCTTCCCTGGTTTGAAGCTTTCAGACTTAGGCTGAGCCTTGCTACTGGTTTCTCTCTGTCCCCAGCTTGCAGATGGCCAATCGTGGGACTTTGCCTTGTAATTGCATAAGCCAATTTTCCCTAATAGACTCCTCTCTCTCTCTCTCTCTCTCTCTCTCTATATATATATATATATATATATATATATGTGTGTGTGTGTGTGTGTGTGTGTGTGTGTGTGTGTGTATAAATATATAGACATAGATAGATAGCTATAGAGATATATCTATCTATATCTATCTATCTAGCATCCAGCAATTACTCTCTCTCCCTCTCTCTATATCTATCTATAGATAGATAGATATAGAGATATATCTGTATCTAACTATCTATCTATCTAGCTAGCTAGCTTTCTATCTATATAGAGAGAGAGAGAGACAGAGAGAGAGGAATCTATTAGGGAAAATCTCTCTCTCTCTCTCTTTCTCCCTATAAAAGTGAGAACACCACATGTTCTCACTTTTGAGTAGAAACTAACCAGTGGATACACATTGACATAAAGATGGAAATAATAGGCATTGGAGCTCCAAAAGTGGAGACGGAGAGGAGGCTGAAGGTTGGAAAATTATCTATTGGGTATAAAGTTCACTATTTGGGTGATGGTTTAATAGAAGCCCAAATCTTACCATTGCACAATATAACCATATAATAAACCTGCACATGTACCCTCTGGATCTAAAATAAAATTTAAAAATTTTAAATTAAAAAAATTCAAAAAATTAAATATACACTAAGGTAAATTATACAAGCCATAAGTACAGAATAAAGACATATATATTTTAAATTTTAGCCAAATGATATTCTTCCATGGCTATGGAACACTTTATACTACAGTTAGAGAACAGCCATCTTCCTGGCATTTGCTCTTACAGAGACATTTGACTACAGGACCACTGAATTCAAGGCTTACTGATTTACCCCAAAGATGGAGAATAATAATTCTGATTCTGATTCATAAGCAGGTTTCTGCTTGACAGTTTTGATATATGCACATTCTGTAGACTGAGGGGGAAATGGATATTTATCATGAATTTACAATTTTCCAGACTGTATCTCAGGTGGTTTACATTTATTACACATTATTCTTCCAACAACCCTATTAAATATTCCCCCATTTTCAAGAAAAATTAACTAGTACTTCAAGTTTAAGTAACTCACCTAGTCAGTAAACAAGGACTGAAACAGTTTGTCTAACTCTAAATTCTGTGTTTTCTCACACCATCCCATAACCAAGAAGACCACACATCTCTCAAGTAAGGGAGTTCCACGGAAATTCTGAGACCTCCTAAATAATCTTTGGTTCCCAAGTGATGTTTGACAAAGAATGTGAGTGTATTCTTATAAACAGTTGATACATTCACTTAAATTGTTGGAATGCTACTCTTTAAAGTGAGATGCATAGATTATAATTTTTTTTCTTTATTCATGTACACATACTATCTGGGCATCAAAGCAAACATATCACAAAATGCCTCTTAATCAATAGCAAATTATACAATAAAAAGATATCAAGAAGAGTTTGGTTTGATAGAATTTCTCCACATTACTTAGGCCGGGCGCAGTGGCTCACGCTTGTAATCCCAGCACTTTGGGAGGCCGAGGTGGGTGGATCACGAGGTCAGGAGATTGAGACCATCCTGGCTAACATGGTCAAACCCTGTCTCTACTAAAGATACAACGGCGTGGTGGTGGGTGCCTGTAGTCCCAGCTACTCAGAGAGGCTGAGGCAGGGGAATGGTGTGAACTGGGAGGTGGAGCTTGCAGTGAGCCAAGATTGCGCCACTGCACTTCAGCCTGGGTGACAGAGCGAGACTCCATCACAAAAAAAAAAAAAAAAAAAGAATTTCTCTACATTACTTTTGCCTACTTTATTATTCTACATTATTTTGTCCTGTATTTGTTCTATAGATTTCATTTTTGTCCTGTGGATTTCATCGTTAAGTTATGTACAGGCTGGAAAAGTGGAAAAGATGACCAGTTGATCCATTGCACTACAGAACTACAACTGAGAACATTTAGAAGTTTCATTGATAGCTATGTTCACAAGTTAGAGATTAATCTGATCCCATGGCTGGAAGGACCATAGGGCCCAATGTTCTCATTTTAGAAGGGAGGAACTATTATAAAGTAGAAGCAGCACTAGAGACAGACTAGAGATTGGGTTTTAGTTTTGACTCTTCCACTAATTTGCTATGGAGCTGGAGGAAGTCCCTTTGGGCCTAGCTGTGTAAACTCATGGGGAAAAGTAACAAAGGAGAATAAATACAGCGGGAATTCTGGCTGCAGGGCACCATTGCCTTTTCTTGCCCATCTCTAATTCTAGATCCAACTTGAGCTCTTGACTTGTCTGAAGTTCCTTGGCATTTTAATGAAAATACAGCATTTTCTTCAGAATCCATTTTAAGGAAAAGCCCAAGAGGTAGGTAGGGTATCCAGATCCTCATTATGGCCCCAAATAGAAGATGATTGGACTATGGCACAGGCTGGTGACTGGTAAATCTCTTCACGTGAACTATATTTAAAACAATTCAGGTCATAATTTTCCTTCAGTGTGACTGTAGGGGCAAGCTCTCTCATGGTACCCCCGGTCCCTAGTAGCGTTCCTTTCAAAGCTGGCACTTGATACCGCAAATTTCATTTGACACATTTATGCGCTTTTTTTCTAATAAAGGAATTTAGTGGTGTCCCCCTCACAACCTTCAGCTCAATCATCTTTTTCAATCTGCTCTCCTGGTATTGCCTGCAGTCCTATCATGAACCCTCAGCAGCCGGGTCCCAGAGCAACTCAACTGCAGGCAGCACTGTTGCCATGGCAACGTCTGTTAGAACTAGCTCCATCACTTTCTTCAAAAATTAAAGTCTTCTACAGAGATCCCAAAGTTAATGAATTTTTGGTTAATTTGGCCTTTAAGTTTGTGTCAGTATATCCAATAATAATACAGATCAGTATTTAAAGTTTTAATTAGTGATTTATCCGCAACGCATAGGGGAGAAGTGGATAGGAAAAGGGGACTTATCTTTTAATGCAAACGTAAATACCATGTATTGTTCTCTCTCAGAGATGAGGAGATAAGCACATACTAGTTTTTGGAGCAGCCGCCGTGGACAGCTTCAATGGGGATTGCAAATAGTTTGTTAAAGAGATTGCTTAAGGAAGACACATTTATGGTACAATAAGCATTTTTCTATGGCTGGCTATGTCATCTTTGAATGATATGTAAGGTGCCTGCTGTTACACCTCAAACTGCCTTCTCCTAAGCAGGCCCAGGCTCAGGTTGGCAGAAGGCAGAGGGAAGGCTGCCAGACATACCCAGAGACTAGACTGAGAAACAGTGATCTGCAAATCACCTGAATGTCATTACACTTTGTTGGCAAAACTCCCAAACCTGACCCTGTCAAGCACGACATATATCTCACCGTGCAACCTGGGACCCAACCCAGATGGCAGTGTGGGGCCTGAAGCTTGAGGAGGGGCAGGCAGCTGAAAGTCACACTTGGAAGGCCTGACTGCCAACCTCTGAGTTCACAGCCTTTGAACTGGCCATGGCATTAGTAAGTAAAAGCCACTCCACAATGATATGTCATCCCGATGGCCTAGCAAACAGAGGCTGGAAAAAAGCCATAAACACAGGGTGCTCTTGTTACTACAAAGAATTGTTACTACAAGGAATTTTTAAAGTAATACATTTTGATTTTGGGGGAGCAGGAAGAGGTTATCATGTACAACCCTCTTAAAGGAAGAATGAGAAAACTGGCACAGAGGGTAAAATGATTTCCCTAAGGCCACTTCACTGGTTGACCATGCAGTTAGTTCCCCATATTCCTAATTCAAGGTCTTTCAAATACATCCCCTTTGAAATTTGCTTTGCCGCCAAAGTGGAGGATTAGGACACACATTATCTCTGAGAAGCTCAAGGTTGAGGCTGCACAGAGTTTCTGTTTCATTTCAACTCCTCAGCCACAAACCAGGAACATCCATCAAGTCTAAGCATTCGTTGTGGGAAGTCTTTGTGTCCACTTGGACCCTAAGTTGTGACCCTAACGGCTTTAGTTAGATGTGATATGAGACGTGTTGATAAATATATTTTTATAAAACCTCCTCTTTTTAAAAGCATCTGGAGTAGTCAGGAGATAGACAGCTATGGCTTAAAATACCAGGATTTGAATCACATGTCACTACTTTCTAGATGTGTGATCTTGGTTAATCAATTAATCTCTTTGTGTCCGTTTTCTTAATCTGTAAAACGAGGGACCTGATGCCTAAATAATCCTATTTCACGGGACTGCTGTGAGAGAATGCATGACAATGCTACTGCTCCCTAGTATCTCTTATCACAGTATGGCCTTCTTTACTATCACCTTACTCTCTTTGATCATACTCCTTCATTTCAGGACACACACAGTAGTCCTCAAAGGCAGTATCTGAACTGCTTGAGCACCGATGCTGGAACACAAGGCAACTTGCTGGGGAAAAGGAAGGGATCTCTAATCTCAAATCAAGCACTTTTTCCTGATCATGTTTAAGGTCCAGCTCATGTCTGTGGAGGGCTAGCAGGAGGGATTCATGCAAGGGCCTTTCTATCGTGCAGGTGAGGGATGGACAGAACAGGAACAGGCAAGAAGTGAATGAGAACTCAGCACACATGGTCTAGGGGGTTGGTTCCATATTATCCATGGACTAAACAAATCCCAACACTGCCACCTGTAGGGGAAGAGGAGTGAGCCAGTAAGTAGAACACATCTGTAAGGCTCTTGTAGGTCTAAATTCTGATTTCTGGGGTGGGACTGGGCTTCATATTGGGGTGGGGCTTTATTATCTCAACAGAGTTGTCTTTTTAACATCTGAATGGGTCTGGTCTTACATAGGCTACCCAATTGTGTTGATGACCAGGAATGGTTTCAATGAGGGATTATGAATTGGGCCCAATACATATTCAGAAGACAGAATAAGAGTTTCTTATCCTGAAGCTAATGATAACTAGTCATATTAAATATATCAAGCTAAAGCTCTAGATTTAGTATGTGACAAAAAGTATACACCAAGGCAGACACAAAACCATCTTATAATCATGTGTTGTATGATTCCATTTATATCAGCTCTCTAGAATAGATAAATCCATAGCACATTGGCAGGTACCAAGGGCCTGGGGAGGGGAAGATGGGAGTCACTGCTTAATGGCTATGGGGCTGTGATTTGAGGTGATGAAAATGTTTTGGAACGAGATAGAGGTGATGACTGTACAACACTGTGAATGTACTAAGTGCCAGTTAATTGTTACTTGAAAATGGTTAATTTTATTTTATGTGAATTTCACCTCAGAAGAAAAGTACATGCCAAAAGTAATACTTAAAAGTCACTGGGCATCTATCACCTAAAAATGGCTCCTCAATAGTGGAAGAACAACCTGAATCTTGAGTTCATGTTCACATAGATTTATAACAACACTCTGAATAAACAATGACATTTATTAAAAAGTCTCACTTGGCCCTGTTTGAGATGGGGCTTTGGAAATCACACTCCAGAAGGCAGGGAAGATGCCGCTACTAGCAGTTGGTAGGTGGTTAATGAATACTTAATATCAGCCACATCTCAAAACAGCAGTGGCCCCATATTTCAGAGATGGCCACCTACAAACCCAGATCAACCTGCTCTGTGAGGTTGGGGGAACTGATCACTGTGTTGTTACTTTCACTTTATTCTTGGCTAATTTTATCTCTTCCCTATGACTTCCTGCAAAGACAGAGAGAAAGATCTAGGTTCAGTTACTTGTATCAGATTTGGATGTATCATGTTTGTAGATCATCTGCCCTTCTTTTTCCTTCTACAACCACATGGAAGGAGGACGCAGCTGAGAGGGCACTGCCAGTTCTCTGAATACTCACATCTCCTGGGCAATGAAGATAGAAAAATTCCCTATTCATTCACTGAGTATGAAGGTGCCTGGAAAAGGGGAAGTCTTCTTAGAAAGGACAAAGAATTTTGATGGGACACAGCTTGTTTGGGAACCACATGGAAATTTGTGTTGATGGAGATCTAACAGGGACTGGGTCCATTGCCATTTCTGACATGAGGCAACACTGGAAGAGGGGGCTGTTATCTTTGCCTCTGCTGCTTTCTCCTCCCCAGAGTACATATTTCACATGCTTCTGCTTATTTGCTTCTCACCAACTTTTCATGACGATGATAACAATAATGATATCACCAAACTGTCATTAACTAATAACCTCTGCACGACAGATGTTGAAACTGACAACATGTTTTATTTCTAAGCCCTCATGGGAAACTTTTAAGGTGATTATTATTAACTCCATTTTATATTTGAGGTAAGTGGGGCTTAGGTGTCACAGAGCTGTGGGGCAGAATGAAAAAACTGACATTGCTTTTGATCATAATAACTGGCTTGCTTTTCCTAAATATAAAAAAAGCCAAAGTATCTGAATGAAAAAAAAAAGAGAAGGAAAATGACCATATACATATTTGTACTTTAAGAAATCAAACTGCAGCCCCTTTAAGGACCCCAAGACTGCACTGTCAACTAACTAACAAATCAATGACTTAGAATTTGATGGGCATGGATTATGCACTCTGCTGTGTGCTTGGTATCATGAACAAGAGAGAAACAGACACTTATTTAGTTTGAGGGGCATTGAAAATGTAACTATTTGCTAATGGGAATACAATCAAACTCAGAAAATAACCAATTCTGTGATTTTTTTTTCTAAGAAAGGTAAACAGGAACATCCATCTCCAAGGTTCTCATAAAAAAAAGAAAAATCCATATGTATGTTTCTTGACATCTTAAAGCATGCTTCAGTGTAAGCCCTTGGAGTTGGAAGATCATTCTATGTTAATAAGGGCAGACAATAATTCAAGCTTCCTGGCTTCCTCTGATCTTCAATGTCTTCTTCTGACATACTGAGAGATCACATCTAGAGGCACAGGGGAAACGCTAGCTCTCATGTTTACTCTGCAAAAGGATAAAACCCAAATGCTGTTTCCCGTGAACATGAGTGTCACTGAAGGACACCTCAACCTCTGTGTAACGTGCATCTCAACCACCAGTCTGTGGAAACTAGGAGGCAGGAGCCATATCTATTTACCACATCTCTGTATTCTCCAGATCCAGAACAGAGCCTGACACCTACAGAGGACTCAAATATATCTGTCAACTGAGTAAAAGAGGAAGTGAGCACATGCATTCTGTTCAGACAGAAATATTCTAGCAAGATGAAGTTGATAGACTATAGTCTGGCAATTCTGATATGTATATATTTGTTGGTTTAAATTGGTCTTGACAAGTTTAGTGGTAAAATTTTTAAAAAACAAAACACAGCAAAAACCAAAGTTGTCCCCAGAATAATGGGTCAATAATGTTTCATAATCCAGGATTCCCCAACAATTCTAAGAACGTCTTTACCACAGTCTTCCTTACATTTATATGTTCTAAAAACTATGCTAACTCTAAATTTAATTACACGGCATTATTTTGAAAAAATAATAGGCAAAAAAGAACACTGGTATAATTCACATCATTTAAGCAAAATACAGGCACTGACAGAAATTTAGAGAAAATTAGAAGGGGCCTCTTTAGAAAAAAATGGAATAAATGTGGGTAAAAATCTAACCATAATTAATTGTAACCAAATAATACATTATGAATTGGCTCTGTGCTCATCTTTACCTGCTTTACAACCTGATTCTCTAACACATATTGAAACGAATATTGAAATCATATTGAATTTTTTTTTTTTTGAGACAGAGTCTCACTCTGTCGCCCTGGTTGGAGTGCAATGGTTAAGATCTCAGCTCACTGCACCTCTGCCTTCTGGGTTCAAGTGATTCTCCTGCCTCAGCCTCCCAAGTAGCTGGGATTACAGGCACCTGCCATCATGCCAGGCTAATTTTTGTATTTTTGTAGAGATGGGGTTTCATCATGTTGGCCAGGCTGGTCTTGAACTCCTGACCTCATGTGATTTGCCTGCCTTGCCCTCCCAAAGTGCTGGGATTACAGGCATGAGCCACCACACCTGGCCCCAAATCATTTTTTTTCTAACAAATATTTTCATTATTTACATAACATAGAAACATCTGGAAAAGTAAAGACAAGAGTGTTGTTTTTTTAAATGCATCCTGTAGACATACCAGTAAAATTTGATGTTGTTGGGAAAAACTGAAGACAATACTACCTATATGAGAAATAAAACAACAAACAAAAATGTAATAATTAAACTTTTCTTAAAAGCCCTAGGTTTCTTTTGGAAACACCGTTAAAATTTCCCATGTTTGAAATTATACGTGCCTCTTTACAAAAACAAAACAAAAACCAAACAAACAAAAAAAACCAGAACAATCACAAACTTCATCTCAGGTGAAATGCATTCTGTCAAAACTTGAACTAATAATTATGGTGACATTTCAGTAGTGAAAGGGATTACCTCAAAAGGTCATGTCAACTCAACGCTGACTGACGACAACCACAGCCAGCCAATTAATTAATGCTAGGGACACAATGTGGATTTTTGTTTTTACAACTAAATACCACGTATCTAGCAACCTAATAGACCTTTCTCCAGAGAAATATAACCCTAATATTATGTTAGATTATTATGACCGGAAGGAAGAAGCTATAAATCTACTTTAGGAAACAAAAATACATTTTATCTGATTCTATTTTCCTAAGGAGAAGGGAGAACGAGGGGAAAAATTGATTTCATCCAAGTATGTCCATGTTAAAAACATGGAAGGCAGCCACTACTGATGACCATTAGGCAAACTAAATTGCTGTAAACTGTCTCCTCTTAGTTAACATTGTTACTATTATTTTTCAGTCCATATGGAGAAATGAACTTGAATTTTTTCTCTGTGGAAAGCGTGGATCACACTGTGAGCTCTGCACCTATGATTCTTGCATCACCTATGGATCTCAGGAAGTGCCTGAATCCTTCATTAGACTGTAAATTGCCTTATATTTTACAAGGAATCAAAATTTTTGATTCTCTACAGTTCACCTGTGAGCTTCAGGAGAAAAGGTATTTTCAGAATGAAGCATTCTTCCAAACAGCTGCTTACCCAACATGAGGGAAGCTGGTTTGAGTGATGGTTGGTGCCTGTGCCACAGGGTGTTGAATATTTTTCATATTACCCTTAGTTTAAACAATGATCAAACATATGAATATATATATATATATATATATATTAGCTATTACATAGTAGGTACTTAATAATTGGTGGCCACTAATATTGTCCACTGGAAAACCATAAACCTGGATTCTGAAAAAAACAAAAGCCTACTTAGATCGGTTTGTTGAAATGAGGATGGGTGTGGGAGGTATATGAACATGACACTCTTAGAAGGGATCATAGAGAATCAACATTCAGCCGTATTGAACACAGTAGCTTGTCTATTCCACATTTCCAATCTATTGCACAACATCCAATGCTGCCCCTGCTCATGGGCATGATGGCATTAAGCCTTACACTGAATAGTCTTGGGCATAAAATCAATGAACTAGTTTTAAAACATTGGTGAAGATGAAGTTGGTGCTGCTGTTCAAAATAGGGATTTGATGAGAGCTTTTTCAGAATCAAAACAATTTCCCTCAAAACCTAAATCAATATCTTTTTAACTCCCTGGCATCATCCACATTCCTTTAAAAATAAATTATCTTCTTAATTATAATAGTAACGAAAAATTAAACTCCATTTTTCCCTTCCTTTGTTATTTAAATAATCTTAAAGCTAAGGTGAGTAGACAGATCACCATTGGACACCAAGTGAAAAAGCACTGTCTGCATGGACTTGCTGAAATCTCCAGTGAATCTGGGAGTGGCCCTGGACACAGCACTCCCTGGTCTAAAGTCCCTGCAAGCAATGCCTCTAGGAGAGATTCAGTCCAGCTTTAAGTATTTTCCATTACTATCTTGCACTATTATTTATTTTTCTACTTGATTAATGAACTGTTGATGTGACAGATGACCTACCATTTTCCCTGTAAAATGACTTAAGGCACCAACGACATGAAGTAAGACTCATTTCTCTAGGTATCTAATCTAGGGAATGTTATTTTTGGTAATAGAGAAATTGTTTTTCCTATTTGTACAGTCTATGAAGGGTAAATGGTACCCTGATTGAAATTGTTGGAAGACATTTTTCTGCATTTCATAAATAAATGACTTTTCACTCGCCATGGGTATTTGGTACTCTACACTTTCATGGGTATTACAATGTCCAATTCTACTTGGTACATATCAGAGCTCAGCCCAGTTTGCAATGTGGTGTTCTTTATGGCTGCATGGATTAGGGTAAGAGCAGGTTTCCAGGCAGACAAATGGATCCCCATCCCAGCACAAAAACAAAACATCCTCAAGGTCCGTATTATTATGAGTCATCAGCAGACTTAATTGTGAGCAAATGGTGGTGCATATAGGAATCCTTACAGATTCATGGAGTTGTGATATGGGATTTCAACACCTCATTGGACCTTAACCAACCTATGAAACTAATATTGTAAGTAATCAATATGTACACACAATGAACAAAGTTATTATTCTGTTTATCACATGCAAGTTCCCTAATAAAGGCACGTCTCCAGCTGTCACAGGTAGAACAAAGCATTAACAGGTCTGATTACTCGCAAGTTCTACAACCCTTCTACTGTGCTATACCTGTGGCTATGTACAGTTTTCTTTAGATCATAAGATCAGTTATCTGGATATCTTCCTTAATAAAAAATGAAAGAGAACAGGCATGAAGGCTATTTGAACCTGGGAGCTACGACAGATATGGAGCATGTTTGGCCCAAGTGAGGCAAAGATGAGAGCGATGCATATGGTCATGAGATGAGCATGGCTGTGGCAGCGAGGCAGATGGAGGGTGAGAGGGAGGTGGTGCTCACCACTGCCTCCTCCACTGGCTCCTCAGCCCGAGTGTCCATTCCAAGGTCCAGACCAACGGCAGGTGTGACAGCAGCCAGAGGCTCCTCTGCTTTTGGCTCTGTGGGTGGAGCCTGTTCAGATTCAGCCTTGGAGTGTTTGTTTTGAGGGTTAGAGGAAAAAGATTCAACAGGTAAATAGATAACATTACAGAATACTGGACAATTAAGATTTTCTTTGTCATCCCATAGGCAACTAGCTTCATGAAATCCGTGCTGGAGAAAAGCCCCCATTTGCCATCATAGGCTTTTAGAGAATGGAAAAGACTAGAAATAAAATCTTATTAAGCTTCTGCTTTACCATCATCAAGACTGTCATTTCCCTTGAAGTCAGGCAAGACTTACCATTTTACCTACCCATTTTACTTACTTGCAACATTTTGACTACCCACTTACCTATGATAGCTATAAGAGGTTCTGCTATTTTCCAGAGAGAGAGAGACAGAGACAGAGAGAGAGAGAGAGACAGAGATAGAGACAGAGACGGAGGCAGAGACAGAGAGAAAGGATTCTAGGAGGACCCACAATTACTTGCCAGTGGGAAGGAGTAAGGAAGAAATCGCAGGGCACACAGTTCCAGGGCCTTTCAGTTTTATGAATATGCATTGCACCAAAAAAATCAAAGAGTCATTCTAATAGTCAGACTAAAATGCATTCATTTGACCCAACAGGTCACCATGAAGCTAGTGTTCCACTTCCAAGGCTGGGAAGAACAGAATCAGCTACCTGGCTATTTGCTACTACAATCATAGATACTTTACTGCCTTGTTGTAAATTCCTGTTCAGTCCCTTTTTCCCTTTCTCCCTCCAACAAAATCCTTAGTAATGCATTTATTTCATATAATAGTTGTTTAAAGAACCACAGGGCAGTATTCTCCATGGTTTCAATTATACCCCCTGAATTGTGTAGGCAGGGTGAGGTCTTTTTGTCCCAACAAGACATATAAACATCATCCTGATTTCAATTACATATATGCTGAATCAGGCTTCTGGCATCTCTTAGATCAAGGCCTTTTTAGTTTTAAAATTAGCAATATAAACTAACAGCAAGCCATTAAAAGCACCACAGCCAATGCATGTTACTACAAATACTGAAAATATTCCTTCTTTTTCCATTCTTATTAATATAAATAAACATATTTATCTAGTATGATTCTTTCACTAAATGAATGGCCATTAGAGGGCTCATAAGATCCTTTTCTATCACCAGAACACTTAAACTAAAAAAAGTTTAAAAGTGATTTCCCAGTGGAGTAAGAAGTCTCTAATTAATGCTGTGATTGGAGAAATCAGTAACTTCTATCCAACTCACCATAAGCAATCAAAACACACCTCTATTTGTCCTGTACATTTATCTGAGTCAGTGCACATGGCAAGTTCCACAGAGAAGTGCTGGAAAAGTTATGCTGAGATAATACAAAATGAATATGAATAGCCTAGTGTTGGACAAATACACAAAGTATTTGTCTTATGTTTCCCACCAAATCATTCCATTTTTATGCATGCCAGGATCACACGACTATTCTTTTCAAAAGGACATAATAAATTCAAGGGACTGGTAGACAAGTGTGCAGACATTTGATTTTTATGGGCTTTTTTCAGCTTTAAGAGGTGGCCTGACATAATTTTTAAGGAAGAATGAGATAAAATTCACACTAATATGCTCTCAAGAGTCCTTTATGGAAAAATACTTCACTTTTATTGTTTGAAAAGAATTATCTTCATAGTGGAACAAGTTTTCATAACAGCAAATAGATACTGTAAGTGCTCAGGGAATGATCTTACCATTTGGGAAGTCAAGGTGATTTGCTATGACAGCCTGGTATCAAATGACCTTCACAATGAAGGATAAAAGGGTAATTTGAGAAAACACCAAGAAATCCACGAGCAGATGCTGTTCACTGCAAACTGAGTCTACTCTATGGAAGAAGTAAGATCGAAGCCAGATGAGAAGCCAAGAGATGTTTTAAAACATGAGCCAAAGAAATATAACATCATATATTTTATAAAATGCAAAGATATCTTAAAATGCAAAAAATATTTGCACCAGAGTCTGGGTTTCTTAGAAGTCTGAAGAAATTCTGACATTTTTTATAAGGCAAGAATAAATAGCTAGGGTGATTTTATAAATGAGCCCAATTGCATTTGCTTGTTGAAATTTGACAGTGCAGCTGTGGTCTAGTATAAAGAGAACATAGGATTGCTTATGTTCCCCACAAGTCACAAGATGTTTCACATACGACAATAACACATGAAATTTTACAATATGGCATTACAACTTAACCTAAATTCCAGGAGGATAGTATAGCTCACTAAATGATGAGTAACAATGAAGCATGGTTATATATAAAATCAGCTACCCAAATTTAGAAATAGAGGCCACCTTTCTATTCCAAGATAATGTAAAATTCTAAGTATTTTGTCAAGAAAGAGGGAAAAGCAAAGATAAAATGTGAGCAACCGCTTGTGGAGAGATTTAATATAGTCCTGTGGGAATTGTGCCCTACCTTCACTGTTTTTCCTACAAGATGCCTCCCTTGAAAGACATTGCAAATGGGTTGATCCCATGCCACACCTATTTTGGAGTGCTGAGAATGATTTCCTATTGTTTGCTTCAGTAGCAGTCATTACACACTCAGAGAAGAGGTACATCCTTTACAGATATTGGTGGCAGCAGATGCCACAATGGTTTAACTCTGAGGACCATAAACCAATTATTCCTTTAGAATAAAATGAGGAGTGTAGCCTTGCAGCACCTTTTCTGGTATCCTTTGTGATAAGATGAAAGGCGGGTCAATACAGAGGAAGAGGAGATGGGTTGGGACAGCAGGGGCAGAAGTCTAGTCACATCCAATGTGGCCTTGTATCCAGTTTCTCCAATCCTGAGAGAACTAATTTAGTGAGAACTCCAAAGGGCTTTAGAGGCAACCCTGAGCCCCGAGCAAGAGTTACTGATTCAAAAGGGTTTAAACCTGTACTCAAAAGATGTCCTGCGGGGCTGTATGATGCAGGCTGGGAGATGTACAGCTGATTACCAACTTCACCCCCTACCTCGCTCAGAATAGTCAATGAGCCAAACACTGGGGCGTTTTCTTGCTCCTGGGAAGATCGTGTACAATCACGACTCACTGGGAGACATCAGTTCACTGTGATTTCCTAGATCAGAGGGCAGGACCAAGGTTAGCAGCATTTGCAATGCTGAACATGACAAAGCTAAGTTCCCCATGGAAAGAAGGGGCAAGATGTCTGCTTCAGAGAATACATACAAACAGAAGAGAAAGACAAGCATGGAAGCTCCTAGGACCAGCCATGGATGACAGGGAAAGGTTCACTGAAACTTAAAAACCACTGAATTCTAGACCTGAATCTTTTGCATCCGTGTAGTAGGTGTGAGTTTAATTATAACCAATTGCCTTTCCTTTTATACTGGTATTTCTCCATTTCTCATAAACCATTCATGATTGATAATTAAAAATTCCGTTCTCCATCTTCATCACTCAGCTGGAGAATCACCAATGAACATGAAGAATGAGCTTCACTGGCTCCATTACTAACACAAGTATAATTTGTATTTGAAACATTTAAATATTTATTTGCAGGCCAGAGAGACTCTGCCTTTCAGCTGGTTGCCCAAAAGGCAAAAGTGTGACAATCTATTGACAAGGTATGAGAGACACACCTGTCTTTGCAAATATATCAAACCAGCCTTGAAGACAAACTTTCCAGAAGAGAATTCCTTACTTAAAATAGTTTAAAAGAAATCATTCTATTTAATCTCAATTCCAAGCATCCAATATGAAAGGCAGGAGCTAGGATAAGTATGCACTATTCCCATGAGAAAACCATAGTGCTACAAATAACCCTCATGAACTAGTCCTCAAAGAGCCCAAATCCTCTGAAGTGTAGCAATGACATGCTCAAAAGTGATATCTCTTAAGGTCTCTTCATTCATCTTTACTAGTAAGCTTTAAGCTGTTGCTAAAAATGTTTCCCATCATAACTGCAACACTGATCTTTTAAGAATCTTCTCTAACGCCAGGAGTAACTATTTCTATTTCTTACTCATCCCCTAACTAAGCTTTTCTCTCTCTTCTCATTTGGTATCAAATTAGGAATCACAACTCTACTATGCATTACTGCTTTCTACCTCTCACAAAGTGGAGGGATGAGATGATAAATGGGGTAGTTTCACGTTCAAGAAACAAACAAGGATTTATTTTGAAGCATGAATTCTTGAGACAATTTCACTTTAAATACTGGAACTTAAGTTATATTCACATGGAAATATACATGTCTTTAATGGATTCACTGTGTTCTGCTGGGGTTCATCATTAGGAGACTAGTTTTTGCTGGAATCACTGTGCCTGTGTGAATAGAAATAACCAAATGCAAAGTCACACTGAGGTTTTACAGACACATTCTCTCCTGTTTTCTAGAAAAGTACAGGATCCAGAAACCACATTCTGGATATTCAAACTCTAGACAGCCTAGAATGATCAGCTTTAGAACATTCAGTGATAACTAACAACTTCCTGAGAGCACAAACCCAAATCAACTTACCAAGTTGCAGATCATACTCTGGTCTGTCTGCATTGTGAATAATGAAGTATCCTGGGGCTGAAAATCAAGGATAAAAATAGAAGATGTTTTTTAAAGATATTTAAATCAGCTACCATCAATTGTGTCTGCCTACGTATCTATCTATCTATCTATCTATCTATCTATCTATCTATCTATCTATCCATCTATCTATCGACACTCTATCTATCTAATTTTTTTTTGAGAAAGGGTCTCCTCTGTTCCCCAGGCTGGAGTATAGTGGTATGATCATGCTCACCGCATTCTCCACCTCCCTGGGCTCAGGCGATCTACCTCAGCCTCCTGAGTAGCTAGAAGTACAGGCGCACATCACCACGCCTGGCTAATTTTTGCATTTTTTTGTATAGACAGCGTTTCATCATGTTGCCCAAGCTGGTCTCGAATTTCTGGGCTCAAGCAAACTGCCGAGCTTGGCCTCCCAGAGTGCTAGGATTACAGGTGGGAGCCACCATGCCTGGCCTCAATAAATATTATTTGAAACATGTTCAAGTCCCCTTTTATTTTAAATCATTAAGTCAAAACATGCAAAAGTAAGTTTTAATAATAGTTATTCTAAATATAAGTCTCTGCTAGCAGAATACTATGAGAGTCATTAAACAGAGGCCACTGGCTTCAGGGGCATCTTTAGTCCACAGCTTCTCTTCTGGCCGTTGATATCAAATCAGAAGTTAGTGGTTGAAGCTCCAAAATTTAAACTTTTTAAATGTTGTGAATTCAATCTCACTATATTACTTAAGTGTTCCTTCTATGGGTTATGTATGAACCATATGTTAACATTTCATAAAATATGTTCATTGACCTAAACAAATCAAGCTGGAGGAAATCTAAAGGAAAAGTAATCTCTAAAGGAAACTTCATCTCTCATTACATTGGTAGCCAGGCTTGCACCCTCCAAACAGGAGACCCAGGTGTCTTTCCTGGGAAATCTGCCAGCTCAAGGAAAAAAACAAAATGCCTGAAGAAATTGACATCAGGGGATGCCTAACGGAAAAGATGAGCCAGTGCCTTTTGGTTGAAGATGGTGTTTTGAACACATGCAGTTGCCTCTGTTACCTCCTGAATCCAAACTAAACAACAATAAAGGGATTTTTAAGGCATCAACCTATAAGAATGAAAAGAATGAGAAGAAAGATAGAAACAACAAAATGTTGAAATTGGAAAGCAGATGAAAGAGTAGTAACTTGGTAGATCAAAGAAATCTGTATCCTAAGGTGATGCTAGAAATGCTGCAAATCAGTCCGATTTGTTCCTTAGAACTCCCAGTGGTGAAAAATTAGAAGCATAAAGAGCCACAGGAAACAGGAGTGAGGGTGGTGGTAACAACAGAAGAATAGTAAAAGTCTATTACAAAGTCATCAGACCTCAAGATATTCTTACCTACTAAGAACACCAAGCAACATCCTTGCCTACCCTAGCAGAAGACTTGAGATTAATTATATAGAGGCTGAAACAGGGTCCCTGGACTGGGGAACACACAGGCACATCAGGAAGGTAGAAGCACTGAGTACTTACATAATAAATATTGAGACCATGCACCCCTCTCTCGCCACTCTGCTCCCATTTTTTCCCCAATCACCTCCATTACACTAGTAGTCAGACTTGAACTTCACAGACAGGAGACAAAATAAATCTTCCCTGGGAAATCTGGCCAGCCCAAAGGAAAAAAAATGCCTAAAGAATCTGACTTCAGTGGCTCCCCAACAGAAAAGATAAGCCAGAAAGTCCTGCAACAATGCCCACAGTCAATGAACTCTATCTACCTGTACAAGGTTCCAGTCAGCTTTTCAGCATCCCACTTTTAAATATGAATATTCAGTCAAGATCACCAAACATTTGAGAAGTCTCAAATATAAAAGAGAGATGGAATAGAAAGGGTTAAGCAAGAGGAAGAAACAAAGATTTTGCAAAAATAATTCAAAATGATTATTAATACCTTCAGAGATATAATGGAAGAGAATCATTCATGACACAAGAAGAAGATGCTATTGGAAAATAAATATGCAGTAAACAAAAAGAGTTATTGGAAATTGAAAAAATTATAGGGTGAAAAACCTGTTAGAATAGTTGGCAGAGAAAGTAGAGAAAGACAACAGAGAAAAGGAAACAGCAAAGAAACAATAATAGAATACTAGTCAGGAAGTTAAAATATGAAAAAGAGAAGTGTTATGGAATGAGAGAACAAAGGAAAAAAAAAGATAAAGCCATGAAATATTTTTTTAAAATTCTCCCAAACCAAAACCCATAAATTTTGAGATTAAAAAGGCTTATACAGTGGATGAAAAGAGACTCAGACCATAGCCCATCATTGAAACATTTCAGAAACACTGAAGTAAAAAGAAGATGCTACAAAGTTCCAGAGAGAAAGAGAGAAAAGGAAGATGAAAGAGGTAGGAGGAGGGAGATAGAGAGAAAGAATGAGGAGAGGAAGCAGGTTTCTTACAAAATATCAAGAATCAAAATGACAGTTTCTTGAAGGCAACACTAGGTGGTAGGATTGAGTGGAGCGATGGCTGTAAAATTATAAGGGAAAATGATTTACAGCTTCGAATATAATACCCAAACTAGCAGTCCAGTATATTAATATATATGTAGGACATGTTCAGATGTGTAACGTCACAAATATACACCTTCTGTGTATGCACTTTTTTCAGAAAGCTACTGGAGGTTGTGCTCCACCCAAATGAATGATTAAACCACAAATGAGAAAACTTGCATCAGAAAACAGTGGAAGGACAGGAAAGAGAGGTGAAGGCAGTCCCCATGACCAACAGGATGGAAGAGCCAGTGAGAACAGCTCTACAGCAAGTCACAGTCATAGAGTACCCAGTTCAGCCCACAGCAGCCCAGGAGAGGAGGACAGATAGGCAATTTCTTCAAGAAGATGAAACTGATTGAATGTCTAGTGTTTTCAGCAAAATAGGAGATTTGTATAACTATAGAGTATGGGGTTGAATATGTGATAAGTACCTAGAAAACTAAGCATATCAATCAAAAGGCAAATAAATTAGACCCACAATTTTTTTATAATTACCACAAAGGAAAACAAAAAGTTGGCATGAAACAAAATGTGAAATTCATGACTTGGCTGTTAATAGCATTTTCATCACTATTACATTACCACAGATTGCCTGGATGGCTTTGATGGAACTCTATCAGAGGAAGGGCAGGAAGCAGAAGAGGGGGCGAATTGGGTGGGTAGGAGGTGGAAAATACTTTAAGTCTTCACCTTCCAGAGAGATGAGTCAATAGATAATACTTTAGAAATCAAGAAGCAGCATTATAAGAAACCCATGCACACATATAGGGCGGAAACAGAGAATTTGTTGAAGGAAGTGAAACTATTTACCTCTAAGAAACAGGAAATGAAGGGAGTGTATGGTGGTCTGAAGTTTTAAAATAAAAGCCCTTATAAAAGTTGTTACTTTTAAAATTATGTGCATTAATAACTCTGATGGAAATACAAACCTGAAAAGAATGAGAAATTGATGACAGAGCCTATCATAACCTTTCAAAGGAATTTTCTGAAGATGGAAGAGATGCATTAACGTCTCTTTGTATTTGTGTGTATCTGTATTTGGATGTGGGAATATCAGTGGGTTTTTATCTTTTTACAGGTAACATGGGAAAATAATGAAACCTTTAAATACAGAATTCTATTTATGAATATATTATGAATATATATTTAGAGAATTATAAATGCTAAATTATTAGAAACTGTGCATGTCTGACATTCTGAGACAAAGCAGGCATCACAGACAAGCCTGTCTGAGGTCTCCATTGAAGAGGTTGTCAGAACTGATCCAGGAGCCTGAGAGCCATGTGGCCGGCCTTTTACACAGGTTACACCTGCCTACCTGTTGGGACATACACATACACTGTCCTAATGGGACAGTTCATCTTGTGGTTTCTCTTTCACAGACTCTCAAGAAAAATACTGCCTTATTGGACACAACCAGCCTATGGTTTCTGATCTTCCAACAGCTCCTTCCTGGAGAACTGCTGAAGAGGTAAGGCTCTGTGCAGTGTGGCTCCTATAGGAATCTCTAGAAGGAAGCTCCTAAAACCCTCTCACATTTTCTAAAGATCCATCTCATTAGTTCAAAACAATCCTAGCTCTTCTTTAGAACAGCTGAATCCAGTGGATCTCTCAGATCAGAACAACTTCTAATTTCTAGTAGAGGAATCGGTAGAAGGTAGAAGCCCATGGTATAGCTAATCATATTAATAAAAGCTAAACTAAAGTCAGGGAGAACTTAGTGTGTGCTAGCCTGCTGGGCTAAACACTCTGTTGCATAGCTCATTTAATCTTCACAATAATCATACAATGTTGCTACTATTCTGTTTCCATTACTCAGTCTGTAAGTAGTGGGGTCCAATTTTGTGCTGATATTCTTAATCATTACGCTATACTAGTGGCACAGAGAACCAAACCACATTGAAAAAAATGTGCATCATTCTCAGCAGATGGATCTTGTAAGAAAACAGATTCCTTACCTGTGTGAATCCATTAAATGAACCACCAGAAGCCTAAACAGAAACGAAAATCAGATTGTGTTATTATTTTTCATTATCATTTTGTAGGACCAGTAAATATCCATTAGACAAGTTGGAAAGTAAAGACTATCACAAGTTTTAAAATAATACAAAAGGTTGCTGTGCATGAAAGAACTTAGGAAATGCAAAGGCCACACTGTATGATTTTAAATAGGCTGACAAAAAAAAAAAGAAAGGTTAATTTTACAATTATTGCTGCTGCATTATTGCTTGGTGCCAACCAAAACCCACTTTCTCTATAATGAGAAGATGATTCCAGAAAAGGGCCATTAGGAGTTAAATTGCTTGTTTTTCAGGCCATTGATAGAATCTAGAAGAAACTTCTCCAGTGTTTCTACAATGCATCATTTTGATGAACAGCAATTATGATATTTTACAGTTTCAGTGGGCCTGGGTTGAAACATTTCGTGTGTTCTTTTTGGAGTGGAACCACTTCAGGAACAGTAAATTAGTCTGTGCTGCTCTTGGTTTAGCACATTTTTAGTACCTGCATAGTAAAAGTGAAAGTAGGGAGAATAAACTCAGAAAATGAGATGGTAACATAGACTGTCATTAATTCCCAACACAATCATTCCGCTTTGTGTGTATGTGTCTATGTTGTTGGGTTCTTTTTGTTGTTGTTGTTGATGCTGCTGCTTTTTTTTTTTTTTGGTCAACCTATTTGTGTTTGGTTTGCACAGATTTCAAGAAGTACATGACAATCTGTTAGAGAGATCAGGCCTCCTAGAAGATAGTGATGGATAATGAAGTAGGTGACAGACATGAGGAAAAACAGAGCCTACAGAAGTCTTTGGCTAGTCTATGCTACAGACCAGGGTAAGTACCTCGTCTTTGTCAGCCTCTATTTCTTGGTACAACAATCCATATCTCTGGTTAGCAATTTCATCTTCAGATAAATCTGAGTTGTTGATGTCCTGGTCTCGGGAACTAGCAGAACTCTCAGTGCTAGCATTCCAGGAGGTCCCCAAAATCAATGGTCTTGCTATCTCCTGGCTTTGTTCCCAGCAGCTAGCAATGGCTTGTTCCCTACAATCACCTGCTAGTAAGTCCACCTTCAGTTCTTCCTTGTGCTCAACTACATCTGAATGTGTCCAGCTATTATCTAAGCCTTCTGTATCTCTGATAGGCCAGTGGTTAATAGAATCCAGACAACTGGCAAATCCACTTGCTTGGCCATCTGGTATACCAGAGAATCCTGTTATATCCAAATTATTCATTGCTGAATCCAAGCTTGGCTGCCAGATTTGACCTGGATCTGTTCCCCAAGAGTCTATCTCTGCAATTCTTGGCAAGTTAACAGTATGACTACGGTTCTCAGTTACTGTTCTTTCAGACCCTTCTATTAGTGAACTTTCTGCCTTACATGAACATAAATCTCTTCTGTTTGCATCTCTTCCCAGAGAATAATTAAGGTCAGTCCTAGACTGAGCTTCTACTTCAAGTTTTATTGATAAAACAGCCTGATTTTTATCCCTGTCACCTACAAGAGCATTTAACACAGTCTCACACTGAATTTCTTCAGCATCTGTACTGTCTTGTGCTGGGTAAAATATCATATCATGGTTGGGAGTGTCTATTGCATTTTTCTTTATGTCTTTTCTAGTCAAATCCCATCCCTCAGGGCTGCCATCTTCAATATTAGATACAGAGTAGGTCTGGAGAGATGGATTCAAGATATCTGGGTGATTGGCAGGTTTGGCTCCAAAGCCTTCTATCATTCCACAATTATTGATTACCTTTTGAATTCCATCATGTAGACCTTGGTCTCTGTCACTAAGTTCTTTTGCCATATCTCCTCCTTCCATGTCCTTTTCTAATAGGTCAGTTTTCTCAAAATAATTTTCATTGGCGTTTGTACTTTCCTTATACCCTGCTCTTAGATCTTTTCTAGTTTCCACTTCATTAATTTTTAAGGTCTTATGGTCTTCCTTTCCTATGGTATTAAGAAGTTCTACCACTCTGTTTCCTGTCCTTTCACATGCTTTCTCTTCAAATTCCTCTGTACCTTCTAGTGTCTTGATATCAATAGCTCCAGTGTCTACCTTTTGACACGCCTCCACACCTGCCCACAGAGAATCTTCCATCTTCTGTTTCTCTTCCTCTTCATCTGACTTCTTCATATCTTCATGACTTTCTTTGAACAGGCCAGCTGTGTCCATGGCTGGCATGTCTGAGTCAAGTGGGTCATACAGCTGCTCCATCTCCACACAAGCAGCAATGGCAACTCCAGCCTCCGGCGCAGGCTTTGGGGGCAGTTGTTCATTTCCACCTGGAAAGGCTGGCCCCGGGGCATGCTCACTCTCTTCAGCTACAGTGGGCCAGTCAGCAGACGAAAGCAGGCTGGTGGATAATCTTATGTCTTGCTCTGTTTCGGAGGGACATGCAGAGTCTTCTCCAAACCCACCTGAGGTAACTTCTTGGCTGACCCTGTCTGTACTAGCGTCAGGGCCCCAAGTAAATGCACCTATATCATTTTGAGATCTTTGAATTTCTTCGGCCAACCCACTGTCTGGAGTTTCCTCCATGATCAGGTTACACAAGGAAAGACTTTCTGAAGAGTCAGTCTTTAAAGTATGCAGAAGAGCAAAGGAAAAAAAACAAAAACAAAAGATGAAACAGAACATGGTAAGATTTGATGAGAAACACAAAGCTCTTCAGGCGAGTAGCACCAGTAAAACCAAACTGGAAAGTGATTACATTCATTGGCTTAAGGTTTAAATCTATGACTAGCAATGCCATGGGGAAACAGTTCATTCTAGAAAATATACTATGTATGTAATGCATATCAAATACCAAAAAAATCCAGAATGATCTGGATATTTACCTACCGGCTGTACCAAATCAGTGCTTGTCTGTATGGGTAAAGAAAATAGTAACAATAAGGCGAGAGAGAAAATTCACTAACACAATAAAATCCTATGCTGTCTAGAGTCAACATTCTGCTGAAGGCTATAGCTTTTACTGGTTTAGGAACAAATTTTACAACTTGTTTTGTGATAGGAATGATTTTTGTTCCAAAATTGTTTAAGACCACCATAGAAAAGGCACAAATGAAACACAAAGAAAGCCTCTTTCACTTTCTAGCATCAGCAAGGATGTTTTATGGCTAGTATATGACTTCTGCTTTAGCAGACTCTGAAATGCTAAGTTTCAAACACATAAGCAAGTTTGAGAACATCGGAATAAGATCAAGCACTAGAGGTCAAGAAATTACACAGTAGCACACACTTTGACACAGTATCAGAAGAAAATATTCCCCAAACTCATCCTATACTTGGCTCTGTCTTTGAGATGGGTGTTTAGATGGAGAATGGTCTGATATTAACCAGTCTGACTGCCTGCAGAGTTCTCTTGATGTCATTCCCCCAAATTAGCAGCCATTTTCTCCACATAATGAAAAAATCTTGCAAAGTTGAGAAGATTAATAGCTGTGAGCAACTATGTTCAGAAAGCTGTTGTTTTGCATTTTGATATCGCTACCATTCCTAGCAAGTTTGTCCTCTGAAACGTTCAAAAGCTCTTTTTAGACGATACCTTCACCCTCTCCATACCCTCCCAGCGAGGGAAGGAAAATGTGTTACAGTTCCACTAAAGATATAAAATATTGGAATAACAAAAAATAGCATTGTCTTTTTAATCTCCAAGGAAATTAACACAGAGTTGAAGTTAGAATTCAAATGACTCGAACATCAATCCATGCATGCCTTTTTGTGAATATATGAGTAAAACTTTTCACTAGAAAAGATATAACTTAGTCATTGGTGGTTTCAATAGACATTTTTAATCTCTCTTCTTGAGCACTTCCCTTGATGCTCCAAGGATCTTAAAGAGTGCAGTATGAGCCCTGCAACTGCAGAAGGAAGGGACAGACATCTTTTTGTTTTGAAGGGAGAAAGAAAGTGGCAATGTCAATTCAGAAGTGGCATTGCCCATGAATAGCTAGATCTATCGAACTTTCCTTTTTCTGCCTCACAATAAAAGAAGAAAACATACAACTTAAGTTGAGTTCTTAAGACCACATCACCAGGGCTTTTCTAAAACAAAGACCCTGCTCCAAGGGATATGAGGCTGTAGAGGTGTGTGACCAATCACCTAATTTCACAGCACCAATGAGACCACCACAAAGCTCTGTTTGTGACACTTTCCCAAGTCTAAATTATGGAGTAGTTATCCTTACACATCAGATTAGCTGAAAAAACATCAGTAATAACATCTACCTTTTATTGATACACACCAGACACCATGCTACATACTTTACAATTATCTTATTTAAACCTCACACAACCTTCCGAGGTAGGCATCATTACCCTTATTTTATAAATGAGAAAAAAATGATGCTTAGAGAGTTTTAGAAATTGCTCAGGCTGGCCGCAGTGGCTCACACCTGTAATCCCAGCACTTTGGGAGGCCGAGGCGGGCAGATCACAAGGTCAGCAGATCGAGACCATCCTGGCTAACACGGTGAAACCCCATCTCTACTAAAAATACAAAAATTAGTTGGGCGCGGTGGCGGGTGCCTGTAGTCCCAGCTACTTGGGAGGCTGAGGCAGGAGAAGGGTGTGAACCCGGGAGGCGGAGCTTGCAGTGAGCCGAGACAGTGCCATTGCACTCCAGCACTCAATGAAACAGCGAGACTCCGTCTTAAAAAAAAAAAAAAAAAAAAGTAATTGCTCAAAGTCTCAAGGTTATGAGTAGTAGAGTTTGGACTAAAATCCAGGGCTATCTGGCTCTAAAACTCAAGTTCTTATTAACCCAAGCTTCATTGAATACAATCACTTTTTTTTAAAATGGTACCATGTGCCAAGTAGCCCATCTCTTCCATTTTCTCATTCACACTTTCCTTGTCTTCTATTTAAGTGTGTGTGTCCTTCACTGCAACAGCTCCTTTTGCCACCAACCACCACAGAAAGAAACAAAGGGCCAAACTCTTGACCATTATTCAAATTATTGACCATTATTCACCCAGGAGTCTGGTCCACTGTACTCTTCCTTCACCATCATCTTCCGGTTCTGATAATGCTCAAGACTTTCAGTGGCCTAATGATCATTCTAGGGGACTATATCATCATTAAATGTATGTGTCTTCTTTCTGTTGCAAATGAAATAAAATATAACAAGGTTTCCAAATTTCTGGGGATCAAGATACATGAAAAAACAGAGTTATTAGTGGCTTACCGTCCATAGGTCCCAGGGCAATGTCTGAAAGCAAATAAACAAAAATACTGTTAGTTATACAAATCTAAAACATAAAAAAATGCTGAGGTGACAAAAGTTCTTGAAATCATAAGCATTTTTTAAGCATTTTGTACAGTACTGTTCAATAAAACTTTTTTTGGTGAAGGAAATGATCCATATCTGTGCTTATCCAGTATGGTAGCCACCAGTCACATGTGGCTATTGAGCACTTGAAATGTGCTAGGGTAACAAAACCACATTTTAAATTTTACATAATTGTATTATACTTAATATAAGCTTAAATGGCACTTAGCTTTGGATAGCACAGGTCTAATCAATCTCAACTTTCACTATGTGAGTAGAAAACTATATTTGAAACACAAATGAGGTTATTTTAATACACACACACACACACACACACACACACACACACACCTCATTAAAATGAAGTAAACAAGGTGTCCAAATTTTAGAGCTTGTCACATCTTTGAGGAAATGCAGGCCCTAATCACTGCTAATGCTATTTCCTTCCCATCTCATTCAAGAGGATGTAGGATGACCAGCTTAATGGTAAATGAGCCCCAGAAAAATAGTTCTTCAATATGTTAAATTAGATGATAACACACTGCTCAATGAATTGGTAATCATACAAATTGGCAGAGCACCCCCTAAGACATGAATGAATTACACTTACTACTGGTATTTTAATTATAAAGCTTATGAATCCCGGGGAGTGAGGCCAGATGGTTCAAATGGCTTCCACTATGGGTGAGGGGAGCAGGGAAGACTTCTCTTTCTTATTTCCTTTATGATTGAGAATTGCTGCTAAAGCCACATCCGATTATGCCCATGTCTTTGTGACTAGAATGGATCCACGTTTATGCACTTATTTTGAACTACTAAATGTCAACAGCAAACTAGAGAGCCTGGCATTGCCACCTTAAAAATATGATGGTTTTCGGTTGAGATTGCAGAGGCCTCATTTGGGCTCCGTATTATAGAAAGCAGGCCCTGTGGTTCTGATACCCACCCACCTGGTTGGGTCCCATTCTAACCGTTCTGCATGGCCTGCCTTGCATCTCCATGCAGCCTGCCTGGTCTCTTGCTTAGCATTTTCTCGTAGGATGACTAAGACAGGAGAGAACAGCTCCATGGAAAGCCACAGTTTTTTGTACATGGATCTAATATATGTTTTCTGATTATCTAGATGATTCTCATTTCATTGCTTCATAGCCACTTAAGAATCAAAGATCATGGCCGGGCGCGGTGGCTCACGCCTGTAATCCCAGCACTTTGGGAGGCCGAGGCGGGCGGATCACGAGGTCAGGAGATCGAGACCATCCCGGCTAAAACGGTGAAACCCCGTCTCTACTAAAAATACAAAAAATTAGCCGGGCGTAGTGGCGGGCGCCTGTAGTCCCAGCTACTTGGGAGGCTGAGGCAGGAGAATGGCATGAACCCGGGAGGCGGAGCTTGCAGTGAGCCGAGATCCTGCCACTGCACTCCAGCCTGGGCAACAGAGCGAGACTCCGTCTCAAAAAAAAAAAAAAAAAAAAAAGAATCAAAGATCATAAAAGCTAGTGCATGTCTCTGTATAATGCACACATCACCAGTTATTTTCTTTAAAAGGAAGGCAGGAAATATGAAATGTCATGTTTATCAGTCCTCAGGATCATGAAAGGATGCGTTAGCGTGCACAGATACTGCAGAGATCACAAGATGAGGTGTTCTGCTAGCAGCAAGAACACCACTTGAAAACATGGGGTCAGGTGATGGGTAAAGGAGGTCATTTTGAGTGAAGAGGAAAGAAACCAGGCAGACCTAACAGTGCTATGCTTTTTTTGTCATTCAGTCAAGACTTTTGTTCTTAGCAAAAGAGGAGAGGTATGATCAAAGCTGGACTGCAGGACAACTATAGTGTAATGACTCAGTTATGGCCACCAGGAGGCTAGAGGGTTTTATTACCTGGCCCTGAGGAAGAGCACAGGGACACACACAGCTTGCCGTCACTGCGGTGATATATGTCCTTCAGAACTAAAACTTTTGAAGATTAAACCAAGGTCATTTTTGTTTAATTTTGAAGAATCTCTTAGTCATAAGGCCACACACAGTTTCATGATTTATGGATTAATGTAATCATGAATTAACATAAAAGAGGTTTCTCTCCTGATTCAAACTTGTAGACAGAAATGCTATGAAATCTCACCCACTAATCATTCCAGCATCCACTGCAGAAACTTTGCATCTGCCACAAAAGAAATGAAGCATGGGCCGGGCATGGTGGCTCATGCCTGTAATCCCAGCACTTTGGGAGGCCGAGGTGGGCAGATCACGCGGTCAGGAGATCGAGACCATCCTGGCAAACATGGTGAAACCCCACCTCTACTAAAAATACAAAAAATTAGCCAGTCGTGGTGGCAGGCGCCTGTAGTCCCAACTACTCGGGAGGCTGAGGCAGGAGAATGGCGTGAACCAGGGAGGTGAAGCTTGCAGTGAGCCAAGATCGCACCACTGCACTCCAGCCTGGGCATCAGAGTAAGACTCCATCTCAAAGAAAAAAAAAAAAAAAGAAGCATGGAGAGTAAGGCAGAGGAAATCCTGTGAATTCTGCAGGCTGTCTATATAATGAGAAATCTCTGAGAAGGAAGTATATTCAATTATATGTACATTCACTTTGTACTTTTCTTGGTCACCAAGGTGGAACCCTCAAACTTGTTGACAATACTTTAGCATTTCTCAAAATATTGTTTTAGAGAACATTCCAATGAATATTAAGAAAAGTGTAGTTAACATAGATTTCTGTGGTCAAACAAATTTGGGAAACTCTAAGTTAAACAAATATAAACAGTTTTTTTAAATTGCAGAACTTCTCAGCCTTTAATATTCTAATGCACATCATGAATCTTCTAGAAGAGAGTTAATACAGGAGGCTTCCTGGAACTTTCACCTAAGAGACCCTTTTGTTTTTTGCAAAGCATCTTCAAGGCTAGTGTTTAGACTATTAATTTCTTACTTTATTAACACCTTGGACATTTATTGTTCATATTGCACAACAGGAAAGCCTTTAGAAGCCCAATCACATTCTAGAAAAAAGCATGGACTAGACATAATCCTTATTTATTAAGGTTCATATTGAGCCATTTATTCCCTAGCAGTTTACTGTGATATACCAAGAAGGCTTCAAGGCCAGGGAATCAAGCTAGGTCTTAATTCCTAGGTTGAATGTTACAATATTCTTGTACTAATTCATTTGAAGCATACTCTAGCAACTTTGGATTTGCCTAAATTCATATGTGGGGCTCCAACCATATGCAAAGTACTTATATAAACAGTTTCTGTTTTGTCAAATTTTGAGTTAACTTCCTTCTATTAGCACAGACAGTTGTAAACTAACTATATTTCAGAGGACCTACCCACAGGTCATTATGGCACCTACCACCAGTATCCTCTGACAGAGAATGTAATGACAGTTACTATAAGAAAGGAAGAAATATGGAGTGTGAGGGAGTGGTGAGCAAAAAGGCTTGGGGAAGCAAGGCGACTCTCCATCAAACCATAACCATGATCACAGGAGGGGAGCTTCTTCAATGGGGAGGATGAACACAGCATCATCAAGTTCAGAACGATCAACACTGAAAACGGCTTCTGCTGGCCCGTGCTTTCATGGTCATTGCAAACACACTTTAACTTGCAAAGTATGAGGAAGGGAAGTAGAGAAAAGAGCAAGAAGAGTAAACCCAAAACCAAAAGAAAGAGCTTCATCCAGGGAAACCATAAAATGTATCCTGTAAACCTGAACAGTTCTGAGTGCAACGTGGGCACTGGTAACAATTACTCTGGGGGAGAAAACAGGAATGTATGGTTATGCCAGCTCTATGGGTAGAGAAAGCTGATGGCATGGGAGTCTTAGAATAACTGATATAGATAAGGTCCCCTTTCTACCCCTCTTTCCTATTAGGAAATATCTGTCAACCAAAAATAAAAATAGATAGTAGTCATGAAAGGTATAGGGATCATTGGTTACCACACTGAGCTTACTGAGGTTTATGAAATATCTCCAAACATCCAAAAAGCACCTGATACCTGAGACATGGGTGAGTGGGTCACTCCAGCAGAACCTGCAGGTGTCACCTCGGGCTTGAAAGGATCAAAGTCCAGATCCAGCAAAGTCTCCTCTTTCTTCACCTCAGGGACTTCATTCTGTTAAAGCAAACAACAAAACAAAATAAAACATGTATTAGCTTGAATCTGATAAGACCATGATATAGCCCATGTATACTCTCTCTAATATTATTATTGAGTATCTCCAAAACACACTTTTATAAGCATGGTGGCTCACCCATATGCACCCAGTCACTCAGCTAAATGCAGTGAGAAGGAAATAACTAACTCTGGCCAAGTATAACCTAAGTTGCCCTGGAATGTGTCCCAGGCTCTAGCTCTTGTCCTTTGTCTAGCTCCAAGTCCAGTCAACAGAGAGAATGTTCCAAGGATGTATCCTAATATACCAAGATGCAAGGAGTCTCCTCTGTCAGCTCAGAGAACTTGGATCAAGAAATTACAGATGACCCAATCGATAAAATGGGCCAAGATCTGGACTCATTATAGCAATACTGCTGATGTTCTTCTGGGAAGCTAAAATTTTAAAAGGAAGGTGCCATTGTGTACTGCTGACCACATCCCAACGGCCTCATTCCCTCACTGGTACCCTACCCCTTGATTTGGTTATCATTTGATCCAGTCTTCATCCATAGCATTGTTAGTTTCAATTGTGTATGTGTATGAGTGAGGGTGAACGGGAGGGAGAGAGGAGAGAGACAGCCATGCCTCCCAACATTTGCTGCAAAATGAGCTCCCATTAATAATATTTTTGGATTAGAAAGAAGGTAAGCCAAATAAGACACAGGACGAAAGTCCTGCTTTGATAATACAAAAAAATCTATAATACTAAACATTATCATTTGTTCATTTATTTGTGGTATCATAATACATGAAAACAATGTGGGCTTGAAGTCAGCATAACCCAGGCTCAAGTTACACAGTAAAGGGCCAGGCTAAGACAAAGTCCCATAAAGTACATCACAGAAAAGGGAGTTGGGGTCAGTTTTCATACAATTTAAATTACATGTGTTTAGCATTCAATATAAAATTCTTTTTAAAAAAACTTTGTTGCCTAGAAATTGAAACGTCAAACCAATGGGTAAAGTATACATAAAAACAGATTTTTGGAGACAGATTTTTGAAGAATAGGAGTTATTCTAATTAATATTCATCACAGACATTAAAAACTGAGAAATGTATGAAAAGTGAGGGCCAGACACAGTGGCTCATGCCTGTAATCCCAGCACTTTGGGAGGCCGAGGTGGGCAGATCAGGAGGTGAAGAGATTGAGACCATCCTGGCTAACATGGTGAAACCCTGTCTCTACTAAAAATACAAAAAAAAAAAAAAAAAAGAAAAGAAAAATTAGTTGGGCATGGTGGTGCATGACCGTAGTCCCAGCTACTTGGGAGGCTGAGGCAGGAGAATCGCTTGAACCTGGGAGACGAAGGTTGCAGTGAGCTGAGATCATGCCACTGCACTCCAGCCTGGGTGATGGACCAAGGCTCCATTCCCCCCCAAAAATAAAAAAAATAAAAATAAAGAAAAGCGAGGTGGTATAACCTAAATACTTTCCTTAGCATATCCGTACTCATTGCAGAAGAAAGCTGCTAATATGTCATGCTATTAGCCTTGCATTTTCTATTCTGCAGCACAGTAACTCCCCATATATACTTTTTAAAAATTTCACAAGGATAATGCCCTTCTGAGAGCTCTACTTTCTTTACTAATTACAATCACAAAACTATCAACCGATTCCCTATTCAAAATCTGCATAAGCTTTGTTTTTCCCCAACTTTTATGTAGGTAAAAATTATATTTTTAAAATGTAGTAAACATATTATACTTGGAGTATGATAGGCACTGTTCGAAGAACTTTACACATATGAACATTACCTCATGTTAACACACTTTGGTGCAATCTAATGTTGACAACACTTTATTGCCTTTAAAGCATTTATCTTGCCATGTTCTCCAGACTGCATTGTACCTGCCTTTTCAAATATAATCCTTACAAAAAATTGAGGGAGAGATGGCAGCAATTCTCCATTTGGGAGAATGAAGAGAATTGGCTGAATGGTGATCTATTGTCATGGCCCCCAGCTGCCATGTAGCAGAGGTAAGACTGTAGTTGGTACCTCTGACTCCAATGCCTGCCAGGCTGTCAACTGATGCCCCAGACCCAAGTTTCTTAATTAGGAACCCCAAAAATCTGCAGAGGAATTCTCAAAGTTCTGCAAGTTCTCCATAAAATTTTAGGTCATGGGAATATATTCATTATTTCCTTTTAAGCATAATGAATCCCCTTAAGGAAGCTCAAATGGGAATTTAGAGATGAAGGATGAAATGAGGCATCAGACTATAATGGGCTATGCTCAGACTTTGATTGAGATCAATCTGTGGTTATACCCCAATTTTACCACTTGCTAGCTGTCTCTCCCTGGCCAATTAATTGAGCTTCTTTGAGCCTCGGTTTCTTCATGAATAAAATGGGATTAATAAGACCTAATAGGATTACCATGAGTAGTAAAGATGATAAATGCACATGTACGTAATGTCTAGGAAATACTCAAAATGGAAATGGAAGCTAATGTTATTAATTACCATTAGCAACAATGCATACATGTGATTATAGTTTGGCTCTGTGTCCCCACTCAAATATCATTCAGATTGTAATCCCCATGTTTGGTCAAGGGAGGAACCTGGTGAGAGGTGACTGGATCATGGGGGTAGTTTCCCCAATGCTGTTCTCACAATAGTGAATGAGTTCTCATGAGAGTTGATGGTTTTAAAGTGTGGCACTTCCCCCCTGCTGTCTCTCTCCTGCCACCATTTAAGATGTGCCTTGCTTCCCCATAACCTTCTGCCATGATTGAAAGTTTCCAGAGGCCTCCCTAGTCATGTGGAACTGTGAGTCAATGAAACCTTTTTTTCTTTATAAATGACTCAGTCTCAGGCAATTCTTTATAGCAGTGTGAAAATGGACTAATACAACATGTGAATATGTAAAATTACTGTCATCAAATATCCATAATGCCAATTGGACTGCCTTCAAAATATGTGGCTGGTTTTTTCAGGCTCAACTTCTACTTAGCTTTGCCCTCTTAATCTTGAGAATTATCCCTTAAGGTACTCATGTCAAAGAATATTCTGGTAAAGCTACAAACATAGCAAAAGGATTTTGCCAGCTTATATAGTATTCCTTTTTAAAAGGGCAGGAACGTACTCACAACTCTGTCACCACATGTTGAAACACAGAAAAGTGTAATTTTCCTTAACAAGACAAATGAATCCTGTACACCTTCATCACAATTAGAGTACACATGGTATGGTCTCAACATTCTTAGCTTTTTGGGAACTTGATTGTAAGTACTGCTTTACCATCAGAAATCTACAAGGGGTGACTTGGAATGTGCTCCTAAGAAAGGAGACCAGCTGTGGAAACCACAGTGGGAGAAAATCTTCCAATAGGAAAACATTGCCAATTATAATCATCTGTACTATGTTTCATGAGGTGTCTTCTACTTGGGACATCTAAGTTTATCAGTAAAGTACCGGACCTCTTCCAGTGCAGATGTGCAATTTGAGCATAATCGGCATGCCTAGCCTTGCCACGGCTTCGTGATAGATGGATTTTACTTCCCCATCCCTTACGTGGGGTTGACCATATGTCATGCTTTAGCTAATGGATATTAGTTAATGTAATGCAAACAAAGGCTGGAAATGTGCTTGCATGTTTGGTTGGTTGGTTTGTATTCCGCCATTCACCGTGAAAAGTAGAGCCTTGCATAGCTGCTAGTCCAAAAAGAATGAGAGACACATGAAGCACATGTGGACCAATCATAATCTAATTTTCTAATCAGTGTTAAAGATAAATTCATAAAAAGAACCAGAGAAAAGAAGACATTTCACTAACAGAGGAACAACATGAAGGTAGCAGTAGATTTCTCACCAGAAATAATGAAGCAAAAAGACAGTGAGGCAAAGTACTGAGAAAAAGAAACTGCCAACTTATAATTATATGCCCCTTGAAAATACTTTCTAAAATAAAAATTCAATGAAGATTTTCAGACAAACAAAATCAGAAAGAATACATCACCCTCATATACACACTACAACTAATGTGGAAGATATCTTTCAGGCAAGGGAAAAATGATAACAGAACTATGCATCTACACAAAGGAGGAGAACCAGAAATAGTAACTGCCTAGGTAACTATATGTGAGTTTTTATTATTTAAATCTTTTAAAAAGATAATTGGCTGCTTATACAAAAATAATAACAAAATAATGTGAAGTTTAAAACGTAGATAAACTAAAATCAATGACAAAAATTGCATAAAAAACAGAAGTGGAGAAATGTGAGTATATTATCATTAGATTTTTATACTGTACCTTAAATGACATCATATAATTGAAAGTTAGACTGTGATAAATTAAAATGTACACTAAAACCCTAAAGTAACAACTAAAATGACAAAACAATGTTATAGCTAATAAGTAAATAAAGAAAATTAAAGAGAATAAAAAATGTTCAATTAATACAAAAGAAAGCAGAAATGGAAGGGTTAAATGAACAGAGAGACAATGGAAAACAAGTGATCAATGTGCTAGATTTAAACTTCACCATATGAATAATAACCTTAAATGAAAATAGTCTAAATCATGCAATTAAAAGGCAGAGATTATCTAATTGTACAAAAAAGCAAGACCCAACTAGATACTGTCTATAAGAAACTAACTTGAAGTATGTAGACACAAATAGGTTCAAAGTAAAAGGATATAAAGGATGCACCATGCCAATCTAACAAAAAGAAAGCTGTAGTAATTACATTAACAATAAAAAAAGTAGATCTCAAATCAAAGAATATTGTCATGGATAAAGAGGATCATTGCCTAAACATTTATGCACTCAATTAGAGAGCTTCAACATAAAGCAAAAACCAAGAAAGCTGTAAAGAAAAATAAAAAAGCACACACACTTTTATAGGAAAGACTTCAATATTCCTCATTCAATAATTGAAAGAACAAATGGAGAGAAAATAAGCAATGGTATAAAAGATTTAGATAACACTGTGACTAAATTTGACCTAATTTACACTTATAACATTCTATCCAACAACAGCAGAATATATATTCTTTTCAAGTGCACATGGAAATGTAACATGATAAGCAGTATTCTGGGTCATCAAATAGGTCTCAACTAATTCTTTTTTAAAGGTCCTATCTGAGATTTTATTTCCAAAAACAAACAAACAAATGAACAAATAAACACAATGGAACCTCTTTCTTGCACAGACACCAGAGACAATGCTAAAGTTCCCAGTATAACTCTATTATAAAGACACATGCATTTGTGCGTTTGTCGCAGCAATATTCACAACAGCAAAGACATGGAATCAACATAACTACCTATCAATGAAGGCCTGGATAAAGAAAATGATATATATGACAGATATATCATATATATATCATATATATGATATATATCATATATCTGTCATATATATCATATATATATCATATATATCATATATCATATATATCATATATCATATATATCATATATATCATATATATCATATATATATCATATACATACACACACACACACGCCATGGAATACTATGCAGCCATAAAAAGAATGAGATCATGTTCTTTGCAAGGACATGGATGGAACTGGAGGCCATTGTCCTTAGCAAACTAACACAGGAACAGCAAACCAAATACCACATGTTCTCACAAGTGAGAGCTAAAGGTTGAGAACACATGGACACATAAAGGGAAACAACACACACTGGGGCCTATTGGAAGTGGAAGGTAGGAGAAGGGAGAGGATCAGAAAAAATAGCTAATGGGTACTAGGCTTAATACTTGGGTGAGGAAGTGATCTGTACAACAAACGCCCATGACACAAGTTTATCTTATGCAACAAACCTACACTTGTACCCCTGAACTTAAAAGTTTAATAAAAACTTGCCCTGTTAAAGAGTACAGCATGAAGGTGGCTGCCATATGCTTACTCAGTCCACTCTTGTCCTAGTGGCTTCATCAAGTGAGATACAGCCTTCCTCCTCTCCCTGGTAGTCTATCCTTTGTTTTAAGACCCCATGTGTCCCAGCTGGAAAAAACTGTCACTGAATCACTTCTGCCTTCAACTAATTTAAAAACATTCAAGCCACATAAAGTATGGTCTCTGACTACACTGGAATTAAATTGGAAATTGTTAACAGAATGGTCTCTAGAAAATCCACAAATATTTTAATCATCCAAAATGATCTCTGCAAAATCCACAAATAATACTCTTCTAAATAATTCAATGAGTCAAAAAAGAAATCAAAGTGGAAATTGGAAACCTGAATGGAAATGAAAACAATATATCAAAATGTATGGGATGCTGCTAAAGCAGTACTTACGGAAAATTTATAGCACTAAACTCCCATATAAGAAAACAAAAAGGTCCGAAATTATTAACCTCACCTTCTTTTTACCCTGAATATAAAAAAAAAACATAAACAGAGCAATAAAACCCAAAGTAGAAACTGGAAATTATACAGATTAGAGTGGAAATCAGTGAAACAGAAAACAAAAGACAGAGTGAGAACAAGAAAAAGAGAGAATCAATAAGACCACAGGCTAGTTATTTGAGACGATCAATAAAATTAATCAACATTTAGCCAGTCTAATTGGAGTAAAAAGAGAGAGTGAACAAGGATGCAGATTACCAATATTAGGAATGAGAGAGGGAAACATCATCATAGATATTAGAGATATCAAAAAATAATAGTAAATATGATGAACCACTGTACTCCAAATACATTTGGCAATTTAGATGAAATGGACAGATTTCATGAGAAACACAAACTACAAATACAAAAATCTCACTCAAGAAAAATAGATACCCTGAACTGCTCTATATCTATTATATAGAAATATATCAAAACAAAAGAAAACACAACAAAACAGAGCCCAGATGAGTTCTCCGATGAATTCTATCAAACCTTTAAGCAACAAATAATACCAACACAAACTTAACCAGCAATTGATTTTCAGTTCAATTCATTCAATACCATTACCCTAGTATTAAATCATAAAAACCCTTTTCTTAAAAAAAACCTATAAATTAATATTCCCCATGAACAGGAATGTAAAAATTCTAGACCGAGCTTTAGCAAGCTGACTAAAAGATACACAGATAAAAAGGATAACATATCATCACCAAATGGGGTTCATCCTAGGACTTCATGGATGGTTTACCATTGGAAAACCAATAAGTATAATTCACCATATTAACAAACTATAAAGAAAACTCATATGATCATCTTAACAGATGCAGCAGAGCATTTGAGAAAATCCACATTAATTCCTGTTTAAAACTCTTTAAGTAGGAATAAAAGGCTACTTCCTCAATCTGATAAAAGCCATCTAATAAAACCTACAAGTAACAAACACCATGTTTAAAAGTGAAATACTACATGCTCTTCCTCTAAGATCAAGACAAGGGTGACTGCTTTACTACTTTTACTCAATATTATTCTGGTGGTACAAGAATGAAATAAGGTAGGAAAAATAAATAAAAGGCACCGAGATTGCAAAGAGAGAAGTAAACTTTCTTTATTCATAAAAGATATGATAATATATATAGAAAAATCCAATAAAATCTACAAAAAAGCTATAGAAACTAATAATTCAGTTTAGCAAAGCTGCAGACACAGCATCAATATACAAAAACCAGTTGTACTTATAGACAATAGTGTGAACAACCAGAAAAAACAAATTTAAAAACATGATTTATAATAACAATATAAAATACTTATGGATAAATCCAACAAAAGATGTATAATGTCTGTACATTGCAAACTGTAAAACATGGCAGAGAGAAATTAGAGAAGACCATTAATAAAGGGAGAGATATACTGCGTCTATGCGTCAGATGACTCACATATCATTGATCTATAGACTCGGTGCAACATGATTCAATATCTGTACTGCTTTGAATAGTATTTTCCCCCACCCCCCAAATTTCATGCCTATCTGGAACCTGTAAGTGTGTCCTTAACTGACAACAGGGTCTGAACCAATGTAATAAAATAAAGATTTTGATTAGAGTGGGTCCTAATCCAATGACTGGTGGCCCTGTAAGAAGAGGAAAATTTGGATATGTAGACGCAAGGAGAATGCCATGTGAAGACACAGAGCCCACAGACACACAGGGAAAATGCCATGTGATGACCAAGGTGCATATTGGAGTACTGGAGTGATGTATCTGCAAGCCAAGGAACCCCAAGGACTTTCAGCAACCACCAGAGGCTAGGAGAGAAGAAAGGATTGATTCTCCCCTAGAGCCTTCAGAGAGAGCATGTCCCTACTGACACCTTGATCTCAGACATCTAGCAGCCAAAACTGTTAGAGAATTTTTTTGTGGGGGGTTTTGTATTTAAGCCACTCAGTTGTGGTACAGCAGCCCAGGAAATAATACAATATCAACTTACAGTTGATTCTGAAGTTCATATGGAAATTCAAAGGACCTAGAATAGCCAAAACAACTCTGAAAAAGAACAAAGTTGAAAGACTAACCCTACTGACCCTGATTTCAAGATATCATAAAATGACAATAATCAATATAGCATGCTACTGGCACAAAGGTAAGCTAAAAGATCAATGGATAATCACATGGTCCAGAAATATATCCATATATATACATATATATATATATATATATACACACACACACACGGTATATACATATATATACATATATAGATGGTATATACATATATATATACACATATATACATGGTATATACATATATATTAGATAGATAGATAATTGGTTGTCTGATTTTCCACAAAGGTACAACTAATTTTCCACAAAGGTACAAAGGCAATTTAGTAGAGTAAGAATACTTTTCAACAATGGAATATTCATTTCTAAAGAAATGAATTCCAACACACACTTTGTACCACATAAAAAAATTAACTCCAAATTGGTCACAGGCCTAAATGTAACACCTGAAAATAAAACTTCTAAAAAATATTAAGAGAAAACCTTGCGATTTTTATCTTGGGTTAGGCAAAGACCTTTTAGATGTTACATGAAATATATAATCCAGAAAAAAATGGATAAATTGGATTTCATCAAATAAAACATTTCTACTCTCCAAATTACACTGCCAAGAGAATGAAAAGAAAGCCACATGCTGGGAGACAGTATTTGCAAATCTTATCTAATGAGGGAGTTGTATACAGAATGGATAAAGAGGTCCCAAAACTCAGTTAAAAAATAAATACACGAGAAAAAGTTTTTAACAGGCACTTCACCAAAGAAGATATATGGGTGTTAAATAAGTACATGAAAAAATACTTAACACCACTAGTCATTTGGGAAATGCAAATTAAATCAAAATGAAATACCACTATCACTTACTAGAATAGCTAAAATTAAAAACACTAACCGATACGGTTTGGATTTGTGTCCCCACTCAAATCTCATGTCAACTTGTTATCCCAGTGTTAGAGGTAGGGTCTGGTGGGAGATGACTGGATCATGGGGGCGGAGTTTTCATGAATGGTTTAGCACCATCCTCCCTTGGTACTGTATAGTGAGTGAGTGTCAAGAGATCTGGTTGTTTAAAAGTGTGTTACACCTCCCTCCTCTCTCTCTTCCTCCTGCTCCTGCCATGTTAGACACCTGCTCTTGCTTTGCCTTTGCCATGAATAAAAGCTCGCTGAGGCCTCCCCAGAAGCAAATGCTGCCATGCTTCCTGTAAAGCTTGCAGAACCATAAGCCAATTAAATCTCTTCTCTTTATAAATTACCCAGTCTCAGGTATTTCTTTATAGCCATGTGAGAATGGCCTAATACATTAACCATGCCAACTGTTGGCAAAGATGTGGAAGAACTAGAACTCTTATGCGATGCTGATGAAAATAGAAAATGGTACAAACACTTCAGAAAATCTGTCAATTTTTTAAAAAATTAAATTTATTCCTAACATATGATCTAGCTAGTTTATCCCTAGGTATTCGCCCAAGAGAAATGAAAGCATGCATGCACACAAATATTTGTATACAAGTGCTTATAGTGCCTTTGTTTATAATAGTCAAAAATTGGAAACAACTCAAACATCCATCAGATAACTTGTGATATATCCATACAATGGAATACTACTCAATAAGGAGGAATGATATGTGCTACAACATTAATGAATTTCGTAATCCAAAAACTATGCTTTCTGATACTATATGATTCCATTTATATAAAATTCTAGAAAATGCAAACTAATGTATAGCAACAGAAAGATGAGTGTTTGCCTAGAGATGCTGGCGCCAATGGGGAGGAGCAAGAGAAATTAAAAAGTGGCTCAGAAAACTTCTAAACTTCTTGGGGTGACATATATTCATTATCTTGATTCTGGTAATGGTTTAATAGTATATACATATGTGCAAACTCATCAAATATGTGCATATGTAAACATGTACAGTTTATTGTAGATCAATCACACATCAATAGAGCTTACTAATAACATTAAAAAAAATCTAATAGTGGGAGATGGGTTAAACCTACCATAGCACATTCTCTTAACACAGTGCTCTGCTGCTATTTAAAATAATAAAATAAATACTAAATTGACATGGAAATACTTTTGTTATATTTGTACTAAAAATCATAAATTAAAAACCTGACATAGAATGATCACATTTCCAAAAATATACATTTTGGTTACTATTTTTTTTTTTTGTTTGTTTGAGACGGAGTTTCACTCTTGTTGCCCAGGTTGGAGTGCAATGGCACAATCTTGGCTCACTGCAACCTCCGCCTCCTGGGTTCAAGCGATTCTCCTGCCTCCGCCTCTCAAGTAGCTGGGATTACAGGCATGTGCCACCATGCCCAGTCAATTTTGTATTTTTAGTAGAGACAGAATTTCTCCATGTTAGCCAGGTTGGTCTTGAACTCCCAATCTCAGGTGATCCGCTCACCTTGGCCTCCCAAAGTGCTGGGAGTACAGGCATGAGCTACCACGCCCGGCCACATTTCAGTTACTATTTAAATGGAAAAAAGTGGCATTTTACACACAAAATTAGTAAAAGTGAGTTTTGCTGGGGAATAGACTTTTACTTTTGAAGTTTTACTTTTTGCTTCTCTGTAATTTACTATTTTTTTACATTAACTATGCATCCTTTTGGGCATCATTTTTATAAGCATATCAGGTAAAAGAGATTTCAATATATAACTATAGCCATAAAACATTTAGTAGTGATGCATCTGTAGGTAGTTTGCAAGTATTTGATTGACCCAGAAATCTAGCCTCCAGAGCACACACACAACACATTTTCTGAGGATCTTAACCTTTAGAATTTGAATAAAATGTATAAAATCTGTAAACACCTCAAAAAAACCACTTAGAAGTAAAACATATAGTCTCCAAATCATCCTCATGGCTGCATGCAAACAGACAGATAAACACACACACACACACACACACACACACCCATACACAAAATTTCTTTAATCATAACACAGTATTATAGTAAGCCAGATTACCATGAGGGCATAGAGATTTTCATCTTTTCTTCTTCTAGAGATTTTCATCTTTTATTCTTTCATTAAACATATTTTGAAAACCTTTACTATATCCTAAGTATTGTGCTGGACACTTGTGACTTCCCAATGAGGCAAAAGAGGTAGAGTAGGAAGCTTAAGACAGAGAGGTTAAATAAAATCTTTAGGAACAAGGCCAATCAGAAGTTATCTTTTATGTAATAGAAATACCTTTCATGTAAAAGTCACAATTTACAATTTCTAACAGTGAGTAAAGTTTTAGCATTTCATCAACAATTACAATGAAGCAGTGGCCTAGGAAAGTTTACCTTCGTGGTTAGAAGCTTATAACAAGATTGCTCCAGATGGGTACATTACAGTTAATGTGAGTCATATAGCACATGGACAGGGTTCAAGTGCTTTATATTGCAGTCTTAGAATGGAAAATCGTTCAGTCATTTAAAATGATGTTGCCAAGTATTTGTTCCACAAAGTTTATTGTAGTATACTAGTCCTTCCTTATTTGGAGGAGTTATGTTCCAAGATCCCCAGGGGATGCCTGAAACCACAAATGGTACAGATAGTACTGAACCCTATACACACTATGTTTTTTCCTATACATACATACCTATGATAAAGTTGAAGTTATCAATTAGGCATAGTAAGAGATTGATGACAACAGCTAACAGTAAAATAGAACAATGATAACAATATACTGTAATAAAGGTGAATGTAGTGTGAATGTGAATATAGTCTCTCGCTCGCTTGCTCTCTCCAAATATCTTACTGTTATGTAGTATTTTTGGATCATGGTTGACCATGGGTAACTGAAACCATGGAAAGTGAAACTGTGGATAAGGGGAGACTGCTGAACAGAGAATTAAAAGGATAGTATAATGCAGATCCCTTTACTCACAATCTAGACCTATCGATTGTTCTCTCACATTTGCTTTATGTGCATACCTATATTTACATAATCCTGAAATGCTCTAGGAATGAGTTGACACACAATAAACTAGACCTTCTAGGAAATTGTTTTCCTACTTTGTTTTGTTTTGACTTTGTTTTTTATTAGAACAAGTTGGTAGGCTGCAAAATCATTCCTAGTGTAGCACGTGGGTTTTGTTCATTGCTTTTACATATATTATGACTAATTGTATAAAGGCTGACAGTCATGAGAATAGAGTCAGCAAGGAAGAGGGATAGGGCCTATGCTTATAATGAGGTTCTACTCTGACTAGTGGAAAGACAGATGACTAAACTGGTTGAGTAAAGGCCCTCCTACCACTATATCATGGTATTTACCAATAATGCACTGATATGTAACAACCTGAAGAACTTTGCTAATATCAACACTCAAACGAGTTCTAGAGAACCTGCATCCTGGATACTAAGGATAGAAAGAGTGATATCGATTTGTTCATTTACTGAATGCCCGGTACTGCTCTCTTTCGGGTGCTTACAATGCTGTCACACATAGCCTACAGCATTCTGCTTTCCACTTCTGCACTAGGAGAGGCAAGGTTCAGCAGAAAGACGGCAGGTTTGCTCTTCTAGAAAGTAGGACTAATGACATGTAAATCACAGGATTGATGTCAAGGTTAAACTGAATGAGACCTTGCAGAAAGATATTTAGTAGCTTTCCCTGTTCTGTAGACAGAAAAAGCCTAGGCACTGTTAGCAGCTCTGGAGTCAGAACCTTGAAAGATAGTGAAGCCTAATGACCCAATGATTTTAAAACATTTTCAGAATACCAGATGATACATAAACTGCACTGCTTGGTTACTCCTGCTCAAGGAATGGAACAATGATGTTGGTAATCCACCAGGGCAATGAACTGACTAAATTTGGGCTTGAAATGCACTGTGTGGTTTTTCTTCCTTCTAATTTTCATCTTACTAATTCTTTCTGTCTTAAAATAATGTTAACATGTTTACTTTGAAAAATAGCAAGAGAAAGAAGAGGCAGCTGGTCCAGAAATATGTTATGTTGAAAAGCCAGTGTGGTATTTAGAACCAGGTTACAGATACCCAGTAAGTGAGAGATGCATATGTTCATAACTGCAGGCTGGCCTCTCAGGATTACATGGGTGAAAAAACCATTTCATGGACTGATTCTGCAAGTTGAATTCTATTTCAGTTCAATTGGCTAGGGAAAACAGCATGATTTAATGAACTTAACAAGTAAGATGCAGTATTAGGCTGGAAAACAGAGACATAAGGGTAGAAAAGCCAATGGTGCTCAATTGGTCCCAACACTCAGGATTGAAAGGCTGTGCTCATGTCTGCATGGGAGCATGGTAGGCATTCCTATGGCGTGATAAGCAGGGCTTGGAGAAATAAGCTTGGATGTTCAAGGGATAATTCCTCTGGATTTGTAAAGGGGAAATCTTTGATCAGAGAAAATATGCAATATCATAGTTGGAGAAAGATTTAGGAAAAATAGTTGGGGGTATCTGCTATGAAAAAATCCTGAGACAGGCAATATTTTCTTCCTCTCTGCCACTGGACACAAAGATAGACTCTGGCAAAGAGGGACCCTGCCCCAAGCCCTGAATCTAAGGGGACCGTCATGCTTTTGAGCACCTTTCTTACAGTTTCCTAAGTCTTCCTCTGGCAGAAGGGACCAGCTGCAGCTGCAGTGCCATCTGGTCAGGGCATCCTGAGAGCCTGTACCAGGACTGGGCTTTGGTTGCCATATCTCCCCTTCGGAGCACTCCCCAACACTACTCCATGTGTACGGTCGATTATATGCTTCTGGAACTCTAGGGCTCCTATCCACAAAGGTGTTGTGAGCATGAAGATGGGGCCTGTTTCCAGGAGGGTGAGTGGTAAGATGGTGAGACTGTTCTTTTTGGTCAGCTTGGCATTTCACTTATGGAAACCCCTGAGACTGGCCATCAGAATGTTGCTGATAAGCTTATTTCAAGTGACTCCAACTTTTTATATGGAAGAGGTCCCCAGCAAAAAATATTTGCTCAGGGCCATAATCCTAAAGGGAGGGTGAACATTGGATTTAAAATCCAGTCATCAAGTTAGAAGAAAAGCCAATCCAAAACACTTTCTTTTTTTTTTTTTTGAGACAGGGTCTCGCTCTTGTCACCTAGGCTGGAATGCAGTACTGTGATCATAGCTCACTGTAACCTCGACCTCCTGGGCTCAAGAGATCCACCTGCCTCTCAGCCTTCTGAGCAGCTGGGACTACAGACACATACTGCCATGCCCAGCTATTTTTTTTTTTTTTTGTAGAGACAGGGTCTCACTGTGTTGCCTAGACTGGTCCCAAACACCTGGCCTCAAGCAATCCTCCTGCTTTGGCCTCCCAAAGTGTTGAGATTACAGATGTGAGTCACCATGTCTGGCCCCAAAACATTTTCTGAGGACAAGAATTGAAAAAGAGAGAGAAATAACCTTGCACATACACACATATTTATGTGTGCATATACATGTATATATACACATGCACACATATATACGTGTGTATATACACATATATACACATGTATATATACATATATACGTTATATACACGTATATATATGTGTATATACACATGTATATATACATATACGTGTGTATATACACACATACATGATTGCTTTATTTTTTGTCTTGATCTCTTGTTAGAATCATATTTATATGGAATAGATTTGATTTCCAGGGACAAAATATCTTTTAAATCTTTATTTCTTAAAGTGTTTTACCAAACACCCATTTCCTAGGAAAGCATATTTTGGGGGTGAAGGAGAGACTGAGAAATTCTTCCCTAAACAAAGTTGAATGGAACTTTGTTACAGAACTTTTCAGAGCCTTAAACATGCCGATGTAAACTGTGAAAAATCAAAAGGGATGTAGCCCCTCAGTCTCATGTAAACAGAGACTCCCTTTTCAAAGCATCTAATGATACTAGTTTTCCTCATAAACATGCTTTGGAAAATGCTGTTTTAAAAGAATAATGTAGGGACACAAACACACAAAGAGGAAGGGAAAGAAAAAGAGAGAGAATGGATTTCTAAGTTCTTAGGATGGAAAAATAGGGAACAATTTTTTGGACCTTTGGAAGATCTGTTTTTGTAAACACAAAACCAGAAAAGCAAGTAAACCATTGGGTCATAACCACGGGGCATCTCCCTACAAGCAGATAAGAACATTTACCAGAAAAAATTCTATGCTACATTTAAAGTTTGGGCCATTAGAGGGCTCTCCAGATCTAATGGATTTCTGTCTTCAATCCCAGGACACACTCAGGAGAGAATCATCACCGTGATGGTGCTTGGTGGAGGAGACAAACAAATCCATCTGAGACTGGGTACATTTCAGTCATTACATTTTGAGCTTCTGGGCAGGAATAACACAAATGCTTTTCTTCCCCCATTAAGTGCATGATAAAAATAGCAAGCTGGGGACATAGATCAATCTTCTAAATGTAAATGACTCATTTAAAAAAATTAAAATAAATGTAGACGGATCATCCTATATTGCTATATGTGTCAGAGAAAACCTTTTCAGGTACATCAAAGCTGTCTAGTTTTCAATGCTGTACTTCCTTGCAGTTAGCATCTCATTTTTCCCAGGTATTGTTATTTATTCTCTTTTATCTATTTATCTGTAGATTATCAAATACATTATTGTCTGGATGATACAGTTCATTCACTTATAATACGTAGCTCGACCTATAATCTGATCAACACATCTAAGGTTATAAGCACTCATGTGTATGTGTATGTGTCCAACTACCCTAAATATGGAAGACTTTGAGTCACACTAGTTTTGAAGGGAGCAGTTATGAATGGTCAGTCATAGCACACACTTGACTCAGCTGGGTATTTCTCTGGAATAAATCTATTAATTCACTGTGGTGCTTTGTTAATGGTCACTGATTAGTGCCATGTGGAATCCTGATAACTTTAAACAGTGGCTCCCACAGTGTGGTGCCAACACCAGCAGCATTAGCAGCATTTTCCTCAGAAATGCAGATTCCTGACCTCATCCCAGACCTGCCAAATCAGAAACTGCTGGATGGGCTGAAGTAACATAAAATGGCTATTTATAGCTACAGAGGAACAAGCCACTGAAGAAACTGCCAAGATGCTTCAGGGAGAGACAGCATCTGTATATTTTTAATTAAAGCCAGATTATGTCACTCAATAAACCAGAAAGCAGACAGAAATATAAATCCCTGTTTCACTCCCGCTTTTGACATCTTGACATGAGACAAATGGTCATTTAATCCATGGAAACACTCCAAGTCATACTCTGTGGTCCAGCTGCTAGAGCCATGTCGCTTTTCAGATTTAGAAAAATGGCAGAAACCCCTTTCTGACTCCTCCCCAGATTAGAAGAAAACAATATAAATAAGGCTGTGCCCCCGAAAATGCACTCCTATAATGTCTCTGGTGCTTAGTTCTTCCAAAATTGCCTGGAAGACTGAAGGATGTGACACACAGCCAGTGAGATATAAGAGGTATTGATGGAGAGACACTGAAAGCTCCCACATTCCTTTCCCAGCAGCCTTGGGGTTATGCATAAAGCACTAGCAAAGCCTAGGCAAGCAGACCCGGGAATAGTGTCCTCACAGGAGCTGCAGCTGGAACATGCTTCTGTTTGGAAAGGCACTTCCTCTGCCCCAGTTCTTAACTTTTCCCATCACTCTCACTCAACAGTACCAGCAAAAGCGAATGCTCTTTTAAGTACTTAGGGGACTCTCCTGGCATCTGTAATTTTCAAAAGTGCTTTGATCCTTTTTCCCCCCACCATCAAGTGTCCTTACCTATGAGCCAGCAAATTACAAATACAAAGAAAAAACATTTAAAAAGAAAGAACACTTCTGAACCTCATCTTTACTTCACAATGAGTCTGCATGTCATGTTGTCTCTACTTCAGTTGCCTTGTCTACCAAATGGGGATGTCCTCAGCTAAGCACACAAGGCTTCTAGGTGACCAAAGTCTCTATTTGTGATGGAACTGAGAGGATGCTCTTGGAGGGTCCAGGTCAAAGCAACTGAGTAAGGGTATTGTTGCCTTAAAACACTCCCAGTTCGAAAATTCATGTAGCGAACAAAGAGAATGAAGCTGGGCAGTAGCAAATGCAAAGGGACTGTACAACTTTGGAAATTAGAATTGCTCAAGTTTGTCCCAGGACAACTGGGAGATGCTGGGTAAGATCCTTTGGCACTAAGACAGCTATCCCTGGCGGCATCTCGGTATCCACAGACATACAATCTGGCCATGCACCGATAAACACCATTCTCAAAGGAGCTGCTAAATCACATCTCAAGCCCCAGTTAATTTTATCAAACTCAGCATCTTATGCATACAACAGAAGAAAGAAAACAATAGCTCAAAGCATTTTGCCTATTGATAAGTGTGCTTGAAAAGAATGAAAAATCATGATTTGCCACTGCATTGTGTCTGAGTTTTTATTTTCTGAGGTCCCTATTATTATCAATACACCATCTCTGCTATTATTAATATGATGTGATTATAATCGGCATATTACGCATAGTGTAGTGATTGATGTACTCAGTAATTATAGTACTGCATTAGCACCTCTTGTAAAATGTAAATATTATTCCAGACCCTGAGAACACTGAGAAGAAATAGTATCACCATGACTTCTGTATGGTCTTTTACTTGTAGAAAAAAGAGATAGTTTCAGTGACACTAGAGGCAGCTCTGGAAGTCATGATAATTCTTGAGTCAATTAAAAAAAAAAACACAAAAAACAGCCACTAGCAGGAACAGGCCTGCAAGTAGCTGCGGTGGGATATGTGAACCCAGGTATATTCAAAATCAGTAGGAACACTGACTTTCATTTGCCAATTCATGTAAATAATATGCCCCTGTTGAAGGACAAAAGACTTAAAATTATTCACCTCTTTCAATTTCATTTCCTATCTCTACTAAGAATCAATAGAAGACATAAACATGAAATAATATATAAAGAGATGTTTATCGAAGTGCTGGTGAAGCAACAAAAAAGTTGGAAGCAACTTGTGGCCAATAATCAGGGGTTGGTACAACCAACTGAGAGAATACTATGGGCAAATATGTTTTTGCAAACACAATATTATGACATGAAAATATGCTCAATAAAATTAAGTAGAAAGGTCAGAAATACATGATAGTACAGTCTCAATTTTATAGTGCAAAATTGATATATACTCAGTGATTTGGGAAGACTAAAAGAAGACAGACCAAAGGGCACTAGTGGTCATGTCAGAGTGGTATGATTTAAGTGATTATTAAAATTCTTTTTTTTTTTTCCTGAGATGGAGTTTTGCTCTCGTTGCCCAGGCTGGAGTGCAACGGCACAATCTTGGTTCACCGCAACCTCCGCCTCCCACCTCCTCCTGCCTCAGCCTTCCGAGTAGCTGGGATTACAGGCATGCACCACCATGCCCGGCTAATTTTTGTATTTTTAGTAGCGACAGGGTTTCCCCTTGTTGGTCAGACTTGTCTCGAACTCCTGACTTCAGGTGATCTGCCCGCCTTGGCCTCCCAAAATGCTGGGATTACAGGTGTGAGCCACTGCGCCCAGCCTACAATTCTTTATTCTGGGAGATTCTCAAGATGGCCGACTAAAGAAAACTAGTACATGCTTCTTCCACAGAGCGGAAGCAAAATAGCAAGTAGATGTTCACACTGTGAATAGATCACCTAAGAGAGAACACTGGGATTCAACAGAGAAGTGATGGGAAGCACTGAAAGCAAGCAAGGAGAGGGCAGCAAGGCTTTCCTCAGCTGGGATCCAGGAGAAGCTCCCAGATGTGAGGAAAAGATAAGTGAGAATTCCCAGGACTCCACATACCCACCACCATCTTTTTACAACCCTAGCTATGGGAGAACCCCTCAACTGATATGGGCTTCAAGATTTACATGGGTAGCTGCCTAGGGACCACACAGAGACATTGTTCCAGAGAGAGAACTCACAAGGAGCCCCATAGGCAACCATGTCCTGAGTGGCTGCAGCTTGTAGGCATTCTGAGCTAAGCCCCCAAAAGGACTGCATTCTGCTCTGGGGCAGATACTGCCACTGTCATGGCCAGGCCAAGAAGGGAGAGGAGAGGCCTCGCACTTTCATGTACTGCTAGGAGAAATCCTATGCACCTCTGAGGGCTGCTGTGGAACCAAGAAATGAGAAAACTGCACTCCCCACAGACCCACAGCTACCTGCCTATACTACACCACCTTAGAGGGGCCCCCACCTTCCCCAGTTGCAGTGGGTGCCATTCTGAAAGCCTAGCTTCCAAAGGTCTGCATCCCTCCCTGGGGCCAAGGCTGATGCTACTGCTGCTACCACCAGGCCAAAGAGGGAGAGGGGAAGCCAGGCACTTGCAGACACTTTGTGGACAAATCCCACTGCTGCTGCTGCAGGTTGCAGCGGGACCAAGGCACAAGGAAACTACGTGTCCCACAGCTACCTCCCTACACTGCTCCCACCATGAGAGGCTTTGACCTCCCTAATAGCAGGTCCGCAGGGCAGTGTGGTGCCTCCTACACCTGAACATTTTGTCAGCAGGCTGGAAACCACCCTACCCAGCATGTCACAACCAGTGTCAATGTAGCTTGACCTCAGGACAAGCTATTGGATCAATCTTGTCACCCCAGTGCTTCAGCATGCTGTTCAGGGGCCTGGAAATCTCCCAGCCCAGTCTACCACTGTTGGCACCTGAATATTCCTCCTGGGTCTGAGATTGGGCCAGCCCAACCTGCCAAAGCTACCACAGGTGGCACCCACCAGAATGCACCAGCAGCAGGCCAAGGGACTGGCACACCCCACCTGTCATAGCTATCACCAACACCAGAGTGGACCACTTGGGTTCCCGTGGGTTACTCCACCACCGCTACTGACATCACCCACATCACAGCAGCTGCCCAGAGATTTGAGAACCTGACCACACACTCAACCTACTGCTGCCACTACCAATATCTGAGCAAGCCACCTGGAGCCCAAGAATCAGCCTGTCTGGACTCACTAACACTGGAGCTAGTGTAACCCACATTGGAGCCAAGCACAAGCAATGCTCAGTCTACCACTGCCTCCACTGGGGCCCAAAGACTGGTCAACCTGGCATCCTTGTCCTCAGCAAAACTTTACCCTGGCCCCCTGCTAGCAAATGCACCCTAAGTCATTGAGGAAATCACAAGTACAACTGACACTATTTACAGCCAAATAAATTATACAAAGATCACACTACTACATGTGGCCAAAATCAAAGCCAAAATGTCCGACCCAACCAACAACATATATACATCTTCAGAGAAAAGCCCTCCCCTACAAAAACCAATTTCAAAGAATTGGAAGAAGCAACCAGATTGGAAATTGGAAGTTATACCAGATGCACAGATATCAACACAATGAAACAGAATCATAAAACAGCAAGGAAATATGACACTTCCAAAGAAACAAGATAAAGAATTCAAAATATTGCTTTTAAAGAAGCTCAGTGAGATACAAGAAAATTTTGAAAAACAAAGAAATCAGAAAAACATTTTAGGATATGAATGAAAAATTTACCAAAGAGATATTTTTTAAAAGAAACAAATAGAAATTCTGGAACTGAAGAATTTGTTGACTGAAATACAAAACACATTTGGAAGTTTCAACCAGAGGCTAGATCAAACAGATGAAAGCATCTCAGAACTTTAAGACAGGTCTTTGAAATAACCCAGTGAGACAAAAATAAATAAAAAAGAATGGACAAAGCCTTCCTGATATTTGGGACAATATAATGCAATGAAATATTTGAATTATTCGTGTCCTTGAGGGCCAAGAGAGAACAAATGGGCTAGAAAATCTATTTAATGAAGTATTAGGTTGAAAACATCCCAAGTCTAGCAAGAGACCTAGCCATCCAGATATAAGAAGCCCAAATATCCTTAAACAGATACAATGCAAAAAGGTCTTCTCAATGCTATATTACAGTCAGACTATGTACTAAGGCAAAAATAAAAGACAGAATCCTAAGAACAGCAAGAGAAAAGCATCTGTTTATTTAGTCAGTTTATCTTTTAATTTAATCTGTTTTCTTTCAAGGCTATTACTAATATGTGAAGTTTTGTGACTGTCATAATGTTAATTGTTTTCTGGTCATTTTGTATGTGTGTGTGTATATATGTCACATATATATGTCATACAATGACATATATGTCACCATGGTTTGGTAGTATACTGCAGTAGTACCACTTGAGTCATTCCTCTTCCTCATTTGTGTGTTTGGTCTCACAAAAAGATTGCGGAGGGATGGAGGGAGGTGGGCAAAGGTAAAATACTACCTACTAGGGACTATGTTCACTATCTGGGTGATGAGATCATTAGAAGCTCAAACCTCAGCATCACGCAATATCTCCATGTTACAAAACTCCACATGTATCCCCTGAATCTATAATAAAATAAAAATAAAGAAGTCTCCCAACAAACAGAAGCCTAGAATTAGTTGAATTCACAGCCCAACCCTATCAATACCAGTCCTCCTGAAACTATTCCAAAAAACTGAAGAGGAAAGAACTCTCCCTAACTCATTCTACAAGGCCAGCACTATCTTAATACCAAAACCAAACAAAAACACCAACAACAAAAAGAAAACTATAAGCAAATATTCATGATAAACATAAATGCAAAAATCCTTAACAAAATACTAGCAAACCAAATCCAACAGCACATCAAACAGATGACACACCACGACCAAGTGGGATTTATATCAGGGATCTAAGGATAGTTTAACTTATGCAAAACAATAAACCTAATATATCACATCAACAGAATTAAGCACAAATCTACATGATTATCTCAATAGATTGAGAAAAAGCATTTGATAAAATTCAACACTGCTTCATGATGAAAACTCTCAACCAACTAGGAAATAGAAGGAACTGACCTCAAAATAACAAAGGCCATATATGACAAAAGCACAGGTAGCATCATAGTGAATGGGAGAAAAGCTGAAAGCCTTTCTTCTATGAACAAGATAAGGAACAAGATAAGGATGCCCACTTTCACCTCTCCCATTCAATATAGCACTGGAAGTCCTAGCCAGAGCAATCAGGCAAGATAAAGAAATAAAAGGCATTCAAATTGGATAAGAAGAAGCCAAATTGTTCCTCTTTGCTGATAGTATGACCTTATAGCTAGAAAAAATGAAAGAATCCACCCAAAAAAAACCTCCTAAATTTGATAAATAAGTTCAGTAAAGTTGCAGGATATGTAAAAAAAATCAACATACAAAAATCGGTAGCATTTCTGTACACCAATAAAGAGCCAGAAGGGAAAGAAATCAATATGGCAATACCATTTACAACAGCTACAACAAAATAAAATACCTAGGAAGAAATTTAGCCAAGGAAGTGAAAGATCTGTATGAGGAAAACTACAAAATACTGATGAAAGAAAATTAAAAGGACAAGGATCAGAAAAATTAATATTGTAAAAATAACCATAATGCCCAAAGCAATCTACAGATACAATGCAACGCCTACCAAAATACCAACAACATTTTCAGCAGAATTAGAAAAAATCATAAAATTTGTATGAAACCAAAAAAAGAGCCAAAATAGCCAAAGCAATTCTGAGCTACAAGAACAAAGCTGGAGGCATCACATTACCTGACTTCTAAACATATTACAAGTCTATAGTAACCAAAACAGCATGACATTGGTATAAAAATAGACACGTAGACCAATGGAACAAAATACAAAGCCCAGTAATAAATCCACATTTTGACAGCCAACTCATTTTCAGTAAAGGTATCAAGAACATATACTGGGGAAAGGACACCTTCAATAAATAGTGCTGGGAAAATTGGATATCTATATGCAGAAAAATAAAACTGGATCCCTGTCTCTCCTGATATATAAAAATCAACTTAAGATGAATTAAAGGCTTAGACATAAGACCCAAAACTATAAAACAACTAGAAAAGGACATAGGGAAACACCTCAAGACATCAGTTTAAGGAAAATTGCATGGGTAAGACCTCAAAAGCACAGATAACTATAATAATAATAGAAAAAATGAGGCTATATTAAACTAAATGGCATCTGCACACAAAGGAAACAATAAATAGGGTGAAAAGACAACCTGTTGAATGGGAGAAAATATTTACAGACAGACATTCAACAAGGGAATAATATTCAGAATGTACAAGGAACTCAACTCAATAATTAAAAAAACAAATAATCCCATGAAAAAGTGGGCTAAGGACATAAATAGACATTTCTCAAAAGAAAACATACAAATGGCCAACAGATATATAAAAACATGCTTAGCATCACTAAGTATCAGAGAAATCCAAATCAAAACCAAATTGAGATGTCATCGTACCCCAGTTAGAATGGCTATTATTAAAAGAACAAAACATAATAGATGCTGGCAAGGATATGGAGAAAAAGGAACTCTTATACAGTGTTGGTGGGAATAGAATTGGTGCAACTAGTACAGAAAACAGTAGGGAGATTCCTCAAAAAAACTAAAAATAGAACTACCATAAGATCCAGCAATCCCATTATTGGGTACTTATCCAAAAGAAAAGAAATGTGTATATCAAAGGAATACCTGCACTTGCATGGTTATCACAGCACTATTGATAACAGTAAAGATAGAGAATCAACCTAAGTGTCCATTGATGGGCAAATGGATATAGAAAATGTGGTATAGACACACAATGGTATAGACACACACACACTACTGAATCAAAAAAGAATGAAATAATGTTGTTTGCAATAACATGGATGGAGCTGGAGGTCATTATGTTAAGTGAAATAAGCCAGGCACAGAAAAGACAGATGCCACAAATTAATAATATATGGGAGCTTAGAAACAATCGATCTCATGGAGATAGAGGATAGAATAATAGATACCAGAGGCTGAGAAGGATGTGTGGGTGGAAGGAGGAGATAAAGAGAGGTTGGTTAGTGGATGCAAACATACAGTTAGATTGAACAAATAAGCCCCAATATTCAATAGCAGATTAGGGTGACTGTAGTCAGCAACACTGTATTAGGTATTTCAAAGTAGCTAGAAGAGACGACTTGAAATGTTACCAATGCATAGAAATGATAAATGCTCAAGGTGATAGATACCCCAAATACCCTAACTCGATCATTCCACATCCTATGCATATAACAAATACATGTGTCCCATAAATATGTAAAATATTTGGTATCAATAAAACAATTTTTAAAAATAAGATAAATTATTCATTTTACACTTTTCAATATTTTTCCAATTTTCTATAAGTATATACTACCCTTAATTAAAAAAAAGATAATTTTCAAATACCGTACATCTCCCATGTAAGAATGCTTCAGACTAACCAAGTAATTAAAACAAGCCTGAATGACAATTAAAATTATGTTGTTGGTTCTGGAACCGCCACTTTCTTTAGGGCTAGCCCCTGAGAGTCCTTCCACCATGGGACTTTCATGGACATACCAGCCCTGAACCAGGCACTTACCTGGGAAGGTGTTGTCACACTGATTTCTGGAACAAAGTTGTCCTCAAAGAAACTGATGATGTTCTCCTGCTGCAGTTCCTTTGTCGGGGTGACTTTAGGTAGAGGTGGGACAGGAGGCCCTTTCCTTGTCTAGGAAGCATTAAATACAAACATTAATCCAGCCAAAGACAATGTGTCAGACACGAAGAAAGGTCACATGAACAGAGCTACATGGACAGATTGAGCTCTGATTGAAACTTGTATCTGCATATAGCAGCAAGCCTATCTGATACAGGTAAAGAATGCTGTCTACTTGTGAGGCTCTCTGAGCCCTGATAAGCCATGGTTCAAGGCAAAAACAAAACTGAGGCTATAAGAGTCCATTCATCTCAACTCAAGTACAATACACAGAGCTGTAGGGCCAGGCACATATACTTTAAAGGTTAAACTAGGGCAATACCCTCTTCTGAACTAAACTGAAAATAATTTCTCATTTTGGAAATAAATTAAAATTTCAAAACTAAAGCAGCTTTTCATTTGAATTGGTGAGACCTACTATAGGCAGCTTACATTTCACTTTCCATTCAAGGATTTTGAAAAGTAGAAAACTTTAAAGGTCTGTTTAATGCATGTATCTTCCCAAGACTTTCCTTAGTTCAACTACATATAGATGGTCCTCAACTTATGATGGTTCAATCTATGATTTTTTTGGACTTTAGGAAAGTGTAAAAGCAATAGGCATTCAGCAGAATGTGTGAAAACACTCTCTCATGAGGCGGGGCAGTGGCAGTGAACCACACTTCCCAGTTAGCCCTGTGATCACGAGGGTAAATGACTGCTATTATGTTCTACAGTGTACTATAGTCAGTAAATTACACAAGATATTCAACACGGTTATAAAATAGGCTTTGTGTTACATAACTTTGTCTAACTGTAGGCTAATGTTAAGCGTTCTCGGCGCGTTTAAGGTAGGCTGGGCTAAGTCATGATGCTCAACAGGTTAGGTGTATTTAATGCATTTTAACTTGCAATATTTTCTACTTACGATGGGTTTATCAGGACACAACCCCTTTGTAAGGCAAGCAGCATCTGTACAAGAAAGCTTGAACTGGACTGGGGACTATAAATTTTTCTACAGAAATTTCATTTTCACCCAACATAGGGAGAATAAAGGTGGTAGTTTCTCTCTACAGTTACCTTTGCCCAGCCCTTATTGTTTCTCTTCAATTATTTCTTCAATTCAATTTTATTAAGTGGCCACTCATATGCAAGTGTGTGTACTAAAAAATGTCCAGGTGTACCAAAAAATGTGAGATGACATATAAACATAACCGCTTTTCTTGGCAGTACCTGCCAACTCTAAACCACTAGGAGAGGGAAGGTTTCATGCAGAGGTAGGATTTAAATGGAGCATTGAAAGAAAAGAGTTTTGTAGCAAGAGATAGGAGAAGAGAGAGCATGCTCGCCTGAGCATGCCGAGAACGTGGTAAGAAGTCCCAAAAAACTTGAATATAGGGCATGTGAGGAAATATCAAGTCAAATAAGAAAAGCAGGTGGATACCTTCATGACAATCACAATGCCTAAAGCCTCACATCTCAGTCTCCCTAACTGGAAACTTCTCTTAAAGCCCCGGCACCGTGGGATTATCCTAGATGGGGCCACCTTCATCTCATCATGAGCTCTATCCCCCAATATATTTGACCTCTTCCTACCTGTGAAGGTGACCGAGGCCGTGCTGGTGCGGGAGACGCAGGTGCTAATGTATGATTTGGACTTGCTGTCGGGCTCGGGAGGGGTGAAGGCTCCTCAGGCGGTGATGGTGTCTTTGCAATGCGGAGAGGACCCGAATCACTAGAGGAACACAGGGGATTGGGCAAGGGGCCTTCTCAAGAACAGTATTCATCTAATCAGGGGTTTTCCATTTCAGAGAAACCCAGAAGCCTAACAGGTACTGTCTGTTGTCCTGCTCTCCCCTTCCAGGTTAATTCTGGTTAATTGCAACAGTGATGGTGATAACTGGTACCATTTATTTGCACTACAGAGACCTCATTCATGTATTATCTTTTGTCTTCACAGTAGCCATGTTTTATTGTCCCCACTTTACAAGTAGTAAAGTGGGGCATAGATAGGTTAAAAATAAAAACTCTAAAATCACCCAGCCATTTAGTGAATCTGAATTCAGGTCTTAGTAATGCAAGCCCTCTGTTCTTTCAAACAAGTTCTGCAAGAATCTTCCAAACATAAGCTGAATTGATTTTACTCGTTTCACTTTCTATTTACAAGAGAATCTTGCCATGTCACAATCTATAAAAAACTATGAAAATTGTAACTTTTATATTAAAAGGTAACCTTAGGATAGTGTTAGTAAGGATTTTGTAGAAGTGCTTTCTAATAACATTTGGAAATAAACTCACTAATTATTTCTCTTTCTAGACCTTATAAATAACTACTCAACTCAGGCATCTTGAAATGTGCAACAAAATCAGACAAGATTCAGTTTCGTTTACTAAGAACCCACCATGTTCCTGGCATGCGGCCAGACGCTCGGGAACAGCCCAAATGTGATGACTAAGAAGCACTCAGGACACATCCTACTCTCTAAGAATTTCTAAAGTCTACAGCTCGAAGAAACAGAGTCTGTACCCCAAAATAAAAGAGCATGTACACAGCAGCATGGTCTACATATTCAAAGGGCTGAGGAAACTGGGTCCTTTAGCGAGAACACAGACATGCCACATGATTGGGGTCATATGCCAGCAATCATGGCCTCAGATGGAAACATAGCCCCAATCTAAGCTTAATAGAGATGCCACTGAGCTCACTCACCACCTCATTCTGCAGAGGAATGTTGAAAAAAAGTGAAAGGAACATTCATTAAGTGGTCATGGCCCCGCTTTTTCTTCACTGTATCTCATTTGGCAACATTACAATTTTCAGATGAATTTGTCCCTTTCATTTCCATGTAAGGGAACAACCCTAAATTTTTTCATGCACTTCATTTTTAAAACACTCAAATATCATTCTGATATTCCCATTCCAATTCTTCCTTCGTGCCTAGCCCCATACTGAAATAACCATACTGAAAACAGTAACTCTGCCTCTCTTATGTATTCTTTCAGGCAATATTCTTTCCCTTAGAAAGAGAAGATATACTACTGCTTACATAGTATAGAAACCATAGCAGAACCTATAAGTAGGGCTAATCCAAAGAGCAGGGAATAAGAAAATTAACAATCTCTAGAGGGATCCAAACATTAACATATGTAGAAGTTGGTTCATGTGTATGACTATGTGTGTTTTCATAAATGTATGCAAATAAGTGTTTGTATTAAAATGGCAAATATAGAATGTCAGGACTGTATATTACCTTGGAAACCATGTAGTTCAATAGTATCTTTTTTTTTCTATTGAATTAAAAAAAATGAGACCTCTAACCAGAGAGGTTTTGAACTTACTCAAGGAAGGCAAAGCAAGTTAACTGCAAAATCAGAAAACCGAAAGCTGGGTCTTCTGACTCCCAGCTCACTAGCCTTCAATCTCTGAGTACGTAAAGTCTACGAAGGATGGAATAAAAAGGATTCCAGAATCACTGGAGAAAGCTGGTGTGCAGCCGAACCCTGGCAAGGTAGACAGGTCACCTATGGATCATTGGGGCTCCGGGGTATTTGACTGGCATACTCATAATGCAACGTGCAATAAAACAAAAACAGCACAGTGTTCACCAGATCAAGAGTCAGGAGGTAAGAGGAAGATGAGATCTCACCTACTTCCTCTTTCCTTTCCCAAAATGGATTCATGAAAGACGTCAGCATCAATGATAACAATCAAGACAAACTGTCATAAACTTTGGGAATTCCTTTCTTCTCCGGAGAAAATATTAAGTGCATAACAAATTATATATTACAACAAGCATATACATTATATATTAAAATTTCACACTGTTGCTATCAGGCCTCATGGAAAGCAGAGAGAGGCAGAGAGGCAGAAAGTCAATGCTGTTGTGACAAGAAGAAGAATCCTAGTTGGGTCACTGAAGGCCAGACATAAATGTAAAAGCACAAAAATAAAATTAGTGTCAGCTTCTAGGGTGAAAAGGCTCCTGTGGGACTTTTGTAGGATAAATAAAATAGTACAGGCTGGTCCACAGATTGAAGAAATTTTAGCAAGCAGGACATTACAGGTGCTCCAATGAGCAGGGGCCTACCTGGGCGCTCCTTGGATGGTGAAGGCCTTGTCGGCGTGCTGGTCACCCAGTTTTGTCATCACTTCATACAGTTTGTGGCAAAGCTAAGGGGACAGAGGCCACTTGTCTATTAGTCACATGTCATTCTGGTGCCAATTCAGGCTATTCTCCCCAAGAAAGAAATTGCTTATTGAGAAGCTATAAATTTTATGATAGCTTGGATGGCCTCAGGATAACTGAAATTCTGTATACGGTTCAAATTTAAAATCTATGTCAAAACTGAAACAAACGAAACACGAGTAAACTAAATATATATGTATATATTTATTAACCAGAGTACAGGGCAGAAAACAAAAGCTTACTGTTTACATTGACTCCACCCTTTTGAACAACAACAACAAAAAGCAATCAACAACAGAGTTGATTATCTAAATACTTTGAGAGCAATTTTTCATTAGCCTAAAATACCACTGGGAATTCCAACTTTATAAACTGCCTGGTAAAAGAAACAACACTGTAAAACTGTGGCAAAATCTTCAAAAGATACAAAGAACTATGTGATCACTATGAAAAACCGTAGAAATGTTATCGAGGGTAATAACACACTGCTAAAAGAAACATACAAAAGGGTGAATTCTTTGGATAATTCTATCCCATTTCATTTGCTTCCAAAATAAACCTTCCTTTACTTTATATTCCATATGCAAAAATTATCGTCATGACTCACCACCGCAATTTCCTTATGAAACTTGGCTTCAAGGCTGGAGACGTTTTTGAAAGTATTAACATAAAATCCAACTCGTCTGCCATGTGGAAACACAAAGAGGAAAGAAGAGAGAGGGAAAGACCAGTCAGTAAAAATAATTTTAATAGCAATGAAATGTATGAAAACCCAGGTTTCTTTTACACCATTTTGAATAACTTTGGACTAAATAAAATACTGAACCCAAAGCAAGCCCAACATTTCCTCATCTGTTAATGAACAAAAACAAGTATCTTTTGGCATAGAGCATGACCTCTCCTAAAATTCAGTGCCTTAAGACAGTGATTCTCAAACTTTAGTGTGCATGAGAACCACCTGAAGGGTGTGTTTCTGATCTAGTAGGTCTGAACATGAAGACTGAGAATTTGTATTTCTGATGAGTTTCTAGGTGATAACTGATGCTGCTGATTCAGAGACAACGCTTATGGAACCCCCGCCCTGAGAACTTATTTATATTTTAGTTACTGTTTCTTGCTTTCAAGATTTGAGAAGTTCATTATTAACTTTTATAAACTATAAATGGTCTAGTTATTATTATGTGTTTGGACTCTGAAATTTGTTTCATAGAAGGAAATACAAAACCCGTAAATTAATTCTAACTGCTCATCAAAAATAAGAGCGTGTCATCACTGAGTAAATGAAAACATAAGCTGCCCCTTCATAATAGCAATGAGATTAACTTCTTCTATGGCTTATCTTTACTTAAATCCCTAACATATTTGACTTAATCTTAAATTTCTATACCTACAGTGATCATGTGACCCTGACTTCATATATTTTTCTTTTAATTGATTTTAAAAGATCATATACTTATTCATAAATACATGTGCATATACCTATTCATATGCATACAAATACACATGCATATAGACATCTATTCATTAATAAAGAAAATCCTCCACAGTGTGTTTGGGAAATGGTAAGCCCCCAGGAAGATCAGACCAGAGCCTGGGAGAGGAAAGCCTAGTGAGGAAGCAGATGGTTCTCTGGGGCAGAGGTCCTTGCCAGACCACGAAGCACAATATTTATTGGCAGGCAGTGGGCAAACCCTAGATGTGTCTGAGATAGGGCAAAGGAGAACACTTGCACCTGTATTTGAGGAAGCTAATTAAGGCAGCAGCTTGACAGGCAAGGAGAGACCCTACAGGCTACCTATACATTATGCAGAGGGACCCCACTCGCAGTGTTTGCAGAGAAGTCTTCTGGGGTACTTTGAGTGGCAACTCATGACCCCTTCTCCAAGGCCCCAATCAACTGGGACAGTAATTCTTAACACTTTTCTTCCTTCAATTACTTCCTTCAATTACTCAACAAAGGACCTATCCAACTCTGGGTACATGCACAGTGGTAGGTGAACATGTCTCTAGGAACGTACAATCCAGTTAGAGAAGCATCCAGAGGGGCTGCTCTATTTATACTTACAATGGAAATATGTGTGTGTGTGTGTGTGTGTGTGTAAGAGAAATAAGCAGATTTTATATATATGTGTATATATATATATTAGAAATAAGCAGCTTATAAAACCACATGGGAATGTTAAGTTACAACAAGAAGGCATACATGATTACATATCAAAAGTGAGTGGATATGGGCAGAAACAGAGAAACTGAGAAGAGAGGAGAGCAATGGGCCCTGTGACAGCTGCAAACATCTGCTTAAGAGGACAAACTTGGGCTGCAGAAAGAAGTGTCCAATTTAAATAGAAGGTGGGTACAGATGGAAGAGGTGTGTAAGCTGAACTTCACTGGAGAGTATTATTTTATTTTTATTAATTTTTTTCTATGGTAAATAAAACCCTAATGAATATCTATGATTAAGGTTTTGTACACAGCTTATTCATTTCCTTAGGACAGATTTCTTGAAGGTATTTGCTGGTAAAAGGAGTGAACCAAATAAGCACTGATGTTCACCGTCAGACTGCTCAACTGGTCGCACTAGACTGGGCCACTTATAGTCCCTTACATTACCTTACATACAACCTTTATAAATATGATAGCCAAAAGTTAGCATCTCACTGACTTTGAAGTTTATATTTCTTCAATTAAAGTTAACACTTTCATTCATTTATTTATTGCTCATTTGTATTCCTTCTTTTGTGAATCACCTATTCAAATTTTTTTATTTCTTAGTATTGTTTTTCTTATCAATATGTAATGGCACTTCTATTAAACATATTTAACTTTGGATGCATTAGGCAAAAACAAAAAAGAAGTCCCATTCTTCTATATTTCAATTTTGTTTTCTGATATACAGCATATCTTAAGTTGTCAAATCAATTATTATCCTGAGAAAATGGTATAGTATCAGAAATATCTTATTTAGAATAACTAAACATCTATTTCTAATATTTTGTTTTTTAATTTAGAAATTAACTAGCATGTATTTAATTAGGATAAAGTGTCCAACATTTTTGATACAACTGATAGTGATTTTCTCCAATTTATGAAGTCAGAGATCCTGCAAAGAGGGGAATGCCTTTAACTAGTTCACTATTACAGCCCTAGCACCTAGTACACGGCAAGCATGAGTAAATGAATAAATTCCATAAATGAACAAACAAGCCAGTGAATGAAGAAACTTGGCACTCATTCCACTATAAGAGCATATTCCGATGTGACCCTGGCTTGTAAAAACTTAATGTAACCAGCAGTAGAACATACAGACGGCCGGGCGCGGTGGCTCACGCCTGTAATCCCAGCACTTTGGGAGGCCGAGGCGGGTGGATCACGAGGTCAGGAGATCGAGACCATCCCGGCTAAAACGGTGAAACCCCGTCTCTACTAAAAATACAAAAAATTAGCCGGGCGTAGTGGCGGGCGCCTGTAGTCCCAGCTACTCGGGAGGCTGAGGCAGGAGAATGGCGTGAACCCGGGAGGCGGAGCTTGCAGTGAGCCGAGATCCCGCCACTGCACTCCAGCCTGGGCGACAGAGCGAGACTCCGCCTCAAAAAAAAAAAAAAAAAAAAAAAAAAAAAAAAAAAGAACATACAGACACAGAGTACCAGCATACCAGGCTCTTGATTCTGATATTATCTGCTTAAAAGTTTCATTTTGCACAGGGACTCTGAGACATCACCATTTCCCCAAATGTGGCATCCTCAGGACACTTCTTATTAGCTGTCAAAACCAACTTAATTTCTTTATTAAGATGTTTCTTTGTTCTCAGAAATAAAGGAAAAATTAAGTTGAGCTTATCACAGCTACAGATTGCAGACCTGAGCACTCTCCCCTTCGCAATGCCCTAAGGAAATCTGCCTCCCTGGAGGGGAGTGTCAGTGCTTCCTGCAGACCCTCTTGCAGTGGAGGAGGCAACCCTTGCTGTCCTTCACTTACTATGGAGATGGAGTATGAGGAAGAGTTTTTTCCTAGCTCTCTTCTGATCCTCTAAGCTCATTTACACTCCATTTCAGGATTAATGGCACTCATATTAAACCTCTTCAAAGCTTAATATCAACCTCTCAGCAAGACTCCTCAACCCCAACCACAATCCACAATGGCATGCCTCATGGTTTCCCCTCTCTCCCTCACCAAATCCTAACACTAACACAGTAGATCTCAACAACCCTATGACTATCCAGCCAAAACATGAGCCCTCTAACTAGGGACCCCAGCATTCTATTTATACACATTCTGCATTGGCCTCTGACATCTTGGATCTTGCCATGACTCACAACTATTTCACCTCTGAAATGGGGCAGATTAGTGGCCCACCCACTAACCTAATTTCCTGGGCCATGAGCTCCCTCATTCATTCATTTCCATTCCACCTGCTTCTTTCAAAACCTCTGTGAGATCAATGCACTTTTCTTCCAGGCCACTACCCTTGATCAGGTTGAACATCCTGCTTTATCAAGCTTGGGCCCTGTGGTATACCCCTCAACACTCTCTGGTCAGTCCTATCAACACCCTTCCTCCTTGTCCTGATCCCCTGTTTGCCCCACATATCTTCAGTCCTAAATTATTCCACCTTTACCACAACTATGCCATCTTCTCAAAATGACAAAAGTTATTTTTAGAAAGCTCCCCTTGCCCTCTAATTTCCCTATACCAGCTGCCACAATTCCTCAGGCCCATCATAGTTAGAATCCTCAAAATAACAGACACTGTTGCTGCTTCCTCATCTCCAATGGAGTCTCCAATGCCTATAATCAAGCTTCTGATCCCAACATCTACTGAAACCCCTCTGGACGTTTACCAAAGGTGATGCCTCTTTAGTCCTCATCTGCTTGATACCTCTATTGTAAATGATAGTCCTGGCACTCCTCATTTTTAAAATTCTCTCCATTCTTGCCTTTTTGAGATATCCCTCTGTCATGGCTCCTTCTACATCTCTGATTAATTTTTGGAAGGCTTTTCCACAGTCCCCTCTTCTTTTGCACATTCCATAAAATATTAGTGCTCTCAAAGGTTCTGCTTTGATCCTCATCTTGCCATTTGATCTATCCGACCATCTAATTCATCAACTCTCATGGCATCATTACCACCCATATGGTAATGACTCCCAAACCTCTCTTCAAGCTTTAGACTTAGCTTAATAGACATATCTTTTTGAATTTCCTAATGATTCTTCAACTCAACATATATAAGCCAGACTCAATCTTCCCAAAATTTCCTTTTCTTTACATATTGTCTATCTGTTTGAGGGACAACTTCCCTAAACATCCAAACTATAGTCTGAGTTACACCATCTCATGTCACTCTCTACTAAATTATCGTTTTTTAAAATTTTTTCTGCATTGAACTTATTGTCTGATATCTTATTTTTCATTTCTTTTAAAGATAACTGCCTTTCCCTGTCCTTCAATATAAGCTCCAAGCAAACAAAAACTTTCAGTACAGAATCTTTAACATCTAACAGAGTTCTTCACACACAGTAGGTGGTCAATAAATATTTGTTGAATGCATGATAAATGTATCTGATCCCTATCTTTCTCCTGCTTCATCACCACAAGCCCCTCCTAGACACTATCACTCTGACCCTGAGTTACATTAGACTAAAGTTCCATGAACCCAGATATCTGCTTCAACCCACAGGCCTTTATTCATACTCTATGTCAGCCTAGAATATCCTTTTCACTAAATGGTGGTTTTACTTATTTTACAAGATTTACCTCAAGAATTCTCTTTAGAGTCCTTCCTTCTTGGTGATACCACTCTATCATCTCTATCTATATAATCTATAAGCTCCTTTACAACCTGCAATCATATTCTAGTATTTCCTTTTTTAAAATTGAACCTGCATCCCCCTCTAAGCAGTAGTTCCATTTCTCCCTCATGAACTACTAATCTTTGAAGATCAGTTTAAATCCAAAAATTTGAAAGTTTTCTACACTTGGCAGTAATGGAGGAATAGAGAAACAAAAAAGACATAAGGCACACGAAGCAATTACCAAAATAGTAGACAGAAAAGCCTACATTTTGGTAACTATATAAAGGTAAATGGACTGAGCACAGCAATCGAAAGGCAGAGGCTGGCAGAATGGATAAAACACACACCATGTGCACACACAAATGATCCAACTAAATACTGCCTACAAGAGACACAATTTAAATTCAAGATAGGTAGAAAGTTTAAAAATGGAAAAAATAATATTCCATGCAAAGAGTAATGAAAAGAGAGCTTGAATGGCTATAGTAATATCAGACAAAATAGTCAAAATTATTAGAGACAAAGAAGGACAGTTTATAAAGAAAAAACAGTCAATCCATCAAGAAGATATACAAGTTATAAACATATATACACCTAACAAAAGAGCCCTAAAATACATTAAGCAAAAGCTGACAGAAATGAAGACAGAAATAAGCCCAATAATGGTGGGAGACTTCAATATCTCACTTTCAACAAGGCAGAAGATAGTAAGGAAATAGAAAACTTGAACAACATATAGTCAACCTGAACCTCACAGGCATATATAGAACATTCCACTCAACATTCTGAAGGATTATAAATAGTTTGATGCATTAATAACTAACATGTAATATGTTTATTACTTCATACCCAGTATTATGCATTTCCTCATAGGAGGCAAAGAAGATACAAAATACTAATTTCAATTTCAAGGTTGAGTAATATGGCTTGTTAAAGAACATATGTATTTATGGAATAACTTGAAAAATTATGACTAAATGCAATCTCATTTTAGATAAAGAGAGGCCCTAGATAAAAGCAGCAGGATTCACATGAAAACAAAACAAAACACCAAAGTGTTTTTAAATGCTACCTTTAGGATTTACAAGCTTAACAACCTAAGGTAAGGTATTTAATTAATATGATCTTTAGCTTCTCATCTGTGAAATGGAGAGATCTGTAATTGTAATGATTAGAGGTTATACATGTAAAGTACATAAAATGACAGCTAGCAAATAGAAAGTATTCCAAAAAATGATCTTTGGTATACAGCATACACAATGCACACAATTATTATGGTTGAGTAATCTGGATTTCATTAAGAAATATGCTACATAGAAAGGAAGGCCTAAGTCAGGTTTTGATCGAAAGGCAGGATCTGGATTGAAAAACTAGTTTTGACTGATGTTATTTCCTAAGTGCCAGAGTGAGACATTAGATTGATTTCAAAAGCATTGAAACATTTATACTGCGTATGACCAGAAAAGGGGAAAGGTTTCTTTCCAAAATTATCCCTCAGATATTCCCTTTGTTTTTAAGTCCCTACAAAGTCTTTCACGCTACGAGACACTCCAACAATTACTTTACTTTGAATAACCAAATACAACTTAGGAAGGGCACAAAAGACTGAAATAACATCAATGCTAGTTTTGGATGTAGTAGAGATCACTAGAAAAACCTTAGTTATATACCCAATACATATTAAGGCAAATAATAAATATCTGTCTCTTGGCAATTCTGGCAATTTCCCCAAAGTTTCATAATTGGCACTGGCAATTTCCCAGGGGTATTATCTCATAATTGAAAGCCTTGAACACTGTGGTACCCAAGACTTTTTGAAGATCAGTTTAAAAAGCGATTAAGCAATTACATTAGAAATCATAAAAAATTCCTTTACAGGGGAAATAAAAAGTATAACTGTCTTAATTGTATGTAAATGACAACCTGTGTTTGGAACTAAATAGCTGTTGAAGATGATGATAAGCTCTGGAGAACTACTAGTTGAGATGATGAGTATCTTAAGTAAGGACAAAAACAAGTGATGCTAAAGATATATGTAAAGATTTTGGATAAAAGTATTCCATGAAGGCCGGGCGCGGTGGCTCACGCCTGTAATCCCAGCACTTTGGGAGGCCGAGGCGGGTGGATCATGAGGTCAGGAGATCGAGACCATCCTGGCTAACAAGGTGAAACCCCGTCTCTACTAAAAATACAAAAAATTAGCCGGGCGCGGTGGCGGGCGCCTGTAGTCCCAGCTACTCGGGAGGCTGAGGCAGGAGAATGGCGTGAACCCGGGAAGCGGAGCTTGCAGTGAGCCGAGATTGCGCCACTGCAGTCCGCAGTCCGACCTGGGCGACAGAGCGAGACTCCGTCTCAAAAAAAAAAAAAAAAAAAAAAAAAAAAAAAAAAAAAGTATTCCATGAAATGTAAGAGCAAAAAAGTAATATCTGTATTTTTTAAAAAAAAGCCATAGCATCATATAATTTGTGATTTTAAATAAATGTGAATAACTAAATAAATTCAAATCATAAATAGATATTTGTTTTATCTCTATCCCTAAAAGTTGTATATATTCAGGTTGTTTAAATCCTCTCTGGGGGAGAGAAGAGGTCTTCTTTAGGCACATACAGTGAGGTCCTAAGCAGGCCACAGAGATGTCAAGGTGGAGCTTCTGAAAGAAAAGGTGTACAGCAAGAGGTCAAAGAAAGAAATGTAAGGGCAAGACTACCATCATAATACACAACAGGATGACGAGGGTTAGGGTGGGGACAGTGGGACCAGAGAAAGGGAGAGTGATCCAGAAGCCCACACCAAAAAATGATAGATTGATTATTTTGATGGCTCTTTGGTTTCCTGTAGGTAACAATTGCAAAGCTTTGAGGTTTCGGAACCCAGAAATAATGGCACCAAAAAAATAAAATAAAATAAAATAAAATGAAATAAATAAAAAGAAAAAGAAATGCAGATGTAGAGAGAATGAGTAAATTCAGATGAACAATGACATAATTTCACATGTTGGACTTTGGGTGATGGCTGGACACTGAGGTAAAAACTAGCCAAAATTTCATCCAGATATTTCAGTTCAGAGAGAAACACAGAGTGCCTTTTATTGGCAAAAATTAAAAACACTAGCGATGAACACAAAAATGGGCAAACTTTAGTATAGACCCTCAAAATGCTTACAATTTTGGTGGGTAAATAGAAGCTCTAGAATTTGTATATAGGAAGGCTTTAGAGGCAAATCCATCTAGTTGGAAGTTAAGAAATAGAGGACCTGATTTAAAATAACGTGGCATTATTTTAAGCACAACTCTGGCTAATTTGGGGTGGGAGCATGAGGATGCTGACAGAGATTAAGGATCATAAGGTCCTATTTCATCCAACAACTTCTTTGTTCTACCACTGAGTAGGAAAAACAGAACAACTATTTCAAAATGCACGTAATTCCACGAGAAATGCAGAGTAACGTGTAAGTAAGAATATCTGGTGCTTAAAATACAAATACAGTTCAGATTTAAAAGTCAGGGCTTAAAGTAGAGGCTTACCATCTAAGCCAGATGACTAGATGAGCTCTTGGAATAAAGGAAGTTCCTCCAAGAACTGAAAGGATATTATTGTTAAGTTTCAAGATGAAGGGCAGTCCTCCTAATGCCTCTAATTGAGATTTAGGTCTCCACTTGAGAAATAGATCAAGGTCTAAAATTGTGTCATCCTATATGGCAGCTACTAGCCACAGGTGGTTATTTAAATATAAATAAATTAGAACAAAATAAATTAAGTTTAAAATTTAGTTCCTCCTTTTTAATCCTAGCCATATTCCAAGCAATCAATACCCACTGGTGACAAGTAGCTACCATACTGGAAAGCGCAGATAAAGAACACTTTCACTGGACAGTGTTGAAATGTCACAGTAATAATAAAGACAAGATAAGGGATATTCACTGATCTTGAATTTCTAAAAGGAACATGTGCAACCCATAGAGAAACATTTTTACCTTGACCATAATGATGGTAACTCTTCTTGTAAGTCAACGTTAAACTCTTCAAACACTTTCTGTGCTTTCTGAAATTCTTCTTCTGCCTAGGAATGAAACATAACATGTGTTTACACTAAGAAAGACCATTTCTATACACAACAGCATCATTTAATGTAAAATAAGAATAGTCTTATGGCATCTTGGAAATATTTTGAGAAGGAGAGTATTTGGTTAAAAGCATATCCTTGTTTTTCAATTAAACATGAAACACTAAGACTCCCTAAAACTGGAAACCGGATTGATTACAATGGTTGCTCTTGCAGTTTCTGGCTGATTCATTTATTCTACAAAAATGTGTTAGCTGCCTGCCATGTAGACAGCTCTGCTATGGATACTGAACATGAATGCATCCCCAGGAAATTCCCAGCCTAGTGGAAAGTCTAAATAATTACATTACAGGATGTATTTACAAAAGGGACTTACAATGTGTTATAGAGCATGCTATATGGAAGGTGGTGCAGAGAAGAGAGAAGGTAATTTTTTAACTGAATCCTAAAGAATCAGAAAATGTTTGCTAAAGGAGGGGGTAAGAAAGACATTACAATACATAAAGGTGGAAAGCCTTGAAATGGAATTCCAGCTTACCATGTGAACTTGTCAGACTGCTTTACCACTGTGTACCTCACAGGTTGTTTTGAGTATTAAGGAAAGTTAATGTAGATGAAGTGTTGAACAGAGTGCCTGGTATCCAGGAGGCCTCTCATGAAGGGCATTTGTTATTGTGAACTGCTCAGAAACTGATGTGTAGTTCTGGCTCATGGTATGTTTATGGAAGAAGGCGAGGAGGGGAAAGGAGACTTGAAAGTTGATCAGGATGGACAGGTGAGTTACAGCCAAATTGTGAGGATCTTTTATGCTGTACTAAGAAATAAAGTATTTTTTGTAGAGGCAATAGAAACCATTAAAAGACTTAAGCAGTTGAGAAACATATCTCGATGTAGAAAGACCATTCAGGCAGCTGTGTGTAGGCACATAGGAAAAGGCATGACTGGAAGAAGAGGGTATAGTTAGGAGGTGACTTCAGTTAGTCGGCATCTGTAACTTGCTGACATACATGGTGAAAGCTACTAAAAAATGTTTTCTAACAGAAAATTTGTTTTATGCAAATCCACACATCCGTACTCTCAGACAATCAAAAGTCACCTCTGAGAATTTCAGCTTGGTGTCCCATCTGCATCTGCATTTCAGCACTGAGGGTGGACCACAACCATCTAAGGAAGTGCAGACACACTACTTTCTTTGATCCCGCAACATTGTAGGTCAAAGTTTATTCTGATCAAAATGTGTGAGTCAGTATCCCCCATATGAACTGTACAATATAATGAAAAGCCTTATTTTAATTAAAAATAATAAAAAGCACTATGTTTCAGTTTAAATTCTGTTCAGATTCCAATCTCCTTTTATAGAGGAGGCATTTAATTTTAAAAAGTAAAGCTGCAACAGGTCATAAAATACGGAGAGTGGTATTCACCATGGGCTCAATCCCTACCTTAGAGATTCGACTCTCATCCTTCCTCTTGGAGCTCTGCAGAGCTTCCAGATGGTGGCGGGCACTGTCATAGTCCACTAGCTTCCTGCTGCGCTTGGCGATGCGATTCTGTCAACAGGAAATGCACTCACTAAGAAAGAAGCATGGACATAAGAGTCTCCCTTTGACAGCCAGGTGCCAAAATGCTTTCCTTGGCCAGAGCTGCTGAGGATCTTGACTGGAGATCAAGATGGGCTGGAGTTTCACTAGCTAAGTGACTCCTGAAAATCAGATGAACACCTCCAATCCTTTGTGTTGAAGCCATTAGATAAATATCTTCCCTTTTGATAATAATTAGGCTAATCACAAGCAGCTGAGGGCAGAGTTTGCAGTCAAAGACCAGAAAATAATCCAGAATTGGTCAGGGAGAGAAGGCAAAACTATACTCATTATTCTCTAGTCGAAATCTTTAAATGTTCTATTCTGAAGATAGTGGGAAACTATGTTAGATTTGGTTTTATAATTCTGATAACACTCACACCAACAGCAATTCTATAAAAACAGATTTACTTCCCAAGAAATCTCTTTTCCTACAAGTGATTCTCAATACTTTGTTCATTAGAATCCCCTGGACTAATGTGTCATTTGGAATAGCTGGTGGCCAAAGACACAGGGCCAAAGGCACAGATTGTGCTAATGGGCAAGCTCTTTCCCATGGGTCAACATTGGAAGCCATGAGAAAGTCTGAGAACAAGACATTCCCTTGCAGTGTGGATGAGAATGAGGTGATATATGGCTGCTAGGGGATAGGCGTAAAGCCCTGCTCATTTCTATGGAACATTTCCTCTTAACAACAACAACAACAACAACCACAAAAACAAAAAGCTTTAAGCCGCTTGAGGAGGGGGCACCAAACCCTTCTACCCACAGGTGCAAGCAAAGATCTACTGCTTCTCGGGGAGCAATAAAAGTAAAACCAATGTGGCTCTGGTAGAGATGGAGAGCCTTCTGACCTCTAGATTTTAGGCAAAAATAATTGCTGTAGGCAAAAGGGTAAAAGAAAAAGTCTCAAGGGGCATAAAAGCTTCCTAGGCCCAAGACCTGACTCCTACAACAAGTAGTGGACTGCTCCAACTTGGGCAGGGAAGGAAACTCTCGCTCAAATCCAACCACAGATATGAGGCTGACTTTGCCTAAAACAAGGCCGGGAAAGGATTTAAAACAAACAAACAAACAAACAAACAAACAAAACAACAACAACAAAAACAGCCCTAACTCCACTACAAGCTATAACACTAAAAAACAAGCAATAGTGGCCTACCACTGGAGGAGGACAGTGCAAGGAGAGAGACCCCTTCTGCAGAGGGGTCTCTACAGGCATACAAAGACAACTAAAATCTAATAAGCAGCAGCCACACTGAGAGAAACCCTCCAGCACCTAAGGGCCCCCAAGTCAGGCTTCAACCTAAGAATTTGAAAATATTACAGATATTAAAATATAAGTACAAGGCATTAGCAGTCCAATTCTGGAGGAATTTGAAAGCTGCGGTGCACTGAAGTAACAATAGCAAAAATAAAGACCCAATGCAGCTCAGGTCCTGATTAATTGATTCCAACTCTCACATTAACGGCCTGACAAAAAGGCTGGCCAATTTCCAGACATAAATATTATTTCAGTACTCACTATCCTATACATGATGTCTGGCATTCAATCAAAAATTACAAAATACACAAAAACAAAAAAACAACAATCCATGAGAAAAGGTAAAGCAAACAACAGAGACAGACTCAGACATGACTCAGATGTTGGAAGTAACAAACAGGAATTTTAAAATGACTACGACTAATATGTTAAAGTATCTAGTTTGAAAAAGTCAACAACAAAGATAATCAGATGGGGAATTTCAGAAGAGATATAGAAACGTTAATGGTCAAATAGAAATCAAATGGAAACACTAGAAATTTTAAAAATGTTATCAGAGAGGAAAAATTGATTCAGTGGGCCCATTACTAAACTCGAAAAAGCTGAGGAAATAAATAGTGTACTTGAAGACAGGTCACAATAAATTATTTCCATTAAAACACAAAAAGGAAAAAGAATTGAAGAAAACAGAGAATTGAGCATCTAAGACCTACAATGTAATATAAAATGGTCTAACATAATATAATTGAGGTCTCAAAAAGAGATGAGAGAATAATAAGCAATATTTCAAGAGATAATGGCTGAAAATTTTTTTTAAATAATGAAGACATCAAAGTATAGATGCAAGAAACTCAGAGAATACCAAAAAGGAAAAATACCAAACAATACACATCTAAATACATCATAGTCAAACTACTTAACATCAAGAATAAAAGAAAAGCATACAATAAAAAGGTAAGAATTACGGGATGCTAATCTTCAGAAACCATGCAAACCAGAACACATTGGATGATATATTTACAGTACTGAAAAATAAAAGTTAAAAGAAATCTGCCAACTCAGAATTCCACACCCAATGAAAATATTTACAAAAGTGAAGATGAAATATTTTTTTTCAGACAAACAAAGGCTGAGGGAATTCATTGCCAGCATAAGAATTTTAATATGAAGTGGAGCTACACAGAAAAATGAGTACCAGAAATGATAAAAATCAATGTAAAATATAAAAGATTTTGTTTTCCTACTTTTAATTGCTTGAAAAGGTAACTGATCATTCAGAGCAAAAAAACATAACTAATGTATTGTGGGGTTTATAACATGTAAAAGAAAAATGTATGACAATAACAGTGCAAAGGAAAGGAGGTGGGAACTGAAAGTGTACTGTTGTACTGTTCTTAAATAATACATGAAGTAATACATCATTTCAAGTTAAACCTAATATGTTAAAGATGTATATTATACATTATAAGGCAGCAACTAAGAAATAAATTAATAAAGAAGTATCTACGTGCCCCATAAATATGAACAATTATTATATGCCAATTAAATAAATTGTTATACATCAAATAAATGAGAAAAATGTAAAAATAAGTAGAACGAATAAGGAAGTATCATAAAATATATTGACTCCTGAGCCCTACACTAAGAGATTCTGATTTAATTAGACTGAGGCAAGCCCTAGATATCTACAGTTTAAAAAAAATCTTCCCCGTAGTCCAGTTATGCCCAGCTATTTGAAAAATAAGAACTAACCCAGGAGGAGATGCTTTAAAAAATTTGATATGGTAGGAAAAAGAAAAAAAAAACACAATAATATAAATGGTTATGGCTTACAAGGCATTGTCACATCTGATGGATCCTTCTAGCAACCTACAGAATGAGTGTTTCAGGGATTATCTCCATTTTACTTTTAGGAAATGTGGAGCTGCATGAGATAACCTCTAATTTGTCCGAAATTGCTCAGCAAGTCTGTGGCAAAAGTGAACTGAATTAGAAGTTGGCCCCAGTGACCAGCGCCAGGAGTAGGGTGAGGCAGGTGAGACAGGGCACAAAATTTAAGAAGGCCCCTTACTCTCAGGGTCATGTGAGTGCAGGGTTAGCAACTTCCTCCCTCTAATTTGCACCACGGGTTCTTTGCTCACCTCATCCAATCTCATCCCTGCTTCTCAGTCTCGGTTAGTGCTTCTTCCAACAGCTCCCACCATTTCTCTGACAGACTTTATGAGTCAACTACAACCTGTCACTCTATGCTATTCTTCTACACACCCTTCAGGACTGGTGAGAGGTGGGTTGGGGCAGTTAACCTCTTTGGCTATTTCTAATTGCTTTCATTTTCCCTGCACCTACCACTTACAACTAGTATACTAGCAGAAAGCATGGAGATACACACCCAGTCACTCAAAGTATGCAATGAGTTAGCCTAGGCAGAGTAGAGTGGAAACCCTTCAATTAGGTATGGTGAACACCATGTGCCTATAAGGTGACAAGGCTCATTACTTTTAGCAAAAATGTGTTACCTTCAAAGGAGGCTATCCCTTGAAGCAGTGGCCTACGTAACTATATGCAAACTCTTATAAAGCTCTTCCTTATGGACTTGCCTTCTAGCCTGGGGCATTCCTTTAATATCTTCCAAGTAGCAAATCTTGATTCTCTGAAGATGAATTTGATTTTTGAAAGCATCTATGAATCAATAACTTTTAAGTCTTAGAATAAGATGGAAGAGTGCACTGGGTAATCTTATTTTTGTTCAAAAACAAGAAGCAAAGTAAATAATGTGACTCATTTTCTTATGTAATTTTTAAGTCAATTACAAGGATAGCTTACCATGGTAGAAATGACTATTTTGAAGAATATCACTCATTTTGATGCATACATTTTGGGGTTAGAAAAGATAAATCAATCTTATTTCCTTACCTATCTGATATTTGGGAAACTTGGGGGGAAAACCCAAATCTCCTAAATAAGGGTAAGGTTGACACACATTAGCTTTTTTTAATGGAAAATTATATAATTCTCTTATTTAACCATCCAATAGGAAACTTAATTAAATTACATTATAAATTTAACTTACATTTCTTGAAAAGAGAAAAAGAAGTTGTTGAGATTTCTCATTGTGCACTGAACCTCTATAGTTAAAAAATAAGTTATTATACATTTTTTAAACTTCCATAATAATCCCAAATTGGAATTCATTTTGGTACACTGCAGTAAATACATGCTTAGTTGCTCATGCATGGCTGCCAAGATAGAATCCAAACTATATTTTACAATAACTGCTCACAGCTGTAAGCCTGCCTGGGTTGGTGACAAGCAGGCTCTTATTATAACAGTGATTTCAGATGTCAATGCTGCATAACAGAAACCATAACGCAGGGTATCCCGCCAATCACAGCTGGAAAAGTTAAACATCATCCCCTCATGAATGGTCCTTCATAGCCCTCACTGATGGGCTCAAGTAAATATTTGGAAATTTGCCTGAGGTTTTAACTGCACATGGCCTGTTGATTTCAATAGGAGGCAAGGAAGTCAACTGTGTTCCATGCTTTAAAAATTCTCCACTGAGTATTTTTGTAAAATACTCCACCGAGTATTCTACTAATAATTACTTTAAATGTAAGTTGATTAATCTTCCTTTCCATCATAGCTCATTCATTACATAATCACTCAACACTATTTTTATAAAGTGATGGAGTCTATATCTACTTCTAACTTCCCTTCACTGAATAAAGGCAGACAGAATAACTTAAGTCCATTTTCACAGAAAAACTTCTTTCAAATATTAAATACAGCTATCTTCTCACTTTCCAATTCCAAATTATCTCCTTTCCAAGTTAATAGCATAGCTATTACAAGTTAATAGCATTTTGATTTCCTCAACTGTTACTTGTGTTATATGGCTTCACAATTATCTATCTTGGTTGATAGCCTCTATGTATGCTCCAGTTTCCTAAATGTGGCTTGAGGGAGACAGAGAGAGAGAGATTCAGCCTCTTTCCATGATACATAGAAAACCTTAACGTATATTTACCTTACCTTCAGGGCATCCAGCAAAAGATCTAGATGATATTGTTTCCAAATCTCTACATGGTTCAGAAACTGCAGGATCATCTTTGTATATGACCTCAACCATGGACCTCAATAAAAGAATTGCTCAAGGAAAAGTTATATTGAGCTCTTCATCTTTCTGACATGGAATAAACTGAGAAGACCAGCCAATATAATCTGTCATAATTTTATTTTAATCTTTCTGTGTTTCAATAAACGTAATTCTGTATGTGCTTGTATTCTGAAATTACATGCTCCTAGACAGTGTGGCCAATTTCTAAATATAGTACAATAACTAAGATCTTCCCATTTTATTAATGATACTAAGTTTTTGTTCCTGAAACTCAAAAAACTTTCAGATGTTTGCTTCTCTAGTTAGTCACAGCCTTTATTTGCTTAGCTAAGTCATACTATGAACATATATCATATGAATAATTTGAACAAGTTGTAAGCTGCTTTGGAATTTTCAGGTAGGAAGACACAATTTAACCTCTTCTGATTTCTTAAGTATTGCTTTTAAGGAGATTAAATTACCATGCAATAAAGGTGATGGTAGCAAGATGGAAGAATAGGAAGCCCTGGACTCTCCTTCCCCACAAACATACAGATTTAATACCAACACAGGAATCAATTTTTGTTTGTAAGACACCCAGAAACTCGTTGAATAGCTCCTTAACCCTTGGCAAGTGCAAATCCAGCCACATTGAAACAAGCAGGAAAAGGGGAGCTACATTCTTGCTATCCCTAGCACAGTGCCATATAATGAAGAGGGAACCTCCAGCTACCTACTTCTCAGTGAAGAGTGAAGAAATAGGACAGCACATCTAGCATCCCAACTTTTCTGACTTCTACCCAAGGGAGTGCCTTCTACTTGCCTGTCTGGGATAGCTGTCAGGTCCAGCATACACTAGTCCCTGGGGTCTACAGAGAATAAACAGAGGTTTGAACATGAATGCAGGCACTTGCCATGGCTCCTCTCCCTAGGTTAGTGTAGAGCAAGCAGGAGGAAACAAATAAGCAAATAAAAACACACTTCTAAGTAGTATGGCCTACCATACAACTAGTTGCCACAGCCCCTCCCCTCAACTGAGGGATAAAACAAACAAACAGTAAAAAACACCCAGTTTCCTGCTTCTATCTATGCAGGGAAAGAGTTGAACAAGCATCCAACGATACAACCTTTGGGGGCTTCCCAAGAAAATGGCTTCCAAAGAAAATGAGTCTTGCTTGTCTCAGAGCACTGAAATGACCCAGCATTCTCTAGATGCCTAGGGGGTGCTAAGAACAAAGAAAACTGTCAGAATAGTCAAAAGTTTGAGAGGCTTCCAAAATCTATGACTGGGATGATTGGTGAAGGTCTTCTCCTATATGGAGCTAGTCCACAAAGATTAAAAGAGGTGGCTGTTTTGTCTAATATGAAGATATCAACATAGAGAACCAAGGTAAATTTAAAAACAGGGAAATATGTTTCAAACAAAGAAACAAAATAAATTTACAAATATCAACCCTAATGAAATGGAGATATATGATGTGCCTGACAGAGAATTCAAAGTAACTGTCACTCAGATCAGGAAAATAATGTATCCGCAAAGTGAGAAATTAAACAAAGTGATATAGAAAATATCAAACAGAAATGACAGAACTGAAAAATACAATAAGTGAACTGAAAAATTCACTGGGGGGGCGTTCAGTAGAATATTAGATCAAGCAGAAAAAAGGATCAATAAACTCAGACAGGTCATTAAGAATCATTTGGTCAGAGGAACAAAAAGAAAAACAAATGCAAAATAGTGAAAACAGTTTAAGGGATTTATGGGACACCATTACATAAACCAATTTATGCATTATGGGAGTCCCAGAAGGAGAAGACAAAAATAATCAGAAAGCTATTGAAAGAAATAATGACTGAAAACCTCCCAAAACTGGGAAAGAAAATGTTCATTCAAATTCAGGAAGCCCAAAAACTCCAAATAAAATGAACCCCTAAAAGTCTACACAGGGACACATTATAATCAATTGTCAAAGACAAATATGGAATTTCAAAGTAGCAAGAGAAAAGTGACTTGCTCACATACAAGGGAATCTCTGTAATACTATTAGTGGATTTTTAGCAGAAGCAGGCCAGAAGGGCGTCAGATGACGTATTTAAAGTGATGAAAGAACGAAAAAACTGTGAAACAAGAATACTTGTTTCTTGCATTCTTAAAGAAGAGATAAAGACATTGCTAGACAAACCAAAGCTGAAGGAGGTCATCACCATTAGGCCTACCTTATAAAAAATGCTAAACAGATTTCTTTAACATGAAATTAAAGGACACTAAACAGCAAACAATAGCATAAAAAAGTATAACATTTGTTGGTAAATGTAAATATATAGACAAATACAGAATACTTTATTACTGTAACAGTGGTGGGTAAATCACTTTCAATTCTAGTATAAAAGTCAAAAAGACAAAAACGCTAAGCATAACTATAACTAAAAAATATATTTATGGAAACACAATATAAATATATGCAAATTTTGACAATATAAAGTATACATGTGGTGAAAATAAAAGTATAGAGTTTTTATAGGTGATTGATGTTAATTTAGTTCTTAGCTTAAAATAGACTGTTATAAAATATTTTATCTAAATTCTGTAATAACCACAAAAATGCATATGGAAGTTACACGAAAGTAAAACAAAAAAATCAAAGCATATCAATACAAAGAAACAACAAAATACAACAGAAATTAGCAAGAGAGGAAAAGAGGAACAAATGAACAATAAGACAAACAGAAAACAATGAACAAAATGGTAACAGTAAATCCTTTCCTACTAATAATTACTTTAAATGTAAGTTAATTAAATTCCCAGTCAAAAGACATAGAGTGGCTAAATGAATTTAAATAAAAAAAGATCCAACTATTTATTGTCTACAAGAGATTTACTTTAGATTATAGAACACACTTGGCTGAAAATAAAGAGATGCAAAAAGATATTCCATGCAAATGGTAACCAGAAAAGATTAGGGATGGCTGTCCTTATCAGACAAAATAAATCTAAATTCCAAAACTGTCACAAGAGAAATGGAAGGACATGTAATGATAAAAAGGTCAGTCCCTCAGGAAGATACAGCAATTATAAATATAAAGCATCTATATATGTAAAGCAAAATGACAAACTGAAGAAAGAAACAGACGGCAATATAATAATAATACAAAACCTTAATACCCCTCTTTCAATTATAGATAGAACCACAATTTCAATTACAATTTCAATTATAGACACAATATCAACAAAGAAACAGTAGACCTGAGCAACTATCAAATGGACCTAACAGACATATACAGAATATTCAATCCAACAACAGCAGAATACACATATTTCTTAAGTTGCACATGGAAGATTTTTCAGTATAGAAAGTATGAAGGGTCACAAAACAAGTCTTAACAAATTTAAGAAGACTGAAATTATACCAGGTATCTTTTCCAACCACAATAAAATAAACTAGAAATCAATAGCAGAAAGAAAACTGAAAAACTCACAAATGTGTGGAAATTAAACAACACAATTTTGAACGACCAATGGGTCCAAAAAGATATCAAAATGGATATTAAAAAGTATCTCAGCACAAATGAAAACTAAAACAAGTAGCAGAAAAAGCTGTACTAAGTGGAAAGTTTTAGTGATAAACGCATACATTAAAAGGAAAGATCTCAAATAAACAACCTAACTCTACATCTCAAGGAACTAAGAAAAGAACAAATGAAACCCCAAATTGGCAAAAGAAAGGAAAGATAAAGATTAGAGTGGAAATAAGTGAAATAAAGATTAGAAAAACAACAGGAAAAATCAAGGTAACTATGAGTTTTTTTTTTTTTTGAGCAGATAAAATTAACAAACTTTTATCTAAACTAAATAAGATAGAAGACTCACATAAATAAAATCAGAAATGAAAGGTGATATATTACAACTGATGCCATAGAAATAAAAAGGTTAAGAGACTAATATGAACAGTATATACTGGCAAACTGAATAATATAGAAGAGACAGATAAATTACTAGATACATACAACCTAGGAAGACTGAATCATGAAGAAATGGAAGGTTTGAACACATCTTTAAGTAGTAAGGAGATTTAATAGGCAACCAAATACCTCCCAACAACAACAAAACCAAGACCAGATAGCTTCATTGGCAAATTCTACCAAACATTTAAAAAAGAATTAATGCCAATTCTTCTCAAGCTCTTCCAAAAAGATTGCAGGGGAGAGAACACTTCAAACCTCATTTTCTAAGTCCCTGATATCAAAGTCAGACAAAGACACCACAAGAAAAGAAAACTACAGACCAGTTTCGTGATTAACATAGATGCAAAAAACCGCTACAAAATACCAGCAAACTGAATTCGACAGCAGATCAAAAGGATCACCCATCATGACCAAGTAGGATTCATTCCTGGGATGCAAGAATGGTTTAACATATGAGAATCAATTAATGTGATACACCACATTAATAGAATGAAAGATAAGAATCGCATAATCCTTTCAGTAGATGTAGAAAATGCATTTGATAAAATTCATTATCCTTTCACGATAAAATGCTCAGCAAACTAGAAATAGAGGGAAAGTACCCCAACATATCAAAGGCCATATATGAAAAGCTTACAGTTAACATCATATCCAGTAGTGAAAAAGTGAAAGCTTTCCACTGACATCAGAAACAAGACAAGGATGCCCACCCTCACCACTTCTTTTCAAACGAAAAAATTAGGCAAGAAAGAGAAATAAAATTCATCCAGATTGGAAAGGAAGAAGTAAAATTGTACCTGTTGGCAGATACTATGAGGTTCTACATGGAAAACCCGAAAGGCTCTACAAAAAAACTGCCAGAACTACTAAACAAATAAGAATAGTTGCAGGATACAAAATCAACATAAAGTAATTAGTTGTCTTTCATCATACTACCTGACTTCAAACTATACTACAAGGCTACTGTAACCAAAACAGCATTGTACCGGTACCAAAAGAGATATATAGACCAATGGAACAGAACAGAGGCCTCAGAAATAATGCCATACATCTACAACCATCTGATCTTTGACAAATCTGACAAAAACAAGCAATGAGGAAAGGATTCCCTATTTAATAAATAGTGTTGGGAAAACTGGCTAGCTATATGCAGAAAACTGAAACTGGACCCCTTCTTTATACCTTATACAAAAATTAACTCAAGATAGATTAAAGACTTAAACATAAGACCTAAAACTATAAAAACCCTAGAAGAAAACCTAGGCAATACCATTCAGGACATAGGCATGGGCAAAGACTGCACGACTAAAACACCAAAAGCAATTGCAACAAAAGCCAAAATTGACGAATGGGGTCTAATTAAACTAAAGAGCTTCTGCACAGCAAAAGAAACTATCATCAGAGTAAACAGACAACCTACAGAATAGGAGAAAAATTTTGCAATCTATCTATCTGACAAAGGGCTAATATCCAGAATCTACAAAGAACTTAAACAAATTTACAAGAAGAAACCAAACGACCCCATCAAAAAGTGGGCAAAGGCTATGAACAGACACTTCTCAAAAGAAGACATTTATGCAGCCAACAAACATATGAAAAAAAGCTCATCATCATTGGTCATTAGAGAAATGCAAATCAAAACCACAATGAGATACCATCTCATGCCAGTTAGAATGGCGATCAATAAAAAGTCAGGAAACAACAGATGCTGGAGAGGATGTGGAGAAATAGGAACGCTTTTACACTGTTGGTGGGAGTGTAAATTCGTTCAACCATTCTGGAAGACAGTGTGGCAATTCCTCAAGGATCTAGAACCAGAAATACCATTTGATGCAGCAATCCCATTACTGGGTATATACCCAAAGGATTATAACTCATTCTACAATAAAGACACATGCACACGTATGTTTATTGCAGTGCTATTCACAACAGCAAAGACTTGGAACCAACCCAAATGCCCATCAATGATAGACTGGATAAAGAAAATGTGGCACATATACACCATGGAATACTATGAAGCCATAAAAAAGGATGAGTTCATGTCCTTTGCAGGGACATGGATGAAGCTGGAAACCAACATTCTCAGCCAACTAACACAGGAACAGAAAACTGAACACCTCATGTTCTCACTCATAAGTGGGGGCTGAACAATGAAAACATGGACACGGAGTGGAACATCACACACCGGGGCCTGTCGGGGGGTGGGGGGCTAGGGGAGGGATAGCCTTAGGAGAAATACCTAATGCAGATGATGCGTTGATGGGTGCGGCAAACCACCATGGCACACGTATACCTATGTAACAAACCTGCACATTCTGCACATGCATCCCAGAACTTAAAATATAATAAAAAAATTATTAGTTGCCTTTCTATACACTGGTAACAACCTGAGAAAGAAGTTACGAGAGCAATACCAATTACAATAGCATCCAAGATACTAAAATACTTAAGAATAAACCTAACTGTGGAAGTGAAAGGATTTATACACTGAAAACTATACAATATTCAAAAATAAATTAAAGAAGGCACAAACAAATGGAATGGCATCCTGGGTGCACAGACTGAAAGACTTACTATTGTTAAAATACCCATACTACCCAAAGTGATCTACAGATTCAATGCAATCCCTATCAAAATCTTAATGGAATTTTTAACAGAAAGTTTTTTTTAATTCTAAAATTCACATGGAAGCACAAAAGATCCCAAATAGCCAAAACAACTTTGAAGAAGAAGGATAAAGCTAGAGGCATTACACTTCTTATTTCAAAATTTGTTACAAACCTCAGTAATTAAAACAGCATTGTCCTGGCATAAAGACAGTTATACAGACCTCTGAAACAGAATATAAAGCCCAGAAGTAAATCCACAAATATTCAGTCAACTGATCTTCAAAAAGGGTGCCAAGAATACAGAACTGGGAACAGGCAGTCTCCTCAATAAATGGTGCTGGGAAAACTGGATATTTACATGCCAAAAAATTAAATTGGACCTTTATCTTATACCATACACAAAAATCAACTAAAAATGGATTAAAGACCTGAATTGTAAGCTCTGAAACTGTAAAACTCCTAGAAGAAAAGTTGAGGGGGGGGGAAGCTTCATTTTCTAAATGAAGATGTTTTAAAATAAACATTGGTGTTAGCAATGATTTCTTGGACTTGACACCAAAAAGATAGGCAACAAAAGCAAAAATAGACAAGAGGAACTGCATCAAAGTAAAAAGCTTCTGCTCAGCAAAAGAAACAATCAAGAGTAAAATGCAAGCTATAGAAATGGAGAAAAGATCTGCAAACCACATGTTTGATGAGGAGTTAATTTCCAAAATATACAAAGGAACACCCAGAGCTCAATAGAAAAAATAACTAATAATCTGACTTAAAAATCGGCAATGGACTAGAATAGACATTTCTCCAAAGACCTACAAACAACCTCAGAGAAGCAAAGAATACATAGAATGATGGTTGCCAAGGGCTAGAGAGAGTTGGAAAATGACAGTTGCTAATTAATGGGTATAAAATTTCAGTTACGTAAGATGAATAGGTTCTAGAGATCTGCTGTGCCTACAGATAACAATACTGTATTGTGCAGTTCAAAATCTGTCAAAGGGTATATCTCATGTCATATGTTCTTACCGCAATAAAGTACAAAATATAAATTAAATAAAATAATTTTGAAAATAATTTGCCATGCAATAAACAGTACTCTGAAGTGATTACTATTGTGAGACTGTCTGCTCCACAAACATTACAAATCCCAAGGCAAAAATTGAGTGACTAATCAAAATTATCTGAAGATGTCTCAAAACATGTTCCCTGGTGCACATGGTCTTACAGAATTTTTAACAATTTAAATTTTTAATTTCTCAGAGAATTTTTAAAACCCAATTCACACCTGTTAATTAGGTTGCATTTGCCCAACTACTTAGTAAAGCACTTTGCTGCCTAATATGGTAACATCATCGAAAATCTACTGTTTGGATTTGCTCTATGTGGCATTTTGTCAATAGGTCTAACACATTTAGTCAGATCCATTTAGTTTCATTTACCATATACCAACCCTGATAGTTTAAAAGCCATCTTTACCTCCAGAGTCAATTCCAAATCTACAATATTCAATCCTTCACTTGTCCATTTACCTCTGTAATAGATTCAAGGGTCAAATAAGATCAATGTTTCAGACACAATATTTTTAGGTCCAGATGCAAATGTATTTAAAATGCTTATATCTTAACACTTTAACTTCAACCTGAAAATTTCAGTGAGAGAAAAACTATCCAGGTTCACTATAAATGCATGCAAAATAGACAGTAAAGAAGGAAAGATCAGGTTTTGCTCTCATATTTACAATGAAATTTCTCACTTCCTTGTGACCACTGGTTATTCTAATGGAAATCCCTGTCAAATGCTATATAATAAAAGTTTTGATTATAAAGAAGATTGGAACTTTTGGTAGCTCTGGTTTATGATTTTATATCTATAGGTTTAAAAAGACTTCTGTAGAATAATAAAAGCTGAAGCAGTTCACTAAAAGCGAAATGTGATTTCTGTAATGACGTTTCTTTTCAAACTGATAGGAACAACATAAAAATCCCACGCTTAAATAAATGAAAAGTTACCAACTATCTTTGATGTCAGTTTGAGGACTTGTAATAATTCTTCTCTTGCCCATGTTTCAATAACTACATGACCCCACTCAATCCTTCCCTTTATAGACACAGAGTAAAATACCTTTATGTCAGGAAATTGCCCCAGGTAGGTATCCAGTGTTAGCAAGGACCCATCCACGAGTTTTTGATGGAAGTCTTCCCACAGCACATCACATTTCTAAAAGAAATAAAGAGACCACTGCTGAATTATTTTAATTGGATACCTTTCACCAAACTTCTAAAAAAATCTGAAACTATAAAATTAGACAAGTAATACTTTCCCAGATATGAGATGCTAGGGGAAAAATGAGAATCATTTAATAATGCAATAAAATTTTAAGGCAATTTGGCCACTGGTTCTAGTTAACAAAACAGGCTAGCTCAGAGCTCAGCTCATTAAAACTGTATTTCTGATTCTAAATTACTAAAGAATGCAGAAACTTCAAAAGATCCCCATAACCCTATAGATGGACTTTGGGGCTAAGAGACTGAGAATAATTCCACTAAGACAGTTTGCTTTTGACGCACTCCATGAAATCAGAAAAAAATCCACCACTGAAACAAACAACAAATCATTTCTGAAGCCTCCCCAGGGAAAACAGAAAAGTTACAGTCATATTGGGAAAGGTCTTACCATTTATGGAGTATCAATTATGTTAAACGTACAATGAATATTAGGTATTACTATTATTACAACTAGTATTCCTACTGTCACTATGTTAAGGCATTCTCAAAAATTGTTTTATGAGAAAAGACTTTGTTATTTCCACAATACAGAAGAGGACACTGAAGCCCAGAGATGTCACATAACTTGGCCAAGGTTATAAAGTTGATAAATGACAGACACAGGCTTCAACTCAGATTTGTCTCCTTGAACTCAAAGCCATGATATGAAAGTCAGGAAATGACTATCACACCAGGCTGCCTCACCAGAGGACTTTTTATCCCAGCTGTGTGACTTTGGGGAACTAGACCTCCCTGAATTTCAATTCCCCCAGTTATATGAGTTGGCAATGTAAAGTGCTTCACAGAATTTCAGGCAAATAGCAGGTACTCAAGAATGTCATCTTCACATTTCTCTCACTAGCACATTCCAGGTCTCTTGACACAGTCTGCTATTTGTCACCAATCTCTACCCTTTCTTCCTTCCTACTAACTGAACCTCCCATTTTAGCTCGGCCCTTGGCCACCTAGGATAAAGACTCCACTTCCCAGACTCCTTTGCAACCAGGTGTGGTCATGTGGCTGTGTTCTAGACAATGGGATGTACTTTCAGGAAGTGTCCTGAAAAAGAGGGAAGGAGTGGGCTGTCTTCCAGACTTCATCCTCCTTGCTAACTGGCATGCAGAAATGAGAGCTGATGGCCAGTGCTCAGAGAGTCACCTTGCCCGTGAAGGCATGCTAAAAATGGCAAACTTGGGCCCCTCATACTTGTGGGGCCAATATGCAACACCTGGACTGCCGACCTTTAAATTCCTCTATGTGACACATAAGTTTTCATCTTGTTAAAACACACACACACACTTTTAAAATTTGCTTTTGTTTCTTTCTCACACTTTGAAAAGTAGTCCTAATTTTTACAAATCTCAATTCAAGAATTTCATGCAAACCAAAACATTTAAATCCACTGTTTAGAAAGGCTCAACTGCTGACGTGAGTAGACCCTCTGAACATGCAGTATTCAGTTTCTTCATCATCACAAGAGCCTATGTTTGCATGTGCAACTGAGGATTCCAAAAAACCGGGCAGCTGCAAGAACCAAGGTAGGATAACAGTCATTTCCTTTAAAAAAGAAATGGCAATAGTGACCTTTGCCACACATAGAAGGTAACATGGTGTTCTGAAAAGTTATTAACACAAGTTTCTATTATTTCCTTAAAAATTATTTTTTTGTGATGAATTTTTAGTTATACCACTAATTAGAAATTTACAAAGTATTTAGCAACATGATGTTGAAATACTGTGTTTTAATTGAAGAAATGTGAGAAGATGCAATTACTTAATAATTGCATCTGAAAGTAATGTGTGCGGTCTGCTTTGGCCAAATCTACATCCTGAAAGTTTTTGAAAGATGTAAAGGAGCCAACAAATGCTTTCCTCATAAATAAATCTCTGTTAGCATCTCAGTTATAAGAAGATTATGAAGCTCAATGTCAGGGTGTCAGAATATCCATGGAGCAGCCTAGGACTCCACTGTTAACGCAGGTTTTCCAAGGCTGCACAGACATTCAGTGCATCACCTATCAGACCTTCCCCTGAGCTCTGGCTGCCACATCAAATTTAGGTCGTCTGTGCCTAAATGAGCTGCAATAACTCACCTGGAGTAGAGGACATGACAAACAACTGCTCTTCGTTTTAACAAAGAACTTGGATGTGAGACAATCTGTGACTGGCAGTTGTCTCACATCAGTAATCATAATATGTACCAAACACTGAGTAGGTAGAGGACATCCACACAAAGGCAATAAGTGTCTTATTAGTAGATACATTTTTTTTTTATTTTGTAGATGAGGAAACTAAAGCCTAAGAAGATCAAAGAACTGGTCCAACGTCACACAGCGCTACTCAGTCTCTGGTCCATTCTGCTTTCCAGAGAACAAAACCCACTTGCTCACTCCTGTCAGCCAGAAGCCTGATTTCAAGTGTTAAGACATGTCTAGGGCCAAAGCCTTCCTGAAGTCAAATTCCTTTTCACAGTCTGACTTTGTGCTTGTCTTCGTGAAGTGAAGATTTGTGAACGGACTAGCTGGTATTAAAGTGGAATGGATGCTCTTCTGAACTCCTGTCCCTGCATTTGGGGAGGCATAGTCAATAGGGGGATTGAGATGAACGGGTGAAGTTGGGACAACACAAATCACACCATGATCCATGTCTGCTAGAAATGGGCTGTTAAGGCTTGTAGTGAGGACAGAAAAATGATATTGTTATTTTGCAAAAAGGAATCTTAAAACACTGCTCTCTACCCAAGTGGTTTTATGATCATCTTCACTTTTCTTTTATTTTCTTCGAGATGGAGTCTTGCTCTGTTGCCCAGGCTGGAGTACAGTGGTGCGATCTTGGCTCACTGCAACCTCCACCTCCTGGGTCCAAGCAATTCTCCTGCCTCAGCTTCCTGAGTAGCTGAGATTACAGGCGTGTGCCACCATGCCCGGCTAATTTTTTTGTATTTTTAGTGGAGACGAGGTTTCACTATTTTGGCCAGGCTGATCTTGAACTCCTGACCTCAGGCAATTCACCCGCCTCGTCCTCCCAAAGTGTTGGGATTACAGGCATGAGCCACCGCACCTGGCCCATCTTCACTTTTCACTCTAAGTTTGGAATCATCAGGCAGCAGAACTGCACAGTGCCTTCTGAGCACACTGTCTTGCCTCATGATTAAGACTGTGAAGTGGAAAGAGCAAGTCAGGGGACAGGTGGACTGAGCAAGGGTCGTGGGAGCCTCATGGAAGCCACCCCAGCTCTTACCTCACCAACCATTTTCACATCTTCCCGCCCATACCAGTCAGGCTCATAGACTTCATGCAGCGACTCTGTGAGCTTCATGGAGGCCTCCTGCATGCCTAGTGTTGGAGAGAAACAACTCCCGTTACACAGAAATGAGTGAGGATTCTCTTCTCCCTTCCTCCACTTTCTTAAGTGAGAGAAAAATATTGTACTTGCTAAACATTTAAGGAAAAACTATAAAGGCACAACTGCTGCTTGTATCTGCTGTTGTATCTTTCTTTGAGGGTCTCTAAGACTTATCACATTGCACATTTTCTATTATTCACTTGATAATGATAGATATGGGGTCTCGGGAAAGATCAACAAGTATCCTACTCTGAAAACTACAATAATCATAGTGTGTCCTATTACGTGTGCTATCACTTGCCAAGTGGTATCAGATGCTAAGAACACTGGTCCATAAAACTGCAGAGTTCTCAAACTAAAATTAGTCCTAAATGAATTTAAATACATGGCATAAAGCATTTTTAGAAGGGACTAGAAGTAAAAATCAATAGGATTATAGGGCATAACAGTCAAAAGTGGTTAAGTGGCCTAAAATGGTAAACACGGTTAAAGTGGTTAAATGGTTAAGTTTTAAGTGGCCTAAAATTTTTACAAAGAACAAAGAAAAAAAGTTTGTCATTTTCCAGTATAGTAAGTCCTTACTTAATGTCATCTATAGGTTCTTGCAAAGTGTGACTTTAATTGATACGATGAATAATGAAACCAATTTTACCCAAGGCTAATTCATATAAATAAGAGTTAAGTTACCAGGACATATTTTTCGTCACAGACACATCACAAAACTTCTAACTAAATGTCAAAACACTTCTAATATTGAACATTGAAATAAATGAGAGCAGTACACACATTTAAGGAAGATTAATAAAAACAAGTAAGATAATTATTTACTTACTTACTCCAGTTTAGGGTCATGGGTGACCAGATCCTCTCCTAGAGGCTCAGAGCACAAGATGGGAACCAGCCCTGGACAAGATGCATATCATCGCAGGGTGCACTTACAAACCCACACTCACTGACATGCCAGTAAACTTCACCTGTATATCTTTGGGACGTGGGAGGAAGTCAAAGTACCGAGAGAAAACTCAGTGTACAAATTCCATACGGACAGTGGCCCTGGCTGAGATTTTTTTTTTTTTTCTCATCATTATTGTAACAAAATGATGTTGAATGAAACAATGCTATTTGAAGATCTGCTGTATTATTTAAAACTATGAATGAAGTTTTAAATCAAAACTCTTAGAAATTTTAGGGTTCCTAAGCCTTTGGGTCTGAATTTTCATTAGGGATACATTTGATATGTTGCAAAACTATGGTTTGCAACATTAAAGAATAGCATTAAAGATATATGCTTCTGAGCACAACATGGTGACATAAAGTATCACCCAGTCCTTTTAGTCTCTCCCAAGGACCCCCTGCACAAAGGTTAATGAATGTACTGAAAAGCCACGAAGACAGCTCATGGCTGAGAGCAAAACAAGGGGCCAGGAAGAGCTGGGGACTTGGAGATGCGCCTCCGGCAGAAGACTCTCCCCGACAGCCGGAAGGTGGGACCTGGCCACATTGATGTCTTGGCCTTTGTCACTACGGGGGATAAAAGGGGGCTGGAAACAGGGAGAGGAGAGGAAAATCAGAGCACTGTCATGAGAAATAAAAAACACATCCTGTAAACTTAAGGTCAGTGAATCCTAAGATAAAAATCATTTGTTAAACTGAAAACTCAACATTCTTGCTGGATTGGAGGTAGCTAATTCTGGGTTCAACTGTGAGAGAAAAGGACAAACTAAAAGATGTCTGAAATGACAGAAGTACATCCTTGAGGAGTATGTATAAAAGTCCACATGTAACTTGGTGTTTCATAGCACTTGTGCTCTCTTTAGACACAGCCAACATCTCCCTTCCCTCAGAGCATCGCTGGGCACATTCCACGAAGCCCTTGACAATGAGGTGTCCTGCCTACATGAGCTGAAGAGACTTGACCACCATCGGACGAAGCCCTTGCAGAGTCTGGGGTAGGAAAAAAACAGTATGACTCAAGACTCTGGGGACTCTGATGAAACAGAGTCGTGCAGGTGAAGGGACAGCAAATAGGAGACAAAACCTGAATCCAACCCATCGCACTCTGAATCCAAGCAAGGGGGGATGCGTTCTCTCATGATATGGTCAACACTGAGGTGGAAGCTACATTATGCCAAGTGTCCAAATTCACCCTCACCCAAGTACAAGCAAATCTCTATCAAGAAATATACCCCTCAAATTCATAACAAGCGTTAGTCACTAGTGGACCCCCTTCTATAATCCAGATGCCAAAAAACTTCTGGCATTTTCTTTAAATCTTTGTCTTAAGTCTGATGGAAACTATACACAACTGTGTAGATAGGTTTTTAACAATGTCTTAAGAGAAGAAAAAGAAATTTGGCACTGTAGACCAAATAATCTTTGTGATGAAAAATAAAATCATGAATATAACCTTAAAATAAAATTATATAAGATTTTAATCATCAAGACTAAAAGCATGATGTTGCAGTAAATATGTCTATTAGCAGCCAAAAGAACTACTAATTACAGGGTGGATAAGTGGTGATGGATCATTTGGACAGAAGCCATTTTGACATGGAAATTGTTTTGAGAACATCTACTCCATAGGATGCACTTTGATGGATACACAGGTGAAAGGCTTCAAGCCTAGCTCCAGACTGGCAGAGCTTTTAGGGATTTAGGGATTACTCTTCTGACAGAGTATGATGGGCGAAAAAAGCTAAAATACAAGTTCTCTTCAGAGTAATTTGGAACATCAAAGCAGAAAAGGTGCTAAATGCTACCTCCGAGATTGAATAATATACAATATCCAAAATTTTCTTAAAAGATTAGTGATTTCTAAAACTGTAAGACAAATGCCCAGCATCATATACAGAAGAATTATTATTATTTTACTACTGGATGGGAACCACTTCACTCTTTTCAAAATTTTGGACCTTCTCCAAGACATTTCATATAACATTGTCTATTCCCATTTGCAGCCAAATTTGTGAGCTTCTATTTTCATCCTTTAAGACTTGTTGCATAGATTGCACTACTTTATAAGTACTCCTTGCTTAAATAGCCTGAGAGTATGTGTTTTAGTTAAAAATAACATCAGTTAAAATAAATTACGATGATAACAAGCAGCAGCGATAAACCATTAAAAGAACGTCTAAAATACTGCAAGTATCTAGCAGCTTTGTCCCATTGCTTAGACGAGAGCTGTGTAAAAAGACAGCAGCTGCCTCAAAGGAAAGCAAGAGTGGGCATCTTTTTCTTAGATTCTTAAGGAGAGCAAGGATGGGAACAAGAGTTGGAATAAAATAGGCAGTTGGTGAGGTAGCTCAAGAATAGTCAACCCTACCCCTTAGTCATGCCTACACATAAGACACATAAATGAAGAACTATTAATGACACCACGTGCACTGTGCTCCATTTAGAGAAAGATCTGGCATGTTCATCATCCCTGTGTCTGGCCTCTGCTGCACCTGCATGCCAGTGACTCCCAATTCTAAATTCCTACTGGACATCTCCACTTGGATGTCTTACTAATACCTCAAACTTCACATGTCAAAAACAAACTCTTAATTTTCTTGTCCAAACCTGCTTCAACTCCTTTTCTCAGTTCTCATGAATGCCATCCAGTTGCCCCAGTTCAAAAACTAGAAGTTATCCCAGATTCATCCTCCCAAAGCTGAGTCACCAATTCCACCTGATTCTTAAATCTAGCCCCTTCCTTCCCTGCCCACTGCCCTTCCCTGGATTAGATACTCATCACCTACGATTTAGATTAGATAACCTAATCCACATAACACGATTTAGCAAAGTAGTTGGCACAAGCAAATGTCCAACTGTCAGCCATCACAATACAAAATATTTTTGGAGGCAACATAACAAAATAATTAAGACTATTATTTGCAATTAATCAGCCTTTGTTAAAAGCTTGGTTCCATTACATGTGATTCATGTGATTTTAGGCAAATTATTAATCATCTATAACCTCAGTTTTCCAAGAGGTAAAATACTAATAAATAAACCTGCCACAAGGTTGTAGGGAAAATTACATAAACTGAGACATGTCAATGCTTATCTCAGTGCCTAGCATATAAGTGCTCAATAAATGTTAGCTAATAGTATTATTGAACTATTGGACTAAACTTCTACTAAATCTCCATGCAATTTCACTTCTTCTAGCCTGAATTCCACACAATCACAATAACTATTTTTCTAAAATGCTAATCTGATCATGGGACGTTTTCCCTTGTCTACAATAACTCTAACAATGACTCTCCTGTCTATTGATAGAATAAAATCCCCATATGATATGATACATGAAGCACTTCTTTATATAAATGCTGCTGCCTTTCCATGTTTCATCCAGCTCAGTTTTCTGCTTGCATCTCACTGCTCTGTTTGTTCCCTCAAGAACCCGTGCTTCCTTCTGCTTCCTGGCCCAGTTGTTTCTTCCACCTGCAATGTCCCTCTGAAATCTATCTTTCTCTAGAAAACCTAATGACTTGATGGCCACCTATGACCCCACTTCTTGGGTTCATTCAAGTGTAAGTTCCTTGGAACAACCATTCCTGCCCCAGTCTCTTGCCTCTCCTAAGGTGTGAATCTGTCCTCTGTTATGATGGCACTCAATGCACGTATCTATTAAAATACATATTACTATGCCTATCTGGCCTTTTTATTTAAGTGTCTTCTCACTCTGCTGTGAGCTCCTTGCAAGCAGGCACTATGTCTTGTTCATCTCTGCATCTCCCTCTCCTAGAACAGTGTCAGGTGCACAAATGGAGCTCCAGAGATGTTTGCTGCTAAAATGAATGCAAGCATAAGATCTGCCTCACAAAGCCTAAGCATCAGCAGAAATCATAAAGACCCATAGAGGGGAAGCCACCCAGAGATCAGTCACAATAAAATGATTAGAATTCATTTAACCCAACTTCACAGAATCCCAGTTTTGGGGCCTTTAGGGGCTTCTGAGAGAACTGAAACATTTAATAGATGAGGAACCCAAAGCAACTAAGAGGCTCAATGATTTTCCCACAATTGCCCCAGGACCCATGACCCTCCAGGGCCAAATATCACTTTCTCCTATGCTGCCCTGATGCTACCTGTGTTATAGCAGGATTAGTGAGCCAGAGTTGTCCTTGGGAAAACAAGAAAAATTGCCCATGAAAGCCTTTGAAAATGTAAATTATGATCTACTTAAGGCATTGATATGGTTTGGCTCTGTTTCCTTACCCAAATCCCATCTTGAACTGTAATAATCTCCATGTGTTGTGGGAGGGACCTGGTGGGAAGTAACTGATCATGCGGGCGGGTTTCTCCCGTGCTGTTCTCGTGATAGTGAATAAGTCTCATGAGATCTGATGGTTTGATAAAGGGGAGTTCCCCTGTACATACTCTCCCTTGCCTGCTGCCACGCAAGACATGCCTTTGCTCCTCCTTTGCCTTTGCCATGATTGTGAGGCCTCTGCAGCCATGTGGAACTGTGAGTCCATTAACCCTCTTTTTCTTTATAAATTACCCAGTCTGGGGGCATGACTTTATTAGCAGCGTGAGAACGGACTAACACAGGCATATACCTTGTTTTCAAGTTTGGTCCCAAAACCCAAAATGTGTTCCCAGGAACAATATTCATTCTTCACGAGGCTTTGAGAAGAGAGAAGGGTCCTGCAGTCAAATAACTTGGAATTCCTGCCTGTCCCACAGGACTTCTGAGTTGACTTTAGCATATTAAGGGCTCTGAGAAACTCAGTAGTAGCCTGTTTAAAAATTCATTCCAATCAGCTGTGGACAAAGTAATTTAAGCAGAGATCTCTTTTTTGGAGCATCGCTTGTTAACATAGTCAATCAGCAAACCCAAGATGGGGAAAAGCTGATAGAATTCCTTTCTCCGTCATATGGAGCTGTGGCCACTAGCCCTGGAGTGCAGGTGCCGTCTGCCAGAAAGGCTTATCTGATGCTTCACCCAGCTTTTCTCTGGAGCTCAAGCCTCATCCTCAGGGAATTCTTCTAGATCACATTAAGGAAAAGAATTATGCCAGTCTCTATAAGCAGCACGCTCCACACCAAAGAGGCAGCATAGACCAAATCAAATAGACTTGGGAAAGAGAACTCACTCTTTCATTCAACAAACTTATCCACATTTTCAAAAAAATCAACTAACCCAGAAAAAGTCCTGTGCTTGAAATGACTTCCGTGTTCAAATCCTAAATCAATAATAAAAGAAATACCTAGAGTGGCTTCTATTTTCTGACTGAACTGTTACAAATACTTAAGGTTGATTTGGGAGTAATTAATGATGAGCTCCATCAAACTGTGGAAGTTAAATTCTCTGAGACTTACTTCTTTGCAAATGTAAAATCAAGTTAATGACATTGATAATATGGCTATGTTGGGAAGTTAGAAACAGGTAATATGCCTAAAATGCTTAGCACAGACTCTAACACATAGTAAGTGCTCATGAAAAAGTAATAGTAGTAGGTTGCCATTATTCCATTGTATAGATGAACTCTGACTTGTGAAACCAATGCCTTACCATTGGTCACGTAGTTCAAAGGCAGTAAAAGACAGTAGATAAAACCAGGGCTCTGGAGAAACACAGAACGAAATATGCAATCTGGCCCTGTTGTTTCCTTGGCATGCAACCTTGGATGAGCTATTTAAACTCTATTTTAAAAAATCACTTTTTCTTTTCCTTTTTTTGAACAGGGTCTCACTCTTTCACCCAGGCTGGAGTGCAGTGGCATGATCTCCACTCACTGCAACCTTCACCTCCCGGGTTCAAGCAATTCTCCTGCCTAAGCCTCCTGAGTAGCTGGGACTACAGGCATGCGCCACCACACCTGACTAATTTTTGTATTTTCAGTAGGGTTTTGCCATGTTGCCCAGGCTCATCTTGAACTCCTGGCCTAAAGTGATCCACTCGCCTCAGCCTCCCAAAGTGCTCGGATTAAAGGTGGTGTGAGCCACTGTGCCTGGCTGTAACTCACTTTCTTATCTATAAAATGAAGATAATAAAACTACCTGCCTTATAGAGCTGCCATGAGAATTAAAATGATATGCCTGGACTATAAAATTCATAAATATCTTTTAGTTTAAAAATCAATTTTGCTAATTTTTATTATTTTGGCCATTTTTAAATTATTGATATTTTTATTATTTCATTATTTAATAACATGTTTATATTCAGTTCTATACATCCACATTAAAACTGTGAGAATAAATTCTTAGAATGAAACTGGTATGTTAAAAAGCATACCAAATAAATAAATAAATAAATAAATAAATAAATAAATAAAAGATTTTACCAAATGCTCTCCAGAAAAGCTATCCTCCCAGCAATACATGAATGGAGTCCACTTCCCAGAGCTTTACCAATTCTAAATATGACAGTATTTTATTTGTAATGTGTTTGAACATTTGGAGGAAAAATGATAAAATCTTCTTTTCAATGCTACTTAATATTATTTGATTATTCATGAGGATAAGGCTTTTTTGCGTTTATCATCCATCTATAGTTCTACTTTGGCTAATTTTCCCTTAGAGTTTTCTGCCCATTTTTAATTTAACCAACTGACCTTCATTTAGTTTACTCACTGAGCTCTTTATATCTTGATTTACTTTCACTATGTTGTCAAAATGGTGTTTTTAAAAAACATATTAAGTTTTACATACTTACGACATCAAATCTCTTCATCTTTATGGAGAGATTTATGGGTTTCTGCCTTGCAAGTAACCCTTATAAAGACCTTCTCTACAGCCTAGAGACTAAATTTACTGTATTTTATTCTAGTACTTTAGCACATTTCTTTGCACAGCGATGCATAGCAGACACACCTGACAGTGATAACTTAGGCATCCCCTGAGAATCACCCTGTATGGTAGATGCACCTGAATATGTGCTCAGAGTTCTGAGCTAAGGAATCTGGGAGTGGCCAACCGAGAGATTAATTCCTTGTCTACAAGGAACACCTGAGCCCTGAGCCTGTCCCATTGAAGGTGAGTCATACAGGGGATTGAGGCCATGTGTTTTGGGTTAAACGAAGGTTGCCAGGTGGAGGTTGTTAGGTAGAGGATGCTAAGCAAAAATGTTACAGAAACTGCATTGCTTTTTGCAAACGGATGTAGTTCTCCTGCCCAGCCTGCCACCACTTGGCTGTGCAATACTCCTGCCCAGCCCTGCCATGACTGGGCCCACTCTGTATGTAAGTTTCCCACTAATAAAACCCTGTGTCTTGTTTGCTGACTCTGGGTCCCTTCTTCGGCCCCTTGAACCTGGTGCCATCCCTACTGAAGTTAATAGAGTCCAGTACAACAACATATTTACATCTTTACTATATCTGGAATTAGGAAGGAGGGAGTAAAGCGTGAGGTTGAGAATTTCACTCTGTTTTCTAAGTGTTTGGCCAGTTTTCCCAATACCCCTTGTCAGATGATCCATTCTTTCCCCACAAAATCTGCCTTATGATACATCATATCCGTGGGCACACTTGGCTGTGACTCAGGGCAGGCAGCGTGATGATGGATAGCAGGCACAGGCTGAGCCACCTCCCTATTGCTCTCTTCTCCCTCCTCCAGTGGCCTCATTTCCTTGCCTTACATGGCTGAGTCCAGAAACTCATGCTAGGGCCTCTCCATGCCTGTGCATTGCACGTCGGTAGGGATGCAAGCGCTGCTAATCCACACAAGTCAAAGCCAGTCCAGGGCCATGTTTGCTGATCATCTTCCACCTACCTTTGCCACCATGTCTTGCCCCTTCCAGTGAGAGGGCTTAGGTGCGTGTCTGTGAGTGCTCCACTCTTGGCATGTGGTCTCCCTCAGGAGGTAAGCCGGCTGCAGCTTTTCTTAAACAAGGTCTCAAGCTCACTCTAAGAAATTTTCCTGGAAATCTCTGGCATGTGGGTGGCATTTATTTCTAGTTTCCAGCATAAGGGCACACATATTTTTTCCTTATATATTCTGATTATCATTTCAATGGGAATTTGGGGCGGGGGGGTGGGTGGTGGAATGGAACACCTGTGTTCAAGCATCCATCTTGCCAGGAAGCCAAATGGCTTTGTAATTAACACTCAATCCTGTCACTCATGAATTCCAAGAACAACCTGTGCTAAGTAACATGCAGTAAACAACTCATACACATTACCTTTGATTGCTGCTAAATATCCTCGGAGTTCTCGCTGAAGTCTGGTACCCTCTGCCTAAAAAACACAAGCACAGATGCTAAATATCTAGTCTATATTCTGCATGAAAACATGTAAGAAGTGCTAAGTCTCAAAGTTACTATTGCCAGAAGCTCATTCTTGGAAAAAAACATAAATATGTGGACACAGACTAAACAAGGCAATAATGTCCATCAGTCTAGATATTTATAGAAATTTTGTTCCACTTCAAAGAGCAAAAGGAGAAGGCAAGATTTTGCTAATAGATAATACAATTCATTACACATCTTCTAATTCAAGAGCTATCAAATTTCTAGATTTTGACACATGGGTTATAATAGCAGGGAAGTGATCACCATTATCTAACATGGTAGCCACAAGCCACATATGGCTGTTGAGTACTTGCAATTGAGATGTACTGTAAGGGTATTTTCCATTTACAGTGTAACTGTATTTTATACAACATATTTTAGAGACTGAGTACCAGAAAAACCTCATTAATTTTATATAGATTACATGTTAAAACAATAATATTTTGGGTATATTGAGTTAAACTACATTATTAAAATTTCATCTCTTTCTTTTCACTTTAAGGATGTAGCCACTAGAAAATTCTAAACTATGTAGTTTGCATTATATTTTTATTGGACTGCATTGAAATAGAGAAACTGTTAAATTGTAAATGTTGACATATGAATGCCTGTTTTGGTTTGGATACTTTTTTAGAAACTCCGAGACTCTCTGAAACTAGGATGAGACTGCAAATAGTTTAATTTGGAGTTAGTCAAAGAAATGCCAATAGGAGAGTAGAGAAGTGAGGCAGAGAAGGGAAGATAGCTGATACAGACAGCGTTATCAAGCAAGTTACCACTGTGGGCAACTGGACCTCAGTTCCACTCGGGAACTCTGGAAGACAGTGTCAATGAAACACCCTATAGATACCCTAACTGAAAGGCGAGGAAGCTGAGGCGTTTATCCAATATCTCCTGTCAGCTATGTTTCTAGAGCTGCTCCTAGGGGACATTAATTCCCCAATATATCTATATAGAAGCAGAGAGGGCTCCAGAAACCAGAGAAGCCCTCAGGCAAAGAGTTGCCAATGCTGGCACGTCAGTCTTGTGGGCTCAGAAAAAGGTACTAGGGGCATATGTCTGAGCACCAACAGTAGCTGCTATGACTCTACAACTGAAAGTCGATTTAAAACATGCATGCATTTTAATTGCATAGTCATTTAACAAAATTGCAGAGAGCTAGCATACAGGACTCCACCTTGAGCTCAATAATAGGACAGCAACTTCAATAGCCATGTTCAATTTAACAAACATTGTTAGTATTTGCCCAAAAGAGTGGTGGTGGGGGGACCCTCTTTCCTCATTATAATCTAGTGGGGGAGCTAAAATATATAAGCAAAAAACAAAACAATTGCACTGCAAGGCATATTACATTTAGCATTGCAACAGCCATTCAAAGTGTTGAAGTACAAAAACAAAATGTCCATCACATTTAAAGATAATGATTAATACAAATAAACTGACAAGAAATAATTAAGACTATGCTTGACGGCAAAAGGGATTCTGAATTAGGATATTTTCCATATAACACTTGCATTGTGCAGGTATAGTGGCATTATTTCCTTGAAATCTATGTAACACTCAGGTGAGGTATTCTGTATTTGAGTTAAGCTCAGGTTATTTTTGCAGCTCTATAAACCCGGTTACTACCAGACAAAAGCTTAGGATGAGTCCATTTGCTGGCACGTATGAACTTCAAACAGAATGGTTCTATTCAGAATGGCAAAGCAGAAATCAAAGTGCTAAACAATTGACTCCCTTTCTAGTGTCTCAACATGGTTTTAAATCAAAACTCAAGGTTTCTATTCCCTTGTTGAAACATGCAGAAAGTTTGTGTGATGGCAAACTTCCATCAGCTAGAGAAAATAAAGCAAATCATGGTGGGGTTCCAAACAGCAAAGTGTAGTAGAAAACTATTTCCAGAGAGAGGAAGAGGAGAATAAAGAGAAAATGCTGATGATAAACACTTGAGTAAAAGCAGTCGATGAAGAGGACCCAGAGAAGTCAGGATGAAGTTCTCAATACCACCAAGAAAAGCATATTGCAACAAAAGAAGTGGGTCTTTCCCCTACTAAATATCCATTATATGAGAGCATTGTGTCACATTCTGAGTACATAAATAGTGGAAAAAATATGGCTTTGGTAGATTTTATTGTCAATCTATGCTGCAACTCCCTACCAGATCTGTCATTGGAGAAAGATCATACTTCCTGCCTCAGCGACATCAGGCTTGGCTGTAGGACTGTAGACAATGAAACTTAAGTGGAAGTAACATGTGCTACTTTCAAGCTGAAGCTATAAAAGCCATCACATGCTCCTGCCATTTCTTTCCTCTCCCCATACAGAATTTGTTTCTTCAATCTGGATCCCAGAGTGAAGGGACCACAGAGCACAGCCACCACCTGCATTTTCATGAGTGAGAAACTAACCTCTGTTGTTGAAAGCCACTGAGATGTTGCTACCATGGCATAACCTAGCCCAAACTGCCCAGTAAAATGATTCACCATCAACAGAGGAAATGCTGAAATGTGGAGAGAGGCTGAAATCTAACCACAACAATAAAAAGCCCAATAGAATTAGTGAACAGAAAAGAAATAAAAGCATTTACAGAAACATTTCAGAAAAATCAAACTGGAAAGATGAAGGACAAACTGAACGGTTCACAAATGGAAGCCCAAGTGGTGGTCAAGCAACGGAAAGAGATAGAATGGAACTGAGAGAGAAGCAAGCTCCAGAATCATTTGTCCCATCAGATTTCAGATAATTTAAGAGAGAATAATATCTGAAATTTACCTGGACAAATATAGACCCAAACCAATCTAAAGCCTAAAAGCCCTAAAAGGTACAATTAGGAGGGCTTGAATCCATTAAGGCCACATTTCTCAAACTAGATAATTGTAGAATCTGGGGGCATTTAGTGGTTTGTCTAGGGCACATACATCCACAAAACAAAGCTAAAAGATCTGTCTGGAACATCAATTTATTGAGGTGAAGGGAAAGAAATGGAAGAGAAACCATTATTTTACAACCACTAAGCCACCTCTTAAGAAGTCGGATAAAAAAATAGCATGGGGATGAAACACAGAACTTCACAGATTTCTGCTGCTTTCAGCTGTCTGCTTTAGGATTCTGCTGTACCAGTCATGGTCCTTCCATGGAAATGTGTGAGGGACACCGAGTTAAGCAAGGCTCACTTCTCACCCAGAAGGATGTGTTCCCTCAGTTATACAGAGCCGGCCATGAAAAGGGATGGTTATGAGTCACCAGGATTGCTCAGAATATCCAGAAATAGCAAAAAAGTAGCAGGGAAGGGCATTCTTTTCTCAAATGTTCAAGGAACAAAGTTATGTGAAATTAACCCCACAATTAACTAATTGCCTTTTCCTTCAGTAGAAATAAAGTGAAATAATTCAGGCTCCAATCCATATACTGGATTCATCTTGTCGAAGGGAAACACTGCAGAGTTTTTTTTTAAATGAAATAAGAAATCTAGAAGAGATTTTTTATATAAGAGTGGAACAAAGTTCAAAATTGTACAATAATTGCTTAATAAATGAGTTCAAATTAAGCAGATAAACTAAAGGCTGATTTAAATGACTTTCTTCTTTTCCAATTATTAAAATTCTTAATTTTCCCCATGAGTATTTCGGTTTCATGAATCACTCAGTAATAGCCACACTGAATTTCATCTAAAATTCTACCTTAATCAAAAAGGTAAAAAGCTCTGGAGAAAAATCCTCCACCTACAATATGCCATAAAGTAGTTTCTCCTGTACAAAACTTATTGCACAATAAAATTTCCTTAAGATTGTTATTCTGCAGGAATAGCAGATGTTTGAAATTAAACAAATTCTTATAACATTGCTCAGATTTCACTGAATTTGAAGCTGATTCCAAATCCCTTTGTAAAGTATCATTTTAGTAATTCAGCCGTGAATTATGTATTGCACATGTGTGTGCAGAAAACAAAGTTCTACACCCTTGAGATTATATGCCTGTATTTTCCCTTCTTGTTTCTTTATATCATTTTCTACAAGACATCAGGAAATTATTGTTCTATGTCCTGGTCACAGGGATCATGGCAACAGGAGGGCAGGGGAGTCTATTATAATTAAGTTGTCTGAATTGCCTAGTAATACTCCTTCTTAGAGAAGATCCAACTGCATGAAGGTGCAACGGGTGTGGGAAATTATTGAGTCAAGCTGTTTTTTGTTTAGATACACTAAATTCTGAAGCGCTGCAATATATTAATATTAGTAAATACATATGCCAAGACTTCAAGAGTCTTTAAAAAGGTATAATTTTGTTAGTTTACCTTTAACTCAGTTATTTCTGCCCAGAAGAAAGGAGCCATAGTTGAGGCATTAATTTAATTTAGTTGTGGACAAAATTCATAGAATGAATTAATGATTTCTAAGGAACTAAACTTAGGGCAGCAGCAACCACTGCACAATTTAGGGGCACCATTCCCATGTACTACCTACTACCATGTGCATGACACCCCGGGGCAGGGGTGTGCATCACTATGGCCCCAAATGCACAAGAAAAAACAAACCCTGTGGATTTTATTATTAAGGTTAAGCAGGTCTGGAAAATATCTCAAAGCAATAGGAGTTTAATACCTGTTAAATAGGCAATGGCCTGTTGAATTGGCTTGTTAATATATGGTCAGTGTAGCACTAACTTATGTTTATAAGTAACTTTTGTTATAAAAAGAAAAAGAAAGACAAGAGGAAGAAAATATCACACACGGTATGGAAAAATTTTTCATTAAGTTGCCTCTCCAACTCAGAAACTGTAAGCTGACATTTTGAAAAGGGCTCAGGTGGAAAGCCAGCAGTACTAACATCTGCATGAAAGGTGGATCTTAGGAGACATAACTTCATAAAGTTGCAATTTTACAAAGGTGAGTCCTGTCATCTCATCTGTGATCATAAGCCTATAGACATTCCCAGAGTTACATTATTATTTTTGGCCTTTGATGACATTTTTCTCTTGAAAATGGCTGAAGTAACATATCAAAATTAAAACTGGCTCAATTTCTCAGAGTTCAGACAGGTTAACTCAATCTTGAAAGCAATGATAATAAACTTGCTGATCATTTTTGAAGCTTAGAAGAAAATTAGATTATCAAGGAGATGAGATTTAATGAGGCCATAATCAGCACCTTGATTAACAGATGACTAATAACATAATATTTGAATCCACTTATGATCAAAGACATTAGGCCACTGAGCACTACAGGCACTCCTGGCTTACTAAGAAATAGAGCTCTCCCTATGAAAAGTTCAGGTGCTGTTAAATGGGAAGATGTAAAAGCGCCCAGGGTCTCTGAAATTTACATTTCTGTTTCCTTGCTTTGAGCTCTGTGCACTATTGGAGCTGTCTGTCATTAAGAACCCAGCACTGACTTCATAAAACAATTCCTCTTCTTTTATTTCTTTTTTTCACAGATATTAATGCAGAAGATACAAGATAAAGATGAAATAAGACTGGATATTTGCAGTCATATTCCTGGGATGATGAGGCAGGGAGTGCATGGAAGGAAGAGAAATGTCAAAGAGAACATCTCAGTTTCCACAGTTTTATCCAAGATTCGTGGCCCAATTTCCAACTATCCCTGTCACCAATTCCAGGAATATCTACGATCTGAAGACTGATGATCACATACTTTCTAGCTTCAACAAAACAAAGTTAGAAATCTAGCTAATAATCATATGTACAATCTCTCCATTTATTTCCCTTAAGCCAACTAACTTTTTTGAGTTTATACAGATCTCCATTCGGATCTTCTGGAAAAGCTAACCCATAGTGTGTTAAACCGCCATCAAATCATCACAGCATGCAGACTGGATACAGCTGGAAGATCTGCTTTATTGCCTTGAATTTGTGACCCTTGAAAAACCACTCAGTTGTTTTTCTCTCTGTGTGTGAGGAGACTTGACTTATAAGGTGCATCATGGGCATTATTTAAAATCTTTTCAGCCTTTACCTTAATAGCTAGAGCACAGTATTTAATATACTGGTAGGGGAGAAGCACGGAGAGCTGACCCAAAAATCAAGGGCGACTTTAAAGGAGCCCCACTTCCAGTAGCAACTCCTCCTGTGACTTGCTGTTCGGTGTCTCCTGCTGTGGGTATAGATGCTAGCTCTATCTATAACATTCTATCGTGACCAAATCAGACAGCACGTACAAGGACTAGAAAAACAACTGCTGTGTCAAGGCACAGAGATGCACTGATGGTAGAGAAGGAAGGGCCTTAGCTATCATTACTCCAGGCCTAATCAACAGCCAGAATGTTTCTGAAACTGCCATTTATGATGTCTGTATTAGTTTGCTTGGGCTGCCACAACACAAAACCACAGACCAAGTGGCTTTCTCACAGTTCTGGAGGCTGAAAGTCCAAGATCAAGGTGTTGGTAGGTGCAGTTTCCCCCCGTGGCCTCTCTCCTTGGCTTGCAGATGACCACCTTCTTGCTGTGTCCTCGTGTGGCTTTTTGTCTGTGTGCGTGCGTCCCTGTTGCCTCTCCCTCTTCTTATGAGGACACCAGTCCTGCTGGATTAAGGCTCACATATATGACCTCACTTAACCTTAATCACCTCCTTAATGGCCCTATGTCCCAAAACAGTCACATTCTGAGGTACTGGGGATTAGGAATTCAGCTAATGACTCTGAGGAGAACACAATTCAGTCCATGATGTAACAATGAAAGTTTTTGATCTGGCAAAATAATCACAAAGTCTAACACCTACTGAGTGGCCACTTTGATCCAGGCATGGTTCTAAGTTTCACAATTCTGGTAGCTCATACTCCTCACAATAATTGCATATGGTTGGCACATTATTATGAGAAAACAGAGGCACAGAGGCTGAGAACTTGCCCAAAGTCACACATCTAATAGGTGGTAAGCCAGAATTGGAATTCAGGCAGGCTGAGTTATTTTAGCCGTATGATCCGCCTCAAGAGCCCACCAGCTTGACCCCTGCTCTCCCACCTCTGTGCCCCAGGCTGTAAAGGATGATGAAGGATAAAGCTGCCCAACAAGAAGCAACTGTTGATAAATGAGGATAATGTAACCAAAGGCACCATTCTCCATGCTCTCAGGATACAGTCCTCATCTGTGAATAAAGATATCAATTGTTCACTAGTTTTTCTCAAAGTCCCATAATTCCATGGAGTTTATTCCATGTGATTCATATCACAGAGTGGTTAAGTCTACAGGCTCTGAGATCACACTTCCTGGCCTTAAAATCTGAGCTCTGCCACTTCTAACCATGCAACTTGGGGCAAGTTACTTAATCTCTCTAGGCCTCCGATTCCTCATCTATTAAATGAGGATGATAACAGTACCCACCACCTAGAGCTATCATGAAGGTTGAGGGAGACGAGTTACATAAAGTATCTGCTGAGTGCCTGGCACATATCATGCACTCAGGAAATGCTGGATAACACTATTATCACTCAACTAACACTTTGTAAATGATAAATTATGCAAAGGGTAGGTGTTTCATAAATGCTTGATTGACCGAAGTTCTGCTACATGTCATACTGCAAACGAATATCTTCATGAGGAAGATGCATGATGAAAAACCCTCCCAAAACAAGCTACTTGGGAATTTATAATGCTTCCTTGTTTTTTCATTTGTACTTTTAAGTATCAAAGACACAGTTATATTTTTCAGAAAGTTATTTTATAGCTTTGAATATTGCAGTAATAGAGGCTCCCAGAGTATACAAGAACAATTTATGCAGATGTAAAAGAACCAACTAACAATGGATATGAGAAAAATCAACGGAATATGATAAACTACTGCCTGAGGAAACAAGAAAGCATGAATACTAAAGGAAAAAAGAATAAGTTCATTTCCAAAATGAAAATTTTTATGACAGATACTCAGTTTTCTCACGTAAAACAGAATTGTAATTATGGATTGCCATGAGAATCAAGTAGATAATATACAAAACGCTTTCTAAATGTCAAAGTCCTTTGTAGAAAGTCTTCAATATAAAAATACTTTGTCACTGCTTTTGCCTAAGCCAGTCAAATAAGGCTTGGAAATTTGGAAATTGTTAAAGCCCCTTGGAAGATTCTTATAACTAATCAGGTTTGGGAACATATTCCAGCAGATATGCAATCAAAGAAGCCATTATCTTTATTATATGTGTGCAATCTCAGGCTTATATCCAAGTGGTTAACATCATAGAACGACTCTTTAGAGACACAAGTCAAATGTGTGACTTGACTCATAAGTCTGAAATAGGACCCAAGAATCTGTATTTTAAAAAGCCTCCAGGTGATGGTTATTGGGAAACTTTAATTTTTTTCACTGTGTCTGTCACTTAATGGACACTTAAGTGTGTATGTAGCTCTAGTATGAGATCCCTAAAAAGACACTTAAAAATATGTCTGGTTCCAGGTTTCAGTCAGTCACCATAAGACATTCCTTCTAGTGTATGTCCTTCCTTTAGATTGCTATGCCAATGGCAAAATCCATGTTGGGGCTTACAAGGTGACTTATAAGAGAGAATCACCATCAATGGGAACCAATAAAACTCATGCAAATCTGAAAACCAACTGCAGCTCATTTCTGCAGTTGTTCAAAACCATTTCCGATAGTCTCCCTGGGCTTGGATGAGAGATATGCCTCATTCTCTGCATCCCATTACCAGAATGGTACAGTCAACCTGGGAATCATTGAGACAGATGCATCCAAACTAAATAATGAGTTTAATTCACAAGGGGAAGTGGAAAATATATGGAATTAGTCTCTAAATAAATGCTGAGGAATGGGACTCTAAACCCTCCCTAGTTGGCATGGTTAATTAATATTGTAGGGTAAAATGCAACTAAAGCGGGTAACAGAATAGGACAGATAAAAGGAAACCATCAGAGAAATAACATGAAGAGCTTCCTCTAGGAGTGATTTCTTAAACTGGGGACAGGCTTCATAGGAAATGGCACAGTAATGTCTGTGACATCTGCAATTTGACTGGGTCAATTTTTAGTTCCGCTTAAATTAAGGCTTTTCATTTAGATAGGCCAGAACTGAAGAGATGCTCTTACTGATGAAATAAAATAAATAAGAATAAAGAGGTTAACAGATAAACAAGTTAAACAAATGTAACAAGTTTTTGTTTTCTTCCTCCTGTCTGGCACCATGGACAGCAACACCCTACAATTCCCATGAAGTAGGCAGACTTACTTGCCAGTGAGGAAAGAGGAGATTTATTGGATGTGATGGAAATGAAATAAATAGAAAGACTATAGATAAATGCAGAACAGTTTGAAAAGCAAGGGCCGTTACATTCTTTTGACACCTACAGGTTTCCACTATCTGCTCCCTCCCACAGAAGTCAATTTTATTGGCAATCATAGCCGTTTATACTTATATTTTAAAAACTTTAAATCAAGATTGTGTAATCAAAACACATATTTCCAATAAGAATAATATTACCAAGGAGAGTGGCAGTCTTAACTAAGAGCTCAGTGGCCACATTCTCTTGTTTTTTGCCATATAATGAATACAACTATATCTAAATTAAACTAAGAATCTCATAGCCAATCACACAACAATTTCATACTATTTAGCAAGCTATGTGAACAGCTTTACAGGGTGATGATTTTTGCAGAAACGAACAGGAGACACCCATTGAACCTGGGAAGTCTAGCTGAAAATGGGATTGTGGAAAGGTATAGAAATCATTTCTTCAAAGAATACCAATTGGGTTGAGAGAATACTCATGCACAAATGACAAGTGATGAAACTAGGATATCAAAATATATCATAATTATGGAAGTATAGTGACATCATCAAGAGATTCTGTATCTTTTCCCTACTACTTTAATTGCTTCAAAAGAAAGAAGACTTTTGTGCACTAGACCACAAGCTTGACCAAAACAGAAATTTTTCTCTAAATTGTTCATTTCTTTCAGTGCCTTGTACAATGCCTTGAGTCAATGAAGAATCCTTTTGATAAAGATTTGTGTATAGGGAATTTATTCTCTGTTACCTTAAAAAAAGTGTCCTGCTCCTAGCTCAAGTCAATTCCTCAGTTGTGTATTAGATACTTTCTCCTCCTGCCTACTCAAGGGAACAGATCAGCTGTTCTTCCCTTTGTCTGATGAATCACCACATTTTCATTCTGGTCTAAATGAGTCCCTTTCACATATTTCTGCCTTCTTAAGAAAATGTTCTTTTGACCCTCACTCCTTCTCCCAGCTATAGTCTTGGTCTTTGACCCCCCTTTGCTTCAAAAGGCAAAACTTGAAAATTGCTGCCTCCAGGCCTCTAAATACCATTCCCTTTGCTCTGCTTATTCTTGCCTTACTTGGTTTTCTTTCTATAGCTCTCATCATTTTCTAGCAGACAGTATAATCTACTTAGTAATTGTGCTCTATTTATTGTCTGCCTCCCTGTTTTGGAATGTAAGATCCACAATGGCAACGACCTTTGTCTGTCTTGTTCACTGAAGTTTCTGGAATAGCTAGATCAATTCCTGGCATGCAGAACACACTCAGTAAATCCATAGCAAATTCATGCCTCAATAGTTACCTGCTATTGTTTTAAATGGGCCTCCACATGATATCATCTATCAAATAACCTAAAAACTTCCTTAAAAGTTAATACTAAGATGAAACACTTTAAAATTTGGAAAATATTTACACAATAAGATGGTTTTCAACATTAAAGAACTCCTGCAGAAATTTACAGCTACAACTAAGAGTATATGCTATGGTTTCAATGTCCCTGCCAAAACTCATGTTGAAATTTAATTGCCGTTGTAACAGTGTTGAGAGGTAGGATTTTTATGAGGTGATTAGGCCATGATGGCTTCACCTTCATGAATGGATTAATGCCATTATCATGTGAGTGGCCTAGTTATCATGGGAGTGGGCTCCTGGTATTAAAGATGAGTTTGGCCTGACTTCTTTTCCGTTTTGTGTACTTGCTTTCACCTTCTGTCCTTCTGCCAATGTCTGAGCAGATGCTGATGCCACGCCCTTGGTCTTCATAGCCTCCAGACTGTGAGAAATAAATTTTTCTTTATAAATTACCTGGTCAGTGGTATTCTATTGTAGCAGCAGACTGAGACGGAAAATTTATACCAGAAAGTGGGGCTGTTGCTATAACAAATACCTGAAAATGCAGAAGAAGCTTTAGAATTGGGTAATGGATAGAGGATGGAAGAGTTTGGAGCAGGCTAAAAAGAGCATTTATGGCTGTGAACAGAGCATTAAGGGTGATTCTCGTGAGGGCTCAGAAGAGGAGAGCTATAGGAAAAACCTAAATCTCCTTAGAGATTACTTAGGTGGTTGTGACCAGAATCATAGTAAAAATATGGACAGTAAAGGCCATTCTGGTGATGTCTCAGACAAAAAAGAGGAACAAGGCATTGGAACCTGAAGAAAAGGGAATCCTTGTTATACAGTAACAAAGACCTTAGCTGAGTTGTGTCCATGCCCAGCGGACTTTATGGAATGTAGAAATTGAGGGTGATTGATATGGTGTGGATTTGTGTCCACACCCAAATCTCATGTTAAACAATAATCCCCAATGTTGGAGGAGGGACCTGTTGGGAGATGACTGGATCATGGGGGTGGACTTCCCCCTTGCTATTCTCATAATAGTGACTTCTCATGAGATCTGATTGTTTAAAAGTGTGTAGCACTTCCTCCTTCACTCTCTTCCTCCTGCTCCAGACAAGTAAGATATGCCTCCTTCCTTTTCACCCTCCACCATGATTGTAAGTTTCCAGAGGCCTCCCCATCCATGCTTCCTGTACAGACTGTGGAACTGTGAACCAATTTAACCTCTTTTCTTTATAAATTACCCAGTTTCAGGTAGTTCTTCATAGCAGTGAGAGAATGAAATAATATGAATAATTGGCACCAAGCAGTGGGGCATTGCTATAAAGATACCTGCAAATATGGAAGTAACTTTGGAACTGGGTATTGGGTAGAGGTTGGAAGAATGTGGAGGGCTCAGAAGAAGACAGAAAGATGAGGGAAAGTTTGGAACTTCCTAGAGACTCATTAAATTGTTGTAACCAAAATTCTGATAGTGATATAGTCAATGAAGTCCAGGCTGAGGAGGTCTCAGATGGAGATGAGGAACTTATTAGGAACTGGAGCAAAGGTCATTTGTGTAATTTGTTAGCAAAGAGATGGCAGGCATTGTGCCCCTGCCCTACAGAGATGATTTAAGGTATCTGGTGGAAGAAATTTCTAAGCAGCAAAATGTTCAAGATTTCACCTGGCTGCTTCTAGCAGCCTATGCTTATATTCATGAGCAAAGAAATGACCTGAAGCTAGAACTTATGTTTAAAAGGGAAGTAGACTGTAAAAGTTTGGAAAATTTGCAGCCTGGCCATGTGGTAGAAAAGAAAAACCCATTTTCTGGAGAAGAATTCAAGTTGGCTGCAGAAATTTGCATAAGTAAAAAGGAGCCAAGACAATGGGGAAAATGCCTTGAAGGCATTTTTTTTCAGAGACCTTCTTGGCAGCGCCTTCCATCACAGGCCCTGAGGCCTAGAAGGAAAGAATGGTTCTGTGGGCTGGCCCAGGGCCCTACTGCCCTGAGCAGCCTCGGGACACTGCTCCATGCATCCCAGCCACTCCAGCTCCAGTCATGGTTAAAAGGGCCCCAGAGAAGTCTCAGACCACTGCTCCAGAGGATGTAAGCTATAAGGCTTGATGACTTCCATACAGTGTTATGCCTGTAGGTATGCAGAGGGCAAGAGCTGAGGCATGGGAGCCTCTGCCTAGATTTCAGAGGATGTATGGAAACACCTGGTCCAGGCAGAATTTTGCTATAGGAGCAAAGCTCTCATGGAGAACCTCTACTAGGGCAGTGCCAAGAAGAAATATGGGATTGGACTCCTTACACAGATGCCCCACTGGGGAACTGCCTAGTGGAGCTGTGAGAAGAGGGCCACAGTCCTCCAGACCCCACAATGGCAGATCCACTGACAGCTTGTACCCTGCACCTGCAAAAGCTGCAGGCACTCAACACCAGCCGATGAAAGCAGTCTCAGGAACTGTGCCCTGCAGAGCCACAGAGGCAGAGCTGCCCAAGGCCTTGGGAGCCCACCCCTTGTGTCAGTGTCGCCTGAATATGAGACATGGGGTCAAGGGAGATTATTTTGGACCCTTCAGATTTAATGACTGCCTTGCTGGGTTTCAGACTTGCATGGGGCCCATAGCCCCTTTTTTTGATCAATTTATCCCTTTTGGAATGGATATATTTACCCAATGCCTGTATCTCTATTGTATCTTGGAAGTAATTAACTTGTTTTCTATTTTTACAGGCTCATAGGTGGAAGGGTCTTGCTTTGTCTCAGATAAGACTTTGAACTGTGGACTTTTGAGTTAATGCTGAAATGAGTTAAGACTTGGGGGACTGTTGAGAAGAAATTATTGTATTTTAAAATGTGAGAAGGACATGAGATTTGGGAGGCCAGAGAAGGAATGATATGGTTTGGATTAGTGTCCCCACTCAAATTTCATGTCAAATTGTAAACCCAAGTGTTGGAGGAGGAACCTGGTGGGAGGTGATTGGATCATGGGGGTGGACTTCCCCCTTGCCATTCTTGCCATTCTCATAATAGTGAGTGAGTTCTCATGAGATCTGGCTGTTTAAAAGTATAAAGCACTTCTCCCTTCACTCTCTTCCTCCTGCTTCAGCCATGTAAGCTGTACCTCCTTCCTCTTCACCTTCTGCCATAATTGTAAGTTTCCTGAGTGCCCCCCATCCATGCTTCCTGTTCAGCCTGAGGAATCATGAGCCAATTAAACCTCATTTCTTTATGATTACCCAGTCTCAGGTAGTTCTTTATAGCAGTGTGAGAGTGGACTAATACAGTGATGCACAAGGATATCTGGTGGAAGAAATATCTAAGCAGCAAAGCATTCAGGTTGCTGTGTGGTTACTTTCAACTACATATAGTGGAATGCTAGAGAAAAGAAATTACTTAAATATGCAATTTATAATTCAAAGGAAACAGAACAAAAAGATTTGAAAATTCACAGCCTGACTATGTAAAGAATAAAAAGCATGTCAGAGAGACAATGCTAAGGGTATAGCCACGTGATCCTTTGTTAAAGAGATTAATATGAACAAAAAGAAGCCAAGTGCTATTCATCAAGACAATGAAAGACCCCACAATCATTCTGAAAATTTTCTAGGCTGCCCCTCTCATCACAGTCTCAGCGCTCTAGAAGGGCTGAACAGTTTTGGGAGATAGGCCTGGGGCACCCTCCACCCTCCACAGGCTCACTGCCCAGGACAACCAAGGGACTCTGCTCCCCACTTCTCAGTGCAGCACTCTTTGCCCAGCCCAGCTGTGGCTCAAGTGGCCCCAAGAGCAGCTCAACCCACTGCTCCACATGTTACAAATGGTAAGCCTTAGTAGTGTCCACATGGTGATAATTCTACAGGTGCACAGAATGGAAGAACTTTGAGGAAATGGCTTCTTCCTCCCATAATATTTCAAAGGATTTCATAAAAAGCTTGGAACTCAGGCAGAAACTTGCCACAGAAGCAGAGGTGTCACAGAATCTCTACTAGGGCAATGTATAGTGGAGCCCTGGGGTCAGGGCTGCCAGTGAAAACATAGAACTTGTAGGGCCACCAGCATGGAACTCCAACCCATTAAAGCTGGGTGAACTGAGCCTAGCAAAGTCACGGGGGCAGGACTTCCTGAGGCCATGGGGGCCCAACCCCAGCCACAGTGTATCCGGTAAATGGGATATAGAGTCAAGGGTGATTATTCTCCAGCTTTAACGTTTAATGTTTTCTCTGTTGGGTTTTGGGCTTACCTGGGACCAGTTATCTCTTTCTTCTTGTCTATTTATCCCCTTTAGAATGGGAATGTCTGTCCTACGCCTGTCCCACCATTGTATTTTATAAGTAGATAACTTGTTTTGATTTCACAGGCTCACAGCTGAAAGGAATTAGCCTCAGGATGAATCATGCATTCAGTCTCATCCACATATGATTTATACAGGACTCTGGACTTTGAACTTTTGAATTGATGTTGGAATAAGTTAAGACTTCTGGGGCTGTTGGGATGGAATAAATGTATTTTGAATTGTGAGAAGGACATGAGTTTTGAGGGACCAGGAAGGAATTCTATGGTTTGAACATCCCTGCCAAAACTCATCTTGAAATTTAATTACCATTGCAACAGTGTTGAGAGGCAGGATCTTTAAGAGATGATTAGGTCATGCGGGTTTCACGCTCATAAATGGATTAATGCCATTATCATGGCAGCGAGCTAGTTATCATGGGAGTGGGCTTCTGATAAAAAGGATAAGTTCAACCCAATTTCCTCTGTGTCACGTTAACTTGCTTCTACTTTCCACCCATCTGCCATGGGATGGTCTTCATCAGATGGCAGAGCCAATGCTGGCACCACATCCTTGGACTTCCCAGCCTCCAGAACTGTGAGAAATGAATTTCCTTTCTTTATAAATTACCCACTCTGTGGTATTCTGCTACAGCAGCAAAAAACAGACTAAGACAGCATCTCTAGGTAAACTTTATTTCCAGCGATGCAGACATGCACCAATTCACTTATAGAATACTGCGCAATTATTGAGTTTAAAGATTAATGGAAATCCAGTATGAATTCAGGCAACAAAACTCATAATTACAAAAGAAGTTTCTCATACCAATTAATTGATATCAATTAAATATATTAAGGCTCTCTGGTAAAAATATTATCCCATAAGAGAATAGTCTTACTCCAAAACCCAGTATATTAAAAATATTTTAAAATTGTACAAATTGAAGAACATAACTTGGACTTAAAGACAAGAAAAACATTCTTAGGCATAATTAAAATTATTTATTTTATTGTTTGTAAATGCATGTAAAATTCTTAGAAGACTGAAACAACTGTGTCCACAGATACCTATGGGCATCATGGAACTAGGGCAGCTTTTGAACCAGGAGTGACCAAAACTTTGCTCTAGTCTCTGTAGTCCAGGTTAGGATCAAGCCCAGGCCATGTCAGGCATTCTCCAATGGATAAAAGAGGTATAGTAAATGACAATATAAAAAGAGGGGTGTTGACAAATGCACTCACATGTTCATTGCAGTACTATTGACAACAGCAGATTTATGAAATTAACCTAGGTACCTATCAGTTGTGGATTAAATAAATAAAATGTGGTACATATACACCACAGAATACTATGCAGCCATAAAAGGAATAAAATTGTGCCCATGAACCCTCTGAATCTAAGAAGTTGAAAAATAAATAAATAAATAAAAATCAAAAAAATAAAAAATCATCTTGGCTATTATAACTCCTTTGCCTTTCTCTCTCTCTCTGTCTCTCCCCGTATGTGTGTATGTATATATATGTATATGCATATAATCTTAGAATCAGTTTAACTATATCTATAAAACATTCTGTTGGAATTATGATTTATATGGCCTAAATTCTATTAGACATCAACTTATCAAAAAAAATGTATTCATCTGGGAAACAAACCATCTACATTCCAGGAATAAACTCTCCCTAGTCATAGTATATTATCCTCTTAATATAGTGATGACTTCAATCTTCAAAGTTTCATTTATAAATGTTTTGCATGTATAGTCATAAATAAAGTTTACATAGAGTTTTTAAAAAGAGGGCTTTGATATTAAACGAGTGAGGCACATAATATGCAAAGCAAAGGGTAAATACAGAGAATAAGTGTGACAAGCAGGCAAGTCAAAACTGGGATGTACTTATTAGGCACCTAGCAAGTACTAGAAGCCATTGAAGGTTTGTAAAAATGACTAAACGTTGAGTCTTCCTTTAAATATTTTACAATTGAATGAGAACATAGATACACAGCTAAATTACTATCATGTAAGAAAACTAGATAACAAATAACGTACTACTGAAGTAAACAGAGGAAAAGAGACTCCTGACTGAGGGGATGGGGAAAATACCACTAGAATATTCCTTGTGAGTTGACCTTAAAGAAGATGGGACTTGAACATAAGGAGATGGCAGATCCGGGAAGGAAGGGCAGTCAAATCATATGGAAGTAGCTGCAGTGAGGGAAGTGGAAAAGAGTTTGAAAGCCAGCAATTCAGTCCCAAAATTACACTATCAGACATAGACCACCAACTATTCACTGCACCAACTTCCTTTCTGCCTTTAATTACATCAGAGCATCTTAATTCAAATCAGCCTCCTTAACGGGATCCCTAAAGAGAAAAGCCATTTACTTGGCTGATAAGCAGTTGAGCTCTGCCAAAAACTAAAAGGGGAAGTGTGATCAAATCCTTAGGGATGGCCAAAGAAAGATTTAGTACTATGAATGTGAGAGAAAGCCCAAAGCAAACTCTAGGTACAAATAATTTGTGTCCTATAGAGTGGGCACTGAACAAGTAGAATTTGCTCCAAGTCATGTAAATATATATTCTTAAGAGGGTATCTTAAGGAAACTACCCCAGACAAGAGGTCAGAGATTTTTCTGTGTAAAAATGTATGTGTGGGCCGGGTGTGGTGGCTCACACCGGTAATCCTAGCACTTTGGGAGGCCAAGGCAGGTCGAATCAGTTAAGGTCAGAGGTTCGAGACCAGCCTGGCCAACATGGCAAAACCTGTCTCTACCAAAAACACAAAAATTAGTCAGGCGTGGTGGCAGGCACCTGTAATCCCACCTACTCAAGAGGCTGAGGCAGGAGAATCGCTTGAACCCGGCGGGCAGAGGTTGCAGTGAACAGAGATAGCGCCACTTCACTCCAGCCTGGGTGACAGAGCAAGACTCTGTCTCAAAACAAACAAACAAAAAAGTATATGTGGAGCCAGATACATTTTTTAACAAATGAAAAAAGGTAGAGAGATTTTTGGAAAAGTGCAGATTGAGTAGAACATACCCCTCCATGCATCATCTCTTTTTTTTTAATACTTCATTAAAGGAAAGGAAATATTATCATCCACCCCATTCCTATGTTGCTTTCTTGATCTACAGAATTTTCATTCTCTGTTGGAGGGATTCCCATCCCCTCAGTCAGGAGTCTCTCTTCCTCTGTATACTTCAGTAGTACATTCTTTATTATCCAGTTTTCTTACATGATAGTAATTTAGCTGTGTATCTATGTATCTGAGACCAGGACATTCAGTAGGCGCTTCCCATGTACACTCTTTGCTGAAATGTCACCAGACATTGAAAATTCTACTGAGATTTCCCTCAGTGGAACAGGGGTAATTAAGGCCAAATCTACCACCCTGTGAAATGTATTACTACAGCTATCATAGGAAACTCCTGATGAGGTAGAGTAACACTGGTTACAATGAGCTGCTTGGGATCTGTGGGGTCACTGCATGAGGTGGAGAAAAAAGAGACCTCAAGCAAGGATCTTGTACTTCCAAAAACCAAGAACCACATTTTAATTCTTTTAGAGTAAATGCAACCAAACCATACATTTTATATTGATAACTGCCATCCTATTAAAGCCTAAAAAGCAAACTGCTCGCTAAGTTAATATGGCCATATATTAACTGTTACCTTTTCCTCGGGGCATTAATAATGCTTATCCTTTAGTACACTTATATGTGTAATAATGTTTGTATGTTTAGTATTGTTATAGCCCATGGGTCAAATTTGTTCTATTGACATTGATTTATTTTACAGACTCCATTATGAAATTGAATTAGGTGCCAGTATTTTAAACAAGCGGGATACTTCCTGTGATGCACAGGCAGAGTGAGTGAGTATAGCGGGGAGACTCTCAGAAGGCATGGTGCAAGGAGTGAGGGCAGAGAGAATGCAGCAGGCATACCATCAGCAAGTGGGAACTCAGCTACGGTGCTAAGCGGGCAGAGATTCTTGGTCAGCAGGCCTCCAGAGGGGAGAGAAGGGGAAAGTGTAGGTGGGTATGAATCAGCCTACAGCTAGAGAGCTAGAGAGCAGGGGACCCTGGACTGGTGCAGCACAGGAGACAAAGAGATGGCCCACATGGTCAGGAGGCTGGTTACATAAGGGAGACTGCACAAATAAATATACGTATATTGAAGATAATGAAAGCAGGTTTCTCACTCTCAAAGAGGGAAGTACAAATCTAGAAAGGGGGAAGGCCCAGCCAGGCGTGGTGGCTCACGCCTGTAATCCAGCATTTTGGGAGGCTGAGACAGGCAGATCACAAGGTTAGGAGTTCGAGACCAGCCTGGCCAACATAGTGAAACCCCCATCTTTACTAAAAATACAAAAATTAGCCGGGCGTAGTGGTGGGCGCCTGTAATCCCAGCTACTCGGGAGGCTGAGGCAGGAGAATCGCTTGAAACCAGAAGGCAGAGGTTGCAGTGAGTGGCGATCGCACCTCTGCACTCCAGCCTGGGCAACAAGAGTGAAACTCTGTCTAAAAAAAAAAAAAAAGAAGGTGGGGGAGAGCCCAAATAAAGCAGGAGACACTGAACTGCAGTTGGAAGGGTCACGGTTTCAGATAGATAGATAATATAGATGTCTGTGTGTATAAATACTTGTATATACACGTGTTGTGTGTGTGTATACACACATATATATCCTGTCCACTTAGAAGGCCTAGAAGTATGATACCCTAGAAACAAAGAATATACCTAGAACCCAGATCTTGGTTTCTAAATCCCAGTCTCCACCAAAAGAAACCAGGATTTCTTGGAAAAATAACTGATTCCAAGCTATTTTGGCAAGGGAAAGCACAACAAGATCCTGAAACATATTGTACCAAAAAGGTAAAAATGTTGTCAGAGAATGATGCAGGTCTGTCAAAAGGACAAAGGAGTCAACTCCTAGGAGCTTCCACTGGCTAAATTTGGAGGAACTGCACTCCAAAATGACGAATAGTAATGTATTATAACCCAGTGAATAACATAGGAATCCATAAGTACATGCTGATATAATTAATTAATTAAGAAAGAAAAATTTTTACCAGGAGTGAGGGCAGAGATAACAACATTTTGCGAAATGATTGTACAATGTCACAATACTCAAAAATTTTACCACTGAGTAGAATGCTAATTAATAAGTTTAGAAGGAATTCAAAATAATTCACCATGTAGCAAGCATCAGAGTAACAGCTGATTTAAAGAAGTAGCACTAGTGGATAAAACTAGTAGGTGACAGTTTGATGAGAAACAGGACATGTACAGTCTCAAACTATATCCCCACAAAATATTTATTAATATTACTTATTAAATATTTATTAATTTTGAGAGAAAATATTTATGTATTAACTCTATACTAGAGATACCTGGCAGATATCATCTTATCTTACTAGAGATACCTGCATATCATCTGTTGAGCTCTGCCATTACAAAGTGATAAAAGTTAGCATCACTAGCAGTGGCACAAATTAACATGATGTGTGTTCTGACAGCATACACTGGGCATCACTTTCTTCTGTAGTAATCTTCCCAGAAGCTAATTATTAACACGAAGCTAATTATGAGAAAAGTATCGGGCAAATCCAGAGTGAGGGACACTCTACAAATAAACACTGGGCAGTACTCCTCAGAAGTGTCAAGATCATGAAAGGCAAGAAAACACTGAAACACTCTTCCAACAGAGTTAGTTTAAAGAAACTAATGAAACCTGACAATTAGGGGCAACAGGTGACCCTGGATTGGATACAGGCCCTTTAAAAAACACAATTAGGGCATATGTTGCAAACATTTTCTCTGGGCCTCTAACTTGTCTTTTCATCCCCTTCACAGAGTCTTCTGCATAGCAAAAGTTTTGTCATAGGCAAAATTTGGGGATCTGCAAATTAGATGGTAATACGGGATCAAAGGTAATTCACTGACTTTGACAGAAGGAACTACTGCTGTGTAGGATAGTGTCGTTTTTGGATACTAATGGATGGATGGATGGATGAATAGATGGTTGGAGGCATGGAGGCATGGAAGCATTCATATATAGATAGAATGATACAGTAATTGGGAAGTCTAGGTGAATGGTACACAGCAGTTCTGTATACTATTATTATAGCTTTTTGTAAGGTTAAAATTACTTCTAAATTTAAAATATACAAAATAAAATTGGGAACTTTTATTACAATATGAATTTAATCTTTTCTTGAAAATCTGATGTGGCAATATGGGGCCCACATCCTCCTGAGATTCGTGTGCACTGGAGTTGACAGCTGCTTCTTTAGGTCCCATGAATCCTATAATTCAGCACAGTCCTCACCACTCCTTACTGTTTTATACCTTGCCTACTCAGCTTGTTTATGTTCCCTGACACATCTTGGCAAGAATGTGAGTCTGTGGCTTCTGCCTTCAAGTGTGTTTGTTCTGACAGAGGCAGTGAGGCAGTATGCTTTTTCTAGGTAAGCCTATGAAAGGGGATATATTTTAAATGAAGTTTCAATGATGTAATTATGGAATCATTTGCAGTTGTGTGTGTGTGTATATATATAGTTGTGTTACTTGTGTGTATATATATATATAGTTGTGTATATATATACACAATCTTATATATCATCTATTATATATAATATATAGTTGTGTATATATGTAGTTGTGTGTGTGTGTGTATATATATATATATATATAGAGAGAGAGAGAGAGAGAGAGAGAGAGAGAGAGAGGGAGCCTTTGCATCCTGTACTCAGTCTTCCTTCACAGCGACATTTTACAAAATTATTGTACAATGTCACAACATAGATGCAACCTACCCATCTTATTCAGCTTCTCCCAGTTTTACCTGTACTCATTTGTGCGTGTGTGTGTGTGTGTGTGTGTGTGTGTGTGTGTGTTTAGTTTTATGCGATTTTACCACATGTGTAGGTTCATGTATCCATCACCACAGTCAGGATACAGAACTTTCCAGTCAGGACAAGAATCCCTTGTATTGACTTTTTATAACCACATCGACCCCAAACCCCCCTCACTCACTCTTGGCAACCACCAAACTTTACTCCATTTCTGAAATTCTGTCATGCCGAAAGAGTCACATAAGTGGAATCCCACAGTATAAAACCTTTTAGAATTGGATTTTTTCACTCAGAATAATTCCCTGGAGATTCAAGCAGGCTTTGGTGTGTGGCCGTAGTTATTTTCTTTTCATTGCTTACTAGTATTCCATAGTATGGATATACTACAGTTTGTTTAACTATTCACCCCCTGAAGGACATCTGGGGTGTTGCCAATTTGGAGCTACTATAAATAAAGCTGCTAAGGGCATTTGTGAACAATTTTTTTGTGAGAACATACATTTTCATTTCTATGGGATAAATGCATAAGAGTGCAGTTTTTGGGTTGTATGGTATACATGTCTAATTTTTTAAGAAATAGCCAAACTGTTTCCCACAGTGGCTATGAATCATTTCACACAATGTATGAGTGATTCAGTTTCTCCAAATCCTTGCCAGCATTTAGCATTGTCACTAGTTTTTATTTTAGCCATCCTGAGAGATGGATGGTGATTTCTTGTGTGGTTTTAATTTGCATTTCTCCGATGGCTAAATAGGTATTAAAAATCTTTTCATATTCTTCTTTGCCATCCACATATCTACTGCAATAAAATATATATTCATGGTTTCTTTTCTTTTTTTTTTTTTCTGAGATAGAGTCTCACTCCGTCACCCAGGCTGGACTGCAGTGGCATCATCTCAGCTCACTGCAACCTCCGCCTCCAGGGTTCAAGCAATTCTCTCACCTCAGCCTCGCAAGTAGCTGGGACTGCAAGCACCCACTACCATGCCCGGCTTTTTTTTTTTTTTTTTTTTTCAGTAGAGACGGAGTTTTGCCATGTTAACCAGGTTGGTTTCGAACTCCTGACCTCAAGTGATCCACCTACTTCGGCCTCCCAAAGTTCTAGGATTACAGGCGTGAGCCACTGCACCCGGCCTCTATTCATGGATTTTGCCCATTTTCTAATGGAACTGTTTAACTTATTTTTACTACGGAGTTTTAAGTTTCTTTTACGTATTCTGGATACTAGTCCTTTCTTGGATATGTAGTTTGCAAATATTTTCTCCCAGTCCATAGCTTGTCTTTTCATTCTCTTAACAGCTCTTTTGCAAAGGAAGTTTTTAATTTGGATGAGGTCCAATTTATCACATTTTCCTCTTTTGTATTGTGCTTTTGGTAGCAAATCTAAGAACTCTTTACCTAACCCTAGATCCCAAAGATTTTCTCCTATTTTTTCCCAAAAGTTTTAAAGCTTTATGTTTTATATTTAAGTTCTTGATATACTTTCAGTTAATTTTGTATAAGGGTTAGTTTTAGGTCAAAGTTCAGTTTTTTGGCCTATGGATGCCCAGTTACTATGGCACCGTTTGTTGAAAGGTTATCTTTCTTCCACTGAATTGTTTTTAAACCTTTGTCAAAAACCAGTTGAGCATATTTGTGTGGGTCTATTTCTTGGTTACCTATTCTGTTCTATTAATCTACATGTCTATCTCTCTGCCAATACAATGTCTTGATTATTTCACCTATGTGGTAGGCCTTAATATTGAAAAGAATTTTTCCTCCTACTTTGTCTTTGTCATTGTTTTAATTATGATAGGGTCTGTGCATTTCCATGTAAATTTTAGAATAAGTTTATCTATGGTCATAAAAAACATGCTGTAGAAATTGCAGGAAATTGCATTAAACCTATTGGTTAATTTGGTGACAACCAACATGTTTACTGTGTTGAGGCTTCAAATCCATGAATATAGTACATCTTTCCAAGTATTTAGTTCTTTTTGATTTCAGTATTTTATAATTTTAAGCATATAGATCCTGTATGTGTTTTGTTAAATTTACACATATATATTTCTTTTTCTTTGGAGTGATTATAAAAGTTGTGTTTTTAATTTTGATTTCCACATGTTCATTGTGAGTATATAGAAATGTGATTGATATTTATGTGTTGATCTTATATCTTGTGACCTCACTGAACTCATTTATCTGTTAGAGTAGTATTTTCGTTGACGTCTTGGGATTTTCTATGTACATAATTATGTCATCTGCAGACAAAATGAGTGTAATTTCTTTATGAGCTATACGCCTTTTGTTTCCTTTCATTTTCCTTATTGTACTGGCTAGGACTTCCACTTCTACATTGCATAGCATTAGCGAGAATGGACATCCTTGCCTTGTTTTCAATCTTTGGAGAAAAGCATTCAGTCTGTTACCATTAATTATGATATTAACTGTACGTTAGGTTTCTTTGTAGATGTTCTTTACCAAAATGAGGTAATTCTCTTCTATTCGTAACTTGCTGGGCATTTTTATTGTGGAGTGGGTGCTGAATTTTGTCACAAATTTTTTCTACATCAATTTATATGATCATATGATTTTTTTCCTTACCTTGTTTATATGGTAAATTACATTGATTGATTTTGGAATGTTAAACCAGCCTCGCATATCCTGAATAAATCCTATTTGGTCAAGGTGTATAATTCTTTTTACACATTGTTAGATTTCATTTGCTGATATTTGAAAGATTCTTACATGTAACTTCATGAGACATATTGGTCTGCAGTTTTCTTTTTTTCATACTATTGTTGTCTGGTTTTGGTATCAAGGTAATACAGCCCACATAAAATCAATTGAGAAGTGCTCCCTCCTCTTCTATTTTCTGAAAAAGATTATGTAAAATTGATATCAATTCTTTAAATGTTAGAATTATCCAGTGAAACTATCAGAGGGTGTGGAGATTTTTTTTCAGATTTTAAATCACAAATCCACTTTCTTTAATAATTATTAAACTATTCAAATTGTCTATTTCACCTTGATTAAGTTTTAGTGGTTTGTGATTGTAAAGGAATTGATCCCCTGTGGTTGTCAAATCTGTAAGTATAAAGTTGCTTGTATTATTCCCTTATTATCCTTTAGATGGCTACAGAGGCTATAGTAATATCCTTTGTTTCATTTCTGATGTGGGTGATTTGTGTCTTTTTTCTTGTTGTCAGTCCTGCTAGAGGTTTATTAATTTTATTGACTTTTTTCCAAAGAATCAGACTTTTGTTTCATTTTTTTCTCTATTGTTTTCCATTTTCAGTTTCATTGATTTCTGTTCTTTTTTTATTTCCTTCCTTCTGCTTGCTTTGGGTTTATTTTCTTCTCTTTCAAGTTTCTTGAGGTAGGAAATTAGATTATTGATTTAAGACCTTTCCTTGTTTCTAATGCAAGCATTTAATGCTATAAATTTCCCTTCCAGCATTGCCTCGGCTGCTTCTGGACAAGACACTTTCATTTCCAAGGCCTTGTATTCGCTGAACCTGGTTTTCCAGATAATCAATTTTTTTCCCAGGACCCTAAGTCCAGAGTTCTAATGCCTTCTATAATTTCCCCTATTACACCAGACTATCTTAAAAGAGCTTCATGAAACTCCTTCTCATTAAGGTGTGAGCAGGGACTTTCATTTCTTAACAGGGCATCCAGCCTCCCGGCTCTACAACCTTGGAAGAAGCGAGTTCCATCACTACACTCAAAAATCATGCCTGTTAAATATCAGATCATCTTAGTTGATTTGATCTATGCAGATCACAGATAATCCAGAACATGACCACCAAATCTTTATCCATATTTATATCCATATTTATAGACACTAAAGATAGACATCAAACATAGGATTAGAAGTTTCAAGGACAAACCAGAGGAAGCACTTGTAAAAACTTGCATGAGTAGATACAATGCATTAGTCCTCAATGTGTTGTCCCTGGATCAGCATCACTGGCATCACTTGGGAACTTGTCAGAAATGCAGATTCTCATGCCTCACCTCAGACATCACCTGCATTGAAGGCATTGGTACAGCACAGGCTGCTGGGTGCGACCTGCTGTACCATCACCTTCCAGGTAACTTCAAGGCAGCTAATGTTTGAAAAACACTGCTCTGGAGGGCACAAAACTTGCCAGCTTAGGTTCTTATTCAGAATCCAGAAGGTCTAGTAACCTGACAGGATGCTGTGTAGGGCAACTGAGGCTCTCCATACTGCCATTTAGAATTGGATCATTATTTAAAACAGATCTGATGGGATCACATTTAATCAAGGCAGTGGCTATCTCACAAGAAGGTCAAGATTAATATTTAATGAAAGGTAGATACATTAATATATTCACATCATGGTTATCTGTGGCAAAAACAAATGTTCTAAGGTATATGCTAGGCCTATCTGCTCAAGCAAATTGCAAAAAGCTTCTGAAGGTAAGTATAATTTATCGTAAATTAAAATTTTATCCACACATTAACATATATACTGTGGCAGTATATTTTTATTTTACACTCTTTCTTAAAACTTCTAAAATTTTTCTCTTTAGTCATTTATATGTACATATACCAGGTTCTTAAAAATGTCACGAAACCGCTTGCAAAAATACATACCATATACAACATCTCTTCCATCCCAGAAATAAAAATGTACTCCAGGAATGCACTCAAAGTGATAATTTCTGCCACTAGTTCAGCTTCAAGTTTAGCAAGCATTTGTTAAGTTTACTTGCAAAGCACTAGCTCCCATGGAAATAAAAACATAGAAGCAGCAAAACAGGATCGCTGTGTCCAGGAGGTGTGAGTTCAGTCTAAGGAGAGGACGTGGCCCAGCTTTAAACATCTGCTAGAGCATCCAACTCATGGGAGGCTGGTCTGAATTCTCACCACTGGAGAGGATTTCAGGGTCCCAGGGTCTCTTCTCTTTTTGGTTCATATTACACAAAAGTTAGCCTATCACTCAGTCGTGGCCATGGAGGAGCTGCACAACACTGCTATGGTATTTCAATGAGGGAATGGAAGCCTATGGAGATGCTAGAAGGAGAACCAAGGCTCTCTCTCCTTTATTTGAACTATTGTTCTTAGATGGGACCTGGATGAGGGTGCTCCCACCTGCACTCACTAAAATGTGTCCAAATAGTTGGTTATCTGGGCTCAACCAGCCCTCAAGGTATCTTCTTTTAATTAGCACACTTGCCACAGGTGCAGCATCTTACTGGGCGAGTTTATTAGCAGGAAGGAGGGAGAGAAACCAAGGACCTTCTTTCCACAGTGGGACCTTTTTTTCTGCTCATTAACAGATCTGTCAGCAGAAAACTGGTAGAACTGAAAGCAGGTGATGTTCACACCAGTCAATTTTGCTACTTGTTAACAGCTTTGATAAGAGACCAAAAATAGAACGGGGAAGAAAGGCCCTCTGAGGAGGAAATGAAATCAGATTTTGTTCTTCCTGCTGGATTTCTAAAATCCTTGCTCTCCTTAGCATGCATTGTCATGGAAAATTCCAAGTTTTTTGTAGAAGAGTTCATTCTATTCCCTGATGTACTACTCCTAATTCCTTCCTTCCTTCCTTCTTTCTTTCTTTCCTTCCTTCTTTCCTTCTTTCTCTCTTTCGAAATGAGGTCTCACTGTGTTGCCCAGACTGCAGTGCAGTGGCTGTTTACAGGCACGATCCCAGCACTGATCAGCATAGGAGTTTTGACCTGCTCCATTTTCAACCTGGGCAGGTTCACCCCTACTTAGGCAACCTCGTGGTTCCCCGCTACTGGGAGGTCACCATATTGATGCTGAAATTAGTGCAGGAACCCAATTAGCATAGCACACAACAGCCCAGGACTCCTGGGCTCAAGTGATCCTCCAGCGTCACCCTGCTGAGTAGCTGGAACTACAGGCACGCACCATGGCACCAGGCTCTCCTTGTTTTAATTAAGTAGTTTATGAAACATGAACCACAAAAGCTACAGCAATTGGGAGTCCAATGGACAAAACAAAGTATGTACAGACCCTTTATCGATGCTCTCAGTCTCACACAAACCATGTTGAAGGAAAAGAAGTTTGAGATCAAAAGGAAAACTTAGAGTTGGAATAAAATAAAGAAAAGCCCCAAGCCAGAGTTCAAACACAGACCTTTCTGCCACTTTTGTTTCCAACATGAACAAGCAAGGAATATATCAATAACTATAAGGATCTTATGATTTTATAAAAGGAATCTAAAAGCAAGATAACTGAGCCCCCATAAATGTTTGAATAATTCTAGAACATCCTAGAATGGTCTACTTCTTTATTAAGCACTACTTGAGTGTGGTCAGGGGACTATAATACAATGCACAAATCCAAATATGGTTTCATTTTATACTATCAATAGTATCTTTTGGGATATAAAATATATATACTCGTAGAAAAAATATGGAATCTAGGTTTCCTAGATTAGATAATGCCTTTAGAGTATGTAGCCTTTAGATAATGCTTTGTCTCTTCAGAGTACTGATTCACCATCACATTAATACTAAGAATAATAGACCTTGCAGATGTAACCATAATCTTGGCAGATCCTTCCTTCTAGGTTAATGTTTCTACATAAGTACCACTCCTTTTTCAGCATACCCAACACATGCAAATTGATCACCAATACATATTGGGGGTAAGAGGATTCTTCTCTCCGTAGAGCATTAATAAAATCAGTCTTCAGCTACACTTCTCAACCTTTAATATGTTTCAAAAGAAAATTAATAAATCCCTCCCCTTCTCTTCCTTCTATCCTCCTTCCCTTTCTCCTTGTCTCTTCTAATATACAAACAGGGGTAAGGCACTCTCCTTCCTCACTCCACTATAATGATTATAAACTTTCTTTTTCTAATTAAAAAAGATCAAAATGAGGATAGGAAAATGCTAGATATTTTAGATGCAAAAATATTTTCAAAGTGAACCAAATGGGGTCAAGAGACTCCCTGAGAAATAACATTCCCTATATTAACAGTCTATTTGCCTTACTCTTATGAAATAGAATTACTTGTTCAAATTTCCCCAAGTTTTGAAGTTTCACACGTTTTAAAATCTGCTAATATTTCTTGGGAGAACTAAGGTGGTAGTCTTCATGGGTGCTAATATACTATGCCCCATAACATTTGAAGATGAGTATTGTATATAGTGACCAAAATAGATAGCAGGACAGCAGTTTAAAGTCACCACATGCTGCTGCTGCTAGTGGCACAAATCATTCTGCCAATGTAGTTGATGATTTAATCAAATTGCACTTTTCTCTAGTACCTTCAACAAAAAACAATCCTCACCTGGGGCAGTCAAGAAAGCTGGGAAAAAAAAAAAAACAATGAAAATTCACTGTAATCGGAAAATGCAAAGTGCTTCCTGGCATGACTGCATTACTAAACCTGATGCTTCCAAAGTTAACCTTCTAGGGTGCTAACAACATTAAAGTGCCATAAAAGTGATAGAGAAAAACTCCAAGAGCAAAGAATTAATTAGCTCCATGGGGACATGCCAGACAGGAAAACAAGGTTTCGAAGGGTACAGTGTGAATCCTTAGGTAGGGAAAACTGTAAACATGAATCACTTCTTCAATCTAAATCCAATATTTTAGAGCAGACATTTGGGATTGCCTGCAAAGTCACAGGGCACTGATGGACAAGTTTGTGTATGGGAAGTTCCTGCAATCCAAGACAATGATCTATTTGAGAGCTACCCACACGCAGGAGATGTGTGAAAAATCACCAAATGAGAACAGAAGTTGATGTGAAGACCCTCTTCTCCTAGAGGAGACTAGGAGACTACTTATTCTGTGGGCCCAAGTCCAACATTTCTCTAGGAATTCTCTTTTCTACCTTTATTAAGCCAAAGCTCTCTGTAATATTTGTTCATTTGGCCATGATCAATTTTTCTCTCCGTTACTGTTTTGTTCTCTAGCTCCCCTCTCCCTTTTCTCATGTTCAGATATAACACGTTTGCTATCCCATTCATGGTAAACTGACTACCTATCGCACATGCCAACACTTAGTCTTGGGATGAAACTGGAGACATTCAGGAATGCGTTTTGGCAAAACTGATCTACCTGGCTCCATACCTGCTGAAATGTATAATCCCTCTTGGTAATGAAAAGAAATAGAATGTCTTGGTGAGAGAAAGAGCAGGAACCCTGATACACAAATGGAAGAAAGAAACCTCCAAGGTCAGGAGCAAAGGGAGCAAAATAAAACCTGTGATGATTTCCCATTATTGGTGTCATCTCTGAGGCTATAATTCCCTCTGTGGACACTGGTAACTCCACTGACAGCAGGAAAAGAAATCCATGTCCTTATATTGTTCCCCACATAATCTGACTTTATAATGCGCAAACCCCATTTCCCAAGCCCTTCTCAGCCTGCCTTCTTCCTACCCCACCTCTAAGATGATCTCTAGATTTGAGGCTTCTAACCTCAGACGGCCCCACTCCTATCTTCCCCTCCCCAGCCCTTACGTGTGTTACCTAAAGAGAGATATTCTAGCCAATTATCCAAGCCTTAGAGATCAAGACATAGTTTAAAAATAGTTTCTATATCCACGTGTCTGTTAAACACATACACTAAAGGAACAAACATCACAATCTGTTTCTCAACCTCTTTTTCATTGTCATCTCCCCAAGGAGTCTTTTAAGACTTTTTTTTCTGAATTACACCCCCTGTAAAATTTTAATACCGTAAGTATACTATATGTCTGCTTATCTAAGATATGTTTATCTATGCTTTATACACTAAAAAGGTTTTCTTCACCCACCAAGAACCAATTTTCAGCCCCTTAGGGAAGATATTAGTATAATCCCTGTTGCGAATGCATGCTCTTGAAGCATGCAACAATTAAGGTCATTTTACCAGAAGTGTTAAACTACTGCTTTTCTAATGTTCAATGAAATATAAATCTTCAGAAACACCAGCATTCCTATAGATCCGTCATCTGTATTACAGTGGTCGGAGACCGGGCCTGGTAGCTCACACCTGTAATCCCAACACTTTGGGAGGCCTAGGTGGGTGGATCGCTCGAGTCCAGGAGTTCAAGACTATCCTGGGCAACATGGCAAAACCCCATCTCTACTAAAAACACAACAAAATTAGCCACATATGATGGTGTACACCTGTAATCCCAGCTACTTGGGAGGCTGAGGTGGGAGGATCACCTGAATCCAAGGATGTTGAGGCTGAAGTGAGCCAAAATTGTGTCACTGCACGCCAACCTGGGCAATCTGAATGAGACCCTGTTTCAAAAACTAAAATATTATAAAAAGCTAAAGCAGTCCAGGACAGCAGAGTCTTTATCTCCTGGGATTCCAAAACCTACTCTCTATGGCTCTTTCCCCGTCTTCAATAGGAAATTCTCCAGAATTAGCAAGTGTTACTCTCAAGTTAGTGCCAACTCCATCTAGTCTTTTTTTAATCTTAATGCATTTTACTTACATACTAAGACACAAACACATTTAAACAATTTCCCACTCCAGAAACTAAACAAATGGACTCACTTCTTGCCGTTTGAAGTTCTGGACATATTCTTCGAACTGTTCGTCTTTTGTCTCATCAGCTTTCCCCAGCTTTTGGAGGACCTAATTTGCAAATAAAACAAAATGGTTTAATTTAATAATGTTTTCAAAGAAAGATGTGCATTTTCTGTTAATGGAGCAAGGCTGTTGTTTTGCTCTGAGGAGTAGAGCAAAACTATCAGCACTTCTAATTTTTCTGTTCTGGAAGCATCTTGGCTTGGCAGCTCTGGAGTTGAACAAAAAAAAAAAACTGAATCCCAGTCCCGCCCCTCACAGGCTGTGTGGCTTTGAGCAAGTGTTGTGCTACACTGCACTTATTTCTTTATATAACTGTTTCCTTTAGCAGGCTGTGCGTGACTTAGAGACAGAAGCTATGCCTTATTTGTCTTTTTGTCCAAAGCATCTGGCACAATGCTGAATGCATAATTGGTACTCAACTGCTTGTGAACAGTAGACCAAAGCTGTCTGACTAAAGCATTCATCCACTTCAGTGGTCCCCAAACTTTTTGGCACCAGGGACCAGTTTCATGGAAGACAATTTTTCCACTGACCAGAGGGTGGCGGGGGGAATGGTTTCAGGATGACTGAAGCACACTACATTTATTGTGCACTTTATTTCTATTATTATTATTACATTGTAATATATCATGAAATAATTATACAACTCACCATAATGTAGAATCAGTGGGAACCCTGAGCTTGTTTTCTTGCAACTAAATGGTCCTATCTGGGGCTGATGGGAGACTGTGACAGAACATCAGGTATTATATTCTCATAAGGAGCTTGAAACCTAGATCTCTCGCATGTGCAGTTCACACTAGGGTTTGCTCTCCTATGAGAACCTAATGCCGCTGCTGATCTGACAGGAGGCGGAGCTCGGGTGGTAATGCTCCCTCACCTGCTGCTCACTTCCTGCTGAGTGGCTGGGTTCCTCACCGGCCACAAACTGGTACCAGTCTGAGGCCCAGGGTTTGGGGACCCTTGATCTACTTCATAGGGACAGTATTAGAAGCCAGGATGATGGTAAGTTCCGTCTCACCATCTTCTGATACTCCCTTCAACTCAATAAACACTCAAAGAAATCATGGGATACTCAAGGCCCCATGCTAAACACGGGTCACCCAGAAATACTAAAAAACAAGGCCCCAACACTTGATCCTAAAAAATGTATATTTTAGCGGAATAGACAAGGCAGGTCCACAAATAACAAATCAAGGATAAGTTAAAGACACAGCATAGAGTCTCTTTGGGACACAGGACATAAGTAACAAATTGTACTTGCTGCCTTTAAAAAGTAGGGCAGAAGGAAGATAACTAATATACTTTAGGAATACAAGAACTCATTTTCCTGCATAACAAAATAAACAATACACATCCCTTTTTTAACTAGACATTTTCATAGCTCGTATATTTTCCCCAAGATACATTTATAATGTTATATTAATAAATAAACCTAAGTATCAAAGTAGTTACCCAATAAGTCAGAGTTCATGCAGATTTCTTCAAGAGGTCAATTTTCTTCGGAGCAAAAGTAATTATTCTAAACGAAAAATGATTTTGTATTCTATTCTAAAAATAGTTGCTCATAAAATGTGCTAGTATTTCTTCCTTTTCACTGTCATTAATAAAGATATATGTTTTAAATAAAATTGTAAACAGATTCACACATGTATTACCAATTATACAATATCACTCAATTTCATTTCACAAACCAATACTACATGTAAGTAATATGAAATATGCTATTTTTCATTGTAAATGTATTATTTTTCAGAAGCTGCAGGAATCTAGTATCATAAATATTAAAAGGACACATAATCACTGTATTAACTAATACTCTCCTGTCACTTATAGCAGGGTTTCTTTGAAAGGTGGAGCAGAATACACTGCATTTTTGGAAGAATAGGGCATTATAACTAGGGAAGACTTGATAAACATAAGAAACATGAAATTATGTATATATGTAAAAAGACTATAACTATGTTAAAAAGTTAATAGTGGCTATTTCTGGGTGATAAGATTAAGAGTGATCATTATTTTCTTCTTTATAACTTTCTATATTTTCCACAGTTTTCTCAATGGTTAAAGTAACAAGAAAATTCATTAACATAAATACGCAAGAGTTTAACATACTATAAAGTTTTTGTAAGAAATGTACACATTAGATTTTAGTACAAGTTAAGTGGATGTATTAGTAGCTGGTTAAAAACTCCCAGCAAAAAAAATTCCCATCAAAAAATATTGATAAGCAAATTAATATAAACTGAAAATAAGACTTCCAGAGGCAACCATGAGGGACCTATATCTGATTGAGTGGCTCACATGTAAGATAAAGATATTAATAGTGCCTACTTCACAGTGTTGTATGGAACCACCAAGGATACACATGGAAATACTAAGCTATGATGGCCAGCATATAGTTAATGCTCAATAAATAATATCTATTATTATTATAGTTATTTTTATCTAACCCCACTGAACTTCACCAATGTATAAGCTTATACTGAGAAAAAGCCAGGGAGAATGTTGAAAATGTTACATGACCAGAATCAGGATTCACAAAAGACCTTCTTTAACAAGATGAAATTCAACAAGGATAAAATTTAGGACAAAAACTTAACTATACAAGCACCAGATTTATTACTCAACTTGCAACCAAAATGCAACAAGACAGGTGTTAGGGATGGGTGGTTTCCACCCTTAAGTAGAAGTAAGGGATGACTTAAACAGATCGTCAATATGAGCCAACAAAGTGATGTTGCTGCCAAAGCATCTAACGTAATCTCAGTCTGCACTAACAAAACTTAACAGCTATCAGGAAAGTGGTCCTGGACGCTTCCAGAGGTGGACAAGTTGGTAAACGCACAAATACACAGAAAATCTGGAGCCAAAAAAAGGAGCTCTCAAAAAGGCAAAGATAGTTGATACTATGTGATGAGAAGAACACTTGATATGATTTGGTATATTAGCAGGGAGAAGAAAAGACCCAAGGAAAAGAGCACAGCCATCCTCAAACACTGGAAGGACCATCAGAGTAAAGAAGGATCAAACTTGCTCTGCCAGGAAGACCCAAAACTCACATCAGCAGGCAAAAAGTGCATTAAAAATTTGTTTTCACAAAAAGTTTTCATCATAGTTTCCTAGAAATTAAATAGTTTGTTGCTAGAGTTAATGCGCTCACCATTCCAGAAGTTACATGAGCTTCACCAATAGTTAGGGTCTCAGAGAAGAGACTTACTCATCAAACAGGTAAATAGACTAAGTCACATTTCAAATACATTCTGAGAATCCATAATAAATGTATTACATTAGGCATTTTCCCTAGTGAAGAATGCAAATCACAATGAACAGTAGCAAAGAAGAAATCCTCTTCATATTTACTAAAGACTGTGTGTCAAACACTGGGCTAAGGGGCTGCAGGAATAACAGGCTGCATTCTAGGGACTGTGATCTTTCAATAGTATTCAAGCCCAGGGTGGGAGGTGTGGAACTGGAGTGGACAAGGGTGGCATGATAGGCAGAGGACAGATTTCAGAAAGGCTTAGGCAGTAAGAATCAGAACTTTGATTTTCTTGTACAGACCATGGAGAGCCAATGAAGTGTTTCTCTGGAGGAAGCCACATGGAGAGGTCTGCACTCCTTGGTGACAATGTTAGGGACAGATTAGAAGAAGGCAAGATAGGAATAATGAGACCAGTTAAGAGGCTTTTTAATAGTCCAAGCAATAAACGACAGAACCGGAGCTAGGAAACAGATCAGTCTTTAAGAAACATAATGCACAGTACATAATGGCTTATGGGATGAAAAAGATGAAGGACAGAACAGAGTGAAGGATGACCTCAGATTTCTTTGGGGGAGACTGAGTAGGCATTGATTCCTTCAAACAAATTAGACATCATTTTGGACATGCAGGGTTTGAGACAGCTCTGTGGCATCCAGGTAGAGATATGGTAAATAGCATGATATGGCCAAGGTTCTGAGAGATGCTCTGAGCTACACTTATACTTTGGAAATCACCAGAGTATGGTGGTAGTAAAGCTACTAGAGTGTATAAGAAAGCCCAGAGAAAATATGAGGTTCAGAAAGAAGTGAGCTGAAGACAGTCCAGAAAAATCATTATTTGAAGAACGGGCAGAGGAAGAGAATCCTTGACAGGAGACTGGGGACCCAGAGGTATGGTCAAACCAGGAGCAAATTCATAGAAACCAAAGGAGACAGTTTCAATTGCTACAGAGAACTCAAGCAAGTTAAAAACCAAAAGCCCTGAAAGTGTCCACTGGATTTAGGAACCAGAAGGTTCCTGGGATCCTTCCCAAGGGCTATTAGTGGAATGGCAGTCAGAAAACAGATCACAGTAGATTGAGCAAATAGGAGGAGAGGAATCAGAAGAGCAAGTAGGTACTCTTTCCAGAACTTGGGGGCATGAAGAATCAAAGGAGCAATACTTGACCCTGTTTCTAGGCCAGAGGGAACTGATCAAAGGAGGCAAGAGCTATAAGGGGGTCACACAGTAAGAAAAGTTTCAAAGGGGGTGGCAACTCAGATTCACCAGAAAGGACCCATCTTACTCAGGAAGAGGCACAGCCATTCCTCAGAAACATGAAGGATTTCTGAGAAGGCAGGGAAGATTGCCTTTGTAAAGGCCAAATTGGAAGGAATGCACACACAGCAGATCCATCTCTCCTGTGGGGTAAATGACCAGATCATCTGCTGAGCAGCACTGGGGTGAGGTCACGGGAAAGGTCCCCAGGAGAGGGGAGTGATTCAGATGTGGAACTGGAAAAGATGAGAACCAGAAACACATGACATGAATTTTACATGAAACTCTAGGCCCCACTGAGGCAAAGACCATGATGTGCAGTTGCCTACATGTAAGCAGTTTTGTGATTTTTCTCCAGCAGCCTCAATGGAGGTGGGAAGACTGATCTGCTATATAGAAAAGATCTTAAGACACCAAAGACAGTGAAACCTAGAACTGAGATGACTAAAAACATCTTTTGCCTTGCTCTATGTCACGAGTATTTGACAGTGAGCTGATAATTTAAATGACCTCTTTCATTAACCACTCCTTTGGCAGTGTTGAAAACACCAATTAAACCTGAACAGTGTGGCACTATTGATATTACAGGAGGATTACTATGTATTTATGTATTTGATATGCAGATTTTGACATCAACATGACACATCTTCCACCTACAGGCAAAAGGAAGAAAGTTCAGTGCCTCGTGCATTTTGGTTTAAGACTTGAATCTTTTTCTTCAAAGACAATTTCATCTACATTGACACGTTAGTATTTTGAAACAGTAAGATTTTTGTTGTTACTTTTAGTGCTGCTGTTTTTCAAATGCAAAATAATACACTATGTTGACTAAGCTTTTCAAATTCCACTTCCTTTCAGTGAGATTCTGACATATTCTGTTAGGGATGTGTGCTCCTCCTCCAACCCTCACCCCAAGCTCAGAAGTTGTGATCTAGTCCTAAAAGACATCATGACATAGGCAAGTAAAAAAGTAAATAGGAAGGAAAAGCAGGAATATGGTAACTTGGAATATTTCATCTTAATTGCCTTCTCTTACCATTTTAAGTTAGGAGTGGAATATTGTGTTGGCAGCTTTCAAAAAAGTGGTTGGCATTTAAAGTCAAAGATAAAGTTCACAATCTTCCATTCCACACAGAAATAACTTCTGTTAATCAGGGGAAAAGATCAAAGAAAAGTCAAGCTATGAGAAGGTGTGACCCCAAGCAAAAAAAAAAAAAAAAAAAAAAAAAAAAGCTAGTCCTACAATCAGAAATGGGGCAGTTGACGAGAGGAAAGGCTGCAGGCCACAAAGCAGTTCAAGGTGAAGGCCAGGCATGGCTTGTTACTGAGACAAGAATGATGGCAGGGTTGGCCACCAAGATGCCTTAGTGGCATTCATCCATTTGATGAGGGCTCCAACTAGACAAATTTTCAACTCTGGGTGACTCACGCTTCCTTGAGCCAGACTCTAAAAGTCAAGAATAAAATCACACAATTTAATTAGTCTTCTTTAACAAGGAGACACCTTTCTCTTCACACTTTCTGTTCTTAAAAAAAAAAAAAAAAAAAAAAAAAGAAGAGCACATAAAATAATGTGTACATTCTCCATGTAGTTAATCAGGAGTAAACTAAATCAGAAGGCCATGGCCTCTTCTGAACAGGACATGGAGGGGTGGTCTTCTACTTGTGCCCATGTCCAGATGATTCATTCATTCATCAGTCCATATACCCACCTATCCATCAAGAGTTCTTATCCTGTGCTCACCCTAACACTACAAAGTCCCATAACTTATGACTGGAGAGGCCATCAGGGGAGGTAAGTGCAGGGTAGCTGCTTGTCCTAAAGCTTCCTGCTGGGCACGTCCTACACTGTTTCCCAAACTTCAGGGTACTAGTCCTTTGACCTCTTTCCGAGTGTGTGTCAGGACTTAAGGAAGTGGATTTAATTTGCCCTAATGTGAGAGGACTAAGATGAAACACTAGAAATGCATCCTTCGGTGTGGTTCATGGGCCTTTAAGGTCCTCACATTGTCCTCCAGCTTCCCCTCTGGGGGATTTATTTCTATACCACTATGACATCTACTTCTTACCTTAGTAGATTTTAACAGTGCATTAGCCATCACGTCATCAAAGCCTCTGAGGCTGGCATGAGCCTTCCTGCCAATTCTGGGAAACACTTCTGGGAAAGTAAACAAGAATAGATAAGAGAGAATATTCACAGCCTCTGTCCCATTTGAATGGCCTTCAGACTTTAAAAGGTTGAGAATGACATACAGTAATTACATGTCTCATACATGAGTAGGTTTATCCTAAGTGGGACAGAGGCAACTGGGAATTAGAAAACTAGGGAGAAAGGACAGAGGCAACTGCGAATTAGAAAACTAGGGAAAAAAGAAAATTTAGTCCCTAGATGGGAACAGAGGTAAGTGAGAAGGGCCCTAAAAGGCAGTGCAGTAAGCACCTGCCAAGGCTGCTTTCCAATCACACATCTACCTGAAAAGGTATCATGTTGCAGAATGCTGCTCTCTTCTCTCCTTCCTAACCCTTTCAATTTCAGGACATTTAGTCCTCTGACTTCAAGAGAAAAAAAAATATTGGTGGGGAAAAATAGCTTGAGGAATATTGATCTGGCAAAGATTTGAGTCCTAGCATCCAAGATGGTCCTCTTCTCCAGGAGTTGCTGCCTGCTGGCTCTCCCTCCAGATTGAGTCACCTTGTCCCAGAATTACTTTTTCATGAACCTGATATCCTCAGTATCCAACCCAGAGTATAATAATTATACCAAAATCCAGTGGAAGTCTGCTAAAGCCTGTGAGTCATCCCATGAGACTCGGATAAACACCAGATTTTCCTTCTCCAGTGGCCCCATTCACAAACAGAGCACTGTCTCATGTCATTATTGCACAGAATAATGCAATGAATCTCCAACCTCTTTAGATCATGTAAATTAGTCCTCATGTTCCTTAGCTAGGCAAAGGGATCCTCCATATACTACCAGCCAGATGTTTGAGAGCAAGCTTACATCTGCCACACTGGTAGTAATCTATCCTGCATCAGAGCTGCTGTAAACATACGTGACCACAAAAGCCAGAGAGGGTTCTACATTTGGGAAATTCGCCACAGAACGGGTCTGTTCCTGATTGCTTTATACAGATTCTTCAGGCAGTTTTCATGTCAGTCATCCATTAGACCAATAAAAGATGAGTTAGCAATGTAAAAACTGACCTCCTATAATCCCAACACTTTGGGAGGCGATGCCAGGAGAATTGCCTGAGCCCAGGAGTTGGAGACCAGCCTGAGCAACATGGCGAGACCTCATCTCTACAAAAATTAAAAAAGAAAAATTGTCCGGGTGCAGTAGCTCACACCTGTAATCCCAGCACTTTGGGAGGCTGAGGCAGGCGGATCACAAGGTCAGGAGTTTGAGACCAGCTTGGCCAATATGGTGAAACCCTGTCTCTACTAAAAATACAAAAATTAGCCAGACATGTTGGTGCACGCCTATAGTCCCAGCTACTTGGGAGGCTGAGGCAGAAGAATCACTTGAACCCAGGAGGCAGAGGTTGCAGTGAGCCGAGATCGTGCCACTGCACTCCAGCCCAGGTGACAGAGCAAGACCCTGTCCCACAAAAAAAAAAAAATAGCCAGGCATGGTGGCATGTGCTTGTGGTCTCAGCTACTTGGGAGGCTGAGGCAGGAGGATTGCTTGAGCCCAGGAGGTTGAGGCTACAGTGAGCTATGATTGCATCGCTGCACTTCAGCCTGGGTGAGAGATCAAGACCCTATCTCAAAAAAATAAAAAATAAAAAAACGCTGACCTGCTGTACAAATATTAAAGAAGATGTTGACTCAGGTAGAACAGAAATTCCACAAAACTCTACCCAGGATTTCAAATGGGAGCTGTAAGTTCCCTAAGGCAAGAAGGGGCTGCTTGTGATGATGGGTATGAAACAGATGAAGCAGATAGATAGAATATGTTCTTGCTTTTTTTCCTCTTATAAAAAATGCCCACTTTACTAAATCTATAATTCTCTAATTTATTAGCTATGACCTATGGAAATTTACAATATATCAAGCACAGATCTAAGTGTCCTATATCTAAAAATGTATTTAATCCTCCTGATAATCTTGTGAGTTAGGTTACTATGATTGTGTTCATCTTACTGATGAGAACACTGAAAATTAGAGAGGTGAAGTAATTGATCTCCGTCATACAGCTGGTATGTAACCAAGTTTATGTAAGGCTAGGATTTGGTTTTCAGCTACCCTTCTGATTTACCATGATCTTTCTGGAATAGTGTTTCCCAAAATGTGTTCCATGGGAAATAATCTCAGGAATCTCTATTCAAAAAAATCCAGGCGATTCTGTTTGAAAAATACCAAAGACTATATATCCATCTACAGAGTCTCAAAGAATACTGTTAAAGAAAAAAAGGAAGAAATCGCAATACCCATAAAGTACAATGTGAACATGATGTATCAATCAATGATTAATTTTTTACTCATTAATTAATGAGGAAACTGGTAAGATTCTAACCACTATACTATAATGCCCTAAAAACAGGAGCAGAGAAAGAAACACAGCCTGGTGACCACACTCCTCTACTTTCCCCTTGACAATTAAGTCATTTTCCTCTATTTTAGATTCTACTCTGACTAACCATATCATATTGTCAGGAACTCAAATGTAATAACTGCTTGATCCATACTTTTGTTAAATGGAAACTATATGACATCATCTCCCTCCCAAAATAGGTTATTGTATTAATTCAAATACCCTAGGAGAGGAAGCAAGTTATACAAAATGTATGTTCTCCCTACTCTGTCATCACTTAGAGGAACCTAATTAGCCTCTGATGAGCAAAAGGCCAAAGAGGACATCCCCTCCTTGTAAGAATATTATGGATCAGGCCACCAAGGTGTCCCATAGGAGCAGCAGGAAAACACAAATGACCATGGCCTTTCTCTAGATACTGGGTTCTATATCTGGGGTCCATGAACAGATCCCAAGATGTCCAGGAATTGCCTGGAATTGTGGCTAATATAATACGGCTGTGCCTTTTATCAGGATGGGAGGAAGGGTCTCCTGGTTTCTGTAAGGTGAAGAACCACTGAATTTTAAGAGACTTCATGGGTACAAGTGGAAAGAAAATAAGTGCTAATATCAAACAAAACTGGGCCTCACTTGATCACTTTTGAGAGCTGGATAAACTTTGCAAAATGATTAACTTGGTTGAGCCTCAGTTTCTTCATCTTTAGAAATGGGAGGATACCAACTCTAGGAAGACTAAGTGAGAACACAAGCAAAAGCTCCTAGCTTGATCTGAAAAGTGTTTAATGAGGGTTTATTCTTTCTTTTCTCCTTGACTTCATATCTTCACTTTAAGTTGCAATATCAAAGGTCTGACAGGGAACTTAGATCTTCCAGTTGATCCAATGGAAGAGATTCTTAAGAGATTCTTACGTGTTTGGCCAAGCTCACATCTTCGACTTTCTATGATACAGATGGATCTTTTAGAGCTAAAGGGATACTGTAGAGTCTATGGAAACATCTGTGCTTAGAGAATTATTTTCTGGCAACTCTCTTTCTGCAGCTCGGTAAGTGTCTCTTGAGCAATTCTATAATTTCAAGAACCATACATGTGCCAGCAATGTTGCCAATGCAACCAAGAAAGCCTAGAGTGGTGGTCTACATTCCTAGAAATCATCTTTACTGGTGGTTTCTCACATTTGAGCAGACTTTTGTAGCAGCAGGAAATGGAATCCTTCCATGTGACCCCATTCAAACCTGACCAAATCCCTCCATCAGATCTGCTAATACCTGTCTTCCTGTACAGGAAAATCTGGGCTTGGGGAATAAGGGTGGATCCGGCTTTACACCAAGAACAGCTTGCTTTTTCCCCCTTAAGGTTTATTTTCAAGACTTAAAGCTATTTGAAAGTTCAGTTTGTTTGTGGCAGAGGCGGGGCTGTTGTGATTTGGTTTGGTTTTGGTGGAAAGAATAGTGTGACCAGAATTCTCACACCAAAATTTCCACTGCAGTCCTACCTGGGGCCACTGAGTGACATCAGGAGGGCCACCCATCCTCTTTGAGCAAACTTTCTTCCTGTTTTTATTAAATGATGCCTTTTGGTAATTTGCCTCACAAACACATCATAAATGAAGAAAAAGAGATAGGCTACACGGTACTTACGTAACTTTTGAAAAAACATTCTGCATAATCTCAGATTGGTAGATGTTCTGCACAATCTCAGAGTGAGGTACCACCAAAATTCCACAGGTTCTTAAGTGGTCCCCCAAAAGGCATGCAATATGCCCCAACTGCCAGGACATAATTACCAAGGATTTCAAACAGATCCAGCAGGATGTGCGTGATCACAAAGGCAATTTCACCGATGGTTTCTATATTTAATGTTTATTGATCCAAAAATAAAAATAACCTGATACAAAACAAATTATACATACATTGCAGGTTTGAATGGAAGTTAAAAAATACAGGGGGGGATGATTGCTAATAGACCAAAAAACCAAACCCTACTTCCTCTGGTAATGACTCCTAGTTGAAGGCTGGACACAGTATTTTCAGTTCAGTTTGTCCACGTGGTCGTTTTCTAAAGATTGCTCAAGAAGGAACTCTGAGTGCCTTCATAACCTTCCTTGAGAACCTGGACAGAGGGTAACGGAAGGTAGCAGAGAGATGCTGCCCCTTCTGGCTATCTGAGGCTGCCTATGTCAGAGCACACAGCTTCCAGCTCTGGAAGTACCAAAAGCTGAAAATACTTCTCACCAGCAGAACAGGCAATCAACACAAATGAATAAACAGACAAATGAATGAATTTGTGAAGCACTAATTATTTTTGTATACATTTCTATACTTTGATCTGTGCTTTGATTTTCCACTTTACACAGCTGTTTTAAAGTCTGATCTGCATGAAGTGAATTTCTAAAAAAAAAATTAAACACTATTTTGTAGGAGACCTATGTTTCAGATTTAATCTGAGCTTCTCAAACTGAAATTTCCATGTTCATATGATTAACATGGATATTTTATAATAAAAAGTTGGATACAAAACCTGCAGGAATTTTTTAAATAAAATTGGGACTTCAAAGAAATATTGTGTTACCAGTATGTGCTTTGGGCAATATCATCACATTCTCTTGTTTGCTATTTGGGTATCCGGAGGGGTATGTTTTACGATGCAGTGTTTGGGATATAAGAATGACTGCATGATAGATGGGTGGGAAGGATAGAATTCTATTCTGGTGACCCTGGGTAACACACCTACCAGCCTTGCATACAGATAAGTAAAACGTGATACTGGAATTGCATTTCGCTAGCTATTTACACCATCTGTAAATACTGGCAGACACTTCTATGCTGCATTCTCTCCAGTTGCCCCTCCAGATCCATTCTCCACCCTTCTCCACACTGCTGGGTGCTCCAGGAAGCTAATCCCTAAGAACCGCATCCTGCCCAGACCCTCTGGCTTCCCTCTAGTCTCAACCAATGGTAAGCATCAGCAAGAGATGCAAGGGCGGGCAAAGGTGGGAGGAGGGAGAGCCTGGGGTTCTGGTTCCCCTGGCTATCTCCCAGCCAGCCACCACCAGCAGCCATCTCATCCCCTTGCCTTTCAGGTGGCCCCAATAATTGCATCTCCTCTCCATATGCTTTGATAAAAGCTCCCTCCCCTTGCTTTTAGGCCTGGGGAAAAATGTCCCCAGCAGCCTCCACTGCCCCTAAATCCCTTGCTGGTTTCCCATAACCCTCCCCACAGAGAATCTAGAAATAGAATTTGGGTCTCAAAATTCTTAGCTCAAAATCTTCCACTACCTTTGTACACTTAAACTATGAGAAGTAATGAATTAAAACAATCCAACACACTCCTAAAAAAGCATCACTGTGCGTTACGGTGTAGAAACGGTGCAGAAACAAACTGGTACAATTCACCAGACCAAAAACAACTTGCATGCTAAGCAAGCCTGAGTATACTAATCCCACAACAATGGGGTCTGCCAATCACACACTTTTCAGGAACATAAGCCCTGCAGTTGACAAAGGATAATTATTAAAAAGTGTTTAGTAGGATGTGTTCAGCTGTGAACCCAAAATATCTGAGACAAGTCTCAGTCAACTTAGAAAGTTTATTTTGCCAAGGTTAAGGACAAGCTATGACACAGGCTTAGGAGGTCCTAATGACATGTGCCCAAGGTGGTTGGGGCACAGCTTGGTTCTATACATTTTAGGGAAACATGAGACATCAATCAATATGTGTAATATGTACATTGGTTCCTCTGGAAAGGCAGAACAACTTGAGGTGGAGAAGAGGGCTTCTAGATCATAGGTAGAGAAGAGACAAACAGTTGCATTCTTTTGAGTTTCTGATTAGACTTCCACTGAATATACAACTTACAGAAATAGTCACTTACGCCTTCACTGGCTTAGTGAAACAATAGGGCAGTGGAAGCAACCAGATATACGCATTTGTCTCATGTGAGCCTCAGGGTGATGACTTTGAGTTCTGTCTGTCCTTTGCCTACTAGGAATTTCCTTGTGGGCAAATTTTTTTTTTTTTTTTTTTGTGACAGAGTCTCGCTCTGTCGCCCAGGCTGGAGTGCAGTGGTGCGATCTCCGCTCACGGCAAGCTCCACCTCCTGGGTTCACGCCATTCTCCTGCCTCAGCCTCCCGTTTAGCTGGGACTACAGGTGCCCACCACCACACCCGGCTAATTTTTTTGTATTTTTAGTAGAGATGGGGTTTCACCATGTTAGCCAGGATGGTCTCGATCTCCTGACCTCGTGATCTGCCTGCCTCAGCCTCCCAAAGTGCTGGGATTACAGGCTTGAGCCACTGCACCCGGCCCCTTGTGGGCAAATTTTGAGGGAGGTATGCAGCCTTTTTATCTTTGTATTAAACAGCTATGTTATTTAGGAATAAAATGGAAGCAAGTTTGCCTGACACAGTTCCCAACTTGACTCTTCCCTTGGCTTAGTGATTTTGGGGTCCCAAGATTAATTTTCCTTTTATATGTCCTTTGACTGGAGGTATCTAAAATGAAGTGGCATCATTCATCTGGGGTAATATCCAAGGTTCATTGTCCCATGCCAAGGAAATCAAGGTTATGAACACACAAGGAGTGAGGTTAAGAGAGGAGGTTTAATAGGCGAAAGAAAGAGAAAAGCTCTCTGCTGCAGAGAGAGGGGGTCCCGAGCAGGTCTTCTGGTCCATAGTGAAATGCAGATTTTATAGATGAGCTTGAGAAGGCAGTGTCTGATTTACATAGGGCACAAAAGATTGGTTGGACAAGGTGTGCCACTTGCACACGTGAAGAACTGGTTAGGACTAGGTGTGCCGTTTGCATAGTGCACAAACAAGCTGGCTGCCTCACCCTAATCTTTTATTACGCAGTTGAGTTGTCTACGTGGCCAGTGCCATGTTGTCTGCTTTTTCACTGTGGTAACAAAGAAACAGAAGATGGATCCTCCATGTTGAACATGCCTGGTTCTCAGGTAGCCCTTTTCTATTGGCACAGCTGCCGGCATTCACCTGTGCAAGCTTCCAGCTTGCTTATCTATGTTGGCAGCTCAATTTTTCAGGCTGATTGTTTTTAGAAAAGCAATGATTTAGGGGCTTTGTTTTTTGTTAAAAGGGAAGCCTTGCTGAGGACTCCTTTACCCTCACTATCTGCCTAAATAATTTATTTCTAGCTGCTGTATCAAAAGGGCAGAAGTTGTTTTCCCCTTTTAATGACTGCAAGACTTATCACAAAAGTTTACACAACATAGCTTCATCATTATTGGTAAGATGTTGATTTTCCTCCATTGAGAATGCAAGGCAATCACAACCAATTTCATAGGTACATAAGAGACAAGGTACATAAGATCTGGCTCTTTTGAAGAAATTAACAAGCTAATTCTCAAAATCACCTGAAAAGGAAGAAGATGCAGAATAGTCAAAACAATTTTTGGGAAAAAGGAGAATAAAGAAAGGATGCTACATCCCACTCCAAAGCTCTTCAGAGACAAGAAGCCCAACCTTCAGAATACAAAACTGAAAATGTGATGAGTTATTTCTGCCCTGCTAAAAAGGTAGTTTCATTCAAAACCTTTGACCCTAATACCTAGAAAAGACTAAGCATAGTAAAACTAAACAACCACAAACAACTAACTTCCTATGAGCCTTATTTCATGTCCACAGGGAAATCAAATCCCACATATGGTCTTGGTGTAAAGCACAGGGGCTGTAAGGTATTAGAAAAATCGGTGTAGAAAAAAGCTGGACTGTTTTCAGAAAAATGACCAACCATGTTACTAAGACAAAACCTCTCTCTATGGACTGCATTCTCACAAGATAATTACTTTAGATTCACCAGATATACTGGTTCTACATCTTATTATATGAAATAATATGGAAGTATTTCTCTGCCTTCTATTTAAAATGATCGAGATATGTTTGCTTTCTAAAACTTTAGGTTTTGTTATTCCACTCCTGTGTATCTGTTAAAGCCATAATTTACAACACTTAATATTTTATTAGTGAGAACATTGAAAGAATGTTGTTGTCTGATCAATACAACATCCTGGTTATCCGAAAGGAGTAAACACTTCCAACTCTTGTTATAGCATAGCTTCCAAGAATAAGTTAGTCATCTTGATGAATGTATGAAGCAATAAGTATGCTGATTCTTTATTGGATGAAATCCTTTCATTCCCTTACATTTCCTCCCCTAAATCCTTGCCACTTAAAGTGGGTCCTCACACCAGCATCAGCCTCACCAGGGAGCTTGCTAGAAATGCAGTATCTCAGGCCCTATTGCACAGTACAATCCACAATTTAACAAGATTCCCATGCAATTCATCTGTGCACTAAAGTTTGGAAAGCCTGTTCTAAATTACAAACTCAATGTCAAGCCCTACAGGTAAATGGAGGAACCAACGTCATTATTCTGGGCATTTGATGTTGATGCAGACAAAGATCAGATAATCAAATTGAAGCTGTAATGATCACACGATACACCACAAATGCTGGTTATTAAAATACATGCATGATCTCTGTTTCGCATTTCCCTCATTCTTTTTTAAAATTATTTTTATAGATTTTGGGTATATAAGTGTCATTTTGTTACATGGATATACTGCGTAGTGGTGATGTCTGGGCTTCCAGTGTAACCATCACCTGGATAGTGTGTATTGTACCCATTAGGTAATTTATCATCCCTCCTCCCTCTCCCACCACTCACCTTTCTATGTCTCCAATGTCTATTTAAGCAGAGGACGGAAATATTTCCAAATGCTTAAGTGTTTTGGATGGTTGGCTGGGTTTCGGTTGTTTGTAGTTTAATTTGCATTTTAATGAAGCCATCACAATTAGATTTGTATAAAAAGATGATTCCGCAAATCTCCACAGGAAGTGGAATCATTCTGATTAGTCACATTTTTCACATTTTTGTCGTAAAAATGTGAATTAAATTTGAATATCTGGCTCAGTGACACTCAAAAACTTCACATAAATGAAACAGTAACATCCATGAAGCTATTCCTGACCATGACCCAAAATGATAAACCATCAGTGGCTTGCTCAAAACCCCTGTGGATGATCCTGCCCTTTCATGTGGAAACAACAACTGAAACCAGATGAGCTGCACCTGGTTTTGGATTTCAGCACCACTGTTTCAAGCAACTCAGATTACAAGCAGGGGATTTTAACATCAGGCAAATCTATGTCAGATTTCCTACGATGACTTTTTACATAAAATAAGAAATAGGCTTTAACTCTATCTTGTGTGCCATAGCATCATTAACAATGAACCAATCTTCACTTCTTCCTCCAAAACCTAAGGAACAATCAGCAACCAAATCCCTCCTCAGCAAGTGGCTGTGAACAAGGCACCATGTCTGCCCTGTTCTGATCATCTGCAAATAGGAAGAATAGTCAATGCTTCTTTCACATTTACAGTTGAAGTAAATGCAGGTTTTCTCTCCCCATCATTTATTGCCTTCTTTCTTTTTTCCTTTCCCTCCTCACCTCCTATTAGGAGTCCCCAGACTTTGTTAGCATACAGTATATTTAAATTATGCTGCGAAAAGTGGCCAGTATTAGAGAAGAAACTTTCATTTTGTATAAGTGTCTGTCTAAAGAGTCTGAAGGGCTACACATCCTCCAAGAATGCCCAGGACCTAAATAGTGCAAATACCTTCCCCCACGGCCCATGGACCCAGGGATGTGAGTGGAGAGCCAAAGGGATGCTAAGGAAAGAGGAGAGAGGAAAAGAGAAACAGAAAGAATGAGGGAGAGAAACATCCGTGGCTGCACATCCCAGGTAGGCTGCCTATGAAATGTTAAGCAACAAACTGTTAGAAAATTGGAAAAGTAAAGAAATGTCTGCATGACACTCAGGAATTAACATGGGTGCAAGAGCAACTGAAATGCACTTCCTTTTAAATTCCTAAATTCCTTTGTAATTTAGAATATGGAGTGGACATACACTGTCCTCAGTGTTGAAGGCCAAACTAAAGGATTACATAACTAGTTGGAAAAACAAAAGATAAAAAGTGTACATTTAAATAATTCACTCTCAAAGAAAATTATCCAGGAAACCAGAAAACTTCATACAGACTTAATATGCCAAGTACATTTTGAATCTCCAAGAGGAAGATGCAGAATGCAGTGTTCTCCAATTTTTCTTTTCTGACAAGAGAACCCTTTTGTCAAAAATGAGTATCCTGCAAGACTAATCTGTACCAAATGGACTTGGAGGGAACTCTGGGCCACACCATAGAGATCCAGACCCCAGGACCCCCTGCACTTCAGAAACAGAGCTCCTTGGCCTGGCTGGCATAAGGACCAGCTGGCAGGCTTCTGATGCAGGAGGTCTGCACAGATCATTTGGATGAGCACCAGAACTGCTCTCATTTGCCAGATATGGGCAAATCCCTATGCATATTCCATAGGAGTAATTATTTTAATTTAATACCCAATTTATACAACACCCAGAAGTAAGCAACATGAACTAATAATTAGATGTCTTGATTTTACCAAGTGCAAGCTCTATCACCTGGAATAAGTCACCAAGGCTCTGTGAGCCTCCTTTCCTCCTCTGTTTACTGACCTGCATCTCCAATCAGGGTCCTGAAGACCACTTGTGCCCAAACACAATCTCTACATTATAATCCCTGCCAGGTGTATGTCAGGTTACTGGGATGCACACATCAGCACCATTAATTTCCCTATGTAAATAATTCAATATCAGCCAGGCTCAAATAAGGGAAGGGAAGAGCTTTGGAGAAGGTTCATGACCTTGACCCTGTTCTGCCAAGTAGAAGCTAAAGTTTTCTCATCTCCTCCTCTTCTCTTTCTCTATCGCTCTTTCATGATGCAAGTGACAACTAATTAAATAAAACTATCTGTGAAATACATGTGCATTGAGACCTCCCAGAGACAAAGATGCAACCTTCTGCCAGCCCCAAATCCAATCTCTGCTGTTCCCTGTGCCCAGGGGAACGGACCCAATGGACTGCATTACCCAGGTTCCCTTGATCTTAACTTCCTGTAAGCCAGTGGGAGAGGCACCAGCAGGAGAGGAAAGGTCAGGCCCTGCTCCATCCTGCTTTGAACTATTTCTGGCAGTCCCTAGGTCAATTCATACCTGTCTGGAGACCTCTCCTTTATGACTTCTGATCTCACTGGGACCAGTTGTACCATTTTCTCTCCTTGCCTCTTCCGGCCTTGCAGTGGTTATAGCTTCATGCTATTGTTACTGGTCTTTGGGGGCCTCAACTCCACTGTGGATTCCCTTAACACTTCCCACACTTCCACAAACACTCCATGCAGTAAAGCCTCTTGAACCATCTGTGCTGAACTCTGCTTCCTGCCTGCCGAGCTCTGGCTGATAGAGTCCCAGACCATCTCTGGCCCTGGGGATCATCACTGTTCCAGTGTACCCATCCTGAACCCAAGGGGGCTGCAGACAACCATTTTGTAGTTTTAAAACACACATGCAAATATACATAGTCACGGAATAAAAAACGATGTCTGGAAATAGGTTACTGAGGGATCACACGTGCCATTTTAAAGCACATCAAGCAGTGTGCATTTAAATATACATTACACTGAGTTAAAATTCTAAAGTCCTAATTGCAAAACAAGCCTGCACCCAAGGAAGGACAACAGATATTTATTCAGATTAAATATTGTCCTCCTGAGCTTTCATTACACTTCATGGGGCCTTGAGTATTGCCAAAATTTGATTTCTGTAAAATAAAACTCCAAAACTCAAATTGATACACATTGGAGCCTGGTGGTTTTCACAGCAAAGCCCTCTGGGCAGGGCTGGAATCACATGCTTGGAGTCTCATCCTCCAACCCTGCAGGCTAAAAAAGAGTTTGGTTTTGGCTACAGATAAAAAAGACAGATCATTTCCTGGTTTCACCAGAGTTGTTAGGAGTATTGAGCTTATTAGAGAATTTACAACCAAAGAGCTGGGGCTCTTTAAGCATCACTAGACTCTGCCTCCAAAAGAGCACTCCTCATAAGGTGCTGGGGGCCTTAGTGACCCGCAGCCCCAGCTGCATCGTTTCTGCCACATCACATTCCATTGTCCACACTCCTCCAATTCCCCTGCCTGGCTGGGACTAGCTTCCTGACACCAGGAAGATGCACAGAGCCACATTCTGGGCATTTTCATCAAGCCTACCCAAGCCTCTTTCCCTTTGAAGCCCATGAAGAATCTTGGATTTGTGCACATTATGATTTCTGGTGGCTTCCCAAATTCAGCAGATAACCAGGTAAATCTGAAGCTCAAGTAACTCCAAATGCATCCTGGGCCTTCCTGTCTGCTCCATGTGTATGTCTCAGAAGAATTCACAATCATGTTCTATAGAAGGCTAAAATCAGTAAATGAGCGTTTTTGTGAAGTCACAATGTGATTTAGCCTTTCTGGAGTACACTTTGGCAGCATTTATCAAAATCCCTTAAAATGTCTATACTTATTGACCCAGCAATCCTACTTCTATAAATATGCTTTAAAAAAAATCAAAGATATGCCCAAAGATAAGACTACAAGAATGTTCATTATAAATACTTTACTTATAATAGCAAAACAGTAATGGCAAACTAAATATCCAAAAATAGTTAGTTAAATATATTACTGGCATTTCCACTTCTTAAATTATGAGTGGGCTAGAAACCCAGAACAACTCTCCAACTCAAAATTTCCAGACAAAATATAAGCTTGTTTTCAATGCATTGCTGAGCTAGCAGAAAGTCAGGAATTCCACAAGGCCAATAAAATGGTGTGGGAGGCTTTAGCCCAGAGGGCATCTTCCACTGTTTTGACAGCTGCACTGGTGGGACCAATCAGATATAAAGTTTAGATACGGCTAAGCCAGAGTGAGAAGTCTACCAGGAGATGCACACCCTCTTCTCCCCAACCTTAACCTGCATAAGGTTAAGACCCCAAGGGGTTACACTTTCAATGTGAATTAAGGTACCTGTAAATGGTGAATTAGAATTATACCTGTCCCCAGAAGGAGAGCATAAAGAAAAGTTGCCTGTTTTGACCTGGCTATTGGGGGAAGTGGAAAGAAACCCTTTCCTTGAAGTGGTGAGCACAACTTGGCCATGGCATTTGAGGTCCACAGTCCCATGTCAGGGCAAGAGTTAGAATCTCAAGTGGAGAATTTCATTTAATGCAGTTCTTTGGGAGACCAGTGAACAATCACTTGAGGCCAGGTATTCAAGACCAGCCTGGGTAGCATAGTGAGAACCTGTCTCTAACACAATTTAAAAAAAAAAAAAAAAATTAGCCAAGCATGGAGGCTTACACCTGTAGTCCCAGCTGTGGGTAGGAGGATTGCTTGAGCCCAGGAGTTTGAGGCTACAGTAAGCTATGATCATGCCACTATACTCCAGCCTGGGTGGCAGAGAGAGACCCTGTCTTTAAAAATAATAAATACATACATTCATAAATAATAAAGCAGTTCTGAGCTGATGAATTCATAGTCCCCTCATTGATGGTACCTGCAAGGGCTGGCCTTGACAAACAAAAATCTCCTCTGGAGGAATTTAACTTCAGCCCCATCTTCAAAGAATTCCCATGTGTTAGGTTCTAAGGAATATTATAATAAGGAATGCTAGGCTTAATAATAAATTCATTTCCAGAATCTTCATAAACACAGGAAAATATTCACAGTATTTTACTATGTGAAAAATTCTGTATGATAATAAGAAAATTATAAAAATTAGATAGATCTGAAGGCTATGAGCAAGTATGTTTCCACTGCCTAAAGTCAACAGGGATCAAATTATGGGTTTTCCCACTTTTTTCTCATAATTTGTAGTGTTTTCCAAATGTTCTATAAGCATATATACTTTAGATATTAGAAAAAAAATTTATTGAGAAAGCCAAATACCACATGTTCTCACTTATAAGTGGGAGCTGAGCATTGGGTACACATGGACATAAAGATGGCAACAACAGACAATGGGGACTCCTAGAGCTTGTGGGGAAGGAGGAGGGAAGGAGGAGGCTAAACTAACTATTGGGTACTATGTTCAGAATCCATTGTACCCTAAACCTCAGTATCACACAATATACCCAGGCAACAAACCTGCACATGTACCCCCTGAGTCTAAAATAAAACTGGAATAAATAAAATAAATATTAAAAATAAAAATCAAAAGAAGATAAAATTAATTGTTTTAATTTGAAAAGAAAAAGAAAGCTATTCAACAAAACAGCCTTGAAAAGAACATCCCAACCTTTAAAAAAATGTGATCGAATTCCTGCTATCTTTTGGTTCCCCTAAAGAAAATACTAGCCGAAGCACTGATGTGAGCATTGCATAATTTTACTGTTATTAGACACCTGCTGTATGCCAGACCCTGCTAGGCATAAGAGGAAAAAAAATGAATGAGAAACTGCCCAGGCCTTCAGGAGCTCACAGCTGAGATGGGGTTTCAGAAATGAAGTAAGTGTAAAGCCCAGTGTGCCTGACGGGCTCACTCACCAGATATGGGGAGATACCAGCGAAGGCCCTCACTCACTGTAGTCCCGCAGTCAAGGAGGGCTTTCAGCCTTCTTCTTAAAGGATAACTGGGGGCGACTCAGGCAGAAGGGAAGGGAAAAGGTGCTTCTGGCAAAGGAGAAAGCACATCATTCACACCACCCTCCACTCCTGCACTCTCTGCCCCCTGCTCTGCTTTATTTTTCATCACAGCAAATGTCACTACATTATTTATGTAGTTGTTTCCTCATTTGGTATCTGTTTCCCAATTCCACTGTAAGTTTCATGAGGGAAAGGGCTTTGTCTGGTATACCGCTATCCCCATTATGTGCTAGACATAAAGACGGCAACAACAGACACTGGGGACTACCAGAGTGGGAGGGACGGAGGATGGCAAGAGGGGAAAACTAACTCTTGGGTACCATGCTCAGTATCTGGGCGTACATATGCTTAAGCAAATTGACTTGGATGAATGAATGAAAGAGAGGCAAGAAAGAGAAGCATGAGCGTAGAACAATACTATGCTTCAGTTCATTGTCTTCGGACCACAACACCAAATTCCCAAGAGCAACAGGGATCCCTTGAGGAGGACAAGGGGATGATATGGTCCAGGACAGCTGTGTAGAGGACTGATTTGGGGTGGGAAACAAGGGAAGCATGGGACAAAACAGCAGGCAAGAAAGAGAAACTGAACAAAGGCGCGGGAATAGCTATATCCACTCATTCATCCCACAACTACTTAAACTACACGTGATTACATGAAAGTGACACAGCTATAGTAGTTATCACAGCCATGGGTATAGTAGTTCCTAACCCAGGTGATGTGGTTTGGCAGTGTCCCCACCCAAATCTCATCTTGAATTGTAGCTCCCACAATCCTCACATTTTGTGAGAGAGATGAGGTGGAGATAATTGAATCATCAGGGCGGTTTCCCACTATCCCTGTTCTCATTGATAGTGAGTGAGTTCTCACAAGTTCTGATGGTTGTATAAGGGGCTTTCCCCTTCACTGGGCACTCATTCTTCTCCTTGCTGCTGCCACGTGAAGCAGGATGTGTTTGCTTCCCCTTCGGCCATGATTGTAAGTTTCCTGAGACCTCCCCAGCCATGCTGAACTGTGAGTCAATGAAATCTCTTTCCTTTATAAGTTTCCCAGTCTCTGGTATGTCTTTATTAGCAGCATGAGAACAGACTAACACACCAGGCCCTGCTGTAATCTCTGGAGATAACGGCTGTGAACAAGACAAAGGCCCTCCTCCATGGAATTTATATTCTCTTGTGAGAGACAGTTAAAAAAAATTGAATAAAATAATTTTAAATAGTAATTCATCCCAGCACTTTGGGAGGCTGAGGCAGGTGGATTGCCTGAGCCTAGGAGTTTGAGACCAGCCTGGGTAACATAGCAAAACCCAGTCTCTACTAAAAATAAAAAAAAATTAGCCACGCATGGTGGCACACGCTGTGACCCCAGCTACTCAGGAGGCTGAGGTAGGAGGATTGCACTCCAGCCCGGGTGATAATGAAGCCCTGTATCAAAAAAAAAAAAGTATTTCATGTTATATGAAGAAAAATACAGGAAAGGAAAAAAGAGAAAGATCCATGAAACATTTAAGAGGTAAAAACCGCAAGACAAAGTAACCACAAAGCTGCCTATGAATTTTCAGAATGCTCCATCTTGACTTCAGTGCTAAAGTAAAGAATCTTCCTGAACACTCTAAGCACAGTTTCTAGAGAAAGTCCATCTAATCAAGAGCACATAACAGATGGTTCTTGATCTAGTTCCACAACACACAGCTCAAGGGCAATGCACTGATGGTTTGGGGCTGCCATATACCAGGGGTTCTGCACCACCCACAGGCGACAGAAGCAGGTGGAGTGCACCTGGCCAAAATCCATTGCTTGGGATTCCAAAGAGAGAGCCTTTGGCAATGCAGCTCTGCAATTAGCGGTCTGGTTTTATACTGCATCTTTGCTCGCTCAGAGAATTGAAACTCTTCTGGACCTAAGGAGTTGTCTCCAATGCCAAACGTTAAATCTGAGGAACAGTTTTAAACACTGATTAATGCTATTTTTAGTCTGCAAGATGGTGGGAAAGACAGGAATAATGATGGGAAGGAGGGAGGAGGTGGTTAGTAAACACCTGGTTAAGAAAGACATAAAGCATTTCCTTTTAATGGAATGTTTGTTGGTTAAGAGATATAAAACAACATGTTATGTAACAATTTTCCTATCTCGAAGAAAGTTGCCTTAGAAAGACGCTGATGCTGGTTCAGCATTTGTCCTGAGACACATCCTGCTGACACACTGTACTCCGGTGACCCAGGCCAGTCAACATGGGGACAAAAGGCATCTAGAGTGACAATTGATGAAAGAAAATAACAGTCTCCTGTTTTTGCAATTGGCACGTATATAAGAAACAGACCTGCATAAAGAAGCTTATTTTGCATTCTTCTACTTGTAGTCACTCCTTTTAATCTATACTGGCAGCAACATACCAAACAGGAAACAGTGAGACATAAGGAAATTTATATATAGATTCTGAATCCAAGAACAGTTCATTTAATGAAAAACTAAAGTCACAAAGGACATGCCCTTTCCATGTTCACGTTGTCAAACTGTATAATTCATGTGTTTTCCAGCCTTCTCAGGTTCCTAGGGACCCACAAAGTGTGCAGCTTGCCAGCTGCCAGCATTTTGTAACACGGCCTGTGGGCAAACCCAGCAGGCCCACTACTGAAATCACAACCAGTTACCCAGCCGTATTACTTCAGCTTCTCTCCTGATTATGGCAACAGCAAATAACAGAGCAGTCAAAGGACTGCCTCATTTACAGCTCACCCGCACAAGGTGAATATAGATGAAGGACGATGAGGTGTAAATCTAATTTTTAGGCCGGAGAACAACAGACAGTGGTTTCTACAGAATGTCCTGGAAGAAAGTCAGGCACACTGGGTTTCCCGATGGAATGGGGAGCCAGGGATCCCAGCAATACACCCCAGTCAGCCCTCACTGACAATAGGCTCACATGACCAGCTGGATCCCTGAGTCAGACTATATAGAAACAAATGGAAGTTCCACCTTGTCTCTCTGACACTTGGGGATGTCTAATTTTCACAACTTCACTTACTGAATACTTATGCTGTGCCAAAAACGGTGCTGCATGCTTTATTTCACTTAAGCCTCACAAATACCCTATAATATAGGTACATTACTAGTCCCATTTTACAGATGAGAAAACTGAGGCTTATAGGTTGGAGTAATTGGCCTAATGTCGCATAATTAGTAAGTGATAGAACTGGGACTAGAATTCCAGATCTGTGCTTTCGATAACCTATTCCTGCTTCAGTATGCCGAGTTTGTGGATCATCTCAGGTCAGGAGATCCCATCATGCTCCTCTTGCAGCTGACACCTATGGCGCCTGTATACATGGATTAGTGGCTGGGATCACCTAACCAGTCCACTTGAAGCACAAAGCAATATGATAAAACAAAAGTGGCATCCACAGATAATTCTTCTGTTTCATATGGAATTCTGCTCATTGGTATACTGTGGTTACAAAAAGGCCCACAAAATCTTTCATTTCCTGTATGCAGTCTGCTTCGCAGTGTGACCCTTCAGCTCCTCCCATGAAGAGGTGAAGGCTATCTCTCCACCCTTGAATTTGAAATTAGCCAAGTGATTTTCTGTGGCCAATGAGAATTTAACAAACTATAGGCAAGCGGAGGCTTGAAAAGTCCCTACTCATGATTATACTTTCTTTTGCTTAAGAATCCTGGGCCCTCCTCTCTGTGGACAAACCCAGGCTAGTTTGTTAGATGATGCAGTACACACAGCCATCTCATCCCAACCGCCCCAGCCAATAGCGAATCAACCACCTATCAGTCCATCCAGCCCCAGAAACTTGCAACCTCAGTTGATATTAGCTGAGACAGCCCAGACCAGGAGAATTCCCACCTGGCCCATGGAATTGAGAGAAATGATAAACATTTGTTGTTTTCAGCCACTAAGTTTTGGGATGGTTTGTTACACAGTGCAAGCTAGCTGGCACAAGAATTTAGAAAGTAAAGCTCTGACATCTTTGCAGTATTATCAGTAGCACAACGTAACTTGGGCCACATTCCTCTCATCCAGACAGCACTGCTAGATGGGTTATGTCTGTTCAAGAAGAGAACTTGTTCTAAATCCAAGCCAGTAGCACAATGCATGTTTGTTTGTTTTATTTTGTGTTGTTTGCAGCCTACCTCATTCCCAACAGTTTTGAATTGAGTACCACTCCTAGGGTGGTTCCCAAGGCTAGCTGCAGCACAGCACAATCACCTGGGTAGCTTCGAAAAAATACTGATGCACTAGGCCCATCCTCAGGGATGCTGATTTCCTTGGTCTGGGGTGAGGCTGAAGTCTGGCTATTTTATTTTCTAGAATCAGAATGTGATACCTCTGCCATTGGCTAAATGATATGTTATATTTATTACTTGTTCTCTCAAACTTGGGCTATCAGGAAACTTTAAAAACCCATGCTTTCAATTAAAGCAAGTTAACTCTTTCACTAGGAAAAGTTATCTTTAATGAAGCATCAACAGATGCTTAGCCTTTCCTGAAGCACTTAAATGTCAGTATTTGCAGGCCAGTAACCAAGACCCACAGCAGGCATGTGGTTAAACTAACAGGGAAGGCATATGGCCACTGCCATGTGAGATCTCAGCAAGTCACTGAACCTCTCCTATATTCATCTTTCCTATTTGGAAATAGGTAGGTGTTGAATAACGAACCACGAAGTTCCCCTCCAGCCCTGAAAGCATGACTGTTTAATAGTTATCAACATTCCAAGCTAAATGAGCAATACCTGGTTCCTCTCATGAGGTTAGACTGCTAGCCCTGTCTTATCCTCCAGAAAGTGTCATATGTACAGCCCAGAGGTACCAGCACAATGGGTCATGCATCAGTCACTGACTCAGTCAAGAAGCAGAGTGCCAACATGTGTCAAGCATTGTGCTAGGCACTGCACAACAGAAAGAGGGCGAAATGCTGGCATTCCTGAGCTTATCCTGTTTAGAGAGAAGCAGAGGAGAGAAAAATAAAACCACAGAGCTTCATGACTGGCACTTGATTGAACCCTCAATGAAGGAGAAAGGTGGAACCACTTCCGGTTCAGATGAAGGAGGGTGCTGAGAACTGAATGTTTGTGTCCCAGCGAAATTCATATGTTGAAACCCTAATCTTCAATGCCATGGTACTTGGAGATGGGGCCTCTGGGAGGCAAATAGGTTTAGATGAGGTCCTTGGGATGAAGCCCCCATAATGAGATTAACGTCCTTATAAGGAGAGGAACAGACACCAGCGTTTCCTCTCTCTGCCATAAGAGAACACAGCAAGAAGGTGGCCATCTGCAAAAGCAAGAAGAGGCTTCTCACTAGACCCAGAATCTCCTGGCACCTTGATCTTGGACTTGTAAGAAAAAAAAAAAAGTGTTGTTACTTAAACCACCCAGTCTATATGTTTTTTTTTTTTTGTTATGGCAGCCGAGGCTGACTAAGACAGAAGACTTTTCCAAAAACGGTGGGACTTCAGATGAGGGCCAAGTAGAAAACAAGGTGGGGAAGTGAGATAGGTGGAAATGAAGGAGAGGAAGAAAAAAGTCATTTCATGGAAGGAAACGTGAGGCTAAAAGAGAAAAATGAAAAAAGTCAGCAAGGTAAGCACAGAGCAACCTCCCTAGACAGAGAAAGAAAAAAAAATGGTTTGTTTAATCCTAAGCAAAACACATTGACACTTTCTATTCTTTCCAATAAACCTGACATTCAAAAGAGAAAGTCATCATTGTCTGGCAGCACTAAGCAGCTAGTTGTCTGACAGGGAGAGGCCATGCTAACTGCTTTAGAGTTTCCTTTTCTAATTAAATCAATTAATTTTAAAGCACGTCTTAAATTGGGGTGATGTCGTTTATAATACTTTGACAGCATCAAGAAGGAATCGCTAGTTCATAAATATGTATTATCAGCTACTGGCACAGCAGAGAAGGGAAGAAAGACTTAAAGGCCTTTCACACCATGAAAGTGACAGATCCGAGGCAAAAGTTGAGGAATCCTAAGTCCAGAGGGGCTGGTAAGACTCACAGTCTCAGCCTCTGAGGCAATATTGGGATTGTAACAAAATACTCAAAGGAATCATGATATGAGCACAAAAAGAGGGAGAAGAGGGGAGGGAGAGGAGAGGGGTATGGAGAAAAGGGGAGTGAAAATGTAAGAGAAAGAAAAAAAAACCAAAAGCATCTTTTATTTGTGATGTGCCATTATTAAGAATATTGCAGCTAAAGGAATAAACAAACAAAAATCAGCAATGCAAGGAGTGTGTCTTCATACTTATTTTTCCTCTTCTTTAAAGGGGTAAAGCTTAACTTGAAACAGAATTCCAAGCCATCATTAGTCTCAGATACAGCTTACCTGAATGTTTCTGTAAGTTCTCCTTACTGAGCATAGCCACGAGTACCTGAATTCAACCCTAGTACCTTGAAGTCAACTACATTTGCACCCAGTTGGGAAACCAATTGTTAAGCATGTTATGTTTTCCTATTTGAATTAAAATGTGTTTTCTAAAGAAAAGGCATTAGAAAGAGATTTTTCAGGCCTATCACTACACATGCAGATACTTGTTAAGCACTGAATGATGAATGAATGAATGAATGAATGAATGAATGAGTGAATGGATAACTACTTTCCATGGTTCACCCAGGGGCAGCCTATTAATTGCACACATAAATGCCCCCATAGAACCAACCAGTCTTCTGTAAGGAGAAGACTCTCTAAACCAATTCTTTTTCATTTATTTATTTCAATCACTTATTCTCAAATACTATTCTCAAATTCTATTTGAGAACCTACTAAGTCAGATGCCTTAACAAACACATCATGATTAAATTATTTCATTCTATGGTATTTGGTGAGTATTCACACCTCAATTTCCTAGGAGGCTATGAGCTCCACAAAAGGAAAGGCCTGACTTAAGTAACTTTCCAAAAGTCATACAACCAAAAAGTACTATAATTGGGTTTTGAGTCTAAGAATCTGGCCCCCAGGATCTGAATAGCTGTGAGCTACAGTCTTTCTCTTGGGGGCTCAGTAAATATTTGGGGAATGAAAGATTTACATATGATCCATGACTTTAAAATACCTTGAGAAGAGCAATAATACACATTACTTTTAAATGAATCATATTTGAAAACAAAAATTATCCCAAAAGTGTTAGGAATAATTCTGATTTAGATATAAGTGCTCTGTTACCAAAACATGGAAAGTCTAAAGAAAAGAAATATTTCTTATCTCAAAGACCAGCAAACACCACCATTAGCATTTGACATATTTTCTTATGTTCTTTTACTGCGATTACTTATTTATTTTTACACTTCTGGAATCATGTTTTCCTTCAAATTATATCCTAAGAATGTTATCACCTCACCACACATTTTTCAAGCATCTTAGTCACTCCATAATATGTTACCCCATGAATAGACCCCAACTGGTGTGATCAATCATTCCCTTCTTGACAAACACTTGGGTCGCTTCCAACTTTTTACAATAATGAAATAATTCTTTAGGGTTATTCTCCTTAACTATTCTTTCACAGTTTCTCTATTGAATTAGAACAAATCCCTAGCATTTTTAATTAAATGTGTAGTTGAAGTAAAATATCTCCACAAATTATGTGAAAGCAAGGGCATAACTAGGGTTTAGATGCTGTGTAGTTTCAGATGATGGGTCTGGGGCTCCATCACCATCACCCAGGGACTAAAGTGGAGATGAGGTGACAGAACCCCTGCACACGTCAAGCAGGGATCAGGGACTATACAGACTGTGACCCACTTGCAGGGCAGTGTGAGAGATGGGAGGGCTGTGGAACAGCCTGACAGAAAAGCAGCTGCAGAGAAAAGTCCTCAAGTGGCAAGGTGGTGGCCACCTGGACCTGGTAAGAGGGCTGGTGGTGAGGTAAGAGGAACAGAGCACAGGTGAGAAGAGAAGGTACTGAGCATGTGGACCTGGGGACCAGAGAGCTGGTGCCCAAAGACCATGGGGAACAAGCCATGCCTCAGGGCCACCATCATGAACAAAGGACAGCACAAAACCAGGAGACCCTCAAAGATGCTGGGATGATCCAAATCCTCAGATATTCAGCTCACTCCTATTACCTAATAGATGGAAAGTGAATTACCATCTACAGGAAATAAAGTGTCTCCTTCCCAATACTTAATATACTGCCTCTGTTCTCAGGCATCCTTCTGAATTAAGAATGGCTATTTGTAGGTCGAAGTGGTGAAAAAACCTTATCAAGGTGAACATAAGTTTTATCTATAAATGCATACCATAAAAAGAAAAGAACCGGCCGGGCGCAGTGGCTCACACCTGTAATCCCAGCACTCTGGGAGGCTGAGGTGGGTGGATCACGAGGTCAGGAGATCGAGACCATCCTGGCTAACACGGTGAAACCCTGTCTCTACTAAAAATACAAAAAATTAGCCGGGCGTGGTGGCGGGTGCCTGTAGTCCCAGCTACTCGGGAGGCTGAGGCAGGAGAATGGCGTGAACCCGGGAGGCAGAGTTTGCAGTGAGCCGAGATCGTGCCACTGCACTCCAGCCTGGGTGACAGAGCGAGACTCCGTCTCAAAAAAAAAAAAAAAAGAAAAGAACCTTCCTGGGATGAATCCTACTTTGTCCACATAAATGATTCCTTTAAATAATTTAATATGATTTATTATAATTTTATTTAGAGTTTCAAGCCATATTATTCCAAGCCCCTGTTTTCATGAGCTATGCTTCTTAAGCTAAGAAGTGTGTATAATGGTTTGCTAGGGCTGTCAATAACAAAATACCACAGACTGGGTGGCTTAAAACACAAACATGTACTTTCTCACAGTTCTGCAGACTGGAAGTCTGAGATCGAGGTGCCATCAACTGTTTCCTCAGGATGGTTTCTCCTTGGCTTGCAGGTGGCTACTCCCTAGATACCTCTTCACATGGTCTTTTTTTCTGTGCACGTGCTCTTTCATAGTTTCTGAGTAAAGTCTAAATCCTAATCTCTTTTTATAAGGACACTAATTATGTTGGATTAGTGCCCATCCTAATGACCTCATTTTAACTTAATCACCTCTTTCAGGGCCCTAGCTCTGAATACAGTCACATTCTGAGGTGCTAGGGGTTAGGGTTTCAACATATGAATTTGGGGGGTGGGGAGGTCACAATTCAGTGGGGGTGGGTGGGGAGGTCACAATTCCCACGTCAGTGGGAGATGAAAGCAAAGGGAGGCTGAGCTGCAAGAGTTCCGGGTCCTTCACCTCCTTCAACCCATCCCTCTCTTTCAACCAGTCATCACCCATTCTTATCTTTTCCCCTAGTTTTATCAGCTTTTTGTAAAACAGTTCCATTTAAAAGAGAAAATGCTACTAGGCTAAAAACACTGAAATAATAGTCAATGCAACATTTACAAAACTATCACTTTCCATTTAAAAATCAAAGAAAAGATATCTTCATATGAAAATATTAACAGGGACCACCTTTAGAAGAAATGTGTTTTTTCAAAACTTTCTTCCTAAGTCCCCCACCACCTGCTCCTTTCCCTTACTCTCTGTTTTTTATTTTTGCTTTTGTTTTATTTCAGGGACCTGTTTGCTTTTGTAGTATTTTCTACCTATTTAGAGGTAAAACTTCTTAACTGCTATGACCAAAAACAATAGTAATGATTTTGGGAAAAGCACCTTGAGACAAAAGCATCTCATCCTAATGTTGTCAGGCTATCAAGGAGCTCAAAATCTCTTGAAACTCATTAATGTCTTCTTTTGTCTTGTTTATTGTTTTTTTTTTGTTTTGAGACAATCTCTCTGTGTTACCCAGGCTGGCCTCAAACTCCTAGCTCAAGAGATCCTTCTGCCTCAGCCTCCCAAGTCATTAGTTATTAAAATATGCAAGGACCTAACACCATAAAAACCGTAGAAGAAAACCTAGGCAATACCATTCAGGACATAGGCATAGGCAAAGAGTTCATGACTAAAACACAAAAAGCAATGGCAACAAAAGCCAAAATAGACAAATGGGATCTAATTAAACTAAAGAGCTTCTGCACAGCAAAAGAAACTATCATCAGAGTGAACAGGCAACCTACAGAATGCGAGAAAATTTTTGCGATCTACCCATCTGACAAAGGGCTAATATCCAGAATCTACAAAGAAGTTAAACAAATGTACAAGAAAAAAAACATCAAAAAGTGGGTAAAGGATATGAACAGACACTTCTCAAAAGAAGACATTTATGCAGCCAACAGACACATGAAAAAATGCTCATCATCACTGACCATCAGAGAAATGCAAATCAAAACCACAATGAGATATCATCTCATGCCAGTTAGAATGGTGATCATTAAAAAGTCAGGCAACAACAGATGCTGGAGAGGATGTGGAGAAATAGGAACGCTTTTACACTGTTGGTGGGCGTGTAAATTAGTTCAGCCATTGTGGAAGACAGTGTGGCAATTCCTCAAGGATCTAGAACTAGAAATACCATTTGACCCAGCAATCCCATTACTGGACATATACCCAAAGGATTATAAATCATTCTACCATAAAGACATATGCACATGTATGTTTATTGTAGCACTATTCACAATAGCAAAGACTTGGAACCAACCGAAATGCTCATCAATGATAGACTGGATAAAGAAAATGTGGCACATATATACCATGGAATACTATGCAGCCATAAGAAAGGATGAGTTCATGTCCTTTGCAGGGACATGGATAAAGCTGGAAACCATCATTCTCAGCAAACTATCACAAGGACAGAAAACCAAACACCGCATGTTCTCACCCATAGGTGGGAGCTGAACAATGAGAACACATGGACACAGGGCGGGAACATCACACAGCAGGGCCTGTCAGGGGTTGGGGGCTGGGGGATGGATAGCATTAGGAGAAATACCTAATATAAATGACGAGTTGATGGGTGCAGCAAACCAACGTGGCACATATATACCTATGTAACAAACCTACACATTGTGCACATGTACCCTAGAACTTAAAGTATAATAAAAATTAAAAAAATAAAATACAATACACAAAGATAGAACTATTATCACAATGCATTGCTATCCATGAATCCTTCAAATCATATTCTGTAAGAGTACCTTTCTGCCCATGCAGAAATATGTTGTCATCAAATGGATGTTACTAACCTAAGCTTTCAACTGCAGGAAAAGCTTATGTTTTAGCTGCTTTGCACTATTCAGAAAAGCTCAAATTGAAAATAATTAGAATAGTTTTTAAGCCAGGAAATTGAGTTTTGTGTTTACATCATTCCTCTAACCTCCATAGTAATAATAATAATCAACCCATGTGATTATTATGACTCTCCATTTGAATCTATATTGAAAATTTTGATAGCACTTAAAATTAATAAGGCAGCTGTAACAATATACCAAGTATGAATGAAAATATTTATATATTCTATTATTCATATTTATATTTTCCTGTTACATATTATTTTGATCTAGATTTCATTGGCAATACCCCTAAAATCCTACAGATTTAATAAATGTCATTCCAATTTAACTTTTCCAAGTGTCTTCACGCTCCCCAAGCTTTTAAGAAACACTAACTTTAAAACAAAACCAATTTTTCCTTATTACTGTTGGGGTATTACGTGCAAATTCAAATTAAGCCAATTTAGGTACACCATTTACATAATGTATACTTCCTAATATGTAAAGAATCCTTTAGGAGGCCGAGGCAGGCGGATCACGAGGTCAGGAGATCGAGACCATCTTGGCTAAAATGGTGAAACCCCGTCTCTACTAAAAATACAAAAAATTAGCTGGGCATGGTGGTGGGTGCCTGTAGTCCCAGCTACTCAGGAGGCTGACGCAGGAGGATGGCATGAACCTGGGAGGTGGAGGTTGCAGTAAGCCAAGATTGTGCCACTGCACTCCAGCCTGGGCGGCAAAGCGAGACTCCGTCTCCAAAAAAAAAGAATCCTTCCTTCTAAAGCTATGACTACTCTGTAATGGGTTTGAGCTAATATCTCCCCAAATTCTGAAGCAAATAAGTGTTATCACACATGGCTGCTGAACTGGTGAAGAGGCATTATTACGGTTACTATGACTATACTAATTATTCTGAAGTTGCTCCTTGATGCAACAGGAAGAGTGCTGTATTTGATTATTGATGTCTGTCACAGGCATAAGGGGCAGGCACAGAAGTGCAGGCAGTGCCTAATATCCACACCAACTCCAGGACCATGACTGACTTACCACACCTTGTGCCCAGCAGCAAGACATCTAGTTTGCATTAGGCCATGTGTGCAGGAGGGACCAATGGAAGGGAATGGAATTAATGAGAGCTGAACCCTGACACTGGCGGGTCTATAAACATGTAAGAATTGCCCAAAGGAAACTCAATGATTTTGTAACAGCTCTACATAATGGGTGATACAGATGCTATTATTATTGAGTTATATAAAAACTGATGCTTAGAGAGGCACAAGGTAACATCTGGGTCAGAATGAGACTCAGAAACCAGGTTCCTCCAACAGCAAAGTCCATGCTGTTCAGCTGTAACTATATTGCCATTAGAAGCTACATGTTTTAACATTACACTTTTAAAATGATAATGTAATCCAACCCTCATCTATTTTTGCTGATAAATATAACCTGCATCATATGAAAGTTGAGAAATAATTTATGCTACCTAAAGTAATAGTCTAAAACCCAGAAATGACTTTTGTACAAATACTCTCATCTTATCTTTTTCTACTGTTTAAAAAAAAAAAAGAAATGCCCCCAAATTAGGAACACTAAGTATGCAATTTACAATCATAAAAAGTATTTTTTAAATTACTATACACATAATTTCTAATGATAGCTAGAATTTTAATATGTGTATTCATATCTATCTATATTACAAATATCGTATTTGTGTGATTATACCTTTGTATCTAAAGAAAACAAACACCAACTCACATATGAAAAACAGAACCACCTGATAGAAGTACTTGCCGTTAGTGCAAAGCATAGTAGAACCGAAACAGAAAAAAAAAGGAACATAAAGAAAAATAATGGCTGGAATAGGGCTGCTTCCATTTTATAATAAATTGATATAACATATATATATATAAAATGAAAACACTTTTTTAAAAGAAATTTTCAAGGAAGTTAGAATTCAGAAAGTTTTGGGATGAAAAGCAAATCCCAGCCAGGGTTTTGACAGGTGGGGAGGTATAAACAGAGTAATCCGTGTGAGAGGTTGGTTATGAGTACCATTTTGATTAGGCTGACCACAGCCTTAGAGGCAATAAAAAAGTGGCATTAATAGGTCTTTTGAGATATTATGTATATGTTCTTTCTTATTAACATAGAAATGGAAGCAATTTTCATAAAAACAGAAAACCAAAATATCATAATTATGTTACATTTGTCAGGTCATAAGTTTCTTGGAAATAAATTACTGAAACAAATGAATTTCATTTTTTCAATCTAAATGGTAATTCTCCATGACAGCAAAAATCTTACACAACACTGTACTGAGTGTAAATGGATGTTCAAGTAGATTATAACACTGCAACCTGCCCGGAAGTTGCCTTAACGAGTCCTGGAATTGGAGGCCCAGGACTCCAAGTCTGTTGGCAAGACTCAATCTCAACCTAAATGCAGTCTTTTGGTGAGAAAATAATACTCAAAGAAGTAGCACAAAGAACAATTTTAAACTAAGTAATGAATCCTATATTAGCAATGCAGACTTGATGGTGAGGCCAGTCTTCAAGCTTCTCATTGGTTTTTATTTTGCAGATTAGTGAGACAACATATGATCATCCAGAAACCTCCTGGATTAGTGAGTTCTGATGTTTGTATCAATCAGAAAAGCAGAAACCACTTCAAGGATTTACAGTACAGTCATGAGCCGCATAATAATGTTTTGTGTCAAAGACAGATCAAATATCTAATGGTACTCCCATAAGATTGTAGTGGAGCTGAAAAATTCTTACCACCTAGTGATGTTGCAGCCATAGCGATATCATGGCACAATGCATTACCCACGTGTTTGTGGTGATGCTGGTGGAAACAAACCTGCTATGCTACCAGGCATATAAAAGTCTTGCATATGCAATTATGTACAGAACATAATGATAGTGATAAAAAATGGCTAGGTTACTGGTTTCTGTATTTACTATACTTCTTATCATTAGGGTGAATTCCCATCGATTAAAAAAAAATAACTGTAAGTCAGCCTTGGGCAGGTCCTTCAGGAGGTGTACCTTCCAAAAGAAGGCATTGTTGTCCTAGGAGATGACAGCTGCATGTATGTTAGTGCCCTGAAAACCTTCCAGTAGGACAAGGCGTGGAGGTGGAAGACAGTGATACTGGTGATCCTGACCCTGTGTAGGCCTAGGCTAATGTGTGTGCGTCTCAGTTTTTAACAAAAAAATTTATATATATATATATATTTATATATATAGAATATATATATAGAATATATATATATTCAATATATATATATTCATATATATAGAATATATATATTCATATATTGAATATATATAGAATATATATATTCATATATTGAATATATATAGAATATATATATTCATATATTGAATATATATATTCATATATACAGTATATATGAATATATATATTTTTATATATTTATGAATATATATATTTTTATATATTTTTATATATGAATATATATATTTATATATAATTATTTATATATTTTTATATATTAATTATATATATAATTATAAATATATATTAAATATATATTTATATATATATTTTTATATATATTTATATATGAATATATATATTTATATATAGAATATATATATTTATATATAGAATATATATATTTACATATAGAATATATATATTTTTATATATTTATATATATTCTATATATATAGAATATATATATTTATATATAGAATATTTATATAGAATATATTTATATAGAATATATGGAATATATTCTATAAAATATATATTCTATATAAATATATTCTATAAAATATATATTCTATAAAATATATATATTCTGTATAAATATATATATTTATACTTATACATAAATTTAAAACTAGAAAAAAGCTTATAGAATAAGGATATAAAGAAAGAAAATATTTTTGTACAGGTGTACAATGTGTTTGTTTGGAGCTGTTATTACAAAAAACCTCTAAAAATTAAAATGTTTATAAAGTAAAATGTTACTGTGAGCTAAGGTTATAGTGAAGAAAGAGAAGTATGATTTTGATAAATTTAGCATAGCTTAAGTGTACAGTGTTTATTATCTACAGTCATGTGCTGCCCTAGGCCTTCACATTCACTCACCACTCACTCATTGCTCACCCAGAGCAACATCCAGTCCTGCAAGCTCCATTCATGATAAGTACCCTATACACGTTTATCTTTTTTTTTTTTTTGAGATGGAGTTTTGCTCTTCTTGCCCAGGCTGGAGTGCAATGGCACAATCTCAGCTCACCGCAACCTCTGCCTCCCAGGTTCAAGTGATTCTCCTGCCTCAGCCTCCCAAGTAGCTGGGATTACAGGCATGTGCCACCATGCCTGGCTAATTTTGTATTTTTAGTAGAGACGGGGTTTCTCCATGTTGGTCAGGCTGGTGTCAAACTCCCGACCTCAGGTGATCCGCCCACTTCAGCCTCCCAAAGTGCTGGGATTACAGGTGTGAGCCACCACACCTGGCCAGGTGTACCATTTTTTATCTTTTATACCATATTTTTATTGTGCCTTTTCTATGTTTAGATACACAAATCCTTACCACTGTCCTACAGTTATCTACAGTATTCAGTGCAGAAACATATGGTTCAGGTGTGTACCCCAGGAGCAACAGGCTATGCTATACAGCCCTGGTGTACAGTAGGTGCTACCATCTAGGTCTGCTTAAGTACAATCCATGATGCTCACACAACAATAAAATTGCCTAACGATTTCTCCTCATTTTACCCTCATCATTATGCCACACACGACTGTACAGGGGATGCAGGGGCTGAAAAGCCAATAAGGAAGAGTCAGGTATTCCAAAGATTAGCAAATGTGGAAGGCTGTTCCCATATCTGAGCTGAAGGGATCAGGGAGGAGGTGATGTTATTAATGAGCCCAAGGGCCAAGATCACCTGAAAGAAGCTGGCACCAGAAGCCAGTCCATGGGAAGCTGCTGGTAAAGCAGCCACCCAATGTGAAGTGGGAGCAGGAGGAAGACCTTGTTTTCTCACTTCCTCTGACCCTCTGGTCTCCCAGCAGGACCTCTCATTGGCCAATCCCAGCCAGAAGCCAAGAAGCCAACCAACAGGGAGTGTGGGATAGGAACAGCCTGCAGTGTCCATCCCACCCCCAACACAGAGGGCAGAGGAAGCGTGAGCATGGCCTCTGAAGACAAGCAGGCCCAGGACCGTGGCCTCCAAGCTCCAGCACAATATCAGCATCCCCAACAGCAAAAAGCGCCTTACTGTACCCTGCCTTGGTGTGGTAGCATCTCCTACACCCAGAGAATGAAATATGTCATCATGATTAGTGTTATTGACAAAATGGTGTCAAGATTCCGATTCATTACATAGTCCGTACTCTCTTTTGAAGGCTCTGAAAAGAAATTTTCTGCTGTTGTCAATATCAAAAATATTTGTACCTCCCTGATGTAATTACAAAGACTGGGGCTTGTGGACACTGGGCTGTGGCACTGCTCGGGCTTCCCATGTCACACTCTCCATCATGGCCAAACTGGTTCAGCCTCAGTCCTCCTTACATGGTTTCTACTTTTTCTTTTTTCTTGTTTTTAATTTTTGCTATTTTGTACCTTTTGTATTATTGTAAACTGACTTAAACAGTTTATGGATAAAGCAGGAAAGAAATACATACATGTATGTATACACATACATACACTCCTATGAGTGGCACACAAGCATAATTTTGAACATGGGCTAATGACAACCAAAATATAACATGAATCCAAGGTGTGAGCTTTGGTGTCACAGCATATTGGGTTTAAAGCCTATTAACTCCATGTTTTTCAGACATGTTGTAACTATTGTGTGTCTTTATTTACTTTTCAATATTCTAAAATTTATACTTTGCTTTCTTGACATATACAATACAGACTTCTAATGTTCATGTAGTCAAATCTATCAGCCCTCTGTGGTTTTTTGCACTGATTGCATGCTTAGGGAGACTCTCCTGATCTGAATTTATTTTTCCTTCTGATTAATTTATATTTCCTTCTGATTATTTCATGGTTTCTTTCAATAAAAATAGTTAATGCTTTAAAGCACTTAATAATACCAAACAATTGTATGGAACCTGCTTTGTGCCAAATATTGTTTTAGATTATAGTTCTAAATAGTAACTAATGTAGTAACTCATTTAATTTTCATGACTGTCCTAAGGAAGTAGCTACTATTATCATCCCCATTTTACAGATGAGGAAATAGAGGCCTATAGAGGTGAAGTAACTTGACCACTTGCTAATAAGTGGCACAGCTTGGACTGGAGTCCAGGTTCTACATAGATTTCAGTGCTCAAACACAATGCCATGCTGCCTCTGGAATGGATTTTGATGTTAAGTATAAGGCAAAGGTGTAAAATTTTGTTTTTTGCTATCCTGAACAGTCAGCTAACAACCCTAGCAACATTACTGAATCATCTTGATTTCCCACAACGAGTGATGCCAACTTTATCACATATATTCTTATTTTCCTTGACATCACATATGTGCCAGACGACAGAGATGAAGCAGTCTGTTATTCCCATTGCACACTTACAGATTCAATAACTAAGACAACTGAGAGGTGATTTATCAAAACCTCTCCACTGGAGACTTCTGCTCCCCACGGCATCTGGCCGGCAGACCATGAGTCATGCTCTCCAGCGGCCCCTCTCAAACAGCAGGATCCTCAAGATGCAAATGAACACCCAGAACAACACTGAAAATTAGAATTTCAGCCAAACTATTGCTCCCTCATTAGGATTTCCTCTAATTACAAGATTTAGGAAGCTGAAATGAGATTTGCAATTGCAGCTGCTGTTCACACAGCCTCTGCCACTTACAAGGGAGAGAAAACGGGTGGCCTGAAAAATGTAACAAAGAACACTTATTACAAGAATAAATATTTAGGGATAAATAAAAGAATAACAGGAGTGATTATCAACATTATGTTCATGTGGTAGGACGATGGGTGAGATTTTTATTCTTCTATTCTATTTTTTTCTAGGCCTTCCAAATTTATCATTCAATACTATTACCTTAATAAAAATCACTATTAAGGCCAGGCGCCGTGGCTCACACCTGTAATCCTAGCACTTTGGGAGGCCGGGGCGGGCAGATCACGAGGTGAAGAGATCAAGACCTTCCTGGTCAACATGGTGAAACCCCGTCTCTACTAAAAATACAAAAATTAGCTGGGCATGGTGGCACACACCTATAGTCCCAGCTACTCAGGAGGCTGAGGCAGGAGTATCACTTGAACCCAGGAGGTGGAGTTTGTAGTGAGCCAAGATTGCGCCACTGCACTCCAGCCTGGTGACAGACCGAGACTCTGTCTAAAAAAAAAAAAAAAAAAAAAAAATCACTATTAAAACATTTCACAGTGATGGAAAAGTGTAAGTATACCCAGATCTCAAGTTTCCTGTTGCATCTTTCAAACATGAACAAATACGTACTTTCAACTCTACTCTATATAGACCCTCCATTGGGCACTGGGGATATAGTACCAAAAAATATTTAGTCTTATCTATAACAGTTTAATTTTTTTAACCTAGATAATACAGTCATTAATACTGGTATAATTAAATATTAATTTTCAAAATGTTTATGAATGTAGAAAATGGAGAATGAGCATTATATTGTCAAAGCAAGGATTCTAAGGGAAGTCTCCAAAGGACATTTATTTGGTTTGGCTGTGTCCCCACCCAAATCTCATCTTAAATTGTAATCCCCATGTGTTGGGGGAGGGACCACATGGGAGGTGATTACATCATGGGGGCAGTTACCCTCATGCTATTCTCATGATAGTTAGTGAGTTCTCATAAGATCTGATGGTTTTATAACATTTCACTCAAACCTCTCAAACAAAGTTCATTTAAACCTCTCCTTCCTGCTGTCATGTGAAGAAGGACATGTTTACTTCCCCTTCCACCATTATTATAAGTGTCCTGAGGCCTCCCCAGCCATGCTGAACTGTGAGTCAATTAAACCTCTTTCTCCTACAAATTACCCAGTCTTGGGCAGTTCTTTATAGCAGCATGAAAATGGACTAATACAGCCGTCTTGATGCTCCTTCCACTTTGTTCATCTCCACCTCTCGATCGCTGCCCAGGCTCTGCTACTCACTTTCATTCTATTCCTAAGGGGAATTCACCTGAAATCAGAGCCAAGCAGAGAAGTGGCTGCCCTGCCTTTCCTAACCTGGTAGGGATATGGTGGCAAAGGCACCCCCTGGAACTTCCTCCACCACTGTTATAGTTTTTATTTAGCTTCTGTAAGTTACTCTCTTAAAAGGAGCCTTCGAATTCTAAGTTGGCAAACATTTTATAAGCCTCTGGGATAGACTGCCTAGTGACTAGAGTTCCTGAACACCTATTGAGATGTGGTGCTATGTAAGATCACAGGACATAAAGAACACAATTGACAACCAAACACCTTCGCAACATGCCTTTGATGTAACCATCATTGCTGGAGAATTCAAACCTTTCAAAGGAGTCCATATTACTTTGGAAAGGTCTAATTAAAAAACAAATAAATGAACAAACAAAACAAAACAACTTCTTAATATTGAGCTCCACGACTCATGCTTATAATTCTTTTTATTGGTCCTCTTAGTTTATATCCCCAGGGCAGAAGTAATAATCCCTTCTCCACACAACAGTCCTTCATGTTTGATTTAATATCCTCAGATACTAAACTATGGCAATTTTCATTATAATGTATTGCTGCTCTATCTTCATTATTTTTCTTGTTTTCATACTTAGCCACCCGAGAATTCCTAGAATTAACCATCTGAGGCCTTCCAGGAAATCGTATGTTAAGTGCTGGTTTTCAGGAGAAAACTGGAGAAAAGTGTGAATTAGATGGCCAGATAATCATGATCTTTGTCTTATTTATCAGAATATAGGAGATAAAGGCAAAAGAATAGGGCATGGGGGTTGCTCATTGTTCTTTTCTATTTTTATGTTTTTTTAAAACAGGCTAAAGAAACGAGACAGAACCCCCAGACTCATGCCTGAGAGATCTCACTTAAGTCTTTACTATGTCTAACACAGGGACAATGTGCTAGGCATGTGGTTACAAAGCTGGACTTACAGTCAGAATCCGGACCCTGCTAATCAACAGTTGTGTGACCTTGGGCAAGTCATTTAAGCTTCCTGAAATTAGTTTTCCCATCTATACAAAGGAAATGATAATATCTACCTGGCCGGGCTGTTCCGAGAAACCAAATGAAATAATACATCTAGGGCTCATGATATGCTTTTGATAGCTAGTAGTGATTATTATTATTTCTTAAAGAGGATTTATATGGGGTTCTGGTCAACCACCTTATTCTTTTCTAGTCTACATACAAGTCAACTGTACCAGTGTGTAATTCAGAAATTCAGAAATAGATGTTTATGTAGCAGGCATAGGCAGAGGATATGCTACTTTATTATAATTTTTCTAAAAACTGCTGAACAAATGACATCCAAAAACTAATTTGGAAAATCAAAATAACAAGAGAAGCATGTGGACAAATGTACACCTGTGGCCAGGTCTCCAAACTGCATGCAGTGGAGTAAATCGCCTTACTCCCATGACCTCCCTCTTCATCCCTAGGCTGTAGTTCCAGCCCCCGCCCTGTCAGTTACAAGTTCTCATACGAGTCTTCGCTTCTCCATAAGCAGATGCTAAGAAAGGGTATCCACTGGAATGCCACCCCACTCTGAACTAGCACATTACCATTGTGGTTTAGATTCTTTATTCCCTTGCGAGTTTGATTAGCGTAAGTTGACTGCAAAGAATTCTGGATACTGACCAAGTTTCCTGAAGGCAAGAATATCACCTTTTTTGTTTTCTCCTGAAAACCAGCACTTAACATAGTGTCTCATACACCACAGAATGAATGCAGCAAACAGCTGTTGAACAAATAATAGGGAGGTGGTGAGAGAGGAGAAGGGAGGGAGGAAGGAAAGAAAGAAAAAAAGAGAAAGAGGGAGGGAAGAAGAGAAGGAAAGGAGAAAAGAAGGAAGGGCACAAGGGAGGGAAGGAAGGAAGAAAAAAGGAAGGAAGGGAGAGAAAGAGAAGGAGGAAGGGAGGGAAAAAGAGAAAGAAGACAGGAAGAAAGGAAGGAAAGGAGGAGGGAAGACGGAACATAAAAGAGGAAAGGAGAAATGAATGAATGAATGAGTCAAGATAATACCTGTGAAGCCTCTTGGAAGTCATCTCTACATCCCTCTTAGCAAATACCAAGGGCTTAACATTGGAAACAAACACGATAGCTGCGTCACCTGTGCAGGCTCTGCTATAAGTGACAACACACGACTACACTGTACTTAGTGATAAATGACAGAGATTGGGCTGAAATCAGTTGTTGACACTGCCACACACTTATAGGTGATGCCCTTCCAGTAGCCCCCAAACTTTTCCAGGAGAAAATCATACCCACCACTGCAAAGTCAGAAAGAAAGACATCAAGAATAATCAAGTGTGCAATTACTTATTAAAGTTGGTTCCAGTACCCACTGAACAGGCAGTAAGAAGAATTGCAGTGTCTCCACCCTCTCCCCAAACAGCAGGTGCTAAAACCTACTGCAAATACAAGGACTTAGCAAGTTATGTTGTTAGATTTAGTAAATAAAAATACATGCAATATTTGGGAAATACATGTGCAGAAAACAATTCCCAAAGAACTTTGGCTTATGCAAGTGATATGTTAGTATTTATCATATTAGATTTTAACGAAAATTTTTTTTAAATATTGCATCATTTAAACTCACAATAGGTGAACTGCAGAGCCTCACATCTGTAATCTCAACCCTTTGGGAGGCCAAGGTGGGAAGATTTTTTGAAGCCAGGAGTTTGAGAACAGCCTGGGTAACATAGCAAGACCCCCATCACTATGATAACAATTATTTTTTAAATTAACCACATGCTGTGGCATGTGCCTGCAGTCCTAGCTACTTGGGAGGCTAAGGCAGGAGGATCACTTAAGCCCAGGAGTTTGGGTTGCAGTGAGTTATGATCACACCACTGCACTCCAGCTTGAGCTACAGAGTGAGACCCTGTTTCTAAAAAATACAAAAAACAAATTAAAGAAACCCCTAACAAACTCATCACATGTCAATATAATAACATCTTATGACATTTTAATGGTTTTTTCTTACATTTTTACAAATATCTTTACTGTTTACTCTCCAGCCTAATAAAAAACAGCTAGATTCTTTTATTTACTTCTGCTTTGAATCTGTTGAGATATTGCATGTCATACAGCTTCTGGAAAACTCCATTGTACACTTGTAAGAGAATGAGAGTGATGAAAGCAAATCATATCTTAGTGTTATTATGAAAATAATGCTGGCCTCACAAAGCCCCTGAAAGGGTCTTGGGCTGCCCCAGGAGTCCCTAGACCAAACTGCAAGAACTACAACTCTAAGCCAACTAAGGACAGATAGAAAGACCACAAAACACCCAGAAGAGATTTCCATACCTGCTGTGCTGGTGTCCATCACCGGTTTCTAGCTGTTCTGTAGTGTGCAGTGTCTTTGACAAGGGGAGAGACCAAAACACCCATTCTTGGCCCCAGTCCAGGGCTGTCTCCAGTGGCCACTCTCCACTGGGATGTTGGTCCAGTGGAAACATGGCCAGACTCTCTACCACCTGTTGGCTTTGCTTTCCCTTCCAGTGCCATTCTTCCCAGATCAGCATCCTTAAGCTTCAACGTAGGTATGGGTGACAAACCAATCAAGTTGGCTTCATTTCCAAACCCACAAATCCTAAGTTGCTTTACAATGTAATATACATCAAGTATAGGCTATCTTCTCCAGAGCAGTAGCTACAATTGTTAGTGTATATTATCTTGACTTATGTTCAGGTATCGGTTGGCATGAAGTGAAATCTTAAGAGATAACTCAATATCCTAAGACTTAAGAAATGCCTGGTCCAAAACTCTTCTTACAAAAGAGGCAACAGTTGTGTCACAAGTGCAATGACATTTATGTCAATTGTTGTACTCCCAGAATAATTCCTTAGAGGAGAATGAAATAATCAAAGTTGATCATGGGAAGACATCTTTTATATCTGTACCAAATCTGAAGTATTGATGTTAATCCCTACATAACCTAAATGTAACATTGAGCTAGCTCCTCTCTCACCAAACCTTTTGTGTAAATTATGCCTAGGGAAAGAGAAACACAAAAGATCAAGAAAATGTACACAATGTTCGCCAGAAAATGCATACCAGTCCCAGACTCATGAATAAACACTCAGGTAAAAAGCACTGTCACATAAACACATTGATGAATCTCCAAAATGTTAATCTCCAAAATGTCCAGTCGACTTCTGATGCTCACATACATTTACAGATTCTCATCAGAGCACTACATCAATTTTACATAAATAAAATACCCTCCTAGATTTTGATCCCAAACTAGGAAAAAATGCTTAATTATAAGACTTTTCTACTTACTTTTTATGCCTTTCTCTTCCTAATATTGGAGGCCAGAGGAAAGATGAAAAAAATTAACAAATATAAATAGTAAAGCTTCATTATTATATTCCTGAATTCCCCCAGTGAGATGCTACAAGAACAAAAGGCTCTGAATTCCATTAAGCATGTAAAACCCTGCATTCTTTATCTCCTTATTAGGGGTTTACAATGCACAATCGCAAAATAAAGGCCCTGGGAAAACAGAAACTTTAACTGATTACCTCCCAGATTAGTTTCTCTTGAACTTCACCTCTTTTTGCACAACATCTATTGACATCACCAAACCCCTGTGGCCCACTCTCCAGGTTGGACGTCCTCCCATATCAAGCCTGGGGTCGCCAAACCCCAGGAGTATTAGGCATGATGCTCTGTACGAATGGACCAGATTTGTAGCTGGCCCACTTTCCTCAGCCTGTGATATTCACCCTCCATATCAGTGCTATGACCTGAGGATGAGAAGTCCAAGAGATATGGGATGATGATGATGATGATGATGATGATGATGATGATGATGATGACGATGACGATAAGGGTCTGAGAAGTCAGGAATAGTTGTACTTGTTCTCAAAGCAGAGCCCCACACTGAAGTTCCTCTACCACAAAATCCATTTATGCCCAAAGCACCTAACTTTGTAGGTATAAGTCTGTACTTTAACCTCAGAATAAAATTAGGACATTCCTTTGATCAAAGTCACATCTTATTACAAAAGACTTTTTTCAATTATACCTTATTTTGCATACTCTGGAAAAACTTGGAGTTTAGACTGGGTTAAGCCTATTATATTTCTTTGATATGTTTATAAATTATTTCTCAACATGAAGACATAAAATGGTCTACTTTCCATTCATTCATTCACTTCAAATATTTACTAATACTCTAGTAGGTGCCAGGCACACTCAAGGCTGAGGAGCAATAGAAGAACAGACAAAAGAAATGGCTGTCATAATAGATTGTTCAGCTGTGGTTGGAAAATGAGAGGCAATTATTTTAAATAATAATTAAAATACGTCATACATTAAATGGCAAAAAAAAGTGCCAGGGAGAAAAATAAAGCAGGAAAGGGGGGAAAGAGTGTTGGAGGAATTGCAATCTTAAAATGGGTATTAAGGGAAGGCCTCACTTGAGAAGCTGATATTTGAATAATGATCTAAGGTCGACAACAGAGTGAACCCTCCAGATAAATGGGGACGGGCACTCTAGGACGATGACACTGTAAGTGCAAAAGCCCAGAGGTCCCACAAGGATGTCAGTGTGGGTAGAGGGGAACTGGCAGGGAAGGGTTATAAGAGGTAATGGAAGTAGGGATCAGGTCAGATGGGGTTTTGTGGGCCTTTTTAAAGAACCTTGGCTTTCTTTCTGAGTGACATGAAAAGTTGCTGATATGTTTGGGACACGATAGAGCCTCACTCACCTTTTAACAGGAACAGACTGATGGCTGTGTGAAGAAGAGATTCTAGTGGAGCAAGGAAAGGACAAGGGACGGTTAAGAGGCTCTGCAGTAACTCAGGCAGGATGTTACGGTGTTGGTAGTAGTGGAGGTGTAAAAATGGTAGCATTCTACATCTATTTTAGAATTTGATGCAGATGAGCTTGGCTGATGGACGAGATGAGAAGCATGAAAGAAGGCCTCGAGAATGACTCCATGTTTCTGGACTGAGCAACCTGAAAGATGGGATTTGCTGAGGTGAAAACGACTATAGGGGGAAGAGGTTTGCAGAAGACGGAGATGGGGTGCTCATTTTTTCATGCACTAAGTTTGAGATGCTATTAGATGCCTAAGAAGAGATGTCAAGTAGGCAGCTGGATACACAGATCTCAAGTTCAGAAGAGAGGCTGAGGCTGGAAATACATGCCTGGTATATAAAAACATGAGGTTGAATGATGTCCCCACAGAGTGAATAACATAGATTAAAAAAAGAAAAGAAGCCCGAAGCCTGAGCCATGGGAAACTCCAACATTAAGAAGTCAAAGAGATAAAAAGGAACCAGCTAAAAAGGAATTGAGTCTAGTACCCTGGAAGCCAAATGAAGAAAATAGTTCAAGGATGGGTAAATGATATATTGTGCCAAATAATTCTAAGAGATGGAGAAGTGACCACTTAATTAAACAAGGTGGAGGTCACTGATGACCTTGACAGCAGTTTAAGTGCCATGGTCATGTAGAAAGCCTGACTAGGGTGGGTTCAAGATAGAAGAGGAGAAATAAAAAAGCATATAGATCAGGAATTATTAGATCATGTCCAGGCACCCCTGAGGGGTTCCCAAGAGCTTTCCATGCATCAACAGAGTCAAAACTACTCTTATTCTTTCATAAGTTTATGGCAGAGTTGTTCAAAGATTCCATGACATATAGATGACATCCTGTACTGACAGCTAATGAGATGTGTGCTTGTGTATTATGTTTTAAATGTTTTTAATTTCTAATATGGGAAATACTAATGAATATAACCAAAATAAACTACAATTCTTTGGAGGTGTTTTTAAGAGTTGTAAAGAGGTCCTGAGATCAAAAAGTTTGAGAATGGCTGAGTAGACAGACAGACATGCATGCATATACTTATAGCAAAGCTTTAGCCTCAGAAGTCACATCGGGGACGCACAGGGTCCTAGTCAAAAGCTGATTCTATTCAGTGCAATATGTGACTGTCTGAAAAGCTCTAGCCTGAAACAACCTTATTTATTCAGGGCCGGATGTCAAAATGAATAAGACCATCCTTCACTCAAGCACAATTTGGTCCATAGATTCAAATTCTCTTTAGCATTATTATATTTTTGTCTAAGGGGAAATTTAGTTTAGAATGGTTCACCACACATAAGAGTCAACAATGTATTGACAATCTCATGGTTTATTACTGATGGGAATAGGGAATTATTTTAATAAAAGATTAAGGTTAAAAGAATCACCACCATCCCGCTTATTCATTTTCAAGGATAATATGCATCAGAGCTCCCTTTCACTCAAAACATATGAAGAGCCCAAGATTACATTTCTGTATCTCTGTGTAGTAAAAAGAACAGATAACTTTAGAAATCAACAGACCTGGGCTTGCCCACTTCCTAGTTCAGTGACTTTGGCAACATACTTGACACCTCTGAGACTTTATTCTTCAATCTTTCAAGTAGAGATTTCATAAGTTCGTGACAATCAAATAAAATATGCTATACAAAGAACCTAATAGAAAGCCTAGCGAAAAGTAGCTATTCAATAAATAGTGAATTTTTTTTAGTATTTCAGTAACTAAGCACAAGCCACACACCTTTTAATACTTAAACTTGAAATAATAATATGAAAACACTTGTTCAAAGCAAGAGAGAATAAAGGATTTATTGAGACAATACTTACATGTAGACATTCATAGTGAAGCCTTCTGCATTCATTTTGAGGATGAACCCCTCTGTACAGGATAGACATATTCTATCAGGTATTTATTTCCTAAATGCTATTGTGTGCCAGGCACTGTGGTGGACAATAAGAATACTAAAGAAAATAAAGCAGAGCCCCTGCCCCCAGGGAAGCTCACAGTCCACTAGGGAAACAAATTCTGAACAAAACTGCAATAGAGAGGGATAAAGCTGTGTCAGCCATGCACTGGGTGCCCTGGAGGCAGAGTGAGGGGGGCCAGAAGCCCCTGCACTGCTTACTACCCACCAAGTCCTATAATCTTCCTTCCAGTGAGTAACAACTCTTGAAAAATATCCCTAAAGAACCCTGCTACTACCATTGCCATTGACACATCTCTGAACTTACTGAGTTCTGCTCTATAATGACAGGGTTAGAGAGAGACAGGATGGTCATGTGTTTCCGGGGTTTAGAATTTGATTAGCAACAATCTAAATCCATGGAAAAGACTTGCTTATAACCAGTTTATTTTTACATGTGCATTTCTTTTTTTAAAAAAATAAGGTCATTAAGAGCCCATTTGTTTTTATATATTTGACTTGTTTCAATTCATTTTAGTCATTGTCCTTTCATGCTCTTATTGCAGCATTTCAGGCTACTGGGAGCACCTTCATGTTGGCCTCTGTGTCCTTTTGAAGTGACTCCAGGTAGTCTTTGACAGCCTCCTTGCTTCAGGGGATAACAAGCTATTCCAGATGCATCTTATACATTTCCTACCCACACCTAGAATCAGCTATTTCTGCAAGGAGCCCTGGTAGTAGGAAGTTTTAGTAGGATATGGTTTCGTTTAGTAAGAAATGTGGCACTGCTGCATGGCTGTCATTGCTTTGAGGCCTGAATATCATTCAAGATGTGGTCATGTTCATGAGATGTCGCCGCAGTGAGGTTAGTCATTTACTACCACCTAACACCGTCCTTTTCTGACAATGCCGTCCATGAGGGGATGTCCCCTGAAGGCAGTTATTCTGCCAAAAATCAAAGCTCCCTGCAGAGATATGCCATTCCTGAACTGGTAGGTCACTCTTGGCATATGATCATGAATCACGTCATGTGGCAGAAAAGGAAAAGAACCTCCTAGAGATTTGGAAGGCCAGTTTCTGACGAGAGAACTAGGGAATCAACATTCCCAGGCATCAGCCTTCCTGGAAATTTTCCCTCTGCACTCTCCGGGGCACACGGCCTGATTCCATCACTGCCTCAGCAGAGACCTGAGCAGATGGAGCTGAAATCTTGCAACTTCTACCTAAATAAAATGGCCATTATGTAAATATCGGGCTTGAATCCAGTGTGCAAGGGCATATGTGTATTTCAAATAGCCATCAGGTCTACATTTCTCCCACGTGCTTCAAGCTTTAAACAAAAATTTCCTATCCCTTCTGAGTAAGAATTACAAAGTTCATCTCTGAATTCTCCATGACAACCAAGAAAGGTGGCAATTTCCAACCTTGGGAAACAGCAAGCTACATGTTCCAACCCTCAGACTTCTCAGTCCATGATTCATCATCATAATCATCATCACAATTCACACAACTGTTTATTTACGGGGTGCCAGTTAAGTAAGAAGTATCTCATTTCCCCTCACAAGAACCCCATGGCATAGATACCACTATTATTCCATTTTTACAGTGAGGATTCTGAGAATCTACAAGGCCATGTGTTTCAAAACTATTAGGAGGCAGTGCCAGACTCAGGTCTGACTCGAGGTGGATGCCCTTAGCCATTACTCTGAGAAAGAAGGGAACAAGTATCCTTTCTCCAGTTGGCAGGACATACAGTAGGGAATATGACTTGGCCACTAGCTCCCAGCTAGTGGGGAGTGGAGATGCATAAACTCTGCTAACTAGGGCACTCACAGGGGCTTTTGCAAAGTAAGAAGATGCTGTCATTTGATGGTGACAGCCGCGCTCAAGTCATCTGTAGTACCAGGTCCTGACGACACAAGCCTGGCTTAAGAAAAATACATTCCCTTTACACATATGGATCTTTGAGGAAACAATGCAGAAAAAGTGCTTTATACTAGGTTCTGCTGTTATTTTACACACCACAGAGCCAAATTTAGCCTAAGCTTTTAATACATGGATCTGTCCAATAGCCTCACGGTCCACCGTGCCAGTGGAATTTTCCTGTCTACTCTTAATAGGCTATTTAAATGCAGCAAGGGCTATTTTTGAAACATTTTTCACCATTTGAGTGTGGTATATGGTAGAATTTCTAAATCTCAATAATGCTTCAGCACTGATTACTTCTTCTGATGGGAACATTAAGTATAAATGTATGCATAGCTGTGGATACACAGAAGATTTCATTTACATAATCCTTAAACCAGGGGATAGTGAAGTAGCAGCTAGCCTGAGAGATTTTTTTCTAAGCTTCATCTCTTTGCACTGAGATAACTTTCACACATTTCTTTTGAATTTAGCTTTCACCTTTTTCACCCTTTAAAATAATCTTATCCTACAAATAATGGCATGCTACATTAAATTACACCTAAAAGATGGCCACATGAAGTCCAGACATGGAACTAAAATATGCCTGGACTTCCAAATATTTCAACAGGAAGGCAACCATCCCAGCATTTGTTTAAATATGAAAATTTTCATCGTGGAAATTTTCCAACGAACACGTAAGTAAAGAGAACAGTATAAAGAACCCCCACAAACCGTTTACCCAGCTTCAACCCCTTATCAACATTCTGCCATTCTTGTGTCACATGTCAATCTCATCAGAATTTTTAAAAGGGCATTCTCTGAGCAAAACAAGCCTTCTGTCAGAACTACAGTGGTGTCTCAAATTTTGTATTTTCTATAATAACATAGATTCTTCTACCTTGTGGTACCAATCACAGAATATATCAACTCAACAGCATCTGCTCAATTTCAAAACTACTCTAAACAGTAACTCACATTTGCAACAAATCAAGATATGAAAGGGCCAATTGCTAGTGAGTTAGCTCTAAGCAACATAGACTGATCTTTTCTCATATATATATATCACATTCATGTAAAAATACAAGGTCTGACATGGAAGGAGGGGTCTAGAGCTGATGCAGAGTACAAGTGACAGCAGGTGGCTCCAACCAGAAACACAAAGGTACACACAGTCTACATTCGGCCACACCAAGTAGGGGACACAGGTCCCAGTTCTGCTTCTCATCATTATCCTCATCATGACTATTTATTGATGATCTGTGCTATCCTGCACCCTGTGCTAAGCACTTTACATGTCTTCTCTTTCATCTCCAACAGGATAGATCTATTTTATCTTCAACTTGCAGATGAAGAAACAGAGGTTTAGAGAGATTTCATGGCTTGTTCAGCAGAGTCTAGATTAGAAACCAGGTTGTCCTAACTTCGAAGTCTGCATTATTTCTCCTATCACACACTTTGGTCCCAAGTATTATTGACCCAAATATTAGGAATTGTGTAAATACACACACACACACACACACACACACATAAAATCCACACCTATTCTGAATCTCTAGTGTGCTAATGAATAAAATGACCAGTACCTGTGCAATATCTGGTTAAAATCTGAGACTGTGGGGCTCTCACCAATTTTATAACTTTTTTCGCTCCTGAAGAGAATAAACAAATCAAGGAGCTGTGGCCATGCTCATCTGGACACTGAGTCGACACTGTTTACTGTACTTCAAAGCACCTTTAATATTAGGAAACAGCTCTGGGTGCTAATGTTTCCTGGGGCAGGTGGGTCAGGAGGTTTCAAAGCTGTGACTATTTAGTGCCAGCAAAAACCAATCTTGACATCGATCTAAACGTGCTTCAGAAGAGGTGGTTCCAGGAGAAACTGTCAGCTTAAACTCCCTGAGTTATCTGTGGTATTTAAGTCCAGGTAATAAAAGGCTCTCTGATATTTGGATCACATTTTGTACTGAAATCACCTGAAAGGGTATTTGGGGAGATTTTGACAGTTAAATAATGAAAGTTTGCAAACGAGAAAGCACTATGTTATAACCTAAGATATTCACAGGGGGCTGGGAAATGCAAAGGTAAGTCCTCTGAACTTAATTCTTTGAAGAAAATATTTAATTAGCAAATGTCTTACATAATGGAAAAAACCTTCAAATAGTACAAGAAGGTGGTGCAAGAATGGCCCTGATTTGATATACTGAAACATCATACCATGTGTATGCCAATGTCTTCAGTCCATTCCAAAAGAAAACTGTCATAATAATTGTGCTGCCAACGGTGCTCATTCTCTAACCCTAACCTACAGTATTTACTCTAATATTAATCTCCTCTATAATCGTGGGTGATCAGCTAGGCTCCACAGCTTCAAAATGCTGAACTTTAAACAGCTTATTAATTACTGTGTGTGTGTGTGTGTGTGTGTGTGTGTGTGTGTGCGCGTGTGTGTGTGAGAGAGAGATAGGGTCTTACTTTTTCACCCAGGCTGCAATGCAGTGGCGTGATCTCGGTTCACTGCAGCCTCGACCTCCTGGGCTCAAGCGATCCCCCCACCTCTGCCTCCCAAGTAGGTGGACTACAGGTGTGCGCCACCTCACCTGGCTAATGTTTTTGTATCTTTTTCTAGAGATGGGGTTTGGCCATGTTGTCCAGGCTGGTCTCAAACTTCTGAGCTCAAGTGATCAGCTGTCTCGGCCTCCCAAAATGCTAGGATTACAGGCGTGAGCTACCACGCCTGGCCTTATTAATTACTATTAATTAAGATGGAAGATGGGATAATATCTTCCATCTTATCCCAAATAGTATTTTTCTCCCAACTTTAGTTCTGCATCGCTCTCTCAATAAGCCATACATAGTGGGGATCCATATCATCTTGAATCTTCTCCATTAAATCTTGGTTTCCTAGATATAAGAAAGCTTCAGAACACCAGGCATATGTGTAATCACCATACTGCTTTTCCTTTCTTGGTGAACTGATCTGGGAAAACAAAGGGCACTAAAATTTACTAAATGTCTACTGTATGTGCCAGACATGTTAATGGCACCACATCAAAATGAGCCTGTCAAGATGTAAAACTCCTTTTTTAAAATTTTTGCCAATATGCACTACTCACATCCCTGCCTCTGTTCTGAACCTAACCAACTCTCCAATTATGGGGCACCATATTGGATTAAGAGTTATGTGTATTTATTAGAAAAAAAAAGATAATCGGGGGGAAAAAACAGATATTTTCAGAAAACCTATTAGAACTGGCTTTGATTCTAAATGTTATTATTACTTCCAAACTATCATTATAAAGAAGACTTGTAATACTAACTTGAATATATATTTTACTAGGATTGAGGCCATAATTGTTAAAAATTAATTGAATACTTAATGGGCATCTGAAGTTCAAACACCCTCCTCCACACCCTCTCCTGCCCCCAAACAACCACTGACTACTACACAGTCAAACAAATATAATTAATTGAAATAATAATTTAACAAGAAATTATAAGAATAATTATGATTTTAATCATATAATTAAAACTCACAAAAGTAGGTGAGTCCATTCTTTAGAATAGAAAATACCATATTCCTATTGATCAAATTCCAATTTCAACTAATAAATTTAATTGATATTGAAGTCTGACTATCCAACATTAAAGTAGAAATAAGATAATCAGAGATTCAGACCATAAAAACTGCAAGTGTGAGCAGAACACTTCATAAAGAACAAGCAATATCCTTTTCTAGAATAAATGAATATGGTCAACACTCAACTCTTGGTGAGGTATAATTTTACTTCTAGATTGCATCTAATTCTCACACCATCACTTACCCATCTCTGAATCCCACCGAATTCCTCATTCCATCTCTCATTCCTACTTTTACCTTAATCCTCATCTCAGGGTTGATGTGACTGTAAAGCTTACATATTGGATAAGATTGCCTGTCTCATACACTAGTTGGTAATTTTTTTAAATAGCAGAATGTTTAATGGCTTGGCTTCCAGACTGTGTCAACCTACCCCGAGCATCAAAACAGCTGCATCCAAACCATAATGGTCACATAAAATGTCATGTATTCTTGCCACTAGTTATTTCATCACAACAATTTTGTAGAATACTGTTTCTGCCCAACCTGAAGATGAGGTTTTATTAAAATTATATCTCTAAGAATACAGGCTTTGCATTTGATTGCTGACACAGTATTTCATATTACGTAGCTCTCAATTATTAATTGAGTATGTGAAAGTTTAGTTTGGCGTAAACACACCAACCTGATACATCCTTAATCAATGCCAGTTTTATATGCCCAGAAAGGGCACCTGTGAACACAAAATTGCAAATGTTGGACCTCCTCATAGGCAAGATTTTAGAGATCACTTAAAACAATTCAGTGGGTGGAAATCACCAACAATCACAGAATGGATAAAAACAGTAAACTGTCTTAATGAGTTCTTGTTGCTCGAAATAAAATTTCAAGGGACACTATCACACAGGGCTTCAAAGAGTGCTTTATCTGAAATGACATTGATGGAGTGTTGAAGTGTTACTGGGGGGTCTTTGTTCTTCCAGCTCCCAAGATGAGGTGGGCCTTTTGTTCTCTGACCCGGGGTTCTTGGCCTCACAGATTCCAAGGAATGGAACCTTGAGCCATGCGGTGAGTGTTATAGCTCTATTAGAAGCTGTGGATCACAGAAGAGAACCGTGGAACCCAGCGACTAGTGTTCAGCTTGATTAGGACGAACCCAGGCACTTAGCTGTGCAGGAACAATGGTGAGCCTTTAGCCCAATCAGGAGCAGCAACGGATGCCTCGCTGGATCAGGAGCACAGCCCACACCCTGCCAGATCTGGAGGGGTAGAAGTCAGCAGCGGGTCTGTGATGGCGGCATTCAGCAGTGGTGGATGGTGAGTGAAAGCTCAGCTTGAGCCAGAACAAACACAGACCAGAAGAGTGTGCAGTTGCAAGCTTTAATAGAGTGAAAACAGAGCTCCCATACAATGGGAGGGGACCCAAAGGGGGTTGCCCACTCCCGGCTCGAATGCCTGGGGTTTATATCCCAATCATTGTCCCTCCCCCTGTGCTCTCAGATGATAGATGATTTGACTATTTCTTTACCTCCTGCTCTTAGCCTAATTTGTATTTTAGTGAGCCCTCTTTACTACCTGATTGGTTGGGTGTGAGCTGAGTTACAAGCTCCGTGTTTAAAGGTGGGTGCGGTCACCTTCCCCAGCTAGGCTTAAGAATTCCTAGTCAGCCTAGGAAATCCAGCTAGTCCTGTCTCTCAGAAGTTCCCTGGAAAACTAAGTGGGATAACTCAAAAGGTGGCTCTATTGAGGACAATGACCACAAGGCCATAGATGCATGTGAAAGACTAATATAACTTTCATAAAATGTAAGAGTAAAAATGTCCCACCTCGAAGGTAAGATATAATTTTATATTATAAGCGATTTCAAAATGTTACTAAATTAATACACTAATATTGTAAGTTGACATTCACCTATTTGCAGTATAGCCTTAAAAGTTCATTTATAAACAGGAGGGATATTTTGAGAGGGAATCTTCTCACCAGTTGTCTTATATTCAGGAGAATGCGGTAAATATCATTATCATAGGGCTAGGTTACCAGGTCTCCTCTGATTCCCATGGCAAGCTCTCCAGTTCCCTAAAGCTAAGGGAATTTTCAAATATAAATAAATTATGCCAAACTGTCTTTCTCAACCAAGAGAGAATAATTTAAGAATCTTGGAAGCCCAATGCCTCCTTTCTTTTCTTTTCTTTTTCTTTTTCTTTTTTTTTTTTTTGAGATGGAGTTCCTCTCTTGTCACCCAGGCTAGAGTGCAATGGCATGATCTCAGCTCACTGCAACCTCTACCTCCTATGTTCAAGTGATTCTCCTGCCTCAGCCTCCCTAGTAGCTGGAATTCCAGGCGTGCGCCACCATGCCCGGCTAATTTTGTATTTTTAGTAAAGATGAGGTTTTACCATGTTGGCCAGGCTGGTCTTGAACTCCTGACCTCAGGTGATCTACCCACCTTGGCCTCCCAATGTGCTAAGATTACAGGCATAAGCCACCACGCCTGGCCCCAAATGGCTCCTTTCTATAAACTCGGCTCTCATAAGTTAGAAAGGGTCCCAAAAGTGGAACGATTCTGCAAAGTTCCCCCAAACCTTATCATCCCTCCACCACTAACAATAAACACATAACCAAACTGCGGACAAGCCTACAGCTGTCCTCAGCATGCCATCTTTACCACCTCCCTAATTCTGTTCACTGCCCTGACACTTGTCCCAAGGAACCAACTATATCCCTTGAGGTCTGTGTAAAGCCATTCACATTTCTCTGATGTCTTTCGCTGCACATATTGCTGAGACCAGCTTGGTCGTGGAGACCCTAACCCAGCAGCGCTAGAGGAGTTAAAGACACACACACAGAAATATAGCATGTGGAATGGGAAATCAGGGGACTCACAGCCTTCAGAGCTTAGAGCCATGAACAGAGATTTACCCACATATTTATTTACAGTAAGCCAGTGATAAACAGTTTCTATTATAGATTAACTAAAAGTATTCCTTATGGAAAACAAAGGGATGGGGCAAAACAAAGGGATAGGCTCTGGCTAGTTATCTGCAGCAGAAACATGTCCTTAAGGCACAGATCGCTCATGCTATTGTTTGTGATTCAGGAATGCCTTTAAGCGGTTTTCCACCCTGGGTAAACCCACAACCTTCAGCGTGGGCGTCATGGCCATCATGATCATGTCACAGTGCTGCAGAGATTTTGTTTATGGCCAGTTTTGGGGCCAGTTTATGGCCAGATTTGGGGGCCTATCCCAAGCAAGGTATGATCATTCCCTCTTCACAGCTACCATGGCCCCTTCTGAGCCATGTTTGATCAGAAAAAGAAATGACCTTGGGTCCAGTGATCTCAGTTAAAATTCAGTTTCTGGGCCCGGCATGTTGGCTCAAGCCTGTAATGTCAGCACTTCGGGAGGCCAAGGTGGGTGGATCACCTGAGGTCAGGAGCTCAAACCAGCCTGACCAATATGGTGAAACCCTGTCTCTACTAAAAATATAAAAATTAGCCGGGCATGGTGGTGGGCACCTGTAGTCCCAGCTACTTGGGAGGCTGAGACAGGAGAATTTCTTGAACCCAGGTGGTGGATGTTGCAGTGTGCTGAGGTCATGCCACTGCACTCCAGCCTGGGAGACAGAGCAAGACTCCGTCTCAAAAAAAAAAAAAAAAAATCAGTTTCTCCCACTGTGTGGTCTCACCTGGTGATCCTGGGCCAGCTACTGAGACTCCCTGCATCTCGGTTCACTAATCAATAAAGAGGAAATAGCAATACCTGCTTCACAGCTGAATAAATAGGAGCATTGCTTTGAGAAGCCAAGGCCAACCTGCGGCATATTCTAGCCCCAACTGCTGTTAAAGCTGGGGCTCTGTTATTGTACTGACACACCTCCTCTTGTAACTTCTTCTGAACCTGCATTATCTCTCCAACTAAATTGCAAGTGATCCAATTGTAATTGAAATCCAATTAAAGTTATTCAAGTAGTAAAACAATGCAAGTACTTTGTTTCACTACTTCTCTCTATATCTTACAAAGCACTTGGCACACAGTAGAGGCATAATAAATATGTTGGCTACATGATACAAATGAAAGGCTTTTTATAGGCAAGAAACCATAAAGCATCTTAACAATAGGGTAAACATTTACTTATTTTTGTATCTGTAAAAGGATCTACTTCACTCTAGTGAAGCAGAAACTATTCTTTCAGTGTAGAATCATTTCTACTAATTTTCTTTGGCAGTCTTCAAAAACAATAAGATAAAGAAAAAGAAAAGAAAAAAACAAAAGCTCAAGCAACTCCCAGTGTGCCCTACCAAATGTACGTTTCAAGGGAGCAAGCCCGGCTGAATTAACAGAGGTTACATCCAAAGGGTAACAAGCAGCGTTCCTGAGTGGCTCTTACATTAAGTCAAATGAAAATATTAAAGGACCTGTAATTTTCCCTTTATTGCTCTCAGTTCCATCACAGGAGCTAACTGCCTCTATAAAAATAACAAATGTTAATTTGCTGCATTACTTGATAGCTTTGCTCTGCAAAGAAGAATGCCACATTCGGTCCTGCTTTGATTCACTTTCATTCGTTCATCAACAAACATGTATGGGGCACCCACTGAAATGCTGCATCCTGTTCAGGGATCTGGGGATACAGTAGTACAGTAGTGAACACACAGTCAAAAATCCCCACTCAGAGCTTGCATTCAACTGGGTAGAGAAATAACAAGACAAGTAAGTAAAACACATAGTGCGTGAGATGATAGTAAGGCTCAGGGTATAAGAAGGAAGCTAGACGGGAGAGAAAAGGAACAGACAAAGCTGGCGGGAGGGTGGTGGGAAATGAGGTCAAAGAGGGAACAAGCAGCTAGGTGATGAGGGCCTGTAGGACATGGCGAGAGCGGTGGGTTTACCCGGACAACATGGAGAGCCAACCGGGGCTTTGAGAGGAGGCCTGACAAGCTCTTGGCGTTAGCATGCTGGTGGTCGTGTGGAGTAAGGGTGCAGGGGGTCACGGGAAGAAGCAGGAAGCGAAGCTGGGAGACCAGTTCCATAATCAGGTAAGAGATGATGGTGCCCTGGGTCAGAGTGGTGAGGAGCGATCGAATTCCAGGTATGTCCTGAAAGTAGAGCTGCCATGATTTATTGATGTTATGGATGTGGGGCAAGAAAGAAAGGAGTTTAGAGTGACAAGGTTTCTGCGAGGTCCATATTACAAGATACATGAATGATCCCAGTGAATTCCAAGTTCCTTCCAAGTAACTTCTACTGATGTCCCGAAGACACTTTCCTAAAACACCCTTTCCTCCTAACCCTAGATACCAGCTGTTTGGAGGACAGCAACCTACACTGACTGCTTCCCTACCTGGTATCAGACATTGTGCAAGGTGCTTTGATTCCATGTGATCTATTAACAACCTGTGAGGTCTTGGTTATTGTCCTGTTTTATGGTTAAGAGACCTGAGACTCAGTAGATGTAGGTGATCTGCCAAGGCTTCATCTGGGGAAGAAGGGGTACGTATGAATGGGGTGGCATCTCTTCCACTCCAATGGTTTGCTTTCAAGAGGGAAAGCCAAGCCAGTATTACCACATTTTCATATTTTTCTAGAGAAATATGAAATCGAGACTACTATGTGGATTCTCCTGATATTTACATGTATAGTTTAAAAAAAAACTATGGGCCAAACAAACAAATCTGCATCCCAAATTTCCCCTAAAGGAAGCAAGATAAAGACATCAGTGCTGCTTATTCTAAATTATTTCTAAATTTTTAAGCAATATTTTTTTCAAATGATGATCTTAGGTGATGCAAAGGCAATTAAACCCTTTAAAGAAATCTAAGGCAGAGATTAGATGGAAGTAAAAAAACAAGGGGGGGAAAGAATTTTAAGACGGATGCTTAGGCCACTGTTGTGGTGTACATTACATGTGAAATGTACCAGAAAGAACACAAACAGCCTTTGCCCTCCATGAGAGAAACTTGCTAGAGGAAAACAGGGACAGGAGTCTGCTAATGGCCAGGGCTCTGAGCTCCATGACCAGGGAGGGACAGAGGGGAGTTGTGCCCTGGTTGCCCTGGTGATACACAACGACGCTGCCCCGCCCCTGCTTTGGGGACACAAGCAAACTGCTCCCCAGGGCTTCACTCCTGTGTGTCTTCCCTTCCTCTCCTCCACATATCACAGCTCCCCCTTTCCCTCAGCAGGAGGCAGATTAGGGGCCCAGGTACATGGGGTAGTGCTGTACAGGTGGGAGGTGCTGGGAAGACAAAGGTCATGCTGAAATTAGGCTGTATGAAAAAGATATGTCTGCAGTCTGGGCTGAAGGGCTCTATAGCCAGGAGGATAGTCCCTGCCATGTTTCTCTCATAGATAAAGGGTATCACAATGGCCAGTGAAGCCCGAATACAGAGTAGAGGTTGTGGAGAAGTGCAAGAATCCTCCCAAAGGAGTTTTAGGACAAATATCAATCAGGGTGTCCAGAAAAGTCCAACTTTATTTTTTTATCTCATTTTTAATTTTAGATTCAGGGGTTACATGTACAGGTTTTTTACATGGGTATATTGCTTGATGCTAAGGTTTGGGATATGACTGTACCCATCACCCAGGTAGTGACACAGTACCCATTTGGTAATTTTTCAACCCAAGCTCCTACCCCCACCTCTAGTAGTTCCCAGCGTCTACTGCTCCCATCTTCATGCCAATGTGTGCTCAGTGCTTAGCTCCCACTTATATGTGAGAACATGCAGTATTTGGTTTTCTGTTCCTGCATTAATCCCTTTAGGGTATTGGCCTCCAGCTGCATCCATGTTGCTGCAAAAGATATTATTTCATTCTTTTCTATACCTGCATAGTATTCCATAGTGTATCTGTACCACATTTATCCAATCGACCATTAATAGACACCTGGATTGATTCCATGTCTTTGCTATTATGAATAGTGCTGTGATGAACATATGGGTGCATGTGTCTTTTTGGTAGGGTGATTTATTTTCACTGGGGTATATACCCAGTAATAAGATTGCTGGGTCAAATAGTAGCTCTGTTTAATTTCTTTGAGAAATCTCCAAACTGAGAAAACTCCAACTTTAGCTTGGATGTGAGCAAGTGTGAGAGAACAGCTACTGGTGTGAAAGGTTTGAAAGTGGCCGGGAAACAGGAGTTATTACTTGCCCTGTGGGAGAGAAGGAATAAGTCTATGGAGGGGTAGAGTTTGCTTACAAGCAACCAGCTTCTAGGAGCCAACAGTGGGCTTCCTCCAGCCTCTTGTCTCAGTTCCAGCCTGGGCACACACAGGATTGGCTCTTCAGACAGAAATCAGGAGCCCGGGGAATTATTAGTCCTATCAGGCAAGAAGTATAGGCAGTAGAGGGTAAAAGTTTTGTATGTTGAGACACTACTGAGAGGTGGGAGGACATGAAAGGGAGAGGGCAGAGTGGATTATTCACACCCAAATCTTAAACTGGGACCCTACATTATAAACATGCCCCAACTTGTGCTTTCATGTTGTAATTCTATAATTTCATGTTTGCCTGATGCAGTCAAACACAATCAAACAAAAATGAAACGTGACGGGAAGGGAAAGATGAGAAAGGATGGGATTCTGAGCCTCTTCCTCTTTATTTATTTTTTCAAACCAGAAATCTAAAACTGTCCTTTACCATACCTCTTGCCCACTCCCACATGACAAATCTCACCAATTCTACCTCCCAGTGGACCCTCCATTCCATCCACCACCTTCAGGCCACTGCCAGCACCCTGAGGTAGATGGCCTTCTGGCCTATGCATTTATCTCTCTGTTTTCAGCCCATTCTCTACTCCAGTGTCCAAATGACCTCTCAAACACATGCATCTGATCATACTTCTCTCTGGCTTCAACAGTTTCCCACTAACTCTTACAGAACAAAGTCCCCTGCCGCCCGGCCCATAGCAACAATGCAACAAATAGTCATTGAATAAGTGAACATTTTGATTTTACATCATTTCATGTATGCTACTCCATTTTGAGTCAGGATAAACCTCTGAGCTGACTATCAAAAAGCACACATAGTTCTTGTCAACCATTAAAGTAAACTAAAAGGGCAGGGAAAAAAAACAGCCCATGGTTTTCATACAATAAATAATAAAAGTTTCAGATTCATAGTCATCCATTTGATTATGACATATGAATTCATACAACTCATGCAGATTTGTATATATGATTGTATTTCCATTTAACAGGAATCTGTCATCATGAAAGTTATATTATGTTAAATAATTGCCCTCTACTGAATATTTGCCCCATAAGAGGAACAGGAAAAGGGTTATAATGAATCACTGACATCAGAAGATCATGTATTTGACCTAGATGCCTCTGAATCAGCTCTGCAACTAGGACTTCAAGGTAAAACATATGTTATACAGTCAAATATGAATATTTTAATTCAAGAGATATGCTCTGAGGTAATTCACTGTCTGAGATTTCTTAAGCAGAATTAAATACTGTATACATTCCCCATGCTGAGGTGAATTATCTTTTTATTTTTTTCCACAATGAAAATAGATTTTTATCAACTCTCACAAGCAGAGGCAAAAATTACTCCTACCAAATACCAATGATACTCACAGGATGTGACATTAATGTCTAATAGGCTTAGCCAGTCTTAAAAAACCCCACCCATCACAACTCAATGGAAAATACTAATACCATATGCTGAGATATCTTAAAATTTGAAAATAGCTTTATCTTTCCATCTTGTTTATGGTAACTTGTATTCTTGTTTTGTGTTTCTATGGGGTGGAATCTGGCAATCTTTTCAGGTGTAGTATCTGCCTTGGCACCTGGCTCAGAAAGAGTTCCCTTTCCTCAGTCCCTGCATGTGCCCACCCTTATCCTCTGAGAACATTTATTTTATCTTCCTCACATTAGTCTTCATCTTAGCTATGAACTTATTTTTGTATAGAGCATATAGAATAAAGCTGGGGTCATTTTTTCTTCAAATGATGAGTTGTTGGCCCAAATAGATTTATTGAATGATTCTTACATACCTTTGACTTTATGTTTTAACTTTCCATAATTTTCCACTGATTTGTCTATTTATATTTGTAATATTTTAATATCCAACAAGATAAGGTCAACTTCCTTTTAGTGAAAGCAAGTTGTTAAGTTAGTCTGTTTAAGTCATTACTTGTGTTCGCAATGTTTTTTGTTGTTGTTGTTGTTCTTTTGTTGTTGTTGTTGTTGTTGTTTGTTTTTAAGACTGAGTCTTACTCTGTCACCTGGACTGGAGTGCAGTGGCATGATCTCAGCGCAGTGGCATGATCTCAGCTCACTGCAACCTCTGCCTCCCAGGTTCAAGCAATTCTCCTGCCTCAGCCTCCCAAGTAGCTGGGATTACAGGTGCCTGCTACCATGCCTGGCTAATTTTTTGTATTTTTAGTAGAGATGGGGTTTCGCCATGTTGGCCAGGCTGGTCTCGAACTCCTGACCTCGTGATCCACCTGCCTCGGGCTCCCAAAGTGCTGGGATTACAGGCGTGATGCAATGTTTTAATATCTTACAACACAAGGTCTACTTCCTTTCACCAAAATTTTCCAATTTATAATTTATATTTTATAGGTTTATCAGCCTGTTTCTAATTCCGTATTTTCTTGATGTGGCTTCCAGCTTCTGTTCTTGATTTGTCATCTTAGTTATGTTTATTTTATTAGCCTTTTCAAAGAATTAATTTGTACTTTAACTGATTAATTTTTTGGTATTATTTTATTGTCTCATTCCTTGATTTCTGCTTGTAATCTTGATATTCCTTTCTCCTCCTGTCCTTAGATTGGGTTTTCCTGGCTTCTTAAGTAGACACTCATTTTCTTTAATTTTATCTTTTCCTGTATAACATAAAAGCATTTAAAACAACTGCTTTTTCCCTGAATATAGCTTTGCTTGTCTCCCATGACTTTAGTGTGTAACGTGCTCAATGTCATTAATTTCTATATAGTGCCTAAATGTAGCTTTGATTTCCTCTCTTTGACTTAAGTTACTTAACATAAATCTTTCTAATTTTTCAAGTAAATTGTGATAAACCTTTTCAATTATTTTCTAATTCTTTGAGTTGTGGAGAGAATGTGGTCTATGTGATTTCTGCTTTTAGCAATGCAGGGACATGAACTTCATTGTTTCTATATACCGTTGACCCTTGAACAACACAGATTTCAACTGCACTGGTCCATGGACTTTCTTCCACCTCTGCCACCTATAGGACAGTAGGACCAACCCCTCTTCTTCCTCATCCTCCTCAGCCTACTCAACGTGAAGATGTTGAGGATGAAGACCTTTATGATCATCCAATTCCACTTAATGAATAGTAAATATATTTTCTCTTCCTTACGGTTTTCTTAACATTTTCTTTTCACTAGCTTACTTTACTGTAAGAATGCAGCATATAATACACATTACATACAAAATATATGCTAATCAACTGTTTGTACTATCGTTAAGGTTTCCAGTTAACAGTAGGCTATTAGTAATTAAGTTTTTGGGGAGTCAAAAATTACACGTAGATTTTTTACTGCATTGCGGGGTTGGCACCCCTAACCGCCACATTGTTAAAGGGTCAACGGTAAATATATATCTACATATTACATCTACATAAATTGCTATGTTCTTATACATCAAATTTGGTCTGTATTTGGTCTGTATTTGTTCTGTAGCATGCACTTGTATTAATATTTTATCATTAATATTAAATTTGAAATATTTTAAATATTTATGTATTGTAAATATTATTTTAATAGTAAAATAATAAATAGTTTTAGTATAAATGAATTAACAAAGCCCCTACTTTCCAATAGTATTCCAACAGTCCACTGTTATGAGTCTCCTCATACAGAGCACTGTGATATAAAATATCGTTGTATCTTTTTATTTTCTTATAATATATTCCTAAGAGTGGAATCACTGAATCAAAAGTTGTAAGCATCTTTAAGGACCACTCCCAAACAACAATTTGAGAGTGGCCTTTGGATTCAGTCCTCGCCAAGAGGTAACAAGGTTTTTAAAATACATTTTTATTTGTGATAGTTTAAAAAAATAAAAGATAAAAATCCCACTTTAAATGCATTTATTTTATTATTAATTAATCTTACCTTTCCCATACCTTTCTAAATTATTTTTATTGCTTCTTTTGAGAACAATCTAGGCCAATCATGAGTTTTAAGCAAATATTTAAATTTTTCTTTGTATCTGTTTATCATGTCACATTCCTGTTATAATATTCCTTCCATTCCATGCCTCTTTGAGTTACCCAGAAATTCCAGATTAACATTAAAAAATAGTATTTAATGGTGGAATCCTCTTCATATTCCCGATTTTTAAATACAATGACTTCAGTGTCAGCATACTCTGATGTTCTCGTAAGATTAATATTAATATTTTTACCATAAAAAAGGTTTTATTTTTAAAACAGGAATGAGTGGTGAACTTTATCATAACTTCTATATATCTATTGAGATTATTACTTACTGATTGGCTACACTTTTATGTTGAACCATAGGAAAATGTCAATCTTTGACCATTTTTTACCTAGAAAGTATGGTAATTTTCTATTGTTCAACCTAACATATTAAATGATATGCTAAATATTAAACCATCCTTGCACCGAAGAGACAACTCCTACCTGGTTACAGAGGTTAATTCTTTCAGTGCCCTTTTAAATTCAGTTTGTCAGTGTTTCTATATGAGATTTGGTATCTGCATTCATGAGTTAGCTTTGGCTGGGTGTTCTTTATTCAATCTTTGTTATAAGGTAATTTGCATAAGACATTAAGACACTGTTATAAAGTGACAGGTACTACCACAAACATTACCCATGCTGGCAGTGAGCCACAGATACAGCTTGTCTTCTGCCAAGCAGGAAACTGTACTCAAAAGACGATTACAAATGATTGCTCATTATGCCAGTTCACATCTTTTCCTTGAAGCTCATTAGCACAGAGACGCCGAACTCTCCTGAGGTCCTTGTTATCCAGTGGATCTCCTCTCCTGCTCCAAAACAGCCTTTCCCATTGTCAGTGAGCAGTGCCACCTTACCAGCTGTGCCCAGCCATAAACCTGCCCTTCTGTAATAGAAATCAAGAGAGAATGTCCAGGCATCCAAATGTCAAGGCCTCATCCACAGCCACCATGGCTGGCCCTTCTTCGCTACTGCAACAGTTGTCCCGAGAATTCACTCTGATACTAATTGGAAGCCCTCATTCCCAAGAAGCAGGTGTCTGACTACACTTCTTTCTCCAGATCTGTTAAAATAGCATCTCATTAAAAGCAACCTCCCTTGGGAGATAAGGCCAAAGACCTCTGTCTTATTTCACACTTAAATTATTTTTTCTCTTTGCTTAATCCAAGTTCCATTTTGTGAAGGGGCCTTTAAGCTCAAACGGTTACTTTTTTCATGATCTAGGACACTCAAAGCTGTATTCTAATAATTAAATTTATGATATTTGAAAATCCAAACTATGCCTTATTCATTTTCTTATTCTTTCAAGCCCTCCCAGTATCTATAGCACAGTTCTGCTCAGTAAATGCTTGCTGGATTCAAAGTATTAACATAGTCGTATTTTTCAGAGGTAAGGTAATGGAATGGAAAGACTAGGACCTCAAAATGCTAAAGATCTGCCTGGAAATCCCAGCTCCACTGTGTAACTTTGTCTGAGTGACTCAAGCTCTCTGAGTGTCTGTTTTCACTTTTGCAATATGGACTAATCAGATTGCTGGCAGCTCTCAAGAAGAAAGCAAACATAATTTATATAATATTTGAGGTGAGCAAGCACTCTCCTCACCTTCTCTACTCCCTCATTATAAGATCCTATAAAGAACCCCAGAAAACTACCGAAGGCCTGTGTATTGCTCAGATCCCAAAAGCAAAACCATAACTACCTGTGGGTATCAATGCAAAACCATTAGCAAATTTTCTATGTGGATCTAAACGCCCTAAGGAAGGCAGCAAATAAAAGTCCTTCAACCTGGTCATCTCACCCTGTCTATGCCATTGATAATGGAGGATGTTAAGCACAAGCCATCTGAGGACAGCCCAGACACTCTACAGCCCAACAGTGGGCAGCACCACAGACGCCAATAAGGGGGATGAGACACCTTGTCCCAAGGTCCACAGAGGCCCACCCTGACCACCTGGCAGCCCTCTCTCAGAGCCTCCTCCACCTCAGCTCAGTAGCCCAGCTTTCTAAATTGATTTCTGTGTCTGTTTCCCATAGCTGTTATAACAACTACCACAAACTTTGTGGCTGGAAACAACACAAACTATTTGTTCTGGGGGTCAGAAGTTTGAAATGAGTCTTACCAGGCTAACATCGAGCTGTCGGCAGGGCTGTGCTCCTTCTGGAAGCTCTAAAGGAGCATCCTTCCATTGCCTTTTCTAGTTTCTGAAGGCTGCCCATATTCCTTGGCGCATGGCCCTGCATCACTCTGACCTCTGCTTCATGGTCGCATCTCCTTCTCTGACTCACTTGCCTCCTTCTTGCTTTTATAGCAATCCCTGTGGTTACAGTGAGCCTACCCCAGTAATCCAGAATAATCTCCCCATCTCAAGATCCTGAACTGAACTACATCTACAAAGTCTCTTTTGTCAGGTAAGGCAAGATATTAAAAAATTCCGGAAATCAGGATGTAGACATCTTTGAGAGTACATTATTCTGCCTACCACAGTTTTCAATACCTTGACGTGACACCCTGAAATGATGCACCAAGAACACTGCTTCTCTTCTGTGGTATTCCCACTGAAATTGTGTAGCCTAAATCATGGTATCCTGAGGAAACAGACTGCCCAAATTAAGACACATTCTCCAAAATTACTGGTGTATCGTCTTCAAAAAGTCAATATCCCGGCCCAATGGAAGGCTGAAAGTTGCCTGAGATTAAACTAAAAGGATATGATGTTGTAAAGAGCACAACTGACAACACCTGAATCAGGTCCAGAGATGAGAAAATAGTACCATATCTATTTCCTCATTGCAAATATTGAACCTACTTTATGGCAGGTGGATCACTTGAGGTCAGGAGTTCAAGACCAGCCTGGGCAACATGGCGAAACCCCATCTCTGCTAAAAATACAAAAATTAGCTGGGCATGGTGGCATGCGCCTGTAATCCCTACTACTCAGGAGGCTGAGACAGAGGAATCCCCTGAACCTGGGAGGTGGAGGTTGCAGTGAGCCAAGATCAAGCCACTGCATTCCAGCCTGGTGACAGAGTGAGACTCTGTCTCAAAAAAAAAAAAAAAAAAAATTATGCCAAAATAAAAAGTTAAAATCAAGCCAGAAAATATCACATAAAAATCACATTAAGAAACACAATCCTCATTTCTCAGAATTTCAAAGCAAAGAAAGAGGCTACATGAACCAGCTTTGAAATGCTTTTCTATTCTCTCAACCTCCTTTGGACTCCATGGGTGCCAGATCCTTCCTAGCACCCGAACCATATTTGGTAGTTAGCTAGGTACAAGCTACAGCTACGAACGTACATGCTTCCATGGTGGCTTAAAACAGTGGTTGGTTTCTAACGCCCCTAGACTATGCAAATGGAGTTACATGGAGTGTGCAGAAGAAGAGCCAGGCCTCCATATCAGTCTTCCATGGAGGTTCTGAAACCCAGCATGCCAAGGGCTTGTCAGATCCAGTAGACCAAGCATCACAGCTCAGCCCTCCCTGCTCATGCAGTCTGGTCATTTATGTGACACTTCCCTGAGGCCTCAAAGGATTGCTAGGTCCCAGAGTGGACAATGCTACCAATCCAGCTAAACTGTATTCAGACCGTGCTCTCATCCTGGAAGCAAAAATAAGAAAAGAGATGCACATTTTGACAAATCTGACAAACATGTGACTGTGTAATTCAACAAACGTGATGTCCTTTCTCTTCAGTGAATGCAGGGTGGAGCAGAAAGAATTTAGGTTACATGTCAGAAATAATTACAGTAGGAGAATTATATCCTATACTGATTAAGATGTTGAGAGAATTTCCAGGAAGCTTCAAAAAATAGACACACAAGTGTGATTGTGCCTGTCTGAAATGGGATGATGTGGTCATTTGTGAAAACCACATCTGGGGAAGATGAGTGGTCCTCATTCACCTGTGCTCTAAGATCTTTGTAAATAGGAGATTTTTGCACTATCTCCAACAAGGCACACACAGAAACAATGCATAGCAACAGATCTAGAAAACGAATAATCATACATTGTGCAGGCAGACGAATTTTGACTATCCAATGATGGCAGGACAGATTGCAACAAGAGCAAAGGACAAGGTGATAAACCCTCCTATCCCCCAGCCCAGAGCCTCTGCACCTTCGGCAAGCCCAGCATGTCTGTGGACTGGGCAATGCTTGTGTGCTGATGTGGGGTAGAGAAAGGAGATATGCAAGAATGAGGACGAGCACACACTGCCCCAGCCCTGCACAGGGCAGTTGAGAGCTTGGGATGAGTCTACGGGCCTAGGTTGGGATCCTGGCTCAGCCATGTGTTGCTCACATGAGTAGAATAGATTACTTCATCCCATGGAGCCTCAGCTTCCTCAATAACTACCTCCTAAGGTTCCTGAGAACTGGAAGAGTCCTTCATCCAAAGACCCAGCTCTTATTATTATTACCAGGAATCTACCCTGTTATAAAAGCTCTACACCAAATGAACTATGTTCCCTCTTCAATCTCCCCTCTGCCTCAGGAGGACTGACTTTGTCATCTAAAGCAAATGATGGCCGATTCAAAGTTCTTTTTTCTCACCCTTTTCTTCTCAGGCTGTCTCTAAGAACAGCATTTTCCTTCATTTTTTTTTCCTAATAGTTTTCTTTATTTGGAGGTACGATGTGATTAGTCAAAGTAGACTATCATTTTTATTCCCTCCATCCTTCATAAAAATGACAAAGGATTAACAGGTGATTCATTTGGAAGTTAGTAAAGATTAATGAAGGATATTTATCACATAAACACAAATTTCTGTGGCAAAGATAAAGCAATTAGCTTTTCTTCAGTGAAGTCTGAAGCCTTTTGGGTACTGATCCCATAATAAGTATGGCTACAGAACCAGAAAGGCCTAGACAGAGGATAAACTGTTATGCAGTAAGGAGGCAGAGCCACTCAGAGCAGAAAGGGTGGGAGAAGGGGACAAGAGAGGAAAGGTGAGGGGACGAGGGGAACATGGGCTAAAGTTTGGGTATTGAGAGAGAAAGCAAGAGGAAGAAAGGGGTTTTTAGGGGGCTACACTGCCATGACACATGAAATGATGGAAAAGAGATGAGACGGAAAGCATCTCTAGAACATTCTGCTGTATATTAGTCAATGTACTTTGCCTTTGGGCCCCTTTTTGAGAACCTTCAGCAGAGACTTCTGGAACTTTCTAAGGCTTTTGTGGAGGTCACATTTGGTTCTCTGTGAAAATGTAAGGTAGAGTCCATTTAATATTTCTTTTGATTTTTAGAATTTTGATCCAATATTCACTGGAGACTTATAATGGTTTTCTTTTCGTTTTTTCTTTTTCTTTTTTTCTTTTTCTTGAAACGAAGTTTCACTCTTGTCCCCAAGCAGGAGTGCAATGGCACGATCTCGGCTCACTGCAGTCTCCGCCTCCTCAGTTCAAGCAATTCTCCTGCCTCAGCCTCCCGAGTAGCTGGGATTACAGGTGCCCACCACCATGCCCAGCTATTTTTTTTTTAAATATTTTAAGTAGAGACAGGGTTTCACTATGTTGGCCAGGCTAGTCTCAAACTTCTGACCTCAGGTGATTCACCCGCCTCCCAAAGTGCTGGCATTACAGGCGTGAGCCACCGCACCTGGCCTTTATAATGTTATTTTGAGTGCTAGAAGTCTAAACTCGTAGGAAAGAAAGCCCCTCAGTGCGAGTCTATGGCCATCCCTCATATGCATGACCTCACTTACTCCTCACAACTGTGTGGTGTAGAAAACGCTCGTGTCCTTACATTACAAATCAAGAAATGAGTGCTCAGAGAGATTGTGGAACTCGTGCAAGCCTGCACAGTAAGTAAATGGGAGAGCTGGGACTCAAACCTAGGTCTTGTACTAGGTCAGTACAAGCCCAGTCCCCATGCTTTAGGTTTTGGGGTATCTTTGGTTTAGGGATTTGTTTTTTGCTTTTTGCTTTTTAAAAAAATTGTGGTGAGATTCAAATAACATGAAATTCACCATTGTAACCCTTTTTAAATGTGTAACTCAGGGGTATTTAGTGCATTCACACTGTTGTGCAACCGTCACCACTGTCTAGTTCCGGAATATTTTCATCATCCCAAAAAAGAACCCTGTATTCATTAGGCAGTGAGTCCCTATTCCTCCCTCTCCACATTTCCTGGCAAACACTAATCTGCTTTCTGTCTTTATGGATTTGCCTATTCTAGCTATTTCATATAGGTGGAATATCTACAATACATTATGTGGCCTTTGGTGACCACTCCTTTCACTTAGCATGTTTTCTACATTCATCCATACTGTGGCACGTCTCAGAACGTCATTCTCTTTTTTTTTTTTTTTTTTTTTTGTGAGACAGGGTCTCACTTTGTCGCCCAGGACAGAATGCAGTAGTGCAATCTCAGCTCATTACAGCTTCAAATTCCTAGGCTGAAGCCATCCTCCTGCCTCAGTCTCCTGAGTAGCTGGGGCCACAGGCAAATGCCACCACTCCTGGCTAATTTTTTAAACTTTTTTGTAGAGACAGGGTCTTGCTATGTTGCCCAGGCTGGTCTTGAACTCTCGGCCTCAAGCAATCCTCATGCTTTGGCCTCCCAAAGCACTAGGATTACAGGTATGAGCCACCGTGCCAGGCCAATCATCCCTTTTTAAAGCTAAATAATATTCATTACACTGTATGAATTTTCACATTTTATTTATCTTTCCTCAGTGAATGGACATTTGTGTTGTTTCTACCTTTGACTGTTATAAATAATGCTGCTGTGAACATTCAAGTCCGAGTTTTTGTTTGAACACTTGTTTTCAATTCCTTTGAGAAATCCCCATGTTTTTCATCATTACAGTGCCCAACTCTTCAAAATGTGACTAATTCCCATGACAACCACCTAGCTTTGAGGGATCCAAGGAGGCTCAGAAAAGCATTCTTTAATGGAGATGGTGACTTAGAAATGACACATTCAGAGAAATGCCCTAAATTCTACCAACCGAAAATTTCTCAATTTCAGTACTAATTTCTAAAGGTCCCAAATATTCATAGAAGATCCACCCAATATGAAAGCAACTAACCAGCACTTCAAATCACCTCATTTTCTTATTACGAGCTCCACTTTAGCTAAATTTCCAAAGCAGAACATGCAAAATGCTAACATAGTTAAATGTCTATTTGGTTATACATAAATGGTGCATGTCCATTAATGTATAATACATTTTGAATGCAAAAGGTAAATACCCTTTATGATTTCTCAAGCTACCATCAAAGAGGCTCCAGTGGTCAACAGCAGGAGGGTGACAGACCCCTTCAGGGACCTCAGGACCCCCGGTGAAGCAAGGTAGGAGTATAGTAAGTGGAGGAAAGCAGTTGAGGAAAAGAAACCAAGAGGCTCTGTTTCTACTACTGGAAAATGGTTTAATTAATATCTGCTAAGTCATCGATATCTATGACTGCACAATAAAATGAAAGTGCAGGGGGTCCAGATGCTATAAGGATGAAGACAAGGAACCCTGCACAATGTTCTCAGTTTATTTGAATTACATAGGCCACTGAAGGCACTGAAAATAGGACCTGAGACTTCCAATACCCAGGACTTTGTGGGATGAATTCCTGATGTTAAACTCCATTTACAAAGCCTTATGAAAATTACTTAAAACACAGAATTTTCTTTTAGCTTCCCCCTTGGAGAAAAGGCTGATATAAGTCAGTGATTTTCTTTTTCTTTTCTTAATTTGTCACATTGATTTTATTTCTCTGCTTTTTTTAAATTTTTTTCCATTTCAATTTTTAGTAGAGATGAGGTCTCACTGTGTTGTCCAGGCTGGTCTCAAACCCCTAACTCAAGTGTTCTTCTTGCCTCCACCTCCCAAAGTGCTGGGATTACAGGCAAGAGCCACCACGCCTGGCCCTTCAGAGATTTTCTGTGGCTCTTCTTAGAACCCCTGTAAGAGCACCCGTGGGTGTTGCTGTGCATAAGACACAGCCTGGGTGGCATTCAGGATTGTGAGTATCTGAGCACGGCTCCCGGTCAGCTTTCCCAGGTGCAGCTTCACAATCACTGTCAGCAGCTCTGACCATCCAGCCCTTTATCTCTCTGCTCCTGGTGTCCTCATGGGTAAAACTGAAGGCAACGTGCTCTCTCTGCCAGTGAAGATTAACTTAGACAATAAACAATTGCCTGGCAAGGTATCTCTCCTCTCTGCCCCCTTCTTCCACCTTTTTTCACTGGGGAGCTCCCTGTCTTCCTAACATACTATTTTGACCCCTCTCTAGGCTTTTGGGGTTCTGTAGCACATCTATTATCCTGGTCAGCTCCCTGAAAACCCTCAGACTTGAAACGAGAAAGGCTAACAGTTTTTGCCTTTGCTGTGTATCTCCCCAATCCTCCAATATATTGATGCCAATAATTGTCACTACAGACACCAATAATCAATACTGACATCAAACAGGAGAAAGAAGGCTGAGGGCTGCAAGAAGTGATGGTGGAAGGCCTGGCCCCCAGACACTGTCATCTGTGGTGTGATTCATGGTTTTAACCCACATGTGCAGTACACATCAGCAATCGAAATTATGCAATGACCATGTTCTTCAACCTGTCCATTTCCCCTAGGCAAGCCCACATTAGGAATATTCCTACAGAAGAATTAGGGCAAAGGAGATATGAGAGTTCTAAGCAACACAACGGGCAGTTTAAATGAGCTAGTGTCTTTTTGTTGCTATATGAACGTGCTTTACGTAGTCAATGATAAATCATCATGAGGCAAAGAGCGATATTTTAAGCCAAAGCAAAGCTTTGGTAAAAGCCCAGTGGGCTCTTGGCCCCAATCCCATTTGCTGGAAAGGTGAGATGACTGTGAGAAGAGGGTGATCATTTGATCACAAGGCGGAGGGAGGGGCCAGTTGCTGAAATCAGCTCTCTGTGTTCAGGCTCGACTCGGATAAATAGGAACTGTTTTCAGAGCCAGCTAATAGTATCAAAGTCAGCACAAGCAGGAATATGCACGCAGCACACAGGAGGGCAAGAGCAGAGCTGGTTTTGGAGAAACACAGGCTCTCTCCTTCGATGGAGGTTTCCTTTTATTTCTGTTTAACTTGGGTGCCAATAAAGGCCCTCGAAGTCACCCTGAAAGGCATCTGCTAAGCCTCCCCACCATGCTTGATTATACCTAGAAATCCTCCTGCCCAAACTCAGCCACAGTGACCACTGGCTGAAGCACTTTAGGCATTTTGTCAGAAACTGTTGGCACACTGTAGAGAGCCTGAGGACATCCCAGGAATTCCACAAAGGCAGTCAGTGAAGAATTGGGTCCAAACAATGGTCCATCCTTATTACACCCATTAAAAACCACATTCTCCAAGTGGACCGAACCAAGAGGTGCTAAGCAGAAAGATCTGGATCTAAGGCTATCTTCTGTATGATCTCAACTTGTAAAATTTATCTTTTTTTTTAACAAAGCTGGGGCCATACTGTATAAGGTGTATATATACATTTAAATAGTGGTTACCCCTGGGTAATAGATTGCAGGTGCTGTGTTAATGAATATATATTACATTCACAATTGTAAAGTATCTATTTCTAAAAATGGAAATTTAGTTACAGATCATACAGACAGCACTCAATAATCATTAATTCATCCAGTCCATAAGCTTTTTCAAAAACTTACTCTGTTCAAAAACCAGTAAAAGGAGGAAAGCACATAATATAAAAGAAACTCAGCTGAGAACGGTGGCTCATGCCTGTAATCCCACCTGAGGGATCCCACCTGTAAATCCCACCTGTAAACCTCACCTGAGGTCGGGAGTTCGAGACCAGCCTGACCAACGTGGAGAAACCCCATCTCTACTAAAAATACAAAACTAGCTGGATGTGGTGGCGCATGCCTGTAATCCCAGCTACTCGGGAGGCTGAGGCAGGAGAATTGCTTGAACCTAGGAGGCAGAGGTTGTAGTGAGCCAAAATCGCACCATTGCACTCCAGCCCGGGCAACAAAAGCTAAGCTCTCTCAAAAAAAAAAAAAAAAAAAAAAAAAAAAAGAAAGAAAGAAAGAAAGAAAGAAAGAAAGAAAGAAAAGAAAAGAAAAGAAAAGAAAAGAAAAGAAAAGAAAAAAGAAAAGAAAAGAAAAGAAAAGAAAAGAAAAGAAAAGAAAGGAAAGGAAAAGAAAAGAAAAGAAAAGAAAAGAAAAAAGAAACTCAGTGAGTTACAGAAAACACAAATCCACAGAGGGGCACATACAAATAAAAAGCCAATTTTGTTGACATTTTATTCTAATAAAAGTATAAAACACTAGTCTTGGATTATTAAAAAAATAGAACCTACCATGTTTTGAGAACTTACTATATTCCAGGCACTATGCTAGACTTTTACTTGCACTATCTACTAATCTTTCAGTTATCCTTTAAGTTAAGTGTTTTACAAATGTTACAAATGAGGAAAGTGAAATTTAGGGAGACTCCATTGCCAAATAACAAGTAATTGGAAGAGACACATTTTAAACATGTGTCTATCCATCTTGATTTGCCCTATAAATAAATAAAAAGGAATGTAAAACATTTAGTAACATAGCAAACAAAAAAAATCATTTAATTTCAACTTATGAGCTCATAGAGACAAGAGTTAAGGAGTATAAGGACAGAGCAGCAGAATGAGAGAATAGAAAGGAAGAAAAACAGAGAAGTGAATGGTACCCAGACATTAGATCAAATATCAAGTTTAATGATCCAGCAATCCCACTCTGGGTATTTATCCAAAAGAACTGAAAACAGAATCTTGAAAAGCTATTAGTATTCCCATATTCACTGTGGCATTATTCACAATAGACAAGAGGTGTAAACAAACCAGATGTCCATCAGTAGATAAATGGATAAAGGAAATGTGATACATACATAAAATGGAATGTGATTCCACCTTTAAGAAAATTCAGCAATATGCAAGAACATGGATGAAACTTGAAATTAAGCTAAGCGAAAGAATCTCATCACAGAAAGACAGATACAGCATAATTCCATTCATATGATGTATCTAAAACAGCCAAATTCATAGAATCAAAGAGTAGAATGATGGCTGCCAGGAGATGCAAGGGGGGAAATGGGGAGTTGCTAATCAATGAGCATAAAGTTTCAGCTTAGCAAGATGAATAAGTTCCAGAGATCTGCTGTCCAACACTGTACCCTATAGTTAACAATACTGTACTGTACACTTCAGAATTTGTTAAGAAGGCAAATCTCATGTTAAGTGTTCTTACCACAATAATTTTTTTTTACAAGACGTAAACATCTCTTATCTGGACAGTGAAATCATATTTGTTCTCCAAGATTGTGAATATCTGATTCACCTCTACATACAGCCTTAATGGCTAAACCTTCAGTCTCCATTGCGGAAGGCAGAGCCACAGTAGGAAATACCACTTTGGCTTCTGTACCCTGGCTGGAACAATAATTCCACACCTGTTATTTGCAGCAGCCCAGCAGAAATTAAACCAAGAGTTGAGTTCTACCCACTGGCCACAGGTCCTCACACCTAACTTTTCCTGCTTACATTAGTTCATCTTGCCTGCAGGTGTCTCAAATATTTTTCCGGTGCATGGGACTCAGAAGGTTTCATTAATTCCCTATACCATAAATGTTAGTAATAGGAGCTAATTATTAAAACCTTGATTTTACTGACAAGATAGCTAAATCACAGGAAAAGAGATGAACCTTTGGGTGTTAATCCTCAAACACGGTCTGTCTACACAGCTTAATAAGTGGACTAAGTAAATGACCCAGGTCTAAGGACACGCCTCTGATTGCTCACTTCTGTTCCAGCTCTAACATTCTAAGTTCAATAAACACTGCTAAGACTGATTTTTTGTCTTCTTCTTTTTTTTTTTTTTTTTTTTTGAGATGGAGTTTTGCTCTTGGGCAGTGGCACAATCTTGGCTCACTACAACCTCCACCTCCCAGGTTCAAGTGATTCTCCTGCCTCAGCCTCCCAAGTAGCTGGGATTATAGGCATGTGCCACTACACCCGGCTAATTCTGTATTTTTAGTACAGACGGGGATTTTCCATGTTGGTCAGGCTGGTCTTGAACTCCTGATGTCAGGTGATCCACCCACCTCGGCCTCCCAAAGTGCTGGGATTACAGGCATGAACCACCGCACCCGGCCTGTTTTTGTCTTTTTACAAATATCACTGTGAAAATGCCACTGGAGTTTCACAGGGGGCTTTGGAGCTTCAATAGAGGGCAAGGCTGGTGTCTTTTACATCTTACCCACATAACACAGTCCTTTTCTACAGCCTAAACAGTTTTCTCAAAGGGCCTCAGAAACACTGATATGGATAGATTATCCATATGAAAGAAGAGCGAGAGAGGAAATGTCTTTCTATCTTGGTCTTATCTAAAGATGGTTCTCTGCAGGAAGGGGAATCAGGGTTTTTCAAAAGGTCCAGTGGGTCTCTTTCCCCATGGTTGAAGATGAGGGTACCCGAGAGCCAGTAGATGATGTCAAATGGTCTGTCCCCATCTGCAGTTCTGGGACACCTCTTTAGAACACTTGGGTGTGACCAAAGGAAATATGTGTTATATACTACGTGTTCAAAGTTTAAACAAGGTGCTTCCCCATTTGGTTCAAATAGATATGTGGGTTATACACTTAGATCCTCTTTTATGCCATCTATTCTAAAGGAAGGTTAAAAGCATATAAATATAGCCCTAATTTGCCACCTTGAGAAAGACATTGAAATCCAAAGAAAATAAAAATAGCTACCATTTACATTCTATGGAAATACTACATACCGTGCCAGTACTTAAAATATTAGTTCTGACTCTAACTGCAACCTTAAAAAAAAAGCATCATTTTCTGCATTTTGCTAAAGTCGAAACATTGGTTCAGAGAGACTTGACCAAGACCATACAGCTGAGAAGTGAGAAGGTCAGGATTTGAATCCATAATTGACTCATTCCAAAGGTCTTCCCATCATTCTGAACTGCTTCCAAATAAATTGTACCAAAATCTTTCTGTAATTCTAGCATTTCAGCTTATATTTTACCAAAGTCACCCTTTCTAAAACGTCTTGGCCAACTCCAAATAGTCCCCTTATAGCATCATCATACCTACCACGGCATAGGACCCAATACAGGTAGAACTTTCACCTCACAATTCAAGTAGAAATACTGCCCAGGGGCCAAATTGTAAAGCTCTGTATTGAGGTGGCTGCCTTCCAACCAATTAGACTAAAAGTACCTGACAATGCTTCCAAGGAGGTCTTAACTAAAGAGATCAATCTTTTTAACAGATAATCGGGATAATTTCTAAGCAATCAAGCACCTGCTCATTATCCGCTGTTCTGAGCGGAGAGTATTTCTCCACCGTGCCTGAATCATCTCTGAACCTTTCATAAAATGCTCTCCACTTCCACAGTATGCAGCCTCAGACAGTAGGTGCAAAATTCAATTTTTACAAGTGAAAGTATATTCTTAAGTTGAACTGTATGAGATTGCTGATATTTGACAAATTTTGTTTCACAAAAAAATGGCAATTTCAAACGGTTCAAAGTAAACCTTAGGACAGAGGTTTAGCTGCAGGAATAAAAGCCAAAAAAAAAAAAAATAGCAGCTTCTGTAGATATAGAAGTCTCCTGCTTCCTCATGCAACTGTGCTAGTGTAAGGAACCCAGGATGCCACAGCAGTTCCATAGTACAGAGGACCCATGCTCCTCCATGCTCATATTCCTGCTGTACTCAACATGTGACATGGCAGGAGTCCACCCCATAGTCTAAAGGTCACAGCCCCACCTCCCACCATGACATCCACATCCAAAGACCGGGAAAGGGAAAGGCAGCAGTGGAACACAAACCTCTCCCCTTAGGATCAAGACCTAGAAGTTTTCTATGCACCTTCTGCACATCTCCCACTGATGAGAGCTTAGCCACATGACACATCTAGCCACAAATGATGCTGTGAAATGCTATCATTTATCATATATGGGTAGTTATATCCCAGCAAAAGTTGGAATTTTATTACTAAATGAAAAGGGAGGAATTGATACTGGGGGCAACCTGCAATCTCTGACATATAGTAAGGAAAAGAATTGCAATTGGCAAACAATCCTGCAGTTTCCATGATGGATCATGTAAAATTGACTGAACTGGAAAGCTCTGGAAAAGCACCTGGAAAGATGAAAATTGAGCTATTGAAGTAAGCTTAAATTAAGTGGAAATCAGAATTCTTGGCATATGGAAGTTGCTAAGAAGCAGATATAGAACACGCATGAGTTCTCTGATGGCCTGGGAAACATCTGCCCTTTGGAGAAATCGGCCCTTTGCCAATTGGTAGAGCACATGCATCCAGGCTTTGCTCTCATCTTTCTCAGTCTGTAAGGTCATATTTGGAGGCACATCTTTATTTCTGGTGTTCAACTTAAGATGAGCTGTAAAGGTTTTGTAAGATGTTCATCTTGTAAGAAATGAAATTAACTCAGATACTCAAGCATTCTTTATGATTTTTCCAAACCATCTTTCGAGGCACTAAGGCCCCGAGGTAGAAGTGCCTCTTTCCCAGATCCCACAAGACCTTAGGCATCAGATTTATTAAAGCAGTTTAAGTTGCTGGGATATAACTACTGTGCAACCAAAAAGAGCTGATTATCACATCAGTTTGCCCCACTTTAGGAAAGTCCAGTATATTAAAGAAAACCCTCTCCAAAGTTAAAAAGAAGGTAACTGGAAGGTCCCAGCGATATAAGTATAATGACACGTAAAGCAATGAATGAAATGTAAAGGCATAAAACCTTTTCAGGTGCCAGACCACTTGGAATTACTCCCCTACACTACATGACACCTGACATTCTCTCAACTCAATATTGCAGAATAACTTCACCAGAACTGATGAAAAGAACATTGCACTGCAAAGTCAAATGAGACTTCCGAGATCAATTCCATACTTAACTAGCTAAGTAGTCTCAAGCAAATTGCCTAACCATTCATCTCTGTGCTTCAGTCTGTTCATCTGTAAGATAGGGATAATAATAGCACCTACTTCATAGGTTCACTACGAGGGTGAAATGAGTTAATATATGGGACTGCTCATCACAGAGCCTAGCAGGGGAAACACCCAATTCTTTATTCTAACTGGACTTGGCACAAGAATTAAGATACCTTGAGTGCAAATTTTCCATTACCCTTCATTAAGTCTAAAAAGGGAGATAAAACCTGGAAGCCCCAGCTCATAGAGCCCTCTTTCCCAAAGTGGAATGAACGTGCCCCCTTCATCCATGGTGCCTGGCAAGCTCTGCCACAGGAGGATATAACAGAAGGAAGAAGAAAGCCTTCCCCTCTGCAAAAAAGAGTAACAAAAGTGGAAGAAAATATACCCCAATTTTCTCCTCTCCTCCCTGAGAAGTGAGGATAATGTCAGGGTCAGAGGGGAGCTACAGTCCTTATGCCCCACTGAACACTCTGGAAAGATCACTTCTTGGGCTGCCCCTCTCACCAGCCTAGGGCACAGTTACATCCTGTAGCTGCACAGTGTAGCCAGGCTAAGGAGACCTGAAGTTGAGATTACCCCAGCTGCCCTTAATACTCATGTAGTGAAGACACAGCAGGTTAGCTACTGTAGCAGTGGCCACGTGGTTCTGTAGCAAGGGCTGGGGATCAGAGCCCAATGTCAGTGCAGCCAGATGGCAGAGCAATGAAGGTGAGCCTGAGCCAGTGGGTGCATGCCATGCCACTGGCCTCTGCTAGAGCCAAAGATGGAGATCGTGAGTTAATGAACCACATATACATGCAGGGAATACCACTCATGTGAGCATAGGACACTGCTCCCAGAGGACAGGAGGCAGAATATAGCACACCAAAGAACCTCTGACACCACGAGATTAGCTGTATCACAATCCTTCCCCCAATCATCTACACAGACACCATGTGTACATCTCCTCTGCACAAGCAAGTCGTAGTCTGAGTTTAAAATGGTGACCACTCCCCCACCTGATTCAAACACAAAATGTGGACAGTTCATGAGAGAAACGTCCCTACGATTATGTGTGAAATATATAAAGATAAAATCAATTATCACTAAACAAATATGAGTCCCATGGGGATGCAGGAGTGAAAAAAATACAACTCAGCGAAATCAAACTTAGAACATGAAAATATAGGCTTTCTAAATTCTCACAACTGTGGACAGGACTATAAATTTGATGCAACTTTGGAAAACTGTTTGGTACCATCTCTAAAAGCTAAAGAGGGCCTACCCTAATGAATCATTCATTCCACTCTCAGGTATTAACCCAAGATAAATAAGTGGTTTTTTCTACCAATAGACATGTATAAGATGTGTTCAGCTGCCTTATTCACCATAGCCTAATACTGGAAACAGACAAAATGCCTAACAGGTGAAGAATGGGTAAATAAATTGTGGGATATTGTACACTATAATATAATTTATCAATAAAAAAAGAAGGAACTGCTCCTACAGATGGCAATACGGATGAATCTCAATACATGATGAGGAGCAAAAGAAGTAAAATTCATAAGAGTATATACTATATGATTCCATTTATACAAGGTTCAAGAACAACTGAAATTAATCTATGGGGTTAGAATCAGAATAGTGGCTACCTGGTAGTAGGAAGTGAGCAGAGGAGAGGAGGTATTAGCTGGGAAGAGGCATGGAGGAGCTAATGGATTCTGGAATTACCCTGTGACTTCATCTGAGTAGCAGTAACACAGGATAGATATAGATAAGATATAGATACAGATAGAAGTAGATATAAATATAGATAATGTAGATGTAGATATAGATTTTGATTTAGTATTTTACATAAAATTTTTACATATATAAAAATGTATGAAGCTGTACGGCTAAGATTTTTGCTACTTACTACATGTATTTCATACCTCATTATAAAAGCTTCAAAACAACATACATGCACAGTCTTTTCCACTTCAATTTAAGGAAGCAAGGTGTGAGAGGAATGTGTGTTACCCCAAGGGGGCTGATCTACACCCAAACTCTACAGGGCATCATCTAATGTACGTTGGAAATAAATGTAGACTTCCCCTGGTCACCTCTGATAGAGGGTTCCTCTCATTTACCTGGGCCACCTCTAAACAGAGATCTCTAGATGCCATGAAATGGACAACTAGAAAAAGTCATAGGCTGTGGTGACTCAAAAACTGAATTACCTTAAGAAATTTTGTTATCCCTTAAATAACAGATCAAAATAATTATTTTAGAGATGTGTGACAAGGAACCTGGAGTGGCAGAAGGCGTGCACCACGCATTTATGTTGAAACTATCACAATACTTGGGCCAAATCCTGAGGGACCTAGAAAATCTGAGTCTTCAAGGGCAAGGACCATAACCAAACCAAGAATAAACCATGCTGGGTGCCCAGGTGCCAGCAGCTCTGTCATCCACTGATGACTTAATTCTCCTTCCTGCTCTTCAAGTTTTGCAGAAATATTTAAGCCAAGAGTCCCTTAATACTTTAGACTCATTGTTGGTGTTTATGCTTTTTAAGTCACAGATCTTTTTGAAAACCTGATAAAAGTTACAGGCACCCAGAAAAAAGTTATAAGATGTTGCATATATCTTGAGGTATCATAAGTAATACTTAGTAGCTCCTAACTATGGAATGGAAAAAAAAACTGGAATTGTAAAACTACTAAGGGGAGTATGAAACATTTCCTCAATAATCCAAACCAGTTAGCAGACAGTAAGTGTAACTTTATTTATACTATGGCTAAAAACTAATTAGTTCCTTATATTACTTTACTTTATGTTTAGCTGGAGTTATGCTTAATAAATGTGTTAGTAACACTGGACATCTCGTACTATGATCTTGCTTTATTTTTTAATGAGCAAATGAGTTAATAATTGTTTATTAAACAGAGTCCATTTCATAAGAAAAATATATTTTTGAAATATGCAGTAACAACATAGGTTAATGCAAAAGACAGTATAAATGCATTATTGCTTATAACTCATTATGATTCTATCTGATTTAAAAGAGTTGCATAGGCCAGGCGCGGTGGCTCACACCTATAATCCCAGCACTTTGGGAGGCCGAGGCGGGCAGATCATGAGGTCAGGAGATCAAGACCATCCTGGCTAACATGGTGAAACCCCATCTCTACAAAAAAAAAAAAAAATTAGCCACGCGTGGTGGCATGCACCTGTAGTCCCAGCTACTCGGGAGGCTGAGGCAGGAGAATGGCATGAAACCGGGAGGCAGAGCTTACAGTGAGCCGAGATCATGCCACTGCACTCTAGCCTGGGTGACAGAGTGAGACTCTGTCTCAAAAAAAAAGAGTTGCATAAAGCAATTACTATAAATCTTGTTGACGAACATAAAATATATAAACATGTAAGGTGTTTGACAATCACAATACAACAAAAGAGAGAAAATGGAGCTACACAGGAGAAAAATGTTATATACTATTGAAATTGAGATAGTATTAATCTGACCTCTATTGTGACAAATGTAGATGTTAACTGTAATCCCAGGGCAACCACTAAGAAAATAACTCAAAAACTATTTGTAAAAGAAACAACAAGGGAATTAAAAGACCACACAAGAAAATATCTATTTAACACCAAAAGCAGGCATGAAAAATAAAGCAACAAAGAGAAATAAGATATACATGACAAACATAAATCCTGTCTTTTCAGTTAATTATGTAAAATGTAAATAGACTTAATACTCCAATTAAAAGGCAGAGATTGGCAAAATTGATCCAAAAAATCTAACAAAATACTGTCTATGAGAGACAACATTTAGATTCAAAGACACAAATAAGTTGAAAGTATAAGGATGAAAAAGATATCTCATGCTGCCAGGCATGATGGCAAGTGCCTGTAGTCCCAGCTACTCAGGAGGCTGAGGCAGGAGGATTGCTTGAGTCCAGGAATTCGAGGCTGCAGTGAGTTATGATCGTGCCTGTACTCCAGCCTGAGTGACAGAGCAAGACCCTGTCTCTTAAATAAAAAAAAAGATACATCATGCAAATATTATAGTAACCAAAAGAAAACTGGAATGGCTATAACCGTATCAGATAAAAATGGACTTTAAGACAAAAGTTACTACTAGAGACAAAGAAGGACATTTAATAATGACAAAAGGTCAATCTATGAAGTAGACGTAACAAATGTAACTATGCACCTAATAAAAGAGCACTAAAATACATGAAGGATAAACTGACAGAGCGGAAGAAAGAAATAGACAATTCAACAACAATACTGAAGACTCCAATACCTTAGTTTCAATAATGGATAGAACATCTAGATAGAAGATCAACAAGAAAACAAACCAACTCATCCTAACACACATCTATAGAACACTCTACCCAACAACAGCAAAAAACAGTTATTCTCAAGCGTACATGGAAGATTCTCCAGGATAGGCCATATGCTAGACTATAAAATGAGCCTCAACAAATTTTAAAAGATTAAAGTCACATAAAATATTTTCTCCACCTACAATGGATTCACTGTCTATGCTTAACAGGAACAACTATGGGCCAATATACATCCCCAGGAGAGCCCTACAAGGACTTAGGTCTCAACCTATAGTTTAGGAATGCCAGTGGTCCCCATGGTCACAAGCATTTTGTAAAGGGATGGAAACAGAACTCTGGATACCATTTTCCTAGAGACTCTCAGAGAAAATATTGTGTTATAAAATCTGTAGGTTAAAAAAGTAGGATGTCTTACACAAATGTCTCATATATTAAAGAATTACAGAGTAATTACAGAGAAAGGTATTAGACTGTTCTTCAACATCCTAGGAGTGCTGCCATTAAGTTGGGAGATCCTCCCAAGGTTTGGACCATCTACGCTATTTAAAGGTTTGTAACCATTATCAGATAGAGGAAAAGATTGTCTGCTATGAAAGATTCTCTTCCCTAATTTAGGATTCCTTCCAAGCTGCAAATCACCTGAAGCTGATTATTCCTAAGTCCAAGACCACTGCCTGCAAAATAATCAAGTCAATACCCATAATTAAGTCAAGTTGCCAGCCTTAATTATATTTCTCTCTCGCTCGTTCACTCTCTCTCTCCTTCCCTCCTTCCCTCTCTGCCCCACCCCCGTGTACATTATATACCAATTCATTGGAGATATATATATGTGTGTGTGTGTGTGTGTGTGTGTGTCTGTGTGTGTGTGTTAAAGAAGCAGGATGTCTTACACAGATGTTTCATATATTGAGGAATTACAGAGTAATTACAGGGAAAGGTATTACACTGTTCTTCAACACCCTAGGCAGTGCTGCCATAAGTTGGGAGATCCTCCCAAGGTTTGGACCATCTATGCATCTATGCTATATATATACATACATACACACACACACACACACACACACACACACACACACACACACGTGCAATTGATTAAATGTTGATTAAATGTTAGGCATCCAAATGCAATTAAGACTTTTAAAGACAAAAGCATCTTTATAGATGGGTGACACTTAAGAATTTGATAAGGGCTTTCTTTTTTTTGGATTTCTGATGGTTTAAAATAAGAGACCCTTCTCTCAACAAATCCATGAAAGCATACTGGGTTGGAGTTTACTGCTGTTGTAAAAAAGGATTTTGGATGACAGATAGTTCAGAGGGCAAGTCAGCTCTGAACCAGTGTCCTGGCTCTGTGTCAAGGGGGCAACTATGCCCCAGAAGGACCCTTCAACAGGTAAGGGTAAAAATCTGATCACACAAACGAGGGACTGCTACCACAGCAGTGGACCCAATTAGGGTCCACTTTGCCTAGTTAAATATCCAAATGAGAGAAGAGATCATTTATAAGGCCAGTGTCTGCAGTCAATTCTCTATTCTACAGTTCTTATTTATGCTCAAGGAGTAAGGACAAAGTGTCAGAGGTATAGAATGCTTCCTGACTCCTGTAATCAGCACACCCTTACTCCTCTTGTCTGATGGCTACAATTCATTCTTAGGATCTTAGCTTGAAATCTACCTACTTTAAGTAACTGTGTTCAAATCCTCTGACTCTAGATTAGTTCCCTAGTTACAAACTGAACTGTATTTTTATCATACATAAGTTAAAATTACTATTTTTAACTAATAACTATGTACTTAGTAGTGTGTGCAAAAGTTTATCTCACTATCAACTCCTGCTGCTCTGTATGCTCAACCAGGACAGCTCTGTCAACTGCTATATTATGAGTCTCTAGAAAGTGCCTTCCACATATTAGATTCTCAATAAATGGCTCTAAATAAATGAATTCTACCAAATTGACTTGACAATAGAATAGATAACTAATAAAGCATATGAATTTAACATCCTTTACTCAACAACTTTTAGGTGCCTTGATAAAAGTGCATTTATGCATGGGTCTATGCATATTTTATTAAATCATTATAGGCACGTAAAGATAGGGAAAAATCATATATATATTTATTAATTTGTTAAATTATTATATATTCAAGCTCTTCCCATTTATGAACTCAGCTTTCAACTAAATAACTGCATGAGAGTAAGATGTAAATGACCAAAATGGTGGTTTTCTCGTTTTTGTACATCTGTTCTAAGTAGGTTCAGGGTGATCAAAATTGATATATGATTATCACATAGCAAATATTTCAAAACTAAGATCTTATCCATGGCTTTATACGACATCATTCCTCAAAAGAGATTTGGTCAATTTGTGTTCAGGAAGTACATCTACAGCCAAATAGTACACTTAAATTTAGATCTCAAATCAATAAGAATGATGTTTCAGCATTTCCATGTGGAAAGGTGGCCCATAGATGCAGTCTCAGAAAATCGTGATTATTATCACTTCAATTTTGCATGATGCTGTATAGATGGTCTTACTATATTCTTTCATGGGTAAATTCCTTAAACTCTGTGGTGACAGCATTTCCATTATGTAAATGTTAGCCATTTACTGAGAATGTAGGAAAAATTATATCTGCAACACAAGGAATCTTTACATCTTTTGTCCCTTTTACAGGAGCCCACTGGGCCACTTATTTTCTCAGAAGTTCTATGCAGGTGGCCCCTAGTGTAAATGGCTAGAAAGTCTTTTAAAATTGTGTTTGGACAGTAAGGTGGAAATTTCCAGACTTTAAAATATCAGAAAAATGCATCATTTTAAGAAAGATTCTTTCCCTTCTCTACTTATTTTCTCCTAAGGTACTTCACAATATTTCCTGTTTGAAATTTAGTCATATATATGAATGTATGTAATATATGTAACTATATATTTGTATGTATGAATACATACACACACACACACACACACACACGCACAAACACATCCCCTTAGATGAACTGCAATGGCCCAAAAGATAGTCAACTTACAGGAATGGATACCAGAGGTCCTCTAGGGTAGTGTTTTTCAAATTGTGGGCTTAGAATAAATTTAGTATGTCCCAAAGATAATTTTCTCAAAAGTGGAAGAGTAGAGTGGAATGAAATAGATAATTCTAGGCACAATGTGTGAGGATATTGAATCTTTCCTAACTTTGGAACACGGGCACTATGAGCAAATCTTGGGGGAGGGGGAATTTGTATGTGTATATGCACAAGTAAATTTGAGAATGGCTTGTATAATTTGGGAATGGTTTGTATAATATTCATGGATATTCATTTGTAAAGAGCTCACATATGTGGAGCTCAGACATACTGAAGCTGAGTCTAACCCAGGAGAGAGAGGCTTCCAGCTCCTGCCTCCACCCTAAGACCCACTGGTGAGGGCACCGTACTGTGCTCTTGTTCCCTGCAGTGCTCATCCAGGGATAAGAACGGTATCCGAATGCTGGACTCACATTAGGGACCCTTTCTCACAAGGCTGTAGTAAAAACCATTGACTCATTTAAAGAAGGGAAACTCACCATGGGTTCCTGAAATTATCACAAGAGACAGGGACCCCTGGGAGGAGTAAGAGATTTTCATAATAATTGGGTAGGAAGGAGAAATCATTTAATTCGAATATTTAAAGAAATGGGATCTAATTTCATACACCAAGTAAAGGGGGCCATATTGTTTATACAAATATCTCAGCTATGACAAGTTGTTTGGTCTATTAAAAAAGCTAGTTTTCAAATGTAACCAAATATGCTTGTGTTAAAGGAGAATGGTAACTTTTATTAATGTTAAAATCTGAGTTCCTACAGTTCTTATTTTCTGTTGTACTCATTCCTAGAGAAAGAAGGATACATTAGTATATATATGTTTGCATTAATAAAAAAGGCAGAAGAAGGAAACTCTACTCTGTTAAGAATGTCCCATAATTATTATTTTTAATTTTTGAAGTTTCTAATACAGCCAGAGAAAATAACCCTAGTGGAAAAGAAGGCATAAGCTTTGTAAAATATAGATGCAGGCAACAAAAGAGATTTCAGATGATCTGAAAAAAGAGAAACCCCAATATGTCTCAGAGATTTGGTCTCTGAAGTGTCCTCGGAAGTAAACGTGGCCATATAAACTACTCTTCTACAGATGGGCCCTGGGCCTCACAGTACAAATCTCCTTGACAGAGGAGGATCTTCCTTTGCCCATTCTTTTTATACATGCACACCATCCACAATATTTCTCCTTGAGAACAAAAAATGCAGGCATCGGCAAAGCGACAATCGAAAAAGAATCCAAATGTCACACAACCAGACAGATGGAAGGAGACAACATTGTTTTCTTACCATATCACTCAATCAACATTGCACTGAAGCACATGACTCTGCCAATATTTGACTGTTTGACTCACAAATATGACAATTCCACATGATTCAGCCTAATATTTATAGCATTCCCACCATGTATAGAATCCATAAGGGTAATTACATTTGCTGTACTATTTTCACAAAATGACAAAGCAAATGACGATGAAACCCTTATGATAATTTCACAAAAGTCACAGAAAGAATTGTGGAAGGATTCTTTAAGACAATGTGTTTGCAGGAGTGGGAGGTTAACAAGCAAGGACATGGAAAGGCAAATCAGTACATCGTCACTGAGTACATACAATTCGCAAGATATTTGGTCCTTGTCCTCAAGTACCTACAATTTAGTTTGGAAGATGTAATGCATGAAAAAAAAATTGCACCTAAGACAATTATATAATAATCACTTGGGACAGAGAAAATGACACAAAGAATATCAAACTGGGCAGGTCCTTAGAATTTAAATAGTCTAACTCCCTTATTATTATTATTAGTATTAGTATTAGTATTAGTATTATTTTTGAGATGGAGTTCGCTCTGTCGCCCAGGCTGCAGTGCAGTGGCACAATCGCGGCTCACTGCATCCTCTGCCCTCCCGGTTCAAGCGATTCTTCTGCCTCGGCCTCCCGAGTATCCTGCTCACTACAGTCATGGTAAAAAAAAAAAAAAAAATGTTTAAAGGCAGTGCTTCACTGATTTAAATATTGTATAGAGGTCAAAGAGAGTTAAGACCAAATAAATGCCACTGGATTTCACAAATAGAAGAAGATGGGCAAAAAAATAAATAAATAAAAATAATAAAAAAATAAATCCCAGAGAGATCAAGTATTTAAATAAAAAGGCATTTCGTTAAACATGGCAGGCTGACTGCATGTGCTTATTTCCATCTCATTCCAAAGCCCAACTAAGGCGACAGTAAAGGAATAAAAAATTATGAACATACAAGGACAAGAACAGGAAAGCCAGCATTAGTGAATACAAGAGTTCCATACATTTTACAGATGCTAAAAAAGATGAAAGAATGGAAACAAGTCAGCAGAATGGAGGAAACTATAAGAAAAAAAAAAGTGTGCCTATACAGGAACAACCAATGAAAAAGCAACCAATTATCACCACACAGTTACACACACAAACACACTCAGGGTTAGGACCTGGTCCCACCACACACCACACACCATAGAAGGTAAGAATGAAGCACAACACTGACAACAGGGGACTGTTTGAAAGCCCGGGAATATAGGATACTTGAGATTTCAGGTCCATTCCTCAACCCCAACACTGGCAAAAGAAGACCCAGGATGACATGTATGCAACAGGTCTACAGAAAAATCAGCCCAGATTACCACAAAAGGGCAGAGGCATCCAAAAAGGATATCTCCAGGATGAGAAAATGAGCAATTACATTATTTGATATATTGAACCTCGAACAATAATATTGATAAACATTTGACATATCTGATGAAGCAAGAAGAAACAACTTTTTAAAGTTCATTTAAAAAATAAGCAAATTTTTAAAGGCAAGGCAATTATTAACTCCAGGAAAAACAAAAAGCTGCATGAAAAACTTAATCCTCACATAAGACTTCATGAAAACTTTAAACTGCCACTCATCAAAGGGTACCACTAAGAAAGTAAAAAAGCAAGGCACTGTCTGGAAGAAAATATAAGATGTCCACCTGATAAAGAACTCATATCCTGAATACATAGAAAACTAAACAGCAACAGAAAAAAGACAAGCAACCCAAATAAAATACTGGCAAGAGACTTTAATGAAACTTCACAAAAGAAGATATCAAAATTACCAATAAGTACATGTAAAGGTGCTCATCAGGGAAAAGAGAGTAAAGTAATTTAAAAGGTATGAACATAAAAAGACAAAGAACAAGAAAGGCAAAAGAAATGGTAGGTAACTGGGATGGAAGAAACATTCTGTTACTTATCTGGGTGGTAGCTATGCAGATATCCATATACATAGAAACTCATGAAGCTGAACACTTAAGATTTGTGCACTTTATTCAATAAAAATTGGACTTCAATCTTTAAAATGTAATCTTTTGCAATAACAATTTTTGTTCAGTGTATAATTGGGGGAAGAACTAGAGGAGAAATAAAAAAGTTAAATTTACATATCTTCACCATACATTAAAAGATAGATCAAGAAATAGCTGTATAAGCATATTTTTGAGAAATCTCATGGTTAGCACTATTGCCTCTAACAAGATTGTAGGTTGAGGAGAGGGGAACAGGGGACTGTTATTTTTCTTTCTTTTTTTTAAATTTTACCTTAAGTTCTGGGATACATGTGCAGAATATGCAGGTTTGTCACATAGGTATACATGTGCAATGGTGGTTTGCTACACCTATGAACCCCATCATTTAGGTTTTAAGCCCCACTTCAAACTATACTACAAGGCTACAGTAACCAAAACAACATGGTACTGGTACCAAAACAGATATATAGACCAATGGAACAGAACAGAGACCTCAGAAATAACACCACACATCTACAGCCATCTGATCTTTGACAAATCTGGCAAAAATAAGCAATGGGGAAAGGAGTCCCTATTTACTAAATGGTGCTCGGAAAACTGGCTAGCCATATGCAGAAAACAGAAACTGGACCCCTTCCTTACACCTTATACAAAAATTAACTCAAGATGGATCAAAGACTTAAATGTAAAACCTAAAACCATAAAAACCTTAGAAGAAAACCTAGGCAATACCACTCAGGACATAGGCATGGGCAAAGACTCTATGACTAAAACACCAAAAGCAATTGCAACAAAAGCCAGAATTGACAAATGGGATCTAATTAAACTAAAGAGCTTCTGCACAGCAAAAGAAACTATCATCAGAGTGGGAGAAAATTTTTGCTATCTATCCATCTGACAAAGGGCTAATTATCCAGAATCTAAAAGGAACTTAAGCAAATTTACAAGAAAAAAACAACCCCATCAAAAAGTAGGCGAAGGATATACAGTTTTTCATGATAAGCTTTTTACTAACATATTTTTTAACTGCACACATAAAAATGTTAAACAAATATTAAATATGTGATTATTTATATAAACCTGGGATGGAGAAGGTCTTTCAGGGACGCCTCTGTGAATATCATTTATTTTGCCACCCAGTGTCCACTCCCCATTCTGTACTCTAAGTTCCCTACCTCCTCCACTAAGAGTCCATATCGTTCAGGGGAATCTTCATTCCTGGCTTTCGCACTGGCTCATGACTCAGGCCCAATTCAACCAGTCCAACCCGTGGTCTTGGCCCTTGCTCTCAGAGATGTTTTTTCTTCCAGAGATAGGCACAAGGCCCAGTTTGGGCCACTGAGAGTTATACCAAAGAGTTCTGTAAAAATGCTGAAGGAGGCCGGGCGCGGTGGCTCGCACCTATAATCCCAGCACTTTGGGAGGCTGAGGCGGGCAGATAACGAGGTCAGGAGATTGAGACCATCCTGGCAAACATGGCGAAACCCCGTCTCTACTAAAAATACAAAAAAAAAAAAAATTAGCCGGACGTGGTGGCAGGCACCTGTAGTCCCAGCTACTAGGAAGATCGAGACCATCCTGGCTAACACGGTGAAACCCCATCTCTACTAAAAATATAAAAAATTAGCCAAGCGTGGTGGTGGGCACCTGTAGTCCCAGCTACTGGGCAGGCTGAGGCAGGAGAATGGCATGAACCCAGGAGGTGGAGCTTGCAGTGAGCCGAGATCGCGCCATTGCACTCCAGCCTGGGTGACAGAGCGAGACTCTGTCTCAAAAAAAAAAAAAAAAAAGCTAAAGGAAAGATATGGTCTGCATATACTTTTACATATACATATGTATAAGAATATGTATATAGGCTACTATAGGTAAGATATTCATATATCTTATGTGAATATATAGCTTTTATTCATTAAAAGCTAATCTAAATTTATATGTACAAGAACCATATATAAATTGTTAGATATTATTATTATTAGCAATTAAATTCCTTTTTTCCTTAAGCCAGTTTGGGTTGAGCTTTCTGACACCTGCATGTAGCAGGATCCTGACTAATTCAACCACGCAAAAGAGAAACCAGACAAAACCAACCAATAGATGTAAGCAGATATACATAAAACATCAACAAAAACATTTTCTCAGTAGAAATCACCAAACAATTTAAAAGTAAATAGAAAAGGAAGAAAGAATGGTTGTAACCCTTAGGCTTGATAAAGTTTTTGCCCTTACTAATAACAAGACAGAATTGCTACAGAAAACGGGCAGAAATATAAAAGCACAATTCAAGAACAAAAACACGAATGCACAAAAGTTTGCTTTTTAAAAATCAAACAAATGAAATTAATCATGAACAAATTTTATCCAATGACATAGCTAAACATTGTTTTAAATTTTATTATCCAGAGTTGGCAAGTGTCTCATGGACTGCTGATGAGAATGTAAATTGGTACACCTTTCTGGAAGGCAATCTAGCTATAATAAAAATAGGCAAACCTTGGATGCAATAAGTCTTCTTCTAGGAATTTATCTAAGGAGATAATTAAAGAGGTGTGCAAACATTCTCCCTACAAATTTGCTCACTGACTTGTATTTCCATATAGAAACACTGGAAAAATGAATATTCAAAAGATAAGGCATTCAGTATAATCCATACATTCCAATAGTGTTCAATAATTTAAAATATTGATGGAAAATATGTACATGTATAGAAGGATGTTCATAATTATGAAGTGAAATAAACAGGTCTTCAACTATACAGCAATGAGCCTGTTTTGGTTGTATAAATACATACACACATGGAAAAAGATCTACTCAGATACATATCAAATGGTAGTAAAATTTCCGAGTAGTAGAATTATGTGCTTCGTAATTTGCTGGAGTTTTTTTCTGCTTATATGTACATTTCAGCCTTGTGGTTTTTTTCTGCTGACTAATACATTTCAGCCTTTCTCCAATGAATCTTCACTGACTTTCAGTAAGAAAAAAACGTATTTAAAATTCCTAAAAAGCCATGTCACCTCTAAAAGTGATTTCAGACATGCAGTTGGAGCCTAAACATATGCAAGCTTTTAGGTGAAGCACAGATGATAAGAAAGTCAAGGGAGTGGACTCTCTTTTAAGAAAATTTGGTTGTAAAAACAAGAAGCAAAGGGTCTCAGGGACATATATGGTCTATAGTTATTGGGATGAAGAGTCTTCTCTGGAGAAGAGGAAGAGGCCAAAGGTGTAGAAAGAGGGAATCACGTGGGGATATGTCTAATGGAGCCTCTGACAGTAACATACTGTGCTTTCCTTTCTCCAGCAGCCTCCATTTGGGCTGGGCTGCTTTACCTGGATGCCAACATGCCCTTTTCTCTTTGTGCCAAGCATATCCTGATGCTACACAGACTCAGAAAGGGGGGCAGAACTCACCCTGGGGAAGAGCCTATACTCTCAGCCTCTTAGTGTTTGAACCTCTATACTAGGTGCGGCAGGCACTTTTCATCAGCACCTTTCCCCAGTGAAGAAAATAGGACGCTTGAAACCCCCAAGAGGGTCTCTCACCCCCGCTCCCATAGAAGACTGACCACCATCCACAACTGCAGTCATAAAGTACACTTGACCTTGATCGTGAAAAAGTGAGTTTTGACAATTCACAGGACTTGAATGCTCCGTAAGAGATTAGGTTTTCTTTTCATTTATTTTGAGCATATTAACAGCTGGTGACCTAGATTAAGAAATAATTCAATATGTGAAAAGGCAGACCATATCACTAAATTCCTTCACAGATGGAAAGTGGATTCAGTGAAAAGCCTCAGACCGAAGAGTCAAGTAATTACTTGGAAGGCAGGAGGAGGAGTACCTACAAGTGGGTAAAATGAAGTGTGGAAAAAGGATGACAAAACCTGGCCCAGATCCCAAGCCAGCAGATCCCTGGCTACTTTCTGCACAAGTAACCCGGGCCTGGAAGGCAGCAGGCAGCCTTGCTAATTCAGCTGCGGAGGGAGAGGCAGGAGGAGGATCACTTTAGTTCAGGATGAGCTTGGGTAGATATTAAAAGAAATACAATCCTCTTACTGCATGGAGAGTGTGCATGTGTGGAGGGAGGGACTAGAGGCAGCCACCAAGCCTCTGGGCCTGGGGACAAAAGGGATCAGTGCCCCCTCTGCTCAGCAACTCATGGTCAGCCGGAACTGGGAGGCAGCCTGAGATTGAGATTGGGTCTGAAGAGGGAAATTCATTGCCATCCTGAGCAACATGGCAAATCTGACTTCCAGTAAAACAGGAAAACGCTAAACACCCCATATCCTAGGGACGGAAAATACTGCCACGTGAAAGAGAACACAGTTCAAGTGATACCAATCATGGGGCTCATTAGCCGGTGTTGATTTTCAAGTACAATGCTCAAGCTACAATATAAAGGAAATGTCCTTTGCTCAGGACACAAATGAAGACCTCAGGGCCGTCATATACAGCAGTCACCAGGGAAGCCAGGCAAGCCTGGTGCCTGGTACAACTCCCCTCCACCTGCTTTGGGCTGTGCTTGCTACGGACCTGGGTTTCATTCATGCACGTCTCTGGGGAAAAAAAATAAATTACTGTGCGCAATTTACTGAGGGACTTGCAAAACAACAGAGAACCCAATTTGTGCAATCTGGATTTTTTAAAATGCAATAAAAGGTCCTTCTTTGTGCAGAAATATGCAGAAAGGAACTATTAGGTTCAGGTCATATTTATTTTTGACCTTCTAAAGAAGGACACTGGAGTCAAAAGGGACACAAACATATAGACCAAAATTAAAAGTGTGTATATCTAGATCTCTGTTTTGAACTCCAGAACTCACCAGACAGCACTGTGTGATCACGATCCTACCCTATTGGTCCTGGGAGATTTTTGGTGGCTTCTCTGTTAAATCGTTCGTGTCTGCTGCACTTAAGTAGCCACAAAATCCCCCGCAAGAAGGAAGGCTGCTGCAATCTCCCGCCCCGATCTGCGGGCCGCGTCCCCGCGAGCTGCCTGCGGGCGCGCTGGGAGCCGGCCCGGGGAGATGCGAGCGCAGGGAGATGCGCTCTGCTCCGGGCGCAGCGGGCAAGCTGCCGCACCTCCTACTTCTGTTGCCTGGCTTGGGGCCAGGAGAGCGGCAACCCGGGGCCGGCTCCGGAGCTGGACATATCCGGCGTCTCCGGGGCCAGGGTCTGCGGGTCCCCGGCGCTGCGTCCTCCCGACCCGCTCCCCGCGGCGCCCGGGTCGCGCCTTGCGGCAGTCACCGAGCTGAGGGCAGGGCGTCCCAGCGTCCCTGGCCCCGGCCCCGCTCCGCAGCGCGCCGCACCCCGAGGCTCGGGCCCCGCACAGCTGCAGCCGGTGCCCTCCGGCCAAGCCCCCGCCTGGCGTCCCCGGCCCCAGCCCCGGCCGCCCGCCGCTGACCTTTTCCTGCGCGCGGTTGAGTCGCTTCTGGACGTTCTTGGCGAAGATGCCCGTCTTGATGTCGGCCATGGCTGCGGGTCCGGGGAGCTGCGAAGAGCAGAGCGCGCAGCGGGGCTGGCGGCGGCGCGGAGGAGCGGGAGGAGGAGCGGGAGGAGGAGGAGAGGGCCGAGCAAGGGAGGAGCGGGAGAAGCGGCGGGGAGCCGCGGAGCGCGGAGGGGTGAGGGCGGGGCGCGGCGGCGGGACCAGCTTAAAGCGACAGAGCGGGGGCGGGATGCGTCGGGACTGGCTGTGACATGGGGAGAAGGGGCGGGGGAAGAAAGAGAAAGAGGCCAAGAAAAAGAGAGGGAAAAGCCAGAAGCCAGATTGTCTCCTCGATGATAGAAGAGTTTCGAGAGGAGAAAGGGAACCAAGCCTAGCAGAAGTCCCTGGGCCCAGGGGCAGCTCGGGGGTTCTTTTAATGCAGTTTGTATTTGGGGAGAGTGAGGGGACCTGATTCTTTCCAGCAAAAAAAGAAATAGGGGAGACAAAAAAGGGAAGAACCCTAGGGATGTGGAAGCCAGCTGGATTGGAACTGCTCTGAAGTGGAGCTGATGGGGCTGGTCCCTTGCTGCTCCCAAAAGTTTCCAGCTAACAGAGGCCCCTCCATACACCCTGGGTGTTGCAGAAGAAGGTATGGAGGTCGCCCTACCCTCAGGAGGCTCACAGCCCAGTGAGGGGCCCTGGCTGGGAAACCAACGAAGTCAGAGCTGCAGGAGAGAGGCGTGTGGAGAGCAAAGCGGGGAGAGACCATCGCTGACACTTGTTTAAACTTTAAAACAAGAGTTAGCAGGGCGGGGAGGTCCGCGTTGAGAAAGGTCAGCTTCCGGAAGACAGGCGATGTGTTTTGGTCATCTCCAAAATTCCTGTGCTGGGCAGAAACCTTAGAATAGACTACTCTTCAAGAAATGGTGCATGGAACAGTCAAGTCCCTTATAGCTTCGCATCAACCATGGAAGACCCAGTCCCCCCTAACTTGTTGCTTCCTTGGAAACCTTTTGGCAACCTTAACAGGGACTCACCATCCCTATTATTCTTATTAATGCTTGGGAGAAGTACGAATAATAGGGATAAACCTGCCCTACACCTAGAGCTCTTGTTGGCTCTGACCAGTGGTCAAACTATTCATATTCCATTCTCACTGAGAGTGTGAGGAGAAGAAGTCAGGTGGTGCCCTGCAAACAGAGGTCAGAAGTGGTCACTCACAGTGAATCCTATGAGTCCAGGTGAGCATCCTACTGTACCTCTGGGGGAAACTGTTACATTGGTAGACCTCAGCGAGCTGCCACCTGGTGTTCACTCTTGTGTCACCCTGTAGTCCCCTCACCTTGATTCTAGAATGATGCTATGGCCAGCTTTAATCAATAAGATGTGGTGAAAGTGACGCCATGGTAATTCCAGTCCCCCCCCCACCCACCCAACCTAGAAACCAGGCAAGTTTTGCCCTCTGGGGATTCCTGTGACACCATATAGGAAATTCAGCTAATTCAGCTACCCTGCTGCAAAAATAAAATAAAATAAAATAACAAGGAGAGGCCATACAGAAAGGGAGAGGCCCTGAGATTACGCAGAGAGAGAGAGAGAGAGAGAGAGCAGCCAAGATGTCCCAGCTGAGCCCATTCTCCAATCAGTTCACTGGCTGGCTGCAGCCACACAAGCAACCATCAGCAAGACCAGCAGAAGAACCACTCAGCTAATCCCAGCCAGAGTGCAGAATGTGAGCAAACAAAACAGTTTTTATGAGTCGATCACTTTTATAATGCTTTATTATAAAACAGTAGGTACCTGGAACACCTGGTCTATGTGCTTGGCTCTTATTTCCCTAGGATAAATATCTGCCCCAGTTTCCTTAGGAATTAAGGAATTTCCAGGACACAGGACTCTTAGTGCTAACAGTGGGAAAGTTCTGAGCAAATTTGGATGAGTCCTACTTATAACACTCCAAGTAAACAGAGGTTTATTTCAGAGAGATAAAAAAAAATCCACCACTTGGTCAACATTCAATGAAAAAGGCTATGCTCAGAAACCAGGAATTTGAGTCACCTCCCTCAAACAGGGGCCTTTGGGGCTGTAATGGTTATACTGAGTGTCAACTTGATTGAATTGAAGGATACAAAGTATTGATCCTGGGTATGTCTATGAGGGTGTTGCCGAAGGAGATTAACATTTGAGTCAGTGGGCTTAGAAAGGCAGACCCACCCTTAATCTGGGTGGGCACCATCTAATCAGCTGCCAGCGTGCCTAGAATATAAGCAGGCAGAAAAATGTGAAAAGAGAGACTGGCCTGGCCTCCCAGCCTACATTTTTCTCCCGTGCTAGATGCTTCCTGCCCTCGAACATCAGACTTGAATTTCTTGTTTTGGAGTTTTGGAACTCGGACTGGCTCTCCTTGCTTCTCAGCCTGCAGACAGCCTATCGTGGGACCTTGTAATCGTGTGAGTTAATACTTAAAAACACACATATATATATGTGTTCCATCAGTTCTGTCCTTCTAGAGAACCCTGACTGATACAGGGTTCAGAATCTCAGCTCTACCTTGGGATCTTGACTATGAGGATACAAGTCTCAGAATGCTGGAATACACCAGAAGTGTTCTAGAGAATATCAATCCATAGTCACTCTTGCACTGTGAGCCCCAGAGCCACCTACACTGGTTTTAGATACAGCTCCCTCTGCAGACATCACTGCCCTCCCTCTGTCAGGCAAGGGACAGGAGTTCCGAGTACCAGATTTACTTTTTTCTGCTTCCTTAGAGCTCAAGCCCTCAGTCACCAAAGTACCAGCTTTTGTCTGTCCCGTAATTATTCCCACCCCACCCAACCACATTTTTGGAACTCAATAAATATATTTTAAAATAAAATTGCAAATTATTAATTTTTCTTATTATTCAGATGCCCAAATCTAGTTCTGTAACATAGGTGGAAAAGGGAGGCTTGTCATTTCTTAATAATTCTATTTGGAATACATGCTGAGCATATTAAAAAGTTGTTACATGCAAACTGTTATCAAAACATTTCACTCCAACAGAAAGGTAAATCGGTGTCCACTTTCAGGTTGCCAGGTGGCTCATTCTAGCCATTCTGGAATATTGACTAAGCACTTTAGCTGGTATTTAGTAGCTGTTCTGTAAATATTTGTTGGAAAATGCATGTATGCATGAGAATAGCTCATGAGCATCCATCATGCAAGATACGATGATGCCTGGCATGCTAGAGTGGGGACGTACCCACTCCTTAAGAACCCTGAGCTAGGATTCATGAATTCTTCCCCAATGTATCTTTAGAAACCTAAAACTGGCATGTTGGATTTGCACAGATGCTCACAGAGTGGATGAATCTAGTTTGCCAAACCTGATAATGCAGGTAAAAGAGACCCCTGAAACATGTGCCAATGTGTAGCTTTGTAGATCTTTATTTATTTCCATTCTTTAATAATGCTGCTGAAACAGAGGTTGTGGGGGAGTGAAGGTCCCAACTACAATGACTTTAAACATTGTTATTCCATACAGCAGAGTTTTTCTTCACACAAAATGTTATGTAAAACCCAAATATATTAATCAGATGGGCCTCTCTGGTTGCAGAAAGTGTTGGGTTCCCAGAGCCCCACCCATTAGGCCACTGTTTACTCCCCACACTCTCTAAGGGCCCTCTGCAGAACTGCAACACTACGCTGCCAAAGGAGGGGGGTCTACAGGACAAGATGATCTCAGCAGGATCATTCAACTCCAAAGTGGTAGGGCCATGCTTTCATGCATACTTCCTTCATTCTCCAACCATAGGACATGTCCACAATTTCTTGATGGCTTGTACCTCTTCCTAGTATTGGCTATCCATTTTTCTCCCCCTTCAGTCAAGGAAAAATACAATCCATCCAATCCCTATAGATTTACTGTTAATGAAAAGTAACCACAATTCTTTCTAATTTCTGGGACATGCTTAGACATCAAATTATATTCAATCTTTATTTAGGTAGGCTTCACAAAAAGTATCACAACACCAACTCCAGATTTTCATCCATACAAGGCAGAATTCCTGAGTCAATTTTCACTTCTGATTCACCTTCCTTCCAAGTTGCACTTCAAATTGGCTGATAAGTCAAAATGTGCAAAATGTGAATTATGACAGATATTGATAATGGATGGAATAGCCCCAAAATTACCACTGTATTATCACAGAACTCATTTTCCACATGTTTTAATGGCACAGAAGTTTATCTCTCTTATCTTTATATCTTGGCAGTCCAATTTAGAGCCTTAGAGAATTCTAGGACTTTGCTAACACTCATAAGAATTATAATATAACACCATATATAATGTGATTTATATGCTAAAACATATTCCAATTAGCTACAAGTTTTTTCTAATTATTGGTTTCTTTGTGTCATTGTGTAGATAATTGAAGAGACATTCCATTTAAATATTTGCAGGACCTAATTGAAATTGGGTTCTCAATCAAATTATGACTACTTGCTATACTTAGCTTTTTGTTCAAAGAATCAAATAACTTTTATTTTCTCTCACAAATGTCACTTGAAAATGGTAGTGTAAGTAGGATGTTTTTCAAAAATATATATTGACTGAGTATCTTCTGCATTTCAGGTGAAAACCATCAAAAATAGACTCAGTCATGCTTCAAATTAGGCCAAGTGTATACATTTTAGCTCCACATATATTTTTACTAAATTGTGCCTGCATGAATACTCTCTTTCTTTCCCAATTTTACCAAATAGGTTTGTTTGTCTAAAAATAACAACTTCCTAATACATTAATAATGCATCACTAATGTATCCTGAAATGCTAAATAGGAAGCAAGAGCTTTGTTTTACACAGAGTCATTGGCCACTAAAGAAAACAATGACACTGTCTTAAATTGCCTAATAACTTAAACATATTTGAATACCATCTTTGATGCTTTTATGCAAAGTAGATGCAAAACGACTCCTATACCCCAAACAAATTGCTTGTGCATCACTTAATAGCTTACAAGCCAATTGAGAGGTCAGGGAGCAAAATAAAACAGAAATTCTAATTAGCCACAACTCTTTCTGAAGAAAGAGACAAGTTCCTGCAAATATTTGATGCTATTTTCCATCCACAAATAAGCTATAAAAATTCCATGTACAATGCGAGAATCAGCACATTTGTGCTACTGAGAGCACCTTTGTAATTGCTTTTATAGCTCCAGCTTGGACAAACCCCAGCTTTGTAACAGTGAGCTACTTCAAAACCTTTTAACAAATGCTTAACTTTATCATATATTGGCAGAGACTTCTTTGGTTCAGGGAACCTATTTTTAGTTAACTTGATCCACATTTATATTTTTGTATGAATATGGCTTTCTAGATGTGCCCACCTTTGCATGGCAGCTCCTGTGCCCTCACCCGGCTGTTTTCTGCCTCCCGCCCTCCTTGAACACAAGGACTCTCCCAAAGCTGCTCCTGGAGCTGTGGCCACCAGCACAGTAGAGGGATTACCTTGCACCATGGGATCCCCCACTACAATGTGCCACCACTCAGAGCCCTTACTTCAGCAAAAGCCCCTGGGTAATGGTGAAGCCAACTCACTGCTCACCCTCATCGGGATTATGGGTATGACTCCATATGCAGGAAGCCTGGATTAATTATGGTGCTCTCCCTTGTGGTAAACAGATCCCAACTTGCTTGCAGTAGAGCCTCTTCCCTCTCCAGAGGCCACACAACCTTCTGGCTGGTCTTACATTGACACTTTCCTCACTTTCTTTACTTCTTTTCTCTAAAGGCCCCGAACACGCTGCTGCTGGGAGCCGCCTCCAGGGAGATCAGGGAGTTAGGTAGTGACGGAGGGAGGAGTTCCTATTTCTGTTACTTTCAGTGTAACTGCTACAGTTCAGCATTAAAGCTCAGGCCTAAAGAGTCTTCAGTGGGCTAATCTAGGAGGAAATCTGTTGTGGATGGAATCGCGTCCCTTAAAAAGATATGTTGAGGTCCTAACCCCAGGTACCCGTGAATATGACCTTATTTGGAAACACGGTCTTTACAGATACAAGACGTAAGTTAAGAGGAAGCCATACTGGAGTAGGGTAGTCCCTTAATCCAATATGATTGATGTCCTTAGGAGAGAAGAAATATGGATACAGACACACAGAGCAGAGAACACCATGTGTAGACAGACATAGCAGGAAGGAGGCCATGGGATGACAGAAGCAGAGATTGGCGTTATAAAGTTGCTCGCCAAGGAACACTGTGGATTGCCGTCAGCCATAGGAGCGAGGAGAAAGGGCATGGCGGTGCTGACTCCTTGATCTTGGACTTCTGGCCTCCAGAGCTGTGAATGAATAAATTTCTGTTGTTTCAAGCCAACCATTTTGTTACAGCAGGCCTGTATTAGAGAACTAATATGGAATCCAACCTGTTTCTTCTCAAAATAGGGCATCTCGGAAAATTCATCCCCCAATCCAAATGACTGACACAGATCTCCAAAAACAAGATCTTCATTAGTTGGAACAGCCTGTGTTCATCTGTTGCTCTCTTTTGAAACAATGTATTTTTTAAGTGTATTATTTGTCCATATTTTCCCTCTTAATTTAGTGGAAAAATCAGTAGCTTTCCAATAAGCCTGTTTCCAGTTGGATTCTTGGGAAGCAGAGGCTGAGATGGAGTTTGGGTACACATTGATTACAGATCAACGAGCCTGTGACAGGAAGCGGGGGAAGCAGGACTGGCAGAGGAAGAAGTCCAGTCCAGCAAGGGCTCCATCCTGAGCATTGCCAAGAGTGTCCCCATCTGGCTGATGTGGCTGAGCCTTTACACCCTGCCCACCAATCACCCCAATACATGTGGCCCAAGGAGAAGCGTGAGCACAGCTGCTGGAGCCAACCCGGAAGGCGCAGGCAGGTGGAGGTGGAGGCTGCTGCTGGCTGTTGAAGTGGCATCAGGGCAGCGGGCTAGTCCCCTTCTCTCTGTGGTTCCAGTGTAGAGCTCTGAGCCCATAGTAGACATGTGTTCCTCAGTTCTCCTCCCCAAAATAGCATCTTCTGTTTCTTCACCCTCCCATATTTTCATGCCTTGTACCTACACTGAGGTGTTTCTGAAGATATCTTAATACTGACTCAGCCATACTCTCAAAGCCCAGACTTTTACATTTGAATATGGGCCATTTGCCTCTAACTGATGAAGTTAATTATAGACACCTGTATTGTCAAGCTTCTCCACTCTACAGCTACCTGCTTCCCAATTATAAAAAATAAGAAAGAAACTCGTAAGGAGATACTTTGAGACTATGCCAATATCTTGTCTCTTGTCACACTCTCCCTCTCCCACTTGAGCATGCATCATGATTCTTGCCTAAATCTCTTTTCACTATGATGGCTTATAATCGGCGATTTTCTAAATCCATCATTGCTACTGTATCGATTAGTCAGCATTCTACTGTATGAAGAGCATTCCCCTTCTTGTCATTCATTTATTAACTTATTATTTATTATCTGGACTCACAGATTCTTATTTTATTGTTGTCTATTATTTATTTACCTTGATATTCCAATTATCCCAGATTTGGCCAGTGAAATCCCCTTAAATTTTTTTTATATATCTTCATCATTTTTGAATACTTTCTTATTTTCTTCTGGTACAATGAGATGTTCCAGGTACATCTTGTATTTTCTCTGCCCCAGCCCTTGAATAAGCACTCTTTCATGGACCCCTGGTTCCTTTGAGTAGTGAATGGTATTTAGAAACCAAGATCTGGTCTCTCAGTTTGCTTATTGCTGCAGTGTGTCATTGTTTCTAGGTTTTTCAGTGGACAACATATATATATACAAATGTGTGTATGTGTAAGTGTGTGTAAAATATGTTTATACTGATGCCTCTACTTTGAATTTGTCCAAGGTTGTTGTTTACCTTCCCCCATTATGTATTTATTTCTATCTCCCATCTTCTGTGTTGCTCTGGCCCCAACAACCTCACTATATTCACTCATTCGCTCAGTTCTACAATACCCACAAAATAGTTTCAGAATATTCATACCACTACAACAAACAAGCCTGTTAATAGTTCAAGATTTGATTACAGGTATTTCTTCAGACCAAAGCCAAAGTACTGTGCTCTAAACTTATTTGGAATATTGGCATAAAATCAGACATAAACCAATGGAATAGAATAAAGACCCCAGAAATAAACCTTTATATATATGGTCAATTGATTTTCCACAAAAGTGCCAAGATCATTCAATGGGGAAAGGACAATCTTTTCAACAAACAGTGTTGCTAAAATGATATATCCACAAGCAAATAAATGAAGTTGGGCACTTATGTTATTCCATATTCAAAAATTAACTCAAAATAGATCAGAGTCCTAAACATAAGACCAAAAACTATAAAAGTCTTAGGAGAAAATGTACGGGAAGAGCCTCATGACATTGGATTTGGCAATTATTCCTTGGATATGACACTAAAAGCACAGACAAAAGAAAAAATAGATAAATTGTACTACATCAAATTTAAATACTTTTGTGCACCAAAGGACACTATCAACAGAATGAAAATGCAAACCATGTAATCAGAAAAAATATTTGCTTATCATATATCTGATAAAGGATTAATGTCCAGAATATTTTTCAAAAAAACCCTTACAATTCAGCAACAAAAAAACCAACAACCCATTTAAAAAATGGACAAAGGACTTGAATAGACATTTCTCCAAGGAAGATATGCAAATGGCCAATAAGCACATGTAAAGATGCTCAACATCACTAATCTTTAGGAAAATACAGACCAAAACCTCAGTGAGATATCTCCTCACATCCATTAGGATGGCTACTATTAAAAAAAAATAACAAAAGAAATATAGCAAGCATTGATGAAGATATGGAGAAAGTAGAATCCTTGTTCACTGTTGGTGGGACTATAACATGGTGCAGCTGCTATAGAAAACAGTATGGCAGTTCCTCAAAATATTAAAAATAGAATTACCATATGATCCAGTAGTTTCACTTCTGAGTATATACCCAAAAGAATTTACAGTAGGGTCTCAAAGTGATATTTGTACACCCATTTTCATAGCAGCATTATTCACAATACCCAAAGGTGGAAGCAACTCTAGTGTCCATAAACTAATGAATGGATAAACAAAATGCATAATATACATGCAATGTATTTGTGTCCCCTTTACAAAGGAATGACATTCAGGTACATGCTACAATATGGATGAACCTTGAAGATATTGTGCTAAGTGAAATAAGCTTCTCATAAAAGGACAGATGCTGTATGATTCCACCCATCTAAGGTGCCTAGAATAGTCAAATTCACAGAGATAGAAAGTAGAATGGTGGTTGCCAGGTGCTGGAAGCAATGAGGAGTTGTTGTTTAATGGGTGTAGAGTTTCAGTTTTGCAAGATGAAAAGTATTTCAGACATGGATAGTTGTGATGGCCTCAGAACAATGTGGATGTACTTAGTGCCACAGCACTGTACACTTAAAAATGGTTAAAATAGATGAGCCAGGCATGGTGGTGCACACCTGTAGCCCCAGCTTCTCAGGAGGATTGCTTGAGTCCAGGAGTTTGAGACTACCCTGGATGACATAGTGAGTCCCTGTCTCTTAAAAAAGAAAAATCTTTTAATAGATACAGATTTCAAATGGTTACAATGATAAGTTTTATGTTATGCATATTTTACCACAATAAAAAGAATTTTTAACTTCATCAGGGAAGTTCCTTTACTAATTGAAAGCCATTAAGTTCACTTGTTACTGTTTGCATTTAGTTTGGGTTTTCCCCCACCATTGAAATTTTATTTCATTTTATTGGATATGTAAAGCATGCACATACAATTAAAAGTCAAAATTGTATAGAAAGTTATACTCGGAGAAACATCATTTCTTCCCCTCCCCTGCAACCCTACCCGCTCATCTCCTTCCCTAATTAGTAACCAGTTTCATTCATTTTTGTATTATCAGTCTTCTGTATCTTTTTACAAAATTATACAGATATGTGTATATTTTCTTGTTTTCTGTTCTTTTTTTTTTCACAAAAGATAGCATATTGCATATGTTCTCTTTTTTCATTTTTAAATAAATTCTGGAAACTTCTCCCTTTCAGTTCATGGAGATGTTTCTCATTTTTTAAACAAGTTAATAGTACCCCATAGTATGCATGTACCATAGTTTATTCAACCAACTATTATTTTTCTTATCTACCTTAATGCTTAAATTATCTCAGACCTGGCCAGTAAAAACAATCTTCTTTATTCTATACTTAGGTGGTTTACAGTATTTTACAATGACAATACTGCAATGAATAGCTTTTGCATATGCTTTTTCACATTGTTAAACATGTGTCTTCAGGGTATGTTCTTAGATGTGAAATCCACAGGTCAAAAAAAAATACATGCATTCGTAGTTTAGCTCAGTATTGCCAAATTCTCCTCCATGGGATAATAGCATTTTATATTTCAACCAGCAATATATGAAAGTGCCTGTTTCCCTACAATCTTGCCAATTTTGTCAAGATTTTGCATTTTTTGTCAGTATGATACGGAAAAAAAACTGAGGGAATTACAAGCTTCAAATAAATAAGAGATTATTCCCTAAATATCTAAGTTAAGAAAAGAGACTATGAAAGTTCATGACTCTTAATTTCAAAGTCTGTGTCATCTGCATCTGTAGGTCTGCTTCTGTGAATGCTTTTTTAAACTAAATTATGAATAACATTTTCCTGCTTCTTCACATATTTTATACTTTTTAAATTTTATGATACATATATCATGGACAAAAGAGAAGAGACTGAATCAAATAACATTTTTCCCAAAAACAGTACACCTTTTTTTGTCAGATAGCTAAAGTAAAGGGATGATCTCTTCTATCTCACTAGGAGTTAAGCTGGGTAGGGGATCAGTAGCAGTTTTGGCTAGTTCCAGCTCAGAAATGGTTATCTTGAGAGTGAGGTCAGGCCCATTCCTCCATCAGGGCTCTGCAAATGTTTCACCAGGATACTAAAGACTATAAGATTTCTTTCTCCTTTCCAGGTTCTCCAGGAGTTCATCTCTTTGATCTCTTCAGGATGTCATCTGGGTGGCATCTGGGGTTCTGATTTAATTAATTTGAGCTATCTTTCAGTTTCAAGTGTTTTGGAGGTGATGTCTTACTTCCCCAGACCATGATGCAGGCACAGTGAGACTAAGGGATAGCTCTAGCCACCACTAACTCAGAAAAAGTAGGAAAGAATTGTTGAATCTGGAGGGGCTAGCTTTACATATGGGGCTACGGTAGTTCAGACATTTTCCCTCAGTTAGCAGAGGAAAGTGAGGAGGTGTAGGCCATCATTTTGTCCATGCTTCTAGGAGTCCTTGCAGGGTAGTAAATTCTATATCTTGGAAGAGTGCAAATATATTATAGACTCTCCCTTACCCAGTCTTATGCTCAGAGTTCCCCTTGTCAAGCACTCAGAATCCAGCCCCACACATGCACCCCTGGCCCCTGCCAGAAGTTCTATCTGGGAATGGCAATCCTTTGTGGTATAGGACTTTTCCTCGATTTTCAGGCCTTATATTGTCTGCATTTTCAGGCTGAGACATCCTGTGACCTCTCCCTAGTGACAGGCCTAATGACAAGGGAGGAGGGAGGGAGCAGATCCTGAGTCACATCCCCACCTCACAAGGGAGAGGCCTTTGGATTGTCTTCAAGGGTCTCTTGATGGGGAAGGATGGACTCCTGAAGGCTCAGAACTTTCAGGGAAATGTATATATTTAAGGTTTTCAGTGTTCAGGGTTTTCAATGTAGATGTCTCATCCCATGTGTCAGTGTCTCTTTCTTCTGACCTTGGCATTGCAGGCCTGCATAGCTAGAAGTTTAACCTTAGGTGCTCTGCTTCTCTGATGATTAAGTCCTGGGCCCCATCTTCAGCTTTCTCTGCACTTTCACTGCAGGCCACTGCAGAGCCTCCTTGCTTCCTACAATGAAAAAATATCCTGATGTTTACATGGATCTTTCAATTGCCAGTTAACTGCTTTTAGTCTTTCCTTATCTTTTTCTAAAGTGTCAAATGAGTTTAGCAACAGGCATCTAATCCTACTGTCCTTTTTTTTTTAAGACGGAGTTTCACTCTTGTTGCCTAGGCTGGAGTGCAGTGGGGTGATCTCAGCTCACTGCAACATCTACCTCCTGGGTTCAAGCCATTCTCTTGCCTCAGCCTCCCGAGTAGCTGGGATAACAGGTGCCCACCACTATGCCTGGCTAATTTTTTTTTTTTTTTTTTTTTTTGGTATTTTTAGTAGAGACGGGGTTTCACCATGTTGGCCAGGCTGGTCTCGAACTCCTGACCACAGGTGATCCACCCACCTCGGCCTCCCAACCATTGTCTTTTTAGTTACTATTTCTCTGGGACTTCAAAGGCTGGCTGATGCGTTTCACCAGCTAGGACTTCCCCTTCTGTGTGTACCGTCAGCATTTATCACTAGTGAAAGTTTTCACAACTGGACTGTCACCTTGTGCCACAAGTTACGTGGCACTTATCACCAAGGATATAGGGTCCTCACTGCCAGCTGGGAAGAAGGCAATTGAGCTCCAAAACCCGACTTGAATATTCGCTTTGTTGGACACTCCAGGCATTAACTGCCATGGGTGAAGTTCCCCAGGCAGCAATCTCTGAGACAGAGTCTAATGGATGGAAAGCTTATTAGAAACCAACATCCGTGGAAGGGAGAGAGAAAAAGCAGATTTAGGCAGAAAGGGAAGTCAACCTGCAATGCAGACCCAATAGCCTCAACCAACCCCACAAAGAGTTCTAGAATAAAATGGCCAGTCACAATTTTCCTGGGTTGGGCCAAAATGCCTCAGTCATTGGATATGGACTGCCCCAAGAAAAGCATGACTTTGGGTGAGTTGGCTTTCTGCAGCTGAAGCAACCCCTGAAAGGATTAATAGCCCAAATCTGTCATCTGACAGCATTCCCAACCGCTGCACTAACAGGTCTTCCTTCAAGGGGTTTTTGAGGGGCACATGCATGCCACCAGACAAGACAACTACTCCCTCACATGGAAATGGCTGCTGGGCATTCCTCACTTGGAAAGAGCTTGCCCTTCTCTGCAACGTCGATCATTTAGACCTCAATGTGTTTACAGCCCTTCAATGTCGTTAGAGAAGAGGAATTTTTAGTTTATCTAACATCATTGTTTGGGCAGAAACAATGATGTTTCACAATTTCAACAGCCTAATCGGTAGTGAAACTCCTTCAGCCTATGAATTTTTAATTTCAGTTTTTCTATCTTTCTGTTCTATAATCCCATTTAATTCTTCTTTTTTTAAGTTTATTTTTCCGTGAGTTACTAGGGTACAGGTGGCATTTGGTTACATGAGTAAGTTCCTTAGTGAAGATTTGTGAGATCCTGGTGCACCCATCACCCAAGCAGTATACACTGCACCATATTTGTTGTCTTTTATCCCTCACCCTCCTCCCACTCTTCCCCCCAATTCCCCGAAGTCCATTGTATCATTCTTATGCCTTTGCGTCCTCATATCTCAGCTCCCACATATCAGTGAGAACATACGATGTTTGGTTTTCCATTCCTAAGTTACTTCACTTAGAATAATAGTCTCTAATCTCATCAGGGTCATTACAAATGCTGTTAACTCATTCCTTTTTATGGCTGAGTAGTATATCATCATATAGATATGCCACAGTTTCTTTATCCACTCGTTGATTGATGGGCATTTGGGTTGGTTCCACAATTTTGCAACTGTGAATTGTGCTGCTACAAACATGTGTGTGTATCTTTTTCAAATAATGACTTCTTCTCCTCTGGGTAGAACTTCCAGTCTGTGCTGATAGTCACCATTTTGTCATTTAATTTCTTGATTGCTTTAATCATTATTTTAACATTCTTGTCTGATCACTCTAATATTTGGATTTCCCATGCAAATATTTTCTTGTCTTTTTCCTCTCCTTTTTCCTCTTCCTTTTCTTCTCCTTTTCTTTCCTTTCCCTCCCTCCCTCCTTTTCTTCCTTTTATCCTTTTTTCTTTTCTTCCTTCCTTTTTTCTCTTTTTTTTGCATGCCAGGTTATTTTTGATTGAATATCAGACATTGCATGCAATATATTGTCAAGATGAATTGAAGCTCTAAACGATGATGTCTTACTCTGAATAAGATTTAGTGAGCAGATAGAGGAATAAAGATCTTCTTAATCCCAATAGAGATTGAGCTCATTCAAACTTTTTTTATTTTTATTTTTGTAAAGGCTGGGCAATTTATGATTTATCATCACTTAGAGTATCTATGCTTTTGGTGATCCCAACTGAATGCTCAAGGTGTTTCTTACCAGGTTTCTTCCTCTTCTGCGGGTCTGAAGTTTGATTGTTATATCCCAGCCCCATGAGACTTACAGAAGTTCTGCTTAGCCTTTTTCTCCCTAAGCTTTAGATTTATCCTCAACTTCCTAGCCTTGCCATCACCTCTTAACCAAAAAGCTTGGAGGGGAAATAATGGTACCAAATGTCAGCCTCAGCTACCTCTCTTCTCTCTGCCTTCTCAAGTACTCACTGCCTTGGTAGCTCTCTGATGCCTTCGGATGGGTGTGTGTGTGTGCTTGTGTGTGTGTGTGTGTGTGTGTGTGTGTGTATGCATGCATGTTAATCTGCTCTGCTAGTCTACACATTCTCAGCAGGAGAATTGGTCTACTACAAAATAGTCCATCATTGCCAGAAGCATGATTCCAAACTCTTGTTTTATTGAATTCATGTTTTTAGTAACTTGTTTTACAGCAAAAAGAAGCTCTGAGGAATTTCCTTCTGTTCCCTGAGTTATATTTTTATCTATATGGTGTTCTGTTTGTCTTTTGCATGAACAATTTCTTACATTAACTTATTTTTTCTCGGTATGTTTACAGGTTACTGTTCTGTTTCTTTTCATCTTAATTATGCTTCCCTGGTCCCACCCTGGCATTCTCTTTTTTCTGATATAATGTAAGTGATTTCTTGACTTTCTTCCCTTTGTATCTAGGACTAAGCTTGTTTTCTTTCCCCCAAGTCCAATTTGAGGACCGAGCAATTCATGTTCTGCCTGCTTTTTTTAATGCTGGAAAAGTGGCAGAGGGTGGGAGAAAGTTTAGGGGAGGCTCTGTGCAGTCTTCGTTTAAATGCCTCCACTTTTCACTTACTCATTCATTCAACAAATATTTTTTCAGTGTCTACTATGTACCAGGCACTTATCTAAGTACTTGAGATCCATTGAGGAACAAAACACATGAAATCCTTGTATTTGTGCCTTATATTCTAGTGAAGGAAACAGACAATACGTACGAAAACATTAGATAAGTGCCTTTGAAGGCGATGAGTGCTATAGATGCATCACAGAGAATAAAAAGGATGAAAAGTGCGGGGGAAGGAGACACTGGCAGTGGCCATTTTAATTGGATAGATAGTGTGAGTCTCACTCAAAGGTGAAATTTGACCAAAGATTTGAAGGAGGAGCCACACGGATAAATAGAGGGAAAATATTCTAAGCAGTGGGAATGGTCACCACAAAAGCCCTCAATCGGGGGATGCCTGGTGTGCTCCAGGCAGAGCATGGTGGCCTCTGGGGCTTGAGTGGAGCAACCAAGAGAGAGAATAGGACAGGGATGAATCAAGGACACAGGGCACTTCACATAGGCTGCTAGGCCATGGTGAGAACTGTGACTTTTACTATGAATGAGATGAGAAGCCAGCCTTTTCCCTCTCCTCTCTCCTCTCCTCTCCTCTCCTCTCCCCTCCCTCCCCTCCTTTCTCTCTTTCTCACTTTGTTTCTCTTTCTTTGTTTCTTGCTTTTTACATTGAGGTATAACATTCATACAGTAAAGTCCGCAGATCTTAAGTGCATACAGCTCAATGGATATTACTGATGTCAACAAATATATAGTCACCACACAGAAGTTATTGAGTGTCAGCAGCACCCCAGGAATCTCCTCATTGTTTCCTCCTGGTCAATACCTTCCCAAAGGAAATGGCTCTTCTGACTATCATGTTCAAAGATTAGATTTCTTTCTTCTGTTTTTGAACTTAATATAAATGGGACCATTCAGTATGGATTCCTTTGTGCTTCTTCCACTGAGCATCATGGCTGTGAAATGCATAATGTTTTGTGGAGCAATAGTTCTTTTTTATTAGATGAATAGCTACTCCAGAGGCTGAGACACGAGAATCGCTTGAACCCAGGAGGTGGAGGTTGCAGTGAGCTGAGCTCGCACCATTGCACTCCAGCCTGGGTGAGGGCAAAACTGTCTCAATAAAATAAAATAAAATAATAAAAATTTAAAAATGAATATTGTATGAATATATAATAATTTATCTCATCTGTTGATGAACATTTAGACTTGTTTGGAGTTGGGGCTATTGAGAATAAAAGCTGCCAGTGACACTTATATGTGTCTTTTGGCACACACGTGTGCCCACTTATGTTGGATATCTGCCAGGAGTGGAATCAAAGCTTTTCTTGAACAGAGTAGTGACATTATCTGATTTAATTTTAAAGGGATCATTTTGTTGAGCATAGACTGTAGGTAGCAAGAGTATAAACAGGGAAGCCAATTAGGCGTCATGATAGTGATGCAGGTGGCATGATAGTGATGATGGTGGCTTGGGCCAGGTGGCAGCACCAGGGGGTTACAAGTGAGGTCTTGGGCAAAAGTGAAAAGAAAGCAAAGATAAGGCTATTCACTCAGGCTGCTTCTCTCTGGGTGGAGAACATTAGTTAAAATCCACATGGTTTTGTTGATTTACCAATATGAATTTTGTGTATGGGGACAGAGGTGGAAGTAAGAGCTCAGCCTGGTGTGCTCAAGAATTTTTTGTTTCTTTCTTTGGACATTAATTTTTGAAATTTATTGAATTAGCTTATAGTCCTTTCCTGGTTTGATTACAATTGGCATTGTTTTTCTGGTTTTAACTATTTTTGCACACTCTGTTAGATACTGAGAGAAAAGAAAATGTTTAGACAAGTTTCAATTCACCATTTAAGGCTAGAACTCATCTTTTTGTTTTTTGTTTTTTAAAAAAGAATATTTTTACATCCATTAAGATGGCTATAATTTAAAAGTCAGATTACAAGTATTGGCAAGAATGTGGAAAAATTAGAACCCTCATATACTGCCAGTGGGAATGTAAAATGCTGCAGCCACTTTGGAAAATAGTCTGGCAGTTTCTTAAAGAGTTCAACACAGATTTACCATACGGCCCAGTAATTACACTTCTAGGTACATACCCAAGAGAAATGAAAACATATGACCACATGAAGACTTGGGCAGAAATAATCATAACAGCCTTGTTCATAATAGCATAAATGTGGAAATAATCCAAATATTCATCAACTGATCATTGGATAAATAAAATATGGCATATCTATGAAATGGAACATTATTCTGCCATAAAAAGGAATCAAGTACCGATTCATGCTACAACATGGATGAAGCTTGAAAGCATTAGCTAAGTGAAAGGAGCCAGACATGAAAGGCCACATATTGTATGAATCCATTGATGTGAAATGTCCACAATAGATAAAGTTAAAGAAACAAAGATTAGTGGTTGCTTAGGACTGGGGAAGCCACAAAGGGATAAGTGGAAGATAGCTAAGAGCCTTTCGGAGGTGATGAAAGTATCCTAAAATTCATGACGGTCATAGTTACACAACTTTGTGAATATACCAGTGATTTCTACACTTTAAATGGGTAAGCTGTATGGTGTGTAAATTATATCTCACTAAAGCTGTTAACAAAAGCAAAAAAAAAACATTTGTGACATATTTAATAAAGAGAAATAAAAATATAAAATGGCCTATAATCTTATCATCCATAGTTCTTTATGACATTTTAAAAAATGAAATAATAAATATACAATCATGTCATCTGCAAACAGAGACAATTTGGCTTCCTCTCTTCCTATTTGAATACCCCATATTTCTTTTTCTTCCCTGATTGTCCTGGCCAGAACTTCCAATACTTGTTGAATAGGAGTGGTGAGAGAGGGCATCCTTGTCTGTGCCGGATATCAAAGGGAATGCTTCCAGCTTTTGCCAATTCAGTATGATATTGGCTGTGGGTTTGTCATAAATAGCTCTTATTATTTTGAGGTATGTCCCATCAATACCTAGTTTATTGAGAGTTTTTAGCATGAAGGGGGGTTGAATTTTATCAAAGGCCTTTTCTGCATCTACTGAGATAATCATATGGTTTTTGTCCTTCGTTCCATTTACATGATGGATTACGTTTATTGATTTGCATATGTTGAACCAGCCTTGCATCCCAGGGATGAAGGCAAACAGAGAGCCAAACCATGAATGAACTCCCATTCACAATTACTACAAAGAGAATAAAATACCTAGGAATACAACTTACAAGGGATGTGAAGGACCTCCTCAAGGAGAACTACAAACCACTGCTCAAGGAAATAAGAGAGGACACAAACAGATGGAAAAACATTCCATGCTCATGAATAAGAAGAATCAATATTGTGAAAATGGCCTTACTTCCCAAAGTAATTTATGATTCAATGCTATCCCCATCAAGCTACTATTGACTTTCTTCACAGAACCAGAAAAAACTACTTTAAATTTCATATGGAACCAAAAAAGAGCCAGTATAGCCAAGACAATCCTAAGCAAAAAGGTCAAAGCTGGAGGCATCATGCTACCTAACTTTAAACTATACTACAAGGCTACAATAACCAAAACAGCATGGTACTGGTACCAAAACAGATATATAGACCAATGGAACAGAACAGAGGCCTCAGAAATAATGCCACACGTCTAAGACCATCAGATCTTGGACAAACCTGACAGAAACAAGAAATGGGGAAAAGATTCCCTATTTAATAAATGGTGTTGGGAAAACTGGCTAGCCATATGCAGAAAGCTGAAACTGGACCCCTTCCTTACACCTTATACAAAAAGTAACTCAAGATGGATCAAAGAGTTAAATGTAAAACTTAAAACCATAAAAACCCTAGAAGAAAACCTAGGCAATACCATTCAGGACACAGGCATGGGCAAAGACTTCATAACTAAAACACCAAAAACAATGAAACAAAAATCAAAATTGACAAATGGGATCTAATTAAACTAAAGAGCTTCGGCACAGCAAAAGAAACTACCATCAGAGTGAACAAGCAACCTACAGAATGGGAGAAATTTTTTTGCAATCTATCCATCTGACAAAGGGCTAATATCCAGAATCTACAAGGTACTTAAACAAATTTACAAGAAAAAAACAAACAACCCAATCAAAAAGTGGACAAAGGATATGAACAGATATTTGTCAAAAGAAGACATCTATGTGGCCAAAAAAATATGAAAAAAAGCTCATCATCACTGGTCATTAAGAAATGCAAATCAAAACCACAGTGAGATACCATCCCATGCCAGTTAGAATGGTGATCATTAAAAAGTCAGGAAACAACAGATGCTGGGGGGGATGTGGAGAAATGGGAATGCTTTTACACTGTTGGTGGGAATGTAAATTAGTTCAACCATTGTGGAAGACAGTGTGATGATTCCTCAAGGATCTAGAACCAGAAATATCATTTGACCCAGCAATCTCACTACTGGGTATACCCCAAAGGATAATAAATCATTCTACTATAAAGACACATGCACACGTATGATTATTGCAGCACAGTTCACAATAGCAAAGACTTGGAATCAACCCAAATGCCCATCAATGATATAGACTGGATAAAGAAAATGTGGCACACATATACTATGGAATACTATGCAGCCATAAAAAAGGATAAGTTCATGTCCTTTGCAGGGACATGGATGAAGCTGGAAACCATTATTCTCAGCCAACTAACATAGGAACAGAAAACCAAGCACCACATATTCTCACTCATAAGTGGGAGTTGAACAATGAGAACGCACGGACACAGGGAGGGGAACATCACACACTCGGGCCTGTCATGGGGGTGGGGGGCTAGGGGAGAGATAACATTAGGAGAAATACCTAATGTAGATGATGGGTTGATGGGTGCAGTAAATCACCATGGCACGTGTATATGTATGTAACAAACCTGCACATTCTGCACATGTATCCCAGAACTTAAAGTATAATAATAAATTAATAAAAATTTAAAAAGAAATTAAAAAATGAAATAATGTATTTATGTAATTAGAACAGTCCACAAATAGAGAAAGGCACAATATAGTGAGAACTTTATATTCCTTTCCTCTCCCCTCAAAGTCTTTAGAAGTAACTACTACTAAGATCTGTTTTACTTTTCTTTCAGAAGGCATTTTATATGTATGCCAGCATATACCCAGTGCACATCACCTTCATCTTCATTTACACAAAGGCTCATACTATCCACATGGCTTTGCACCTGACATGTGCCAGTTATTATTCTTTAGAGACCTTTCCATAGAGATCCACATGCAGCTTTCTCTTTTTTTCCCTTCCCACCTTCCCAGCTGGCCTCCCTCCCTCTCTTCTATCCTTTCTCATTTTCCTTCCAGAAAGAAAACTTCTGGGTTTTTTACTCTTACTTTATAGAAAGTGAAGGGGAAAAGTTTTGTTTTTAATTGTATGCTTTTTTAAATCAGAAAATTCTACTAAAACAATACCCAAGTCTGTTTCTTTAAAGTCATTTACATTTTTTGTTTTTCTTTTTTCTTGGTTTTTTTTTTGTGTGTGTGTTTGTGTTTTTTTTGGTTTGTTTGTTTTTTGTTTTTGTTTTTGAGACGGAGTTTCACTCTTTTCCCCAGGCTGGAGTGAAGTGGCGTGATCTCAGCTCACTGCAACCTCCACCCACCCGGGGTTCAAGTGATTCTTGCCTGAGCCTCCCAAGTAGCTGGGATTATAGGCACCCACCACCACAGCCGGCTAATTTTTGTATTTTTAGTAGAGACGGGGTTTCGCTATTTTGACCAGGCTGGTCTCGAACTCCTGACCTCAGGTGATCCACCCTCCTGGGCCTCCCAAAGTGCTGGGATTACAGGCATGAGCCACCATGCCTGGCATTTTTTGTTTTTTCTGATTATATAAATAATACCTTCCGGTTACAGCAAAATTAAGCAATGTGTGAACATTTAATTAACAAAGACTTATACAGTACTTACTGTGTGCCAGGCCCTCATCTAGGTCCTTTAAATATTGACTCATTTAATGAAATACTCATAACAAACCTATGAGTTAGGTCTTATAAATTTGTTTTACTAGTGGGGAAACTGAGACATGAAGAGATTAAGTAAATTTCATAGTTAAAAGGCAGCTGAGTTAGACTTCAATTCCAGCCTATCTGACTCCAGAGCTCACTCTGCTCCATGGCCTGTCTCCAGACTAAAAAGATACTAGAGACACAGAAAACTCATGTCCTGCAGTAACCACTATTGACTTTATGGTGACAATTCTTTCATAATATTTTTTGTGTATATTTATGAACAAACACATATTTTTATAAAATTAAAACATACAGCTATACAACATACATACACACATATATGTAAAATCAAGGGGCTTTTTGTGGTCATAAATTTCACAAAAATGAGATTATCTTATATATACGTACTCCTCTGCATCTTGCATTTCTAGTTTAACAGTTTCATAAAATTCCTCCAAGTCAATTAGTGTAGCTCTAGTGATGGTCTAGTACCTGCATGATATTCCTTGGTCCAATATACCTCAATTTCTTTAACCATTTCCCTGCTAATGTGTATTTACCTTGTTTCCAGGATTTGGGGGTACCACAATTACGCTGAAATAAACATCTGAGTGCATACTTCTTTTTGTATTGGTAATTTTGTATCTAGGGATTAGATTTCCAGGTGTTAGTTTCCTTTTTAAAAAAAAAAAACAGATTTTGCAGATTGCCTTCAAAAAAATTGAACAATTCACATACTCATCAACAGTGAATGAGGATCCCATTTTCCTGACAGTCTTACCAGCAATAGGTGAAAGTCCTTTGTAATTTTTGCTGATATCGTTGGTGCACAGTGGCAATTCATTGTTAGTTAATGTATTTTCTCCCTGACTACTAGGAAGCTGAAAGACTTGTTGTTGTTGTTGTTCTGCCAGGACATTTGGATTTGCTGTTCTGTGCTTGCCTGCTTATATCTCTGCCCATTTTTCTATTAATCATCTTTTTTCAGTTATAATTAATATAGTTCTTTGTACTTAATATATCCTTCAGCTATTAGATCCATTACACACTTTCCCCAATCCATTATTTGTACTTTACTTTTGTATGTCTTATATTTCACCTTTTAAAATGTCTTAATATTTATAAAAATCAAATCTGACTAATTTTTATAATAGCTTATAGGTTTCCTGCTTCATCAATCTCCAACTTGTACTTATGGTCTCCTACATTTTCTTCTAAAGTTCCATCCTTTTATTCTTTACCTTTAAGATTTTGATCCACCTGAAATTTATTTGTGTGTAAAATGAGAGGCAGGAACCAAAATTATTCTTTCCCAATACATAGCTGATTTTGCCTATATTATTTATTAAATAAACCACTGTTCTGTGATAAATTAATATATATTTATTATCTATTAAATTCTCAAAGGCTGCAGAATCTATTTTTGGGAACTGTATTCTATACAGTTCCACTTATCTTTTTGCTTACTTCTATGATAATATTATGCTGTTTTTATTACAGAGACTTCACTTCATTTTAATGTTTTCTAAGGTCCTTTTTTTCACATTTTCTTGACTATTCTTGAACATTTATTCTTCCATGTGAACTTTAAGTTTATTTAATCCAATTTAAGCACACACGTCAGTGTCCTCATTTAGATTGCATTCAATTTTTACTTAATGGGAAAATTCATATTTTCATAATATTAAATTTTCTCATTCAGGAATGTAGTGTATCTTTCTGTTTATGCATGGTTTATTTTATGTCCTCATATAGAACTGACCTCCATACACCCTTATCTGGAGCCATGAAGGGTAGGCTTGCCAGAACTTTTTCACCTAAGTCAACCCTGCAATAGGAGGACATCTCAGAGCACCTTTTGCATCTCCACGTGTTGTCCCTAATGGTAACTTGATCTTATCCCACACTTTCTTGCCTCTTAGAAGACACTTTTATCTATTCTCATCTTTCATTGTTTCTTTGATCATGTCTGCCTTTCTTGCACCAGCTCTTAATCTTCAGAATTCACTCAAATCTCTTCTTTTCATAAGGTCACCACCTTCCACTCCTCCCCAGCTCTCTCCAGTGTGTGCTGCAAGACCTGTGTGCTGCAGTTGCTCACACATCCAACTCTCCCTGGGGAGTGAATCAGCAGCCCAAGCATTGTCCTAGTGAACTGCTTCCAACAGTCCCTGACCTAGAATCACAAGAGGCTTGGGGAGTGGGGTGGCTCCGACACTGCAGGCCTCCAGAAGGACCCCTCACCGACACGTTGTTCCTGCCACTGTCCTCCAGTGTTCTCATGTGGGGTTCTAATGTGGGTCTCTGGGCCACTGTTTCCTGGGCTGCCATAGATCCTTACAGCTGCCATTTACTGCTTTCAGGATCTTGAACATTTGTCTCCCAACTTTTCTGACACTAAGTGCATCTTCTGAGTATATTCCCATTGTCACTAACATTCAGAACTTTGGCTCTTGTCAAATTGCTTCAATTTTGGATATCTGTGTCACTGGAGAAGTGAATCAAGCTAAATGAAGAATGCCCTTATTTTTTCTTCTGTGTTCTCTCTCTGCAAAGAGGAGAATGATCTTCCCCAGTATTGTGCTTTCTGAGACACACCTAGTGCATGATCCAAATGGTCCTTGATTCCAAGTAAAATGGCAAAGATCCACATGTAGCTGGATCCCACCTGTGATCACAATCTTTCTATGCTCTCAGATTCCACCTTACCTCAATGTTTGAAAAGAAAAAATTTCAGACCAAGAAGCAGCTTCTCCACTCCTGGAATCTCTGCCTTGTTCAGCCTGTCTGCCTCCACCATGTCCATCAGGGTGACCCAGAAGTCCTACAAGGTGTCCACCTCTGGCCTCCGGGCCTTCAGCAGCTGCTCTCACATGAGTGGGCCTGGTGCCCACCTCAGCTCCTTAAGCTTCTCCCGAGTGGGCAGCACCAGCTTCCGGGCTGGCCTGGGCAGAGGCTATGGTGGGGCCAGCAGCATGGGAGGCATCACTGCCGTCATGGTCAACCAGAACCTGCTGAGCCCCCTGAACCTGGAGGTGGACCCCAACATCCAGGCCATGCGCACCCAGGAGAAGGAGCAGATCAAGACCCTCAACAAGAAGTTTCCCTCCTTCATTGACAAGATACGTTTCCTGGAGCAGCAGAACAAGATGCTGGAGACCAAGGGGAGCCTCCTGCAGCAGCAGAAGATGGCTTGGAGCAACGTGGACATGTTCGAGAGCTACATCAACAACTTTATGCAGCGGCTGGAGACTCTGAGCCAGGAGAAGCCGAAGCTGGAGGCAGAGCTTGGCAACATGCAGAGGCTGGCGGAGAACTTCAAGAAAAAGTATGAGGATGAAATCAATAAGCGTACAGAGATGGAGAATGAATTTCTCCTCAGATGTGGGTGAAGCTTACATGAACAAGGTAGAGCTGGAGTCTCGCCTGGAAGCGCTGACTGAAGAGATCAGCTTCCTCAGGCAGCTGTATGAAGAAGAGATCCAGGAGCTGCAGTCCTAGATCTCGGACACGTCTGTGGTGCTGTCCATGGACAACAGCTGCTCCCTGGACATGGACAGCATCATCGCTGAGGTCAAGGCTCAGTACAAGGTGATCGCCAACCGCAGCCTGACTGAGGCTGAGAGCACGGACCAGATGAAGTATGAGGAGCTGCAGATGCTGGCTGGGAAGCGCTGGGATGACCTGGGGCGTACAAAGGCTGAGATCTCCGAGATGAACCGGAACATCAGCTGGCTCCAGGCTGAGATTGAGGGCCTCAAAGGCCAGAGGGCTTCCCTAGAGGCCGCCGTCACAGACGCAGAGCAGCCCGGGGAGCTGGCCATGAAGGGTGCCAAAGCCAAGCTGTCTGAGCTGGAGACCGCCCTGCAGCTAGCCAAGCAGGACATGGCTCAGCAGCTGCGTGAGTACAGGAACTGGCCCTGGACGCCTACAGGAAGCTGCTGGAGGGCGAGGAGAGCTGGCTGGAGTCTGGGATGCAGAACATGAGTATCCATACGAAGACCACCTGTGGCTATGCAGGTGGTCTGAGCTCTCCTACGGGCGCCTCACAAGCCCCGGCCTCAGCTACGGCCTGGGCTCCAGCTTTGGCTCTGGCGCGGGCTCCAGCTCCTTCAGCCACACCAGCTCCACCAGGGCCGTGGCTGTGAAGATCAAGACCCGCGATGGGAAGCTGGCGTCCGAGTCCTCTGACATTCTGCCCAAGTGAACAGCTGCGACAGCCCCTCCCAGCCTGCCCCTCCTGTGGCTGCCCCAGAGCCGGGGAGGGAGGCCGCTGTGCAGGGGAGCAAAGGGAACAGGAGACCCACCTGAGGCTCACCCCTAGCTCTCAGCCCACCCACGGGGGAGTTTACTGCCTGGGGACACCCTTTGCCCATGCCTCCAGCTACAAAACAATTCAACTGCTTTTTTTTTTTTTTTTTTTTGTACAAAATAAAACCTCAGCTAGCTCTTTCAAAAAAAAAAAATCAGTCCCACAAGGTCCCATCAGTCTCATTCTGCAGGCCAATGAGGATTTTCTTCATATTTTCAATGTGTTGAGAAGAATCTGCAGAATGTTAGGACATATATAGACAGATGAAAATACTCACACAAGGAGTAAGAAAACCTTCAGAGGAGGCAAATTTGCAAAGCAAGAACTGTGCCCCTCCCCAGTTCTAAGTCAACAACCACCCCATTAAGAGTCTATCTTAATTCTGGGGCTGTCAGCAGGTTTCCTTTCGCCTGCTCTTATTTGTTCATTTTATGGAACACAGTAGTCTGCCTTTTTTTTCATGTCTAAACTCATTTCCTGTTGAGAAAGTTCATAACCATGGCACAACAGTAATCATCTTGCATAAGTTACTCAGCTCCTTTCTGCTCTTGTTTCCTCATCTCCAAAATAAGAATAAAAATAATACTTCTTTTATAAGGTTGTGTTGAGGATCAAAATAGCTAATATATGTTAAACCCTTGGAACAGTTCCCGGACTATAATCACTGCTATATAAATGTTTGCCATCATCCTTCTTGGATGGTTTCAGTGCCCCTCGGTTACCTTTGCCATGACTCTTATTTATTTATTTATTTATTTTTTGAGATGGAGTCTTGCTCTGTTGCCAGGCTGGAGTGCAGTGGCGGGATCTCGGCTCACTGCAACCTCCGCCTCCTGGGTTCAAGCAATTCCCCTGCCTCAGCCTCCCGAGTAGCTGGGACTACAGGCATGTGCCACCACATCCAGCTAATTTTTTGTATTTTAGTAGAGATGGGGTTTCACCATGTTGGCCAGGATGGTCTCAATCTCCTGACCTCATGATCTGCCCACCTTCTGCTCCCAAAGTACTGGAATTACAGGCGTGAGACAGTGCGCCCAGCCCCCAGGACTCTTATTTTCTAAATCCTATTAGAACATCTTCTTTTTCTTTTTTTTAAAGTCAGGATCTCACTCTGTCATCCAGGCTGGAGGGTGGTAGCACAATCATAGCTCACTGTCACCTGCAACTCCTGGGCTCTAGTGATCCTCCCACCTCAGCCCCACTGAGTAGCTGAGACTACAGGTGCATGCCACTACATGGGGCTAATGTATTAATTTTTTTTGTAGAGATGGAATCTTGCTATGTTGCCCAGGCTGGTCTTGAACTCCTGGCTTCAAGAGATCATCCCATATCAGCCTCCCAAAGTGTTGGGATTTCAGGTGTGAGCCACTGCACCAGCCCTATTAGAACAAATTTCTAAATTATATGGGAATGTACAAAAACAAAAGATAAATCTGCCTGTAGAACCTTAAAACAGTTTCATGGTCCTCATAAGGTTCTTCATATTCAGGAGAGCGGGCATTGCAACATGTAAAGCCTATCTCGAAGAAAGAGACTTTTGCCCAAAGTCTATATAGACTAAGCCTCTGTCTACATTATGTCTTCTTCTCAAATCACCTCCTTGACTTCATATTACCATAATAATCCACATCCCATTATAAACTTTTAGCTTTTAGCCAGATAGGCTGTTTTGCAAAAGAGGAAGGCAATGGGGGGCTTTTGATGTTACTTTTCAGGAGTAGTTTTCCTTACCTTCTTCCTGTTGGGCCCCTGGGATCTTATCTGCCTTTAAGTGTTATAATAATTCCAGGTGCATTAGAGTATCCAATATGCCACTGAAATCTACCTCTCCCCTGATATTAACCATACACCAAATAAAAGCAGCACATAATAAAATCATCCACATCCCAAAATAGAAAAAGCACCCAAATTGTTTAAATTTTACATAGGGAGTAAGTTGTATCACACTCTATGCTAACCATGTTTATAACCATTTATGCTTGCACATATGTAATTTAAACAGCTATTATTGAGCATCTGCTCCATGTATGTCAGGCACTAGACTGGGCACTGGCAACATACTGGAACAATAACAGGGGTGGTTCTGTTGGGGAGGCAGCTAAGACAGACCAAACAGTGGGAGTCCCAGAGGTTTACTCAATAATCATGCTAATTAATACAAGCAAACCTTCCAACTGAGTTCAGTGTTCCAGGTAAAAAGGAATGTAATACAAAAAGCTGACCTGGGCTTGTGGGTCATGGAAAATTTCTCTGCGGAAGAGACATATGACAAATAAAGAATTGTGAAGTTACCCAAGGTAAGAGAAGAAAGAACATATCATGAAGCTAGATCAGGAAGCACAAAGGCCCTATGGTGGGAAAGAAGATGGCCAGTAAAAGATGCGTGAGTCATTCATGAGACAGGAACCACTGGCAGAAGACAGGATTTGTGGGGGAAGAGCCTCAGTTCAGTCTGGGACATGAGGTGTCTGAAATACCTTTGAGACATATCAAGGGAAAATATGAAATAGGTGGTTGGATATATACATCTGGAACTCAAAGGAAATGTCTGAGCCAAAGACATAACTAGATATAAATAGCTTACAGATAGCAGTTAAAATTAATGATCTTGGATACAGTTGCCTGGAAAGAAAGCATATAATGAAAAAAGACCACCTTGACAGACTTCACTTTTAATGGCTGAGTAGCAGATAAGCCCACCAACTAGGTTAAGAAGGAGCATCAGAGAGGTAGAAAGGACACCAGGAGAATGTGGTAGCACCCAAGGCAAGGGGAGGAAGAGCTGCAAGAAGGTGGAAGTTGTTAATAGTATTTAAGAACATTGCTGAATCATGTAGTAAAATAAGGTCTGAACATCATTGGATGTATTTGAGGACAGGGAGATCACTGTTGACTTTATCAGAGCTGGTTCAGGGCAGTGATTGTGGGAATGGGAGAGTGATGGGCCATGACATTCAGCCTTAAATAGGTTGAGGAAAGATTGGGAGTTAAGAAAGTGGAGACAAAAATTTTAGGCATCTCTTTCAAGAAATCTGGTTGTGAAGGAGAAAAGAGATATGCAGTGGTGGGATAAAAAGTGATTTGAGTAGCTGTTTGCCTGGATTGGCAACCTGAGCCGCCCCACCCTTCCCGTGCAGCGATCTGGGTGCAGAGGGGCCCTCTCCACTCCATGCCAGACAGATCTCCAGGCATTCAGACACCTGCTCACTGGAACAGCAGTCTGAGTCACCCCAATCTTCCTGTGCGGAGATCCTGGTGCAGGAGGCCCTCCCCACTCTACACCCAGGCAGAATCTCCATGCGTCTGAAGCACCTACCCTCCTGGGTTAGAAGTTTAGGCTGACCCCAATCTCCAGGCAGAGAACTCAGGGATGAGGAGGTCTTGCAGCTCCATGCCGAGGCACACCTCTGGATGCGAGGTGGCCATCCACTGGATTCTCCCTCAGTGCTGGTACTTGTGCCTGCCATCAGGGGACCTACAGGTGGACCTGCCTGGTCTGGCCCTGCCCATCTTGCTTCCTCCCCTCCACTGGGGCTGAAGAGGGAGCTCAGACCACCGTGCACTCCATGAATCAACCCATTTCCTGAGGCAAGCGAGAGCTTCTTCCAGTAAAAAAAAAAAAAATGCTATGTGGATGGGATCACATATATTCCCATCCACATAGCATTTTTTTTGAGACAGGTTTTCACTCTGTCACCCTGAGTGTAGTGGTGTGATCATGGCTTACTGCAGCCTTGACCTCCCGGGCTCAAGCAATCATCCCACCTCACTGTCCCAAGTAGCTGGGACCCACAGGCACATGCCACCATGACCAGCAATTTTTTTCATTTTTTGTAGAGACAGGGTCTCGCTATGTTGCCCAGGCTGTTCTTGAACTCCTGGACTGAAGGGATCCTACTTCCTCTGGCTCCCAAAATGCTGAGATTACAGATACGAGCCACCATGCCGGGCCACACAGCCAGCTCTTACCCATAAGCGCCATCTATTGGCTTGTAGGTCAAATTGCACAGCCCAATATAAAACCTGGTGACAGAAGAGCATAGGGCTACGCAAGCAAAGCCAAAAGACCCTACCCAGCATTCTCTACAGTCACACACCCTGGGGTGGGAAGGAAGGAAAGGGAAAGAAGAAAAAAACAATAATATTATTGGAAAAAAGGAAAGAAAAAGAAAAAATTCTACCTGCATGAAAATAGTTACTAAAATTAGAAGGGCAAGCATCTCTAGATGAAAAGGAACTAGTGCAAGAAACCTGGCAAAATCTGAATGTAGTGACAGTACCAAAGGATCACACTAGCTCCCCAGCAATAGTCCCTAACTAAAATGGAAACTCAGAAATGATAGCTAGATAGATAAATAATTCAAGGCATGGATTGCAAGTAAGCAGCAATGAGATCCAAGACAAGGTTGAAAGTCAACAAAAAGACATTTCTAAAGCAATCCAGGAAAGGAAGGAAGAGGTAAACATCTTCAAAAGAAATCAACCAGAACTTCTGGAATTGAAAAACTCACCTAAGGAATTTCAAACTACAATTGAAATCTTTATGAACAGACTGCACCAAGCAGAAGAAAGAATTTCAAAGCTTGAAGACTGATTTTTTGAACTACCCAGTTAGATAAAAATAAAGAGAAGAGAATTTTTTAAAATGAACACAGTTTTCAAGAAATATTGGATTATGTGAAGTGACCAAAATTATGAATTACTGGACATTAACAATAGATACAGAAGAGAAGAAAACAACCATGAAAACATTTGAGGCAATAATTCAAGAAAAGTTCCTAATCTTGCTAGAGAGATAGACATCCAGATACAAGAAATCTAGAGAACACATGTGAGATAGTGTACAAACTAAACATCATCAATGCATATAGTCACCAGACTGCCCAAAGTCAATGCTAAAGAAAAAAATCTTAAAGGCAGCAAAAGAAAAAGGTCAGATCACATACAAAAAGAACCCCATCAGGCTAACAGTAGACTTCTCAGAAGAAACCTTACAAGCCAGGAGAGATTGGAGGCCTATTTTCAGTATTCTTAAAGAAAAGAAATTCCAACCAAGAATTTCATATCCTGCCAAACTAAGCTCTATAAGCAAAGGAGAAATAAAATATTTTCCAGACAAGCAAGTACTAACGGAATTCATTACCAGTAGACCTTCCTTACAAGAGATCCTTCAGGAATTTCTCAACATGAGAACAAAATAATGATACCTACTACCACAAAAACACACATAGCCCACAGACCCTATAAAGCACCACACTATAGAAACTACAAGGCCACCAGTTAACAACTTCATAACAAGATCAAAACCTCACATATCAATATTAATCTTGAATGTAAATGGTCTCAATGCCCCACTTAAAAGGCACAGAGTGGCAAACTGGATTTAAAAAAATAAGACCCATTCATCTTCTGTTTTCAAGAGGCCTATCTCACATGAAATGACACTCATAGGCTCAAAGTAAAGAGTTGGAGAAAAAAATCTGTCATGCAAATGGAACACAGAAAAGAGCAGGGGTCGCTATTCTTATATCAAATAAAACAGATTTTAAACCAACAACAGTAAAAAATGACAAAGAAGGACATTGCATAATGATAAAAGATTCAATTTACAGAGGACTTAACTATCCTTAATATATATGCACCCAATATTGGAGCACGCAGATTCACGAAACAAGTACTTCTAGACCTATAAAAAGACTTGGACAGTCACACAACAATAGTGGAGGACTATCAACACCCCACTGACAGCATTGACAGACTATCAAGGCAGAAAACCAACAAAGAAACTCTGGACTTAAATTCAACACTTGACTGATTGGATCTAATAGACATCCACAGAAAACTCCACCCAACAACCTTGGAATATATATTCTTTTTATTTGCACATGGAACATACTCCAAAATCAACCACATGGTAGGTCATAAAGCAAGTCCTAATAAATTCAAATAAATCAAAATAATTCCAAACGTCCTCTCTGATCACAGTGGAATAAAACCAGAAATTAATACCAAGAAGTCTTTCAAAACCACGCAATTACATGGAAATTAAACAATTTGCTCCTAAATGACTTTGGGATAAACAAATAAAGCAGAAATAAAAAATCCTTTGAAATAAAAGAAAACAGAGACACAACATACCAAAATCTCTGGGACACAACAAAATCAGCATTAAGACAAAAGTTTATAGTGCTAAAGACCTACCTCAAAAAGTTAGAAAGATCTCAAATTAACACTCTAACATTACACCCAAAGGAACTAGAAAAACAAGGACAAACTAACTCTTACACAAGCAGAAGAAAAGACATAACTAAAACCAGAACAGAACTGAGCAACGTTGAGACCCCGAAATCCATGCACATAATCACATAACCAAATGTTTGTTCATTGAAAGGATAGATAAGATCAATTGCTGCTAGCTAGATTAGTGTAGAAATAGACAGAAGATCCAAATAAGCACAATCAGAAAGACAAAGGTGGCATACAACCAATCCCACAGAAATATAAAAGATCCTCAGAGACTATTATGAACCTAGAGAAAATGGATAAATTCCTGGAAACACACAGTCTGCCAATATTGAATCAGGAAGAAATTGAAACCCTGAATAAACCAATATTGAGTTCCAAAATTGAATCAGTAATTAAAAAAAAAAAAAACCTACCTACCCAAAAAGCCCTGGACCAGGTGGATTCACAGCCGAATTCTATCAAACATTCAAAGAGGAGTTGATACCAATCCTACTGAAAGTATTTCAAAAAATCAAGGCGGAGAGACTTCTCCCTAACTCCTTCTATGAAGCCAGCATCACTCCGATACTAAAACCTGGCAAAGACACAAGAAAAGAAAACTACAGGTCAATATCCCTGCTGAACATAGATGGAAAAAATCCTCAAAAAATTACTACCAAAGCAAATCTAGCAACACATCAAAAAATTAATTCTCTATGATCAAGTAGGCTTCATTCCTGAGATGCAAAGTTGGTGCAACATATACAAATCAATAAATGTGATTCATCACATAAACAGAACTAAAAACAAAAACCATATGATCATCACAATGTGGAAAATGTTTTTTAATAAAATTCAACATCTCTCCATGATTAAAACCCTCAAGAAACTATGCTTAGAAGCAATATATGTCAAACTAATAAGAGCCATCTATGCAAACCCACAGCCAACATCATACTGAATGAGCAAAAACTCAGACCATTTCCCCTGAGAACCAGAAAAGGATGCCCACTCTCACCACTCTTATTCAACATAGTACTAGAAGTCCTTGCCAGAGCAATGAGGCAAGAGAAAAAAATAAAAGGCATCCAAATAGGAAAAAAGTCAAACTACCTCTCTTTTCTGATGATATGGTTATATACCTGGAAAACCCTAAAGACTCTACCAAAAGTCTCCTGGAACTGATAAATGACTTAGTAAAGTTTCAGGATACAAAATCAGTGTACAAAAATCAATAGCATTTCTACATATCAATAACCTTTAAGCAGAGAGCCAAATCGGGAATGCAATCCCATTCACAATAGCTGCCGAGAGAAGGAAGGGAAGGGAAGAGAAGGGCAGGGCAGGGCAGGGCAGGGCAGGGCCTAGGAATACATCTAACCAAGGAGATGAACTACAAGTTCTACAAGGAGATCTACAAAACACTGCTGGAAGAATCATAGATGACACAAACAAATGGAAAAACTTTCCCTGCTCATGGTTTGGGAGAATCAATATGCTTAAAATGGCCATGCTGCCCAAAGCAATCTACAGATTCAATATTACTGCTATCAAGCTACCAATGTCATTTTTCATGGAGCTGGAAAAAACTATTCTAAAATTCATATGGAACCAAAAAAGAGCCAAAATAGACAAAGCAACCCTAAGCAAAAAGAACAAAGCAGTAGACATCACATTACTTGACTTCAAACTACACTGTAAGTTAACAGTCACCAAAACAGCATGGTACTTGTACGAAGACAGAAAGATAGGCCAATGGAACAGAATAGAGAACCCAGAAATAAAGCCACATACCTACAGCCATCTGATCCTTGACAAAGTCGACAAAAATAAGTAATGGGGAAAGCACTCCCTATTCAATAAATAATGCTGGGATAGCTGGCTAGCCTTATACAAAAGAAAGAAACTGCCCCCCTCTCTTTCACCAAATACAAAAACTAATTCAAGATTATTTAAAGACTTAAATGTAAGACTTCAAACTATAAGAATCCTAGAACAAAACCTAGGAAACACCTTTCTGGACATTGGCCTTGGAAAAGAATTTATAACTAGGTCCTCAAAAGTAACTACAACAAAACCAAAAGTTAACAAGTAGGACATAATTAAACTAAAGAGCTTCTAGACAGCAAAACAATCAATACAGTAAACAGACAACATATAGAATGGGGGAAAATATTCACAAGTTCTGCGTGTGACAAAGGTCTAATATCCAGAATCTATAAAGAACTTACGCAATCGAACAAGCAAAACCAAATAACCCTATTTAAAATGGACAAAAGACATGAACAGATATTCTCAAAAGAAAAAAAAAGAAAAAAAGCAGCCGGCTGGGCAAGGTGGCTCACGCCTGTAATCCCAGGACTTTGGGAGGCCGAGGTGGGTGGATCACCTGAGGTCGGGAGTTTGAGACAAGCCTGACCAACATGGGGAAACCCTGTCTCTACTAAAAATACAAAATTAGCTGGATGTAGTGGCGTATGCCTGTAATCCCAGCTACTTGGTAGGCTGAGGCAGCAGAATCGCTTGAACCCGGAAGGCGGAGGTTGCAGCGAGCGGAGATCACGCCATTGCACTCCAGCCTGGGCAACAAGAGCGAAACTCCATCCAAAAAAAAAAAAAAGAAAGAAAGAAAGAAAACAGAAAAAAAGGAAAGAAAAGCAGCCAACAAACATGAAAAAATTCTCTTCACTACTCTTCAGGGAGCTGCAAATCAATACCACAACACACCAGTCAGAATGGCTATTACTAAAAAGTTAAAAAAAACAATAGACGCTGGCAAGACTGTGGAGAAAACAGAATACTTACACACTGTTGGTGGGAATGTACAATTAGTTCAGCCACAGTGTAAAGCATTGTGGGGATTTCTCAAAGAAAAAAGAACTACCATTCAACCCAGCAATCCCATTGCTGTGTATATAGCTGAGAGAAAAGAAATCATTCAACCAAAAAGACACATTCACTTCTATGTTCATCACAGCACTCTTCGCAATAGCAAAGTCATGGAGTCAACCTAGGTGCCCATCAACAGTGGACTGGTTAAAGCAAATATGGTGCATATACGCCATGGAATACTATGCAGCCATAAAAAGGAATGAAATCATTTCCTTTGCAGAAATATGTATGCAGCTGGAAGCCATTATCCTAAGTGAATTAACATAGGAACAGAAAACCCAATGTTGCATGTTCTCACTTATAAGTGGGAGCTAAACAATGGGTACTCATGGACACAAAGCACGGAATAATAGACACTGGGGACTACTATAGAGGACGGGGAGGGAGTGGGGCAAGGGCTGAAAAAAAACTACCTATTGGACACTGTTCAGTACCTGGGTGATGGGATCAATTGTACCCCAAACCTCAGCATTATGCAGTATGTCCAGCTTGCACATGTAATGCCTTAATTTAAAATGTGAGTTGAAATTATTTTTAAAAACTAATTTGAGATTGAGAGAGGGCTTTGTTTTGCTTTACCTTTTTAATTATGAAAATAATTATATATGAAATAGCATATACAATATGCATATATATGTATGTGTATAGATAGGTGTGTGTGTGTGTGTGTGCAGTTTAAAGAATAAAAATAAATATCCATGGCTTCACATCCACCTTCAGGAAAAGAACATTACCAGAACTTTAGAATTTCTTGTGGTCCCTCGCCAATCGTATCACGCTGAAGGGAAATTATTTTTAAGATAAAAGAGATTCGAGCACATTTATATGGTAATGGGAAGCATCTAGTTGAGAAGAACTGGCTGAATATGCAGTAGATTAAAGAAAAGGATATTTGATAGTGAGGCATTATTGCAATAGCAAGAGTGAATAGGCTCTAAGGCACAGTAGGAGGTGTGGCCATGTATTAGAAGAGGTGCAGGTCTGATGAGGGGAAATTAGATAGGTTTGGTGTTAGAAAGTTCAGGAAGTTCCTTTTTGATGCTTCACAACTCTCAGTAAAATAGGAAATGGGCTCATCTGCTGAAAACAAAAAATCTTCAAGGAAAGATGGGGCGTGATTTGAAGTAGTCATTGTTGAGAGTTGGAGGATGAGTTGCTCAGAGAAGTTTAATAGTTCTGCTGACCAGTGTTGAGGGCCTATTTGAGGCTGATCATGTATTTTTTTTTTATTATACTTTAAGTTCTAGGGTACATGTGCAAAACGTGCAGGTTTGTTACATAGGTATACATGTGCCATGTTGGTTGTTGGTTTGCTGCACCCATCAACTAGTCATTTACATTAGGTATTTCTCCTAATGCTATCCCTCCCCCAGCCCCCCACCCCCCAACAGGCCAGGGTGTGTGATGTTCCCTGCCCTATTTTGGTTACTGTTTTGGTTACTGTATTCTTGTAGTCAGGTAGCGTGATGCCTCCAGCTTTGTTCTTTTGGCTTAGGATTGTCTTGGCTATACTGGCTCTTTTTTGGTTCCATATGAACTTTAAAGTAGTTTTTTCCAATTCTGTGAAGAAAGTCATTGGTAGCTTGATGGGGATGGCATTGAATCTATAAATTACCTTGGGCAGTATGGCCATTTTCACGATATTGATTCTTCCTATCCATGAGCATGGAATGTTCTTCCATTTGTTTGTGTCCTCTTTTATTTCATTGAGCACTGGTTTGTAGTTCTTCTTAAAGAGGTCCTTCACATCCCTTGTAAGTTGGATTCCTAGGTATTTTTTTCTCTTTGTAGCAATTGTGAATGGGAGTTCACTCATGATTTGGCTCTCTGTTTGTCTGTTCTTGGTGTATAGGAATGCTTGTGATTTTTGCTCACTGATTTTGTATCCTGAGACTTTGCTGAAGTTGCTTATCAGCTTAAGGAGATTTTGGGTTGAGACAATGGGGCTTTCTAAATATACAATCATGTCATCTGCCAACAGGGACAATTTGACTTCCTCTTTTCCTGATTGAATACCCTTTATTTCTTTCTCTTTCCTGATTGCCCTGGCCAGAACTTCCAACACTATGTTGAATAGGAGTGGTGAGAGAGGGCATTCTTGTCTTGTGCCGGTTTTCAAAGGGAATGCTTCCAGTTTTTGCCCATTCAGTATGATATTGGCTGTGGGTTTGTCATAAATAGCTCTTATTATTTTGATATACGTCCCTTCAATACCAAATTTATTGAGAGTTTTTAGCATGAAGGGCTGTTGAATTTTGTTGAAGGCCTTTTCTGCATCTATTGAGATAATCATGTGGTAACTGTTGTTGGTTTTGTTTATGTGATGGATTACGTTTATTGATTTGCGTATGTTAAACCAACCTTGCATCCCAGGGGTGAAGCTGACTTGATCGTGGTGGATAAGCTTTTTGATGTGCTGCTGGATTCAGTTTGCCGGTATTTTATTGAGGATTTTTGCATCAATGTTCATCAGGGATATTGGTCTAAAATTCTCTTTTTTTGTTGTGTCTCTGCCAGGCTTTGGTATCAGGATGATGCTGGCCTAATAAATGAGTTAGGGAGGATTCCTTCTTTTTCTTTTGATTGGAATAGTTTCAGAAGGAATGGTACCAGCTCCTCTTTGTACCTCTGGTAGAATTCGGCTGTGAATCCGTCTGGTCCTGGACTTTTTTTGGTTGTTAGGCTATTAATTATTGCCTCCATTTCAGAGCCTGTTATTGGTCTATTCAGAGATTCAACTTCTTCCTGGTTTAGTTTTTGTCCAGGAATTTATCCATCTTCTTCTAGATTTTCTAGTTTATTTGCATAGAGGTGTTTATAGTATTCTCTGATGGTAGTGTGTATTTCTGTGGGATCGATGGTGATATCCCCTTTATCATTTTTTATTGCACCTATTTGATTCTTCTCTCTTTTATTCTTTATTAGTCTTGCTAGCGGTCTATCAATTTTGTTGATCTTTTCAAAAAACCAGCCCCTGGATTCATTGATTTTTTGAAGGGTGTTTTGTGTCTCTATCTCCTTTAGTTCTGTATTTTAAGTGACATCAATCTGCTCTGTTGTGTGTCTTTCTCTTTCTTTCTCCAGGAATATTTGGTGATATGGTTTGGCTGTGTACCCACCTAAATATCATCTTGAATTATAGTTCCTATAATCCCCATGTGTCATGGGAGGGACCCGGTGGGAGGTTATTGAATTATAGGGGCAGGTACCCTCTTGCTGCTGTTCTTGTAATAGTGAGTGAGTTCTCACGAGATTTTCTCCCCTTTTTGCTCGGCACTTCTTCTTCCTGCCATCAAGTAAAGAAGGATGTGTTTGTTTCCCCTTCAGCCATGATCATAATTTTCCTGAGGCCTCCACAGCCATGTGGAACTGTGAGTCAATAAAACCTCTTTCCTTTATAAATTACCCAGTCTTTGGCAGTCCTTTATAGCAGGGTGAGAACAGACTGATACATTTGGCCATTTAAATGTAAGTGTAGAAAAAAAGAAACTTGGAGAGTTGCAGTTCTGCTGGACACATGAAGAAAATACTGAGGATCAAAGTAGTAGAGAATATTAGCAAGAGCTTAAAAAGAAATCCACATTATGATAGAAGGGAGAGGAACAAAAGAGAGTCACAAGACCAGAATTTCCAGTGAGGATGGAGGGTGGTCAGCCAGGAGTAGGAGGCTTGAATGAATGATTTGGAGGTAACAGAAGTTTGGATGATAACACAGCCCAAGCTGCAGTGGGAAGGATCACTCATCCTCCACTCCTGGCACTGCCTTTATTTGGAGTGGTTCTCTTTGTCCTTCATTCACCTCTACTCTGTGAGATGAAGAGCTTCTCTGATTGGTAAGCTGAGAGAAGAAGTTATTCATGAGTACCCAGTTATGTTCTCCCTTGCACTGCCCCAAGGAGCGCATTCTGATCTGCTTTGCTGACTTTCTCCTGGAGAAGCCTGTACCCATTCAGCCAGGCAAATGCATTTAATTCTAGGGCCCACTATCGGGAATCTTATTGTTGGCTGCATGGCTAATTCAGCATCTGTAATAATGATGAGAAATTCATTTCCATCTATCTTGCTCTTTCTTTATCTTATAATTCGTTCAGAACTTAATTAGAAAAGAGGAGTGTAATTATTTATGGCCCATCTTCAATCCAACACCATAATTTTTAGAGATGGAAGCTTGGGAACTGTGGAGGGGAAGGCCATTAGAAACGGAGTGATCAAAGAACAGAGAGACCGAAGTGTTAGATGAGTTCTTCCAATAGATGTTGGAGTCACTCAGGATGTGGGACTTGGGACAGAGAGGAGGGTTAGCAACCAGGTTTCACAATATTTAATCCACGGGGAGGACTGAGCATGAGATCAGGTCAAGGGTATGGTGTGAGCCAACAAAGAGCTGAATTTTGTTTTGTTTTATTTTTTTAAACTGCTCATGTCTAATGTTTGGAAATGGCAATGGGAACAAACAGGAAACCAGCTCCATGACCTATAAATGGGTCAACAGCAAAGTCATGTGGAGCATGACAGAGATGATGGCATAGTGAGATTAACAGCCACGGGAACTCAGGCTTTGGAACTGAAGGAACAACAGCAGGGCTTCCAGGCAGGGATGATTTAGTCTAAACAGTCTGAGTAGTCAGGAGTTCGCTTCCTCAGCCTGGAAACAGAAGATGAAAGGACTGATTCCCAGCAATTGCAGTCCCTACTCACATGGACCAGGATGGGGACCAACCCAAAAGCTGATAGTTTTTGTGTTCATGCACAGCTGACCCTAGAGGTTTCAGGCCTCATTCGTGTGACTTAGGGAGTTGGTCCCACAGCCTAGTGGATTGAGGTGAGCCCTGTGGCTGAAAGCTCACGACGCAGGCTATAGGCACCCCCTCCACCGCTACAGCCATCCTCACCTGTGTACCCATGCACCTAGCTAAAACAGAGTGCTGAACACCTCCAGATGCACTCTCCTTTACTAGGAAATTAAAAGAAACTTGTGGACAAGAAGACTTACCCATAAATCTTCTTAGTACCCATTACTTTTTGGTGCGATTTCGAGAAGGCTTTGCAGCCCACCACAACAGGGCTTCTATCATAAGGACTTCTAACTGAAGTTACAAAGGGAGCTGAGGAAGGCAGGCTGGTTGCAAGGTTAGTATCTTCTACCCTTTAAACAGGGAGTGAGAGTAGTATCAGGTGTGTGACAAAACAGATGTATGCAAATAAATAAAATGAATTTTTAAAAGCAAATCTCGTTTCCCTTTATGCATACCCATTCCTTCTCAGCCATGGATAACTGGATATCGATCTTGTCTTTTTCTGCTATTCTATTCTCTCCTGTTTTAAAACTTCATCTCATTGAGGTAAATATTCCATTGAAGTGAACTATTACCTCCGTGGAAGCTCCTAGCTTCCTCTCTGAAACTCCTTCCCATCCTAAGGTCTTCGCTCACCTCTTATTGACCCCACTTCCATTTCCACAGGCACTGGTGTTCCAATCTTTGGGCAGCATCAGGGAGAAGTGCCTGCTTCCATGCACTGACACACTTGGGTGGAAATGTGAGGGAGTCACACACATCTCCATTTCCATCCACATCGACTTGGCCTTGGCACTCAACTGCAGCAGTTTCCCTCAGCTCCTTCACCCTAAATGTGCCCAGCGTTGTTTTTTTTTGTGTGTGGCAGTTAGACTACTTTCAGGTACCTAGGTGGGCCCTCCTCCAGCCTCATCATTGGGTGACCCTCTGGAAACATAACCACTTCCTCCTGCATTCCAGCGCCTGGTGCGCCCTACAGCTTGAGATCACTTTGTCCGAGCAGCACGGGCTGCTGCAGATTCCATCTCTCACAAAACAAACCCCATCAAGAAGCAAATCCTCGATTGTCTTCAGACAGATTCCCCAAAAGAACACTCGGAGATGAAGAATTGGATGCACATGATTTATTAAGAAAATGCTTTCAGAAATAAAAAGGAAATAAACCAGTAGGGGAGTGAGGGTGGGGAATGGGAGGCAAAGGGGAAGAAGGCAAGCCAGGGTGAGCTTTCGGGCAGATTCGTGGGGAGGATGGCTGCAGCCTGACCCCTCAGGTGAACTTTGGAGTATAAATGAGCCTCAGAGATGCCTGGACCTGAGGCAGGGAGCAGGCAGTCTTCTTCCCAACTCCACACCCACACCCACTAGTCATTGGTAAAGGGCCATCAGGTGGGGCACCAGCTCCCAGCCACCTGGAACTCTGAGCTCCTGCAGAGAAGGCAACTCTGAGAGCATGGGGAAGTCCCCTGCAAGACGTGCAGGTGCAGACCTTTGAAAGCAGAAGAAGCCTTCCAACAATCCCAGGGGACCGACAGGGGACAGGGCAAGGGGGCAGGGCATGATGCTCTTCCCTGCCTCCAAAATCCTGTTCCCCAAACTTTTCCTCATCTTCCAACTCTTCCAGCATAGCCCCATATCTTTACCTTGACGGGCCAGCCAGCAGCTCTTCTGGTGCGTTTACCCTCCCCAGGTCCTTTCATCTCAAAACCAACCTGCTCACCATTGCCAGCTTTGTCATGTTTGTCACGTCAGTCCTTGGTTTTGTGTGTCTCGTGTGTGTCCACGTGTGGCCATGTGCACACACATGTATATGTATGAAAGCATTAGTCACAGGGGAAGAGAAAGCAGAACTCACCATTTTTTGTTTCAAATTATCAGCAATTCACATCTTCCCACAAAGCAGGAGCATTGCCTTTTTTGAAGCCCATCTATCACTCCCACTTCTTCATTGGGTGCCAGCTCATCTTAATCCACGTTGCTGGGCAGGGCCTCAGATAGAACTCACACACTCCCTTTAGGCTGCTCAAGCTTTTCCTCTGCTGTCTGTGCATCCTATCACGCCTACCACAAACTGTCCCGAACAGTTCTCAGTTTATTCCAGCCACACCCTGGATCTCCCTAGTGATGTGCTCATTTCTTTGAAAGTTGCCTTTAAGACACACCCATCACTCCTGCTCACCCCTCGAATCCTGTCATTGGTTGAGGTTGATTCAGTTGCAGTCGTGCACTGCAAAACAACATTTCAGTCAACAACAGACTGCATCTAGGACAGTGGTCCCATAAGATTATAATGGAGCTGAAAACTTCCTATTACCTAGTGATGTATTGATCCTCACCCTGGGTAGGCCTAGGCTAATGTGTGTGGACCTTCATACTTAATTTTAAAAGTTTAAAAGGTAAAAATATTTTAATAGAAAAAAGCTTAAAGAATAGTTATAAAGAAAATATTTTTGTAGAGCTTTACAATGTGTTTGTGTTTTAAGCTACATGTTATTACAAGAGTCAAGAATCAAAAAATTAAAGTTGGCCTGGTGCGGTGGCTCACCCTGTAATCCCAGCACTTTGGGAGGCTGAGGCGGGTGGATCACGAGGTCAAGAGATTGAGACCAACCTGGCCAACATGGTGAAACCCCCTCTCTACTAAAAATATCAAAATTAGCTGGGCATGGTGGCAGGCGCCTGTATCCCAGCTACTGGGGAGGCTGAGGTAGGAGAATCACTTGAACCAGGGAGGCAGAGGTTGCAGTGAGCCGAGATTGCACCACTGCACTCCAGCCTAGTGACAGAGCAAGACTCCATCTCAAAAAAAAAAAAATAATAAAGTTTATAAAGTAAGAAAGTTACAGTAAGTTAAGGTTAATCTATTAGTGAAGAAAGAGAAATATATTTTTATCAATTTAGTGTAGCCTAAATGCACAGTGTTTACAATTTGCAATTATAAATTGCAGTAATGTCCTAGGCCTTCACATGCTCTCACCACTCACTCACTGACTCCCCAGAGCAACTTCCAGTCCTGCAAGCTCCATTCGTGGTAAGTGCCCTATACAGGCGTACCGTTTTTATACTTTGTGCTTAATTTTTACTGCACTTTTTTTATCTTTAGATATGCTTAGATACACAAATGCTATTGTGTTAACAGTTGCCTATGATATTCAATACAGTAATATATTGCGCAGGTTTTCAGCCTAGGAGCAATAGGCCATACCATGTACCCAGGTGTGTAGTAGGCTACACCATCTAGGTCTGTGTAAGTGCACTCTAGGATGCTTGCACAATGACAAAATTGCCTAACAACACATTTCTCAGAACGTATTCCTGTTGTTCAGCAACACGTGACTGCAAATGTCCATTCTGAGTTAAAGGATCAGCCATAGGATTTCCCAGATCTGCCCTATTAGTCACATCCTCTCTTTCCCCATACAAACACCATGTGCCAAAATCATGTCCACAAGGGAGAGTAGCAGAACAGAAACTGAAGTGCCACTTTTGCTAATAGAGATGAGGAGGGCCAGTGTCATAAAGCATCAGCTAAAGTGTTTCTTGTGTTTCCCTGTACTCCTTATCCTTACCCATTTGGGCCACACTGAGACCTCCATTACTCCAGGGGCAGTCCTGATGTCAGAAACAGCAAAGCAAGGCATCAGATTCTTAAATAATTCTAATTTTGGAATATCTTGGGTGCCTTCTGCAGCAGGAGAAAGCCGTCTTTCTGACAACTCCTTTCTTATGATATTGGGATGTGTTTCTAGAGCCCAGATTCCTTCTGTTGTTTCTTGCTCTCTTCAAGCAGTCCCAGCTGAGTTTAAAAATTGGCCAGCTTGTCAGCTGGTCCTACTTTCTTTCTAGCAAATGTAAGGCTAACACTGGATACTGGACCAGACTGCTCTCTACTTCTTTTATTTTTGCTTTTGGAATTAAACATTTCTTTTCTTAACATAATCATCCATAATTTACCTTCTGGGGTTCTCCCCAGTATGAAATATACACGTAGAACAAGTTCTCAGTCCATTTGAGAACATCTATTTCACAAACAAATTCTACCCACTTCTGCACTTCTTCATATCTAAATGAGGTAATTTTATCTAGGAAACATCTTCCCATTACCCCATCATCTGACCCAGGCTGGGACTACATTGCTGTGCTTCACCCTGGCTTGACTTTAACTGGGCTTTTTCTCCTCTTCCCTGCCTCTCTGAGCAGCCCTGATTCCCATAAGCAAAGTGTCCAGGCACACCTACATTTTGCTTCTAGACTTTGACTTTATAATATTTACACATGAGTCAGGACAGGCTAAGCTACACTGCACATCTTAGGGACTTGCAAGATAAAGGTTATTTTTCACTCACATTGTATGTCTTTTGTGAGTTGCTTCTGTTGCATGCCATCTTCATTTTTGGACCAGCTAGTGAAGCAGCCTCCACCTGAAATATTGCCAGTTGCTGGGGCAGAGAGAAACGAGACACAGAGAATCACGTGCTGACTCTGAAAGCTTCTCTGTGAGTAACATGCATTGCATCTGCCCTTATTTCATTGGTTAGTGAAAGTCACAGGACCACTTCTGAGTTCAACTGTGTAAGACTAGAATGCTCCCACAGAAGCATCTAAGGACGAAAGTTAAAATATTTAACCTACGAGAATACAATTGATCAGAATGCACCTTGACTCAGAATGACATAGTCCTTGTATAATAAGTCCCTAGGCACCTTCATCTGTTTCTTGATAAAATAAATTCCATCACCCATAGTGACTGAAACCACAGTTTGATTCATGAAATTTTGAACACACTAAAGGGTTAAATAATCAGCAACCCCAAGTCAAGCGGATACATGAAGAGAAGGAGGAGGTAAATCCAAGACTGCACAAGCCAAATGAAGCCAAGAAGTGAGTCTCCCCACGGCTCCTTTCTTGGCTCTGCAGACACAATCTGGGGATACAGATCCAGGGCCACCTGCCTCTGTGCAACACTAATGAGCCGAAAGCCCTGAATGTCACACACTTGAGCTCCAAGGCGGATGTGTATTGTAGCTGCTTTTTGTAGTTTAATGTCCCTGTGTGCTCTCCTGGCTGAGAAACAGATTAAAGGGGAAAACAAGCTGTGATAGCAAAACAACATTCTCCCCACGGCCGCCTGAAGGCCTGTTGGAAGCTCTGCCTTGTTTTGAAGGCATTCTTAAGTGGAACTAAGAGAATCTCATTTCCCAATAATCTCATCACAGCCGCAGCCACCCATCAGCCTCCACCACTCACTGCATAGTGACAAGTGGGCCTCCCCTGAAGTACGCTGATCCTCAAGTGCTGGTTTTGCCGGTGTCCTTACTTGGCCAGGCACCAGCAAGGCAGAATTCACAACCCACTCCTCATCCTTTCTTTCTCCAGCATTCCCTCTGGAGGGGCCAAGGATCAATAACCAAACAAGGAGCATGCCAATGTCATAAACAGCTAAGCCTATCATTTATCATCTAAACAAGAATGCTTTTGAGACCAAAGAAGTTTGCTAAATTAAATGGGGTATATAAATTGAAATATTCACTGACCCTCAAATAGTTTTATGATGATAAGTTTATAAAATAGTTCTCTGAAACCTATTTTTAAAAATAAATTAATTTCTAACAAATAAAAATAACACAGTCTCATGTACATGAAATAAAATTTTTTGAAAACTTTTATATTGTTTGAGCATTTAAAATAATGTAAGCAAAATGATGATTGTTAGTACATATTCACTTACTGTAATCTGCTTCTCAGCCACATCTGTTCTCTGCCACTGATATTTTTCTAAAAAACTTATCCTTTAAAATGATTTGATTTTTTTCCAAAACTTGTTTAAGTGTGCCTTTTATGGTTAGTAAATTTAAAATTCTTCGTATGTTCACTTGACTCTTCTCTGTACACCATGATGTATATTTAAATTGAGAAAATGCTGTCTTTATATAGGCACTAAAGTGCATCATTTAATGTGCTTATTGGACATTTGTACGTCTTTTGAAGAAATGTCTACTCAATTTGCCCCATTTTTCAATTGAGTTTTGGTTGTGATTGTTGTTGAATTGTAGAAGTTCTTTATGTATTCTGGATATTAACCCCTAATTGGAAACAAAATTTGTGAATATTTTCTCCCATTCTGTGGGTTGCCTTTTTACTCTGTTGTGTCCTTTGATGCATAAAGATTCTTAAATTTGATGTAGTTTAATTTAGTTTTTCCTTTTGTTATCTGTTAAAATTAATTTTAAAAGATAAACTCTTTAAATAATAGGTATCTATGATTCTTTTAAAAGAAATTAAAATTTAGATGATGTAAAATTAGTAGATTTTACCTACAAAGCAAGGTATTGCAAAATATAATAATAGAATTTCAAAATGAAATGTTACACTCCTTTTGAGCTCTCAATGTTTAGTTTTTTCAGTTTCTCTATTGCTTTATTAAGGAAACATTTCAACAGTTTTTTGCCTGCAAATATTGTTTTCAAACTGCAGTTTTTTAAAAAAAACTTCAAATGCTGAGATTGGGGGGGCTACATTTGTTAAATATTTGGAACAAAATGCAGACAGATTTTAGATTACTTAATCACACAAACGTTCAATACCATTTGCAAGACACTACTTAATTTGATGTACAAAGTAATTCTTCAAAGGCTCAAACATTTCTAAACTTCAGTTGATGATGGGCAGCAAAGGATAAAAATCTGTATGCCTTTTCATTAGTGTTTTTAGTTTTCACTCTCAGCTTACATACACACATACAATGCAGTTCAATTGTACTGGTATATACAAAAATTTTCACAAGTAGAGATGTTATTTTGATTGCAACATGTTTGAATGCAATTGTGAATTATGTTTTTCTTAATTTAGTAAGAATTTTTTTTTACCATGAGTGCACTGCATAAAAATTTGTATTTATATTAGTACAGCAAAAGACAAATAACTTATCCCTTTCTTAGTTGAATTTCCTTGAGAAACAGACACCGAGGCTAGGATTGAGTGCACGTAGTTCATTCAGAGGTTCAGGAAACCATCAGGAGAGTGGGAAGATGACATTAGAAGTGAAGGCAGCCAGTAACAGGCTGTTCCTAAGCTAGCTAATATGGTGGGCTTAGCCTTGTAGGAAGCTCTGGGTATCGCTGTAAAACACACTATCCCAGGCAAGGGGCCAGGGAGCTGGGGCATTGATACCCCTCTTTCCTTTTAATTATTGGCTAAGAAATGCTCCTGAGGGTAGTGCCCTAAGTACTGCTGGCCTTATAGGTGTGGCAAAGTGAGTTAGAACAGCTGTGAATAGCAGTCTACTGACAAATACACATGTACCAGCTAGAGCATAAACTGAGAAGGTTTGAGCAGGGCATTCACCGACCAATTTTGCTTCAATTTTTGTTGTTGAATTTGTATCAGTCTAGATCAATCAGGAAGCAAAAAACACCCAGTAGCTTAAATAAAAGAAGTTTTATACAAGGGTCAGCAAACTGTCCACAGGCCAAAATTGGACCTGCTTTTATAAATAAAGTGTGATTGCAACACAGCCACACCCATTCATTTGCATATTGTCTATGGCTGTTTTTGTGTTACAACAGCAGCGGTGAGTAGTCATGACACAGATGTATGGCCCACGGAGTCCACAATATTTACTATTTGGCCCTTTACAGAAAAAGTTTGCCTACTCATAATTTAATACAAAGAATGAATAAGCTATGGTAGGACAATAACTATGAAGATTCAAAGAGAAATCTAAAGTGCAGAGGGAAATATATAAAAAAGAACAACTTTGGGGGGCCCCTCCCCAAGGGTAGGTTCAGAATTCATTGAAGAGGGTGTGGACAGTGGAGAGGTTGCTAGGTTGCCCAGGCCAGAGCTGGCCCACAGTGGCCAGGCAAGCAAGAACAAACGTTTATGTGCAGATGAGCCAAGGCTGGTGGGCCAGTGGGCAGAGTCTGGGTGCCACCACAGGAGCGAGGCCTGGGGCATGTCGTGTTTCAATCTGGGAGGGGGGGGGAACAGAGTCAACCCTCCAGGCCAAAGGTGAGCCAAGGCTGATGGGGGGCACACAGAGGGAATCAGGCACCCTGAGGGAAGCAGGGCACTGCTGAAGTTGCTACTGGAACTGGGAGCTGAAGTGACCACCTTGTGTGGGAATCTACTGCACTATGTGTAAGGCTTGGGTTGGGCTCCATGGCTGGCTGGATGGGATAAAGGTCAGGCAGCTCACTAGATGACCATCCCCATGTGACCACACATGTGCACATGGTTGGGGCTTAGGAAGGAGTGCAGGGAGCAGCGAGCTGGGTAGGCCACACTCTCAGTGGCTCCTGACTGCAGTGCCACTGCTTGAATTGAGGGTTGCAGAAAGCTCCTGGCAAATGCAAGAGAAAGCTGTACCTGTAGGAACCTAGCAGTGAAGAAACAGAAAAAAAAGTGCCCCATCCAGAAGTGGGTAAGTCACACTGGAACCAGGAAGGAAACCCCTTCCTCCTGCAATGTCTCTCCAGTGGTCTCTACTTACAAAGCTTAACATTGTGCCAGCCAGCAAAGGAAAACGTATACAAGGCCCAGATCTATTATCAGTGAGCAGGCAAAAATATGAATCTGGAGCTTAGAGGCAAGAAATTGACAAGAAGCAAAAAGTTGACTCTTCTTCAGTAGCTGAAAATTTAGTACTTAATTTTTCATTAAATATGTACCTTCAATATTTTAAGCAACTGATACAAATGTTTTAAATTAAACAAATATTATTAAATAATAAAATAAAAATAAAATCACTGTGCCAAAACCACACAGACTTTATTCTATGTGTTCTCTAGCAAGACTGCTCAACCTCTATTTCCTCTGCATATGTTCCACATCGCCTATTTATTTTGATGACTAGTCACCTGGAAGCCTTTGTGCATTCTGTACCCCAAAACGTGGGCCAAGGCACAGCCCACTGGCACACGGGCATCCACATAAAATACTTCTCCACCACTGCAGAGAGGGGAGGAGGAAGTTGTCATTGGCTGCTTGTAGCTGAGAACACTTTGTTTTATCTGAAAGCAGTATGTGTCATCATGAAAAAGGAGATGTAAGTAATGTTGTGTCTGTATACATATGGGGAAAGAGTAATAAGTTATCTCTGATTATTTTCACTTGTTAATATGAAAACTATGCTCACTGCACAGGCAAATCACCCATGCCTAGCTGAGATCATGGCAGCAGACAGAAATACAAAGTGCAGGTCTACCAAACCCATCCCAGCTTATTTTAATGTAACTACTAATAGCAAGACTTTAAAACAGATATATTTAGGACAAAAGATAGCCTGGTCATGTTTTAGCCAGGTCTTTCCCAGGCAAATTTGGATGAAAAGTTACCCTACTGATTCCACACTTCAAATGCTGAAAAGCTGACATGGAGATTGTAGTTTAGACCTGGATGACCACACAAGACCTCATCCACCTGTTCTCCTCCCTTGAATCTCAGAGACCCTTTTATCCAGTCCACAGAGAAAAGGGCAGGTCTGTGTTATTCACCCAGGCACAGTGTATCAGAGGAGATGCGGCAGAGCTGCAGCACTGTTCAATGCAAGAACCTAACCCAGTAGTGAAGCTTGGTCCAAAGAGTGGCTGCTTAGGTCCGATTAGATGAGATCAGCCACTCTTTCTTCCATGAGGATGAGTGAGTGGATGGATGGAGAGAGATGCAGAATTATGGGACAAAATATCCTGACATGGCACCACCTACCTCCACTCATTCACGTCTGCCTCATCCTCCTTCAGCACCCACATGCCTTACTACACATCTGGCGACAGTCCTATCTCTCCTTCCTCAAAAACGTACCTAGACTCTATTCCCATTCTTTCCATCCCTTTCCAACTGCTGTGGTTTTGCCTTTCATTTTCTCCAGCCTGAACTCCTACAACAGTTTCCTCACTTGCCACCACACTGACCACATCTGCATCCCTCTACAGATGTGGTCAGCTCCCTCTGATGACCTTGTGTTGTGGATGAGATGAAGCTCAAACTCCTTAGCCTGAAAGATAGTGGTTCCCGAAGCTGCATGTACATCCCAGTTATCTGGAGGTTGTCTTTAAAACTAAAACATGGTGGTCTCCATCTCAGGCTTCCTGAATCCCTGGAGGTACAGGAATTTAATAATGCCGTCCCTACAAGGCCCTTCACAACACAGCACCAATCTCCTTTCATCACCTCCTGCAACCCTCCATACCCTGAAGCCACATAGATTATTTTCCATTTTCCTACTGTGACATGTACTTTCATGCAGTGAGTTTTCATATTCTTTTCTGGAGTATTTTTTTTTGCCCTCTTTGCCTTTATACTTCCAGATGCTTCAACATTTAGCCCCAATAACATCCGCTCTGTGAGGTCCTTACTCATCCACTGTGAAGAGGTAGGCTCTCCTTAGTGTCTTACAGCGCCTATACTTAGCACAAACTGTATTTTTTCTTGGAGTTTTAAGGGGCCCAGAAAGTAACATCACTCTTCCTTGCTTAGTTCAAAGAGAGACACATTATTGAATTCCTGTACCTCCAGAGATTCAGTGAGCCTGAGGTGAAGACCACTATTTGTTAGTTTTAAAGATAATTCCAGATAACTTGAATGTACATTCAGTGACATCAGATGGAAATGAAAATATCAGCTTCATTACTGACAGACTGCACTCTGGAAGGTCAGATTTGTGTGTGGGCATGGGGGCTTAGTACCACACTTTTCTGTCTGAATTACACTCCCTTTAGATGGGCAGAACCTGCCTTGCTATGCTGTTTACCTGGAAGTAGAGTAGCAGAGAGCTTAACAGTAGGAATGGAGTGAGGGGAGAGAAAGAGAGGCAAAGAAGCAAGTCCATTTTTCTCTTCCAAACTCTTCATCAGATAATCCACTGTGACTGACCCCCAGTGAAGGGCTGAGGAGAGGAGAGAGGTGGAGAAAAGCCTAGCGTGGTCTGGTGGAAGTCCCTCATGGAAACATAAGAATTTTAGAATAAATGCCCCCTAAGAGTACTGTAATTATTTTTATATGATCATCTTACTCTATTTCCTAGACTTCTAGAATCCCAAAGATGGGATTTTTTCATTTCTTCTGCCTGGTACTAAATTCAATACATGTTTGTTAAATGAATGCTTAATCCTGAAGTGTTATTTAACACATTAGATTTTAAAGACAGTGATACCTCAAATTTTAAAATCAAACAGCTTCTAGTCATTTCAAATTCCCAGCAGTCTCTCTAATGTAATTACATGGTTTATTGGTTACGTTTGGACATTGTCTACAAGTGTTATTTGTGGTAGACTTTATCCCCCAGATAGCTGTGTCTTCCATCTATTTTTAGTTGCTTTCTTAATTTAAATTCAAATAGGACAAAAGCCAGGACCTGATGTCCTGCTGCTGTGTACATAGCTTAAGAATGATTTCTAAATATTTGCTACCTTTTGTAAGAGAAACAGACCTTGTGAGGCATCACATATCTAGATGGATTGGAGCCAGATGAGAAGCATATGGTCCTTATTTCCAAAATCCTTGTTTGCATTGGAGAGGGGTTGGCAGTTGAAAGCTGAAACCTCTCCTTCTGAATAACCAGATAAAGGGAAAGTGTCTGCCTACTCAAGTTGTGGAATAGCTTGGAAATCAGTAATGAAGAGAGGCCAAAACAGACCTCGGCTATTGGAGAGTAAAGTGGACAGAAAAAAGGCATTGAAACCAGAGACCTTTGGCTTGGAATGTCAGCAGGTCACTTACATCTCAGTACCAGTTTCTTCATCTTGAAGGGGAGTTAATATCACTTTTGCAAAGTTGGCTGTGATAACTGAGTGAGGCCAGGTGTGGTACCTGGCCTAGCAGACACCAGTCTCTGTCACTTATCCATTGGACTAATAGCACACCAGCATCATGGACTAGCAACTCTGCTTCTCTGTCAATGTTTGTGGAGACAGGGGTGGAGATGTTTTCTGAGCAAATTTATTTTTCAAGAACTCCTTCAGAGGCATTGCCCATATGTCCTATGGTTGATATTTTTTCATTTGTGAAAATGTAAACACACGCTTGGGCACTTTCACCATGTTACCATTGCTATACTGTTTACCTTTTTTACTTGAATGCAAGCTGTGAGTTTCAATGCTCATCTGGTCTACTTGGCTAGGATGACATTTATGCTACTTAGGAATGGTTGACATTTAGATCTTAGCAGTAACTGTTGGAACACTTCCAGGTTAATCTTGGATAATTGGTTTAAATCCAATTCTTTTTGTTTTTCCCTGAGAGGAATGATAAGAAACTATTAACAGTGATTCCTTTTGGGTGAAAGACACATGGCGGGAGAGGAGGCAGCCTCTAAGATGGCCCCCAAAGACCCCCACCTCCTAGTGTTCACCTCATTGTGCAATCCCCTCGTATCCAGTGTAGACTGGACTTACTAACTTGCCTCTAATGAACAGAATTCAGCAGAAGCAATGGATGTCACTTCCAAGATGAGGTTTTAGAAAGACTGTGACTTCCAACTTGGGTGTTTTTTTTCTTGCCTTTTCTCTCCTCTGCTCACTCAGAGGGCCTCTGATTCCCGTATTGTGAGCTGCCCTGTGCAAGACTCCTGTGGCAAGGAACCGGGGGAGGCCTGCAGGAAACCGTCTATGAGCAACCCAGGCCCTTAATCCATTGCCTGTGATGGACTAAATTCTGCCAAAAACCAAATGAGTGAGCTTGAAAGAAGACCTTCCCTTAGTCAAGCGTTTAGGTGAGACTGAAGCTCCAGTCAACAGCTTGACTGAAACCTCTGAGAGACCTCGTGCCAGAGACAACCAACTAAGCAGCAGCTAGACTTCTGACCCCGAGAACTGTGACACAATGGTGCTTTGTTATATTAAGCTGCTAAATTTGGGGGTAATTTATTGCACAGCAATAGATAACTAATAAAGGAAGAGATGATGAAAAGGGTAATAAAAAGCAGCTTTTACCTTTTATTTTATGCCTGTTTTACTGTATAAATTTTCTCATTTTATATATGTACAATATTTACTTTTTAAAATATTGTCAACAGGTGTTATTTAGGCCAGTGGATTATGGAAAATCCTGCAAATTGGCTCACTCAGTGCAAACTCCAACAGCTTCTATTGCCTTCCCGTACTACAGAAGCTAGCAAACTAACAAACAAACAAACAAACAAGCAAAAAACCCTGCATTTCCTAGACTCTCTTGAAACTGAGAACCCATATGTGACCTAGTTTTTATCAAGCAAACATACTGCTTAGGTAAAACTTAGAAAAAAATTAGCACTTAGGGATGATGGGATGTTCTAGCCAATCTGTGGGTAGAGATATTCTGCAGTAACTGTAGTGGAGGTTCTATGGTCTAGGTATAAGCTAGACTGTAGTCCTCAAAATCAAAAGTGTGAAGGGATAGTGTGAAGTGGCCATGGAGTTTCCATAAGAGCAGTTTCATAGAACTGTGTTCTATGTGGTGCCATTGTTCCTGTTTGGGCAACATCCAAGATAAGAACTTAACTCACTTAACACTTCTCCCCCCTGCTTTTCTCCTCCTTCCCAAATTTCATTTTGTTTATTTTTTTGAGAGAGTCTCACTCTGTTGCCCAGGCTGGAGGGCAGTGGCATGATCTCAGCTCACTGCAACCTCCACCTCCTGGGTTCAAGCGATTCTCCTGCCTCAGCCTCCTGAGTAGCTCGGATTACAGGTGCACGCCACCACGCCCGGCTAATTTTTGTATTTTTAGTAGAGGCAGGGTTTCACCATGTTGGCCAGGCTGGTCTCCAACTCCTGACCTCACGATCCACCCACCTCAGCCTCCCAAAGTGCCGGGGTTACAGGCGTGAGCCACTGCGCCTGGCCCCCACATTTTGAATAATTAGCATTAATTATTTATATGAATTATTATATAATTATTATAATAATTAGCATTAATTATTTAAAATGTTAAGTTAAATTTCTTTTGGTGGCTTCAAAACCGACAGTATAATGGTTACTATTTTTGTTCAACTAACTTTATCTTAACTTTCCTTAACTTCCTGTAAAACTCTACCCTCTCCTCCAACTTTCTTCAGTCTTGCTTCCACCAAGACTTTTGAGAGTGAAAGAAGGCACTATTTGTAATTACACTGGGACAAGAGGCATAATCAAATCTTATATGTTCATGCCATATAAGTAGGATCATATTCCTGTCAGTTCTCTCCACCTGTCTGAAAATACATGCTTACAATCTTTTATTAATCAAAACGTAAGATCAATAAGTTCAAATATACAGAAAAATATAGAAGTATGCAAAAATGTCGGCATGTTTAGATTCACCATATAAGTGAGATCATGTGGTATTTGTCTTTCTGTGCCTGGCTTATTTCACTTAACATAATGTCCTTCAAGTTCATCCATGTTGCTGTAAATGATGGGATTTCTTTCTTTTTTAAGGCTGAATTGTATTCCATTAAGTAAATATACCACATTTTCTAAATCTAAAAAAGTCAAACTCATAGAAGTAGAGATTAGAATGGTGATTACCAGGGGTTAGGGGTAGGAATTGGGGCGATGTTGGCTAAAGGATACAAAATTTCAGTTAGGAGGAATAAGTTCAAGAGAGCTGTCATACACTGTAGTGACTACAGTTAATAACAATGTATTGTATTCTTGAAAATCGCTAAGAGAATAGATTTTAAGTCCTCTCACCACAAAATAAGTATGTGAGATACTCGATTTAACCATTCCACAATGTATACGTATTTCAAAACATCACATTGTACACAATAAATATATGCAATTTATTATTAATTTTAAAAACAAATGGTTTAAAATGCTAACATTAGTCACTTCCATATGGTGAGATAATGGGCAATTTTTATTTCCTTCTTCCGCATATTTTTTATGCTTCCTAATTTTTGCCATTATCCATGAATTATGGATGGGGGACGGGGGGTTAAAATAATGTTTAGTCTTCTAGGCAGTGGATATTTAGGGCATTAAATCCAGGGCCTGACTCCACAGCTGAGATGCTACTTGTGGCGATCATCTTCTCCCAAGCTCCACATTTTAGCTTTGTACAGAGTGATGTCACTGTAGACCCTGAAGTGGTTCATCCTGTGGTCACGGCGTTCTGGGTCGACCAAGGCTTCTGAGTCCCACCCAATTTCCTGGTTTTCAGTCTGTGCCTCCGGGTACTTCTTCGTTGGCCCCTGGGCAGCATGGTGAATGAGATTCAGAAACCTGGCGTCTGCGGGTTCCTCCAGGTTATCATGCCAAGACATAGGCTTCCTCGTAATCCTGTGAACCTTGCGCAGGGGATTCACATGGTACTGCGTGTGGAGTTTCTGGGTTCGTAACTCTTTGAGGTACAGCTCCCGCAAGATCTGGTTCTGATGGACCTCATCTGTGACCACCCTCTCTTTCGGGTGTCCCGCCATAGCCTTGGGGCTGCTCCGTGGGTCCGGGGCTCTCTCGGCGTCCTCTTACCACTCGCTTGGCTGCGGGCCTTCTGCAGTCTCTAGGCAATGGCACCCCACTCCGTCTCCAGGCAACGGCGTTCGTATGATACCGCTCTGGCCTCTCGGAATCCAGCCTCTTTACTAGAACCGCCTCTGGATACTGCCAGGAAAAAGGCTCGCCATCAACTGGCAAACCCAGGAGATAATGAACATAAAACTAGACCTCACGTTGTCCAATCACCTCCCTCCTTGAGAACAGATTCGATGCTTTTCACTCCCCTACCTTCTCTGCCCCTGGTCCTGCAGTTTGCTCCGTGGTTACAAACCAAGTTCCACGGAGAAGCCAGTTCAAATGCAGAGGCTTGTGCAGTCTGGCTGCCCAGGCAGGAGAGGAAAGGCGCAGGCCAGGCCGAATGTTCGCTTGCCATGGTCTTGGATTCCCCGTGTCTGCCAGGTCGCTGCTGGGAATCCACAAGTCCTGGCAATTCTGGACCGCCTGGGAACTGCCCCAGTAGGAGGGAAACCATTTCTCCAGGGTGAGATTTGCAAGCCGTCAGGTCTGGTTGGGGGTGGCTGGATAGGGAGTGGGGACTAGAGTACAGGGGACTAGAAAGAAGGGCTATGAGGAGGGTGAGGGGGAAAGATAGGGGGACACCGGGAAAGGGGTGCCTGACGAACAGGGCGGCGGCACACGGACGCCCTGGTAGTAACAGAGGAAGGGCCGGGCAGGAAGTTCCTTGAGGTAGGGTACTGGGAAGGGGCGACATTAGTCAGCTTGGGCAAACGGGTAGGGCAGAAAATCGAACAACTTGGACGGCTCTGGAGAGGAGGCTGACGGCAGGAAGTTTGAGGAGTAACGGGGGGAAGGAGGGCTGGAAGACGAGAGCGGGAAGGAACAGAAAGAAAATGAGGCTGGGGTTGAGGCCGAGAAATTGGAGGTAGCTTTCTAGTCATTTTTCCAAATCAGCGCTGTAGTAACTCACTTGTCCAAACGAGTCAAAATGAGTAACTGAGATGTGCTGAGACCGACTCCAGCTTTTATCCCCTCAGGACATTCCATCACAGAATGCCTATTATGAAATGTACATTTATCTCCTTAGGTCATTTCATCACAGAATCCCTATTATGAAACGTACATTCTCCCCTTTGTTCTAGTGAGGAGGCCCCACCAATCAGAGAAAAGATCTGTTTCTTGGTTTAAGAGTGATCATGGGAAATAGCAAAGAAAAGAAATGGGGCTGTAATATTAGTCCCTGTTCTTGGGATATTACGTAGTTTTGCCCCTGGACAGGCAAAGATTGATCAAGGGGCTAACAGAGGTAGGGGCTTGGGGCCTAGGAGAGCAGTTCTGAAGCAAGAATTGGGAAAATGGGAAGTCAGTATCCTAGTCTCTTTCCCTTACTACATTGTTCAAAGCCCTTTCACATTATCTACCTCACTGCGTGAATATGCATGATTAGAGACGTTATGTTCATTTTACCAGTGAGGACACTAAAGACCACAGAGGGAAGGACCATAGGCAGGCAGTGGGTGGGTAAGCAGGCAGGACAAGAACTTGGGCCAAAAAGAGGGGGCAGGTAGGAGAGGCCACAAAATGGCACAAAGCGCTGACCAGCACCATTGCCTCCTCCTGTGTCTCTGGACAGGATCTTGGAGGGGATGTCTCAGAGAAGAGCTGTAGTTTTTGTAGCTTACCTCTTGGTCCCTGTGCTCCCTTGGTTTGATGACTTAATCTTCACTGGAACCAGACACACAGGGTCCAAGCTGGTAGGATGACTGCCCACTCCTGAGCACCTAGTGACTAGATTTGGACTTCCTTGCTCACTACCTGAGATGCCTAACTCCATCAGATGATGAAGGAAGCTGCTGCCCTCCCCTCTCTTTTGTCTGAAGTAGCAACCCTCTCTGCTGAACATTCCTGGTTTCTTTGAATGCCATTCAAATCATAGTCTCCTTTGGTCACCTATTCTCTCCTGTGCTTGTATCATCACAAGATTCTGAATTTTCTCCCTTGGCCCAACACCCTTTTCCTCCCATGCTGCATAAAACTTCCAGTTATGCTTTGGAAGTCCAGCTACATGATTTTTAGCAAACTTCCCTTTTTCCATAGACTGCTTCTTTATTGACAGTTCCTTGCCTCTCCTTATTTTAATTGTAACTTGGATTTCTCTTAAGGACATTGCTTCCTTTTTATCTCAAGTAGAAACTACTTATTCTCTCAAACTCTAAAGTACTTCAGAGTAAGAATGTGGTTTATAGAGTCTCCTCGCTCCTTCCGACTCCTTGAAAACTGCTCTGCATTATTCCTCTCTTCATACTGGAAAATCTCTTGCTCCTTATGAGTTATCTTTAAACTAGGAAAGAAAACTTACTGGGAAATAAAAAAGTAACACCTTCCTTATAATGACCTAAATGAACAAAAATGTTAATTCATAGTTCAGAAAACTTTGTCTATTCAGAAAACAAGTATGTTCTCTATTCTCACTGTGTATTAGTCTGTTCTCATGCCGCTAATAAAGATATACCTGAGACTGCGTAATTTACAAAGAAAAAGAGGTTTAACAAACTCACAGTTCCATGTGGCTGGAGAGGCCTCATAATCATGGCAAAAGGCAAAGGAGGAGCAAAGGCACATCTTACATGGTGGCAGGCAAGAGTGCATTTGCAGGGGAACTCCCCTTTATAAAACTATCAGATCTTATGAGACTTATTACCATGAGAACAGCAAAGGAAAGACCCACCCCCATGATTCAATTACCTCCCACCAGGTCCCTCCCATGACATGTGGGAATTGTGGGAGCTACAATTTAAGATAAGATTTGGGTGGGACACAGCCAAACCATATCACACTGATTGTAAACAACAGCCAATAGATTGTTTACTTTTGACCAGGTTGAGGGAAGAGTCAACATATAGTTCCATAGAGCATGTTGCAGGCAGTGAGGGAAGAGAAAGCACAGGAATTTTTGAAGATCTTTCTAAGGTCCCTTCAATTTGGAGAATAGCACTTAAGAATCTGGGGAAGCCAAGAAAAGAAAGGAGCTCAGTTCCTCACCACAGAATGACACTGGTGGCAGGATCAAGAAATAGCAGGTGCCTACATGGACTTTGCATTATGGAGACCCAGGTCCTGCAAGCAGCCTGACCCATGGCTGGCTGAGTTACTTTCCACTAAGTAGACCACAGATCTGAAGGAAATATATGTGAGGATAAAGTTACCAGAGTGCCTAGTTTTCTTCCCAATCCATCAATTATTTGAAGAACTGGGCTCAGCAGGGCTTCTCCCAAGGTGCATGAAACCTGGGAGAACCACCATGCAGGGAGCCACAGTAGAGGCCAACATGTGGATAGTTTGGTGGCTCTGCCTCAAACAGAGGACAGAACAAATGAAACAGAAACAAATATATTCTTAAAAATATTTTAGAAGAAATTTTCTCTAAAATGAAGGAAGGTAGCGATCATCTGATCAAGAAGAAAATTTACAATGGCTGGCTAATGCCACAACATTCTGGAAAACTTGCTGAACTACCAGGTTAAAGATAGCCTTATGAATGCTCCTGTCACCTATTAAGCTTAAAAACTGAGGCTGAACTCACACATCTTCTAAGTAGCATTAAATGCTGGCAGATAATGGAGCAAGTTTCAGAGGAATGCCACTTGGATGTGGTCTGCAGGCTGGCAGCTTCAGCATCACTTGGGATCTTGTTAGAATGCCAAATCCTGGACCACTATCCCGGACATACTAATTTGAATTCTCTGGAGGTGGAACTCAGAAATCAGTGTCTTAATATGCCCTCCAGGTGATTCAGATGCATGGCTAACGTATGAGAGGCACTGCTCCAAACTTTAGTAAAACAAACACATACAGCTCATGAATTTTACATCATGCTAGGTTGTCATTTGCATATGAAGGTAACAGACAGCCATCTCTTCTTTGTATAAAATCAGGAAGTATATTTCTCATGAGTATTTGAAACAGGAGGAATTGAATAAAGGAATTCAGTTTCACTGTTGACGTAAGAGCTAAGATAACAAATGACATTAAGACACTTCAAGATTAGCCCAACAGCCAGTCCCTGGGCTGTCTGGACAAAGGAGTCAGGCCAGGGGCCAGAGTTGCCTGAAGGAATCTGGAATCCTGGCAGGCCTGTCCAGTGGGGATGGAGATAGTGCTTTAGACAACGGGGAGCTGGTGCCTGAGATGCTGACTGAGATGGATTGGGAGAAAAAGACTCTGCTTCACCTTCCTCCATCCTTCCAGTTTCTTGCAGACATTCCTGTTGGCGAAATCTAGCTGAAAAATCAGCTGAGTCAAGAACCTATGGCTCAGGGCACAGCAGGGGAAGGGCAAGGAAGGACTCTGAGGGCCAGCAGGGCAGGGACTGGTACGAAGTCTATACCCAGTCTACCAAATGATAAATCAAACTAAGTCACAAATGGGGAAGGGTGTGAAAAGACCGGCAGCAGTGCCATCTTCCCAGGCTTAGGATGTGGTTGTAGAGGGCCTTGTGCTGAAACAGGCCTCAAGTGGCTTAATGCTCAGCTGTTGTCATCTGAAAATTCTTAATAATTTTTGAGGAAAGTCTCTACATTTTCATTTTGAACTGGGCCTTAAAAATTCGGTGGCCACCCCTGACTGAGACTAAACAGTAAATTATTTAAAAATAGAAAAATAATGTTCATGGTACAGAATGTAGATGTTATACCTATTTATCGAAAAGCTACATAATGTTAAAAATAACGATAACAGACACATAAAAATCCTAATATGTTCTGACGCAATCTTAAAGCTTATAGAAGGAAGTCTAAGTGGGTGAGCGCTGTCATCTTCCACAGGGAGAAGTAGATTTTGTTTTGCTTTATGAGGTTGAATGAAGATGACTTGGAATGTTCACTTTTAAGTATGTTACTTAAAGTTGAAACAAGATCAGTCTTAATAATTTTCAAATTACCACAGGGAGAAGAGTGAGATGACCTAAAAAAAAAATATATAGGCCATGTAGCAAAGATACAAACTAAGAAAGCACACTTAAACAAAATGAGAATGAAACTGTCTCTGGTAATACCTGCAAATGGTATTTACTCAAGTATTGAATCACAAAATTAAACCCAATGAGTTAATGTCTGTATGAGATACAATTAAAACGGTGCATCTTGTCGACACTAATATTAGTGTCGACAAGAGATACTCCTAAAGCAAGTGCAATCGAAATTTTAAATAAACAGATGGGCAAAATATGTCAGGGGAAACTTGCCAAAGAGTGTTACTTTGTTGATGAAAAGTGTCAAACTCTGTAAAATATTTGAAAAGATTTATTCTGAGCCAAATATGAGTAACCATGGCCTGTGACACAGCCTTCAGGAGATTCTGAGAACGTGTGCCCAAGGTGGTTGAGGTGGAGCTTGGTTTTATACATTTTAGGGAGGCATGACACATCAACCAAATACATTTAAGATATGCATTGGTTCGGTCCAGAAAGGTATAACAACTTGAAGGCAGTGTCATTAGGGGCGTCGAATATCCAAATACAGACAGTGAATCATACAGGTCTGCAGTAACCTTAATTCTTGCCTCCTCAGAAGAAAGAATTTGACTGAGAGCTTAAGGCAGAAAAAGAGACAGAGGCAAGTTTCAGAGCAGGAGTGGAAGGGGTTTTTGTTTGTTTGTTTGTTTGTTTGTTTTTTGAGATGAGTCTCGCTCTTTCGTCCAGGCTGTTGTGAAGTGGTGCGATCTCGGCTCACTGCAACCTCCGCCCGCCCCGGGTTGAAGTGATTCTCCTGCCTCAGCCTCCTGAGTAGCTGGGATTACAGGTGCCCACCACCAAGCCCTGCTAATTTTTGTATTTTTAGTAGAGACAGGGTTTTGCCATGTTGGCCAGGCTGGTCTTGAACTCCTGATCTCAGGTGATCCACCAGCCTCAGCCTCCCAAAGTTCTGGGATTAGAGACGTGAGCCACCATGCCCAGCCTGGAAGTTTATTAAAAAGATGTAGAGCACGAAAGAAAGCAAAATACACTTAGAAGAACAAGTGAGGCATTTGACCTTTGGACTTGGGGTTTTACATGCCGGCATATTTCCCGGGTCTTGCGTCCCTTTTCCCATGATTCTTCCCTTAGGGTGGGCCACCACATGTGCGGTGCCCTCCTTGTGCTCGGGAGGTGAGCACGCACAGTGTGTTTAAGAAGCTGTACAAATGCCTGCCTGAGGCTTTCTTCCCTTTTCCGGTGGAATCCCCCTGGAAGGTCATATTCCACCTTTTGTCTCTTAATTTGCACGCCCCAGCTGACTCGCCCAACTCCTGAAAGCTGCCGATTACCAGTCACAGGTGTTTCCTATCAACATAGGGAGATTGCCTTTCCCTGGTGCTGGCTGCGACCAATTATTATTTTCCAGTGACAGTTAACAACCGCCTGACCATCACCTGATGGTCACCTGACTTTCCTGGTAGGGGTGCGGGGGAAGCCCTCTCCTGCCCGACCCCATGCCTGGCTAGCTATCTCCTGTAACGAGGGGCTTCCAGGTTATACAGGTAGATTTAAAATTTTTCTGATTGGCGGCCGGGCGCGGTGGCTCACGCCTGTAATCCCAGCACTTTGGGAGGCCGAGGTGGGCGGATCACGAGGTCAGGAGATCGAGACCATCCTGGCTAACACGGTGAAACCCCGTCTCTACTAAAAACACAAAAAATTAGCCGGACGTGGTGGCGGGCGCCTGTAGTCCCAGCTACTCAGGAGGCTGAGGCAGGAGAATGGCGTGAACCCGGGAGGCAGAGCTTGCAGTGAGCCAAAATCCCGCCACTGCACTCCAGCCTGGGCAACAAAGCGAGATTCCATCTCAAAAAAAAAAAAAAAAAAAAAAAAAGTCTGATTGGCAATTGCTTGAAAGCGTTATTATCCATAGAAAGGAATGTCTGGGTTATGATAAGAGGTTGTGGAGATCAAAATTGTATCATGTAGATGAGGCCTCCACGTAGCAGGCTTCACAGACAGTGGATTGTAAATGTTTCTTATCAGACTTAGGATGTGTGTTACTGTTAATGCTGGAAGGTATAATGAGGCATGTCCAACCCCAACTTCCCATCACAGCCTGAACCAATCCTTCAGGTTAACTTGTAGACTGCCCTGGCCTAGGAGGAAGTCCATTCAAATGGTTGGGGGGCCCTTAGAATTTTATTTTTGGTTTACAACTTTATGTGGTTGAAGAGTCAAGTTCATAAGAGATTCCTAATTGTCATGAAGCCATAGCATCAAAACATCATGTGAGCAATTCTTTTCATTTATAAGCTATTCTTGAAAAAGTTTATGAAAATGTAATATGCCAAAGCTGATAAACCCTTTAAGTTACAAAGCGAATTTCATTCCAAGAGAGCTACTGTGTGGCAATATTTCTAACTACACCTTACCTTCTGGGTCTGCACCCTCCATTACAACAGCCGCTGGCCATACTTGAGCACTGCAGAGTGTCTGAGAGCATGGCCTGTCTGAAGTGAGACACGCTGTAAATGTAAAATAAATACCAGCTTTTTAAGGCTTAATATGAAAAAAATGTAAATTGCCTTATTAGTAATTTTTTATACCTATTTTATGCTGAAATGATAATGTTTCTGGATCCATTGTATTAAATAAAATATATCGCAAATTTAATTTCATGTGTGTCTTTTTAATTTTTTCTTTTTTTTTTTTTTGAGATGGAGTCTCGCTCTGCCACCCAGGCTGGAGTGCAGTGGTATGATCTCGGCTCACTGCAGCCTCCGCCTCCCAGGTTCAAGTGATTCTCCTGCCTCAGCCTCCTGAGTAGCTGGGATTACAGGCATGTGCCACCACACCTGGCCAATTTTTGTACTTTTAGTAGAGACAGGGTTTCACCATATTGCCCAGGCTGGTCTTGAACTCCTGACCTCGTGATCTGCCTGCCTCGGTCTCCCAAAGTGCTGGGATTACAGGCGTGAACCACTGTGCCCAACCATCTTTTTAATATTTTAATGTGGCCTCTAGAAAATTTAAAATTACCTGTGTGGCTTGTATTATATTCCACCAGACACTGATGTTCCAGTGTCTGGAACTATATTTATTAATATAGTTTCAATGTAGTTCATGTAGTTTCATTAATTTTGCTTTACTTTCATAATAAATGCCTGAAGGAAACTGAGGATTTGCTACTTGGTTACCTCTGATAAATTCCATCTTTATTGCATTAGAATTAATCTTATGAAAAAGCTACAGTTCTTACCATCAGCATCAACCCCTTTATGTTTAGATGTTACGATCATTTTTATAAAATAATAAAGGTGAGATCAAATTAATATTCAGATAATTTCATAAGACAAGAGAGTAATAGTATCAGAAATGAACTCTAAGCCAGGCATGGTGGCTCACATCTGTAATCTCAGCACTTTGGGAGGCAAAGGCAGGAAGACTGCTTGAGGCCAGGAGTTTGAGACCAGCCTGGGCAACACAGCGAAACCGTCTCTGCTGAAAGGAAAAAAAAAAAAGGAAGTGGACCGTTGACTGGCTGATAGGCACCCCCACCATGAAAAACAACTCAGAGAGTTTTGAGGTCAGTTTGTGTAGGAAAGTCTGAATTCAGCACATCAGAGCTGATGTAGAGGAATCAAAAGTCATTTAACAAAGTTTAACTTTTATGAAAATCAGATGTAAAGAAGTCAAGGATTATCTATAAGAATCCTGCTGAAAATATAGAATGTGACAATAATACAAGCATAGTAACATAAATCTCTTCTAGTCATTGACAGATTACACAGTAAAAAATTGTTACAGCTGAATAATGCTATATTATATATACTTACATATATAGTATTATTCATATATGTATAAATAGATACAGATAAATAGATATAAACCTATAAATATCCTATCCCTTTCTTTGAAAATATACCTCCTTTAAGAAAAATATAAACATATCTTCTGATTGGGCCCAAAGATTCAATAATGTGGAGGTGTTCCATTGTATTAGACCATTTTCACACTGCTGATAAAGACATACCCAAGACTGGGTAATTTATAAAGAAAAAGAAGGTTAATGGACTCACAGTTCCACGTGTCTGGGGAGGCTTCACAATCATGGCAGAAGGCAAAAGCCATGTCTTACATGGCGGCAGGCAAAGAGAGAATCAGAGCCAAGTGAAAGGGGTTTCCTCTTATAAAACCATCAGATCTCATGAGACTTATTCACTAAGATGAGAACAGTATCAGGGAAACCGCCCCCATGATTCAATTACTTCCCACTGGGTCCCTCCCACGACACATGGGAATTATGGGAGCTACAATTCAAGCTGAGATTTGGGTGGGGACACAGCCAAACCATATCACCCATCTTCTCAAATCTACAAACAAATTAAATGCAGTTGCAAACAAAAATACTTACTTTTGTGATTTGATCAAATAGTTTAAAAGGTCTTGTAAAATAATGTATAACTGAGAAGTGCCAGAAGACATTCTAAAAATAAAAAATAATGAGATAGGTTTGTCCTTTGCACATAGAAACACATGAAATCATAGCAATTAAAATAGTACAGGGAAAGGATTAGACAATGAATGAATCACAGAAAATTGGTATATGATAAATGATCACTTAGAATAGGTGTGGGAATTCAGTCAATAGCAAACTACTTCAGAAAAATAAAGGCTAATTCCTATCTCACTTCTTAAATCCAACAAAAATACAAAATGGATCAAAGTTTGTAGCATAAAAAAGAAAATCATATATATATTCATCTACATTACCTTGGCTTACTACTACAATTTGCATTTTGTGGCTTGTTTACGCTTATGTGTTTAATCCATCTAGTGATATCTATTTTTGTTCTTCTAGTTCTAAAATGCTTTTAATTTCTGCTATTCTCATTACTGTCTTTTTCAAACATTTCTCAACATTCTCACAGGTTTTCTTTCTAATCACTCACAGGTTTATTCTCATATATTGACTTAGAACTTGTAGAAAGCTGAAACTGGATCCCTTCCTTACACCTTATACAAAAATCAATTCAAGATGGATTAAAGACTTAAACGTTAGACCTAAAACCATAAAAACCCTAGAAGAAAACCTAGGCATTACCATTCAGGACATAGGCATGGGCAAGGACTTCATGTCTAAAACACCAAAAGCAATGGCAACAAAAGCCAAAGTTGACAAATGGGATCTAATTAAACTAAAGAGCTTCTGCACAGCAAAAGAAACTACCATCAGAGTGAACAGGCAACCTACAAAATGGGAGAAAATTTTCACAACCTACTCATCTGACAAAGGGCTAATATCCAGAATCTACAATGAACTCAAACAAATTTACAAGAAAAAAACAAACAACCCCATCAAAAAGTGGGTGAAGGACATGAACAGACACTTCTCAAAAGAAGACATTTATGCAGCCAAAAAACACATGAAAAAATGCTCACCATCACTGGCCATCAGAGAAATGCAAATCAAAATCACAATGAGATACCATCTCACACTGGTTAGAATGGCAATCATTAAAAAGTCAGGAAACAACAGGTGCTGGAGAGGATGTGGAGAAATAGGAACACTTTTACACTGTTGGTGGGACTGTAAACTAGTTCAACCATTGTGGAAGTCAGTGTGGTGATTCCTCAGGGATCTAGAACTAGAAATACCATTTGACCCAGCCATCCCATTATTGCAGAGTGTCTGAGAGTGTTTGCTTTATGAGGTTGAATGAAGATGACTTGGAATGTTCACTTTTAAGTATGTTACTTAAAGTTGAAACAAGATCAGTCTTAATAATTTTCAAATTTATAATCCCAAAGGATTATAAATCATGCTTCTACAAAGACACATGCACACGTATGTTTATTGCATTCAGGGGAACCCCAGCATAGTGGGAGAAGCACAAGTGGCTCGGAAGTTGAGTGCTGAGATCCATGCAACCCCCAAGGAGGCCTCACTCACCCAGCATCAGGGAGAGGAAGGCAGGTGTGGAGTTCGAGCAGTCACACCACCAGTGTCAGTAGCCCTGTCCCAGGATCCCAGAGCTGTCACCTTACAGCTGCAGAGAAACCAGCCCTGTATCTTTATTGCAGCATTACTCACGATAGCAAAGACTTGGAACGTTTATTGCGGCATTATTCACAATAGCAAAGACTTGGAACCAACCCAAATGTCCAACAATGATAGACTGGATTAAGAAAATGTGGCACATATACACCATGGAATACTATGCAGCCATAAAAAATGATGAGTTCATGTCCTTTGTAGGGACATGGATGAAATTGGAAATCATCATTCTCAGTAAACTATTGCAAGAACAAAAAACCAAACACCGCATATTCTCACTCATAGGTGGGAATTGAACAATGAGAACACATGGACACAGGAAAGGGAACATCACACTCTGGGGACTGTTGTGGGGTGGGGGGAGGGGGGAGGGATAGCATTGGGAGATATACCTAATGCTAGATGACGAGTTAGTGGGTGCAGCGCACCAGCATGGCACATGTATACATATGTAACTAACCTGCACATTGTGCACATGTACCCTAAAACTTAAAGTATAATAATAATAAAAAAATTAAAAGAAAAATAAAAAAAGAACTTGTTTTTATTATGTTTTAAAAGCAGTCTTTAGGGATTTTGATTGGAGTTGTGTAAAATACACAGATGAATGTGGGAAAAATTGGTACCTTTATAATTTGTCTTTCCAACCAGAAATCAGAAATATCGCTTCATTGATTCAATTATACAAGTATCTCCGTAACTTTAGTTGTTTTCTTCAATATTCGCCTTTCACATTTCTTTTTCTTTTCTTTTCTTTTCTTTTTTTTTTTTTTTTTTTTTTGAGACATTGTCTTACTCTGTCACCCAGGCTGAAATGTAGTGGTGCATTCATATCTCAATTTTTTAGAGATGGGGGCTCGATATGTTACCTAGGCTGGTCTGGAATTCCTGGCCTCAAGCAATCCTCCCGCCTCAACCACCCAAAGTGCTGGGATTTAGAGGCATGAGCCATCACACCCAGCCTCTCATTTCTTTTTTAATTTGCTTCTAGGTGTCTTACAATATAGGTTTCTATCATATTTTCTTTCTTCCCTGGAGTTTGCTTGCAAAGTTTCGACTTAATCGTGCTCCTCAGTTTTATGGTCGGATGGCTTGTCATTTTTGTGGGTTTGTCTATCCATTAGTTATTAGTTGTTGTGCCATTGGGGGTGCGTACATAGGCAGTGATCTCTTGAATGGCTGCATCAGTCTTAGTCTTCCTGGTTTCTCACTTGCAACATGCACCTTCAGGTACCCTCAAATGTCTCAGTGGTGAATTCCATGCAGGCTAGGGAACTCCTTCCTCTGCAAATTCCCCTCACTTCAGGAACTTGGCTCCTTAATTCCTAGCTGCCTTGGTAGCCCTGAACAATTTGGGCCTGCCCAAGCTGGTGAGACCGTATCAGCCTCTGGTTCATTTTGGACTCTGTTGGGCCTCTACGCCTGCAGTGTGGATTGGCAAATGCTCTGCAGGTACAAAGCTTTGGAGGAGGCCCAGCTCACCTCTGTGAGTTTCCTTTCTCTCTCCTAAGCCCTGACTACCTTGCTTGCCCTCTGATATCTCCAAACAGTTTTGTTTTGTTTTTTCATGGGAGTCCTGGAGGTGGCATTTTTTTTCCAGCTTTTAGAGTTGAGTAAGTCAGATTATCAGCCACTCTGTCAAAGCCAAACACAAGCCCATCCGACCAGCTTCTAATTGGTTAAACTACACTGCATCCTTTCACTTCAGTTCTCAACTGTGATCACATTTTTATCAAGTGGGAAATGAAAGTTAAGGAAATAAATGGTTCTAAACAGGAAACTTGGATAATGTAGTGAAGATCACATGACAAGGCAGACGTCTGTTTTCAGAATTTAAGGTTTTGAAGAATATTTCCTAATTGAAAATCTAGCTTGGTAAGGTGAGTCTCTGCCCTCATGTCCCCACCAAATCCACTTTGTTCCATGATCCTGCAGGTACCAAGACTAGGATAACAGAAAGAGGCCTCTGATAGTGAAGAAAGGGACAATCACTCTATCACATGGTAGCACACAGAAGATATGCCTAAGGCTGGTTGCAGGTGTGAAGGACCTCTGTCTATTGGGTAACCAGCTCCCTTCACTTCTCTGGATCATTCTGACTGAACCAAGTGGAGCTGACAGAAGCTGTCCTCGAGTCCCCGGGGCATGGGTGGCAGCCGGTGGGCTCCAATGAGGCCATTTGGGGGAGAGGAAGAAAGAATTGGAATGGGTTTCCCTGCTGAGTGTGATGGGGAGGCCATGTGTGATTGAGGGGATTAGCTTTATTTGGAGCTTTAGCTATTATACCTGACTGGCTTTGAGTGTGACCAGGTGGCTTCAAATAGGAACACCCTGTGTTCCGAATCAAGCCAACTCATGGGTGCATCTGATTGGCAGGCTATAATTTCCTTGAAGTCTGTTTCAGAAAGGTAGGCTTTCCACAGTGGGGAACTAGTCAAAGCTAGAAAGGGCATTCAAAAGATTTGGAGCACTTGTGAATGATAGGACTCCCCAAGAGATAGAGACACCAGGGACAGAAAGCATCAAAAAATGACTGTTTCTGATTAAAATACAAAGGAAGAAAAAGAAATCTTAAACACTTCCAGAAACAGATGAGGCAATGACGTTTATGACTCATTAAGGGATTATTCTGGGCCAAGCTGTTTAAATCCTTACCACAAGTCTTGGAGGCAGGCATTGTTATCCCCATTTTATAGGGAGAAACTGAGGTGTCAAGAGGTGAAGTGAACCGTCCCAGACCCCACAGGTTATACATGACAGGGCCAGTATAACACAAATGTCTCCGTCTGAAACCTGAGCCACTCACTGCCACTCCATACTGTCTCTCCCTTTGGGGTAGATCTCAGTGGCTGGAGAGTCTCTCTGTTCAACGTTGGTGTTGACAATCACAACAAAGTTAAGTGAGGTTTGGCAAGTGGATGTCCCGTATGTAGAAAGATTTCACTGGACATACTCTTTTTTAAAATTTTTATGACTCCAAGGGAAAATACAAATTACTTTTTAAAAGTTCAGGTATGTGGATAACTTCATTTTTGTGACAAGTGAAAGAATGCCCTGAAATTGTATATGAATGCAAATCAGTGTGGTATTTTATATCAATTACATGACAGACATGACTCACATAAATATGGAAGAAGGAGTGGCCATTTACTAGCATCCTTGTAAAATAGAAAGCAGTGTCCCTTGAACAAAATTTCATTTTACCTGGACTGTGTTTAACTAACAGCCAGCATAGGAATCACCTGGCAACGAGCCTGGGATCTTGAGATCGCAGCACTGGAACTACAGGAACTTTCTCAAGCTCTGTGGAAAAATCTGCCTGGTAAGAGCTAAAAACGTCCCATTGGTCCAATTTTAGAACTTTCCCTCTGAGTCTTTTAGAAGTAACAGAAACCCAGAGGGGAAAGCAGGGAGAAATGGAAAGAGCTGTGACCCAGAAGCGGAGAGGGGCTCCGTCAAGCCTGGGTCTGGTACTCCTTAGCTTCAGCAAGTCACGTCACCTTTCCAGCCTGTTTCCCTTTTCTGTAAAATACAAGTTAATATGACAATATAATTAATATATTAAAATATATAAAATCCCAGATTTTAATAATATGCTATTCAAATATATTAATATGCTTTTTAAATATACTAATATGCTTGTAGTGTTTCTCAAGTTCATCTCACCACATGTCCCTTGTTTTCTGAGCTCGCTGGGGGATTGATGCTCCACGGAGCGCTGCTGGGAAACGCTGGACCAGAGCCAGTTCCAAAGACTTCCTTCTGAAAATCCTAGGTTTGTTCTGCAGGTGTGGCCTAACAGCTCCATCTTTTTTGTGTTCAGAAACATTCATCCTGTGCTATCACATGCGGCATCGCCTCAGGTAAGACAAGCAGAACAGGGAGCAAAGGAAAACTTTCATTCATTAACTCAACACACATTGAGTGCCCACTAGGGTCAAGTATGAGGCCCCATCTTGGCAATGGATTTTAGAGACCACAGACAAGCAAGGGTCTGTGGAGAAGTCTTTCCATCTGTAGTTTCCAAGGAGTCCTGAGACTTGGAATCCACTGCTGTGTTTGAAGGGTTTGCGCTGGGTTGAGGAGGAGAGTTTACCTGGACTATGCTTGTACGGAGGTGTATGGCAACAACATAATATCGAGACAAAAGCAGAGCCAGAATTGCTAACCACAGGCCAAGAAAACCAATGACATATCTAGGGGAAACTGGAAATATTTACTCCCAAGTATTAACAGTGATTACCATGAAGTGTTGTAATTAGGAGCAGCTTTAAATTTTTTTTTTTTTTTTTTTTTTTACTTTTTTTTTTGGAGACAGAGTCTCGCCCTGTCACCCAGGCTGGAGTGCAATGGCGTGATCTCGGCCCACTGCAACCTCTGCCTCCCGGGTTCAAATGATCCTCTTGCCTCAGCCTCCCGACTAGCTGGGATTACAGGCACGTGCCACCACGCCAGCTATTTTTTATGTGTTTTTAGTAGAGACGGGGTTTCACCATGTTGGGCAGGCTGGTCTGGAACTCCTGAGCTTGTGATCCATCCGCCTCAGCCTCCCAAAGTGCTGGGATTACAGATGTGAGCCACCACGCCCGGCCACTTAATTTTTTTTTTTTAATGAACATGTGTAGCTTTTGTGATCAGAGGAAGATAAAACAGCTATGTTTTATCAATACCTCTATGCTTATTAAATACCTCAATGTTCTATTTTTTAAAAAATGATGGTCAAGACACCGGTCTAAGTGACAAAATCATTTCAGCCTCAGGAAGCTTCCAGGGAAAATAGGAAATAGACAAACGATTTGATATTTAGTTTTTAAATAGTATAAAAAGAGACTACAGATGAAAGATTTGGAGCTCTCACCTGAAATCTTATGGGAGTGATTATACATGGCGATGCCAAAGGGCAGGCTGCCACGGTGGACACTTAAAACAGTTTTCTCCCCAACACTGGGCATGTGCCCTAACGCGACATACGAGCTTATAAATATCTACGTTTGCATTTATAAGCTAGACAACTTTAATTACTTTTTTCAGTTATAGCTCTTTCTGTGAAGTCTTACTTCAGTTGACAGCTGAAGTCACCTCAAGTGGGAGGTGTGGCCTCATGTGCCCACTCATGGGCCACACATGCTTGGCCTTCTGACTCCGCACTAGTGTAAACCATCTACACCCTTACATTGGATCCAAGAGCCAACATTGCTCTGTTAACAGCCCACCTCTCCCAGTCTTTGGCCAATAAGCACCAGAGAGAAAGTCACAGTCTCAGAGATGGACGGGCACTGACTTGTTCTCTGACCTCATCAGGCTCCTCACACAGCCTTGCATGACAGCTTATCCTCCATTCCTTGGCAGCAGCCTGAAACCCTCAAACTTGAATACAGCGCCCAGCTCTCCTTTTCCTACTCTGTTTTTAACAAACCGCATCTTCTTCTTTTTCTCGAAGAAACGAGCAGTCTTTGGGCAGAACTCACTCACCTTCCTGCATCCCCCTCTATCAATTGGTCTGTGTCCCCCACTCTCCCCACCGGGGAAGGGACGTCTCAGCACCTCCTGTGCCTGTCCCCTGGGCCACTCCCTCTCACTCCCGTCTCTGCAGGCCCTCACTGCTTCTCTTCACTCTGTGTCTCCAGCCACTCCCTCTACTTGCCTCTTTCCTGCAAGCATTAAAGGTGCTCAAGCCTCCTCCATCTGAAACAAACTCTCCTTCAAGTCCGTGTCCTCCCCTGGTCCTTTCTTCCTTTGCCCTATTCTTTCTGTTTGAGACCTGGTGAGTTTGAAGTGACTGAGAAGGGTCACAGTGGATATATCTAGTAGGATTTGGATATGCGAGTCTGAAGTTTTGGAAGGCTACCTGGGCTAACGGCATGGAATTAGGCATGGAATTAGGGCATGGAATTAACTAGCAAACAAAAGATGATCATCAAAAATGCGAGAGTGAAGGTGATGGCCCAGGGATGTGGTTTAGAGACCAGAGGTCTAAGGTAGTGAAACCCCTCAGGTGCCACAACTTTATGAAGCTTGAAGCCACCTACCCCAGAAGAACTTTCTTAAATCTTTAAAAATTATAACAACAAATATTGAGCAATAAATATGTACCAGTCATTGTTCTAAATGCTTCATAATTTTCACAAACAACAGGTATATATTATCAATGACTTCACTTTACTGAAGAGGAAAATGTGGCTCATAAACGTTGTGTAACTTTGGAAGAGTTGCAGCTAAGCAAATAATGAAACCTGGCCAGGCATGGTGGCTCATGCCTGTAATCCCAGCACTTTTGGAGGCTAAGGCGGGCAGATCACTTGAACTTAGGAGTTAGAGACCATCCTGGGCAACATGGTGAAATCCTGTCTCTACAAAAAAAAGCAAAAAACAAAAATTAGCCAGGCGTGGTGGTGTGTGCCTGTAGTCCTAGCTACCTGGGACTATAGGCGCCTCCCTGAGCCTGGGAGGGGGAGGTTGCAGTGAGCCGAGCCACGGCACTCCAGCCTGGGTGATACAGTGTCAAAATAATAATAATAATAATAATGTCTCAAAATAATAATAATAATGAAACCCATGTCATGGCATTCTAAAATCGGCTTGTGTTCCATATTCTATAAAATAACTTCTTGACAGGGAGCAGATTAGATGATATGAGAGATCAAGAGAGTTTTTACTTAATTTGTGTGTACACATACATAGAGTTAATGATAAAAAATGCTTTATAAATAATTGCTTATAAGGATTAATTTGCCCAAGAACTTCATCAATATACAAACTATAAAGGATCATGAAATTATTTTAAAAATTATTCACAAATTTATTTAGCAACTATTTATTGAGTGTTTTCATAAGTCAGGTCTGATGCTGAATAGCACAAATATAAAGATGGGCTAGAGGCAGCCCCAGATCTCTGGGGGCTCCCTGTCTTGTGAGGGATACAGCTGTGCACATACTGACTGCAATGAGGAAAAAGCCACGAAAGAAGTCACTAGAAGACAAGCAGCCTCGTGCTTGGGCTCCAGAGTCAGGCGGATTGAGCCTTTGTTGTTTTATTCCAACAGAAAAGGAACACTAAGTCTCATTGCATTGTTGCAGAGATTACAGGGGATGGTATGCACAGACTCCCAAAGGCAATCCATGAATGGCAGTGGACACTTTAGGATGATCATGAAAATAATGGTTAGTATTATTAAGTCAGTGTAAACACAATTGTGGTTTTTGCCATTGAAAGTAATGGCAAAAACCACAATTACGTTTGCACCAACCTAATATTTACCAACTCTTCCCAGAGAGAGAGTTAAGTAAGCCTTCTTGGAAAAGGTAATGTTTAGATTGAGGCTAAAAAGTTAGAAGGAAGTTTGCCAAGCAAACTAGGAGGCTAGTTCATCCCAGACAGCAAAGACAAAATGTACAGGATGGCAAAAATGAGAAAGAACATTCCACGTACAGGGACCTCAGGCAGTCCAACTTGCTCAGAGTGCAGGGAGTTGCAGAGGGGTTGGGGAAATGGACTGACCATGAAGAAAATTGCTTAGGAATTTGGATTTTTATCCTTTAAATCAGTGAACTTCAAAGTAAAGTGCATGCCCTCCTAAAAGTTAACAAAATGATTCACTGGTTTACTGAAAGTAAGATTAGAACTTCTGTGAGTACTTCAACACATTTTTACCTTTTTAATGTTTACATTTTGCCTGTTTTAAGATGAACACACTGATTTTGCATAGCAGTACATTTATGCAATTTATAAATAAATATGCATATTTTGGGGTGAATTCTAAAAACTTTTATGCAGATAAGAGTGTGTGAACAAAAATGTAGAAAGCCACTGAGGAGTTCCAAGTGGGAAAATGATGTGAACAGTTTTGGGCTCATGGTGAATCTGTCTGAGAGTAGGGAGGAGCACAGACAGAATGTGGCAGAAAACAAAGGCAAGGCCAGCCAGGAAGTGGCTGCTATAGGCCAAGCAGTGTTTCCAAATTCCCAATAGATTAGTCTTTGGGATTTGTGAACAAAACTGTGGAACTCCCTGGAATTGTCATGAATTCCTCAAATCACAAGCTATTCTGTCATTTTCAAAACATTTTATTTACCTGTTTTTGAATAATAATGAGTAAGCATAATAATATAGGTAAATTATTTTTTCTGGGATGGGTTATACACTAAATATTTTAATTTTCTGCTAAAAACAGATATAATAATAAACAGCTTTAAAAATTGGACCAATATATTGTGACAAGATTATATATTTCAATAACATGTAAAAATGTTCTCTATCTGATAATAAAACATTATAAGCTGAGAATATTAACATGCAACAAATCGCTGTTAAAATCACTTAAAATTTTTAAAATACTGGCTGGGCACAGTGGCTCATAATCCCAGTACTTTGGGAGGCTGAGGCGGCTGGATTACCTGAGGTCAGGAGTTTGAAACCACCCTGGCAAACACGGTGAAACCCGTCTCTACTAAAAAAATACAAAAATTAGCCAGGCATGGTGGCACACACCTGTAATCCCAGCTACTCAGGAGGCTGAGGCAGGAGAATCGCTTGAACCTGGGAGGTGGAGATTGCAGTGAGCCGAGATCATGCCACTGCACTCCAACCTGAGCAACAGAGTAAGACTCCGTATCCCCACCAAAAAAAAATTTTTAAATACCATATTTAATATTTAAAAGTTATTAATTCTTAAAATGGAAATGTTAAATATACCAAACACCAATTGTCCTACTTAATAGCCTCAGTTTTTTTTTTCATGACAAACATTCCAAATGTAGAAAAAATTTCTTTCATTTCACATTGACATTGGTTAATTAAGACTGCACCAAACAGCATCTTGAAGTTGGATATTAGGGCAGTTGCTGCTTCATTTAAGTTTAATCTTTTTTAATCCAACGAAAGGATTTTTTTCATTGCAATGAAAATATTTTGTTTACTTGCCCTGATTTTGGTTTTGTTATTGAAATTTATAATTTATATTGCTTTGCTAATTCAGATTTTTTATCCATTTCTAATTTCCCAATGAAGCATTCCAAAACAATATTCATAGCTTCTTTTCTTCGCATTTCTTCTGTTAAAGTATTTATAAACAACTATAGCTTACAGCAAATGTTCAAACACTGGAAAACATCAGGAAATACAAGTGAGTAGTATTCAAATAACCTAACATTTGGATCTCCTAGCAAGGTTAACACTACTAGACAGAATCAAGTTTCAAAATTGCCAATTTAAAGACTTATTCTACATTCATAATGTATTATTTCTTGGAATCCCCCTCATAAGGTTTATGTAAAGTGAACCATAGGTATACATTTCTTAATATTTATTATGATTTGCAAGAATCCTTGCTTGCAGCAGATAGGACCATAGTACACTCTTGGAACACAGCAACTGCTACGAGCCAGACTGTTGGATTAGATGAGGATGACGTCCCTCCTCCACACTCCCATTCCCATTTCCCAAAATGTTGACCTTAACCTTTGACTCTCTTGTAGGGGTTTCCTGCTCTTAATGTCAATGGATTCCCTTGAAACAGTAATGATCTCTTTGTTGATTATTAAGCTTCAATCATCACAGAATTATAATACTTTTTTCCATTGTCTCAATTTCTTCACTGATTTTTCTCAAGATTTGCAAAAACCAATTTTGCAGTCAATCCTGAGAAAGAATTACTTCATGGGTACACTAAATCCAAGTGTAAAGTCACAAAGAACTAAGCTAGAGCAGCAGTAGTGGGTTACAGAGGAGGGGTGGATTGGGGTGTTCTTCTGAAAGTAGAGACAAGAGCCTGTAGTATCTCCTAAGGGATGTGAAGAGTGAGAGACAGAGGAGATTGTTCTAGAATGACTAAAAAAAAAAAAGATTTCTGGCTGGGTGTGGTGGCTCACACCTGTAATCCAGCACTTTGGGAGGCCGAGACGGGTGGATCACTTGAGGCCAGGAGTTTGAGACCAGCCTGGCCAACATGGCAAAACCCTGTCTCTTTTAAAAATACAAAAATTAGTTGGGAGTGGTGGTGTATGCCTGTAATCCCAGCTACTTGGGAGGCTGAGGCATAAGAATCACTTTAGCCTGGGAGACGGAGGTTGCAGTAAGCCAAGACAGTGGCACTGCACTCCAGCCTGGGTGACAGGGCGAGACTCTGTCTCTAAATAAATAAATAAATAAACAATTTCTGTACAGACAGGCCTGTCTATCGTAGGCAGTGCTAAAGGGAAATGTGATTAATTCATGTTCAGGTTTTCTATTGGCTAGGTAACCAACCATCCAAAAACTTAGTGTCTTTCATTAGGAAAATGCAAATCAAAACCACAGTGAAATACCAAATGATACCCATTAGGATTGCTATTTATAAAACAAAACAAAAAACAACCAAAAACACCCTCAGACAATAACAAGTGTTGGCAAGGATGTGGAGCAATTGGAACACTTATGCATTGCTGTGAGAATGTAAAATGGTGCAGGCAATTCCTCAAAAATTTCAAAGTAGAATTACTATAGGATGCAGTAATTCTGCTCTGGGATATACCCAAAAGAATCTAAAGCAGAGTCTTGAACAGATATTTATACACTAATGTTCACAGCAGCATTATTTATAACAGCCTAAAGATGGAAGCAACCATCAATAAATGAATGGTAAGCCAGTCACAAAAGGACAAATATTGTATGATTCCACGTACATGAGATACCTGGAGTAATCAAATTCACAGAAAGTAGAATGGTGGTTGCCAGGGACTGGAGAGAGGAGGGAATGGGGAGTTAGTGTTTAATGAGTACAGTTTCTCAATTTAGGATGAGGAAAGGGGTCGAGATGGATGGTGGTGATAATTGCACAACAGTGCAAATGAACTCAAGGCGACAGAATTGTACACTTAAAAAATAGTTTTGCCCACGATGATCCTGAGTGATGAGCAGGAATTTAACGATGCTGCTTCTGTTCCCAGTATAGAGTCTTCCCAGAGTGACAGCAGGAATGCCAAGCATGGGTCTTGTCCAGGTCTGTCCTGCTCTGGCTATGCAAGGTGGGCGAGCCACTTCCCCACTCTGGCCTTAGTTTCCTCTTCTGGTGAACAAAGGGAGAAGAGTGGAGGGTTCCCCAGGTTCCCTCAGCACTCATTTTTTCTGCTTTTCCATGGGACAGGCTACTATGAGGCTCCTGACTCACCTGGATTTGAACCCCAGACCTGCCGGCTCCCTGCTGGTGATTTTGGGAGTCACTCTCATGTGTGGTGGTTGATGCTGGCTGTCTGCTAGGGTCTTTGCTGGGGCTGTCATCTGCTCCACCTATGCAGAGCCTCCTTGGATGCAGGACCTGGGCTGTCTTAGAGCTTGAGCATCCTGGTAGAACAAGATGGAAGTGCATGATGCTTTTATGACCTAGCCTTGGTCACCTCTGCCATGTTCCAGTGGTCAAGGCAGTTATATTGTAAGAAAAACATGTGGGATATATTCTAGTAGGCCATTTACAAGTCATTCTTTTCTCTTCTATTTTCTTTATCCATGAAGGGCTTGAAGAAGTCAGAGAGAATCTGAGTCTTTCCCAGATCATAAGTTATCACAAGTGTAACACTGGAGACCATTCCTATTTTGTATGTATTTCAGTGTGCCTGTTTTATTTAAACAGCTGCTGCTGGTGGTAACACGTACATAAGACTGAAACACAGCAAAAGGACAAAGCAGCTTAGAATTTCCACAGTTGGAACAGACAGAAGACATTTGACACATCCACATCGTTCCATATGCTGAGACCCAAGACCTGCTGTCAGTAATCTCAAAATCATTGCAAAATGCTCTCTCATCCTACACCCATATCTGTGATCAGGATTCTGGAATGGACATTTTCTCCTCCCTCTTTTATTTTTATCTAACCATTTTTATAGATCTTCAGTAAATTTCTTTCAGGAAAATAAGATCACTGTTAAAATCATGATTTTGGCTGGCTGATGAAATTTTCCAGATTATCTTCTTTAAAAGACTACAGAAACATGATTTTACTTTCTCTTTTCATTTAGCTTAAAATTAAAAGTCAATTTTTTAAAATCATTGATCCTAACTACTTTTCCAGCATCCTAACACTGGTCACAAGATGCACAGATTGAGAAAATAAAATCACGCCTTCCAAAAGAAAGCCAGCCAAGTTTTGCCGCCTTCTTTAAAAAAGTACATCACCCACGAGCCTGATGAGATGGCAAATGCACAGCTTGAGTTGGTTCTAAGAAAAATGCCTCAGAAGATTCATTCTAAAAGTGTACTCTGACCTTACTAAGCAAGACTACAAAGTCACAGTGATACCTAACGACATCAAAATAGTAGCTGATATGAATATCTTCCTTTGATGTAATTAAGAAATACACCAACCAGTGACACTCAACACAGAGTTCTTTCCAGGTTAGGGTGAACTTGGAATTAAACTGTTGTTAGAAGAACTGTCAAGACAGTTTCATTTCTTACTCAAGTAAAACACTGAGGGAACAACTACAAATTAGAAGATACAAAGCCGTAAGGAATATTTGCTTCCAAGGAGAGAGTCAAAGAGATACAATCTCCTTACTAAAAGAAGGAAACTGATAACTGCAACTATAAACTATAACTGCTGATGATCCTTTTAACACTTCTTATACATTTTTTTAGTCATTCAAGTAATGTATAAATATATTCTTATAAAAAAGTATTAGTTGAGCCCAGAGGTTCAAGACCAGCATGGGCATCATGATGAGACTTTGTCTCTACAAAAACTTAAAAAATTAGCCAGGTGTGGTTGCACACACCTATAGTCCCAGCTACTTGAGAGGCTGAGGTGGGAGGATCACTTGAGCCCAGGAGGCTGAAGTTGCAGTGAACCACGATTGTACCACTGCACGATCACCCTGGGCTACAGAGTGAGACCCTGACTTATAAACAAACAAACAAACAGACAAACAAAGTATAAAGCCAAAGAAAACCTCTCTTTCCCGGTTCTTCCATCAATGCTCACCCCACTCCAGGTAACTTACTGCTGTTATTTCTATGCATTGTACACACATACCTATGCATTTACTTGATTGTATACATACCTAAAGAACATGATTGCTTTGTTTTATTGTCCATAAGTGGAACCAGCTTGCTTCCTTACACTTTACAATGTCTTGGTCCATTTTAGTACTTGCTAGAATTTCATAGCATGAATCATAGTTTATGTGGGCCTTACTGACTGATATTTACAATATCATTGGTCATGGTTTTTTGTTTTTGTTTTTTGAGATGGCGTCTAGCTCCGTCACCCAGGCTGGAGTGCAGTGACACGATCACGTCTCACTGCTGCCTCAACCTCCTGGGCTCAAGTGATCCTCCCATCTCAGCCTCCTGAGTAGCTGGGACTACAGTTGCATGTCACCATTCCTGGCTATTTTTTTTTTTTAATGTTTGTAGAGATAGGGTCTGTGTTGTCCAGGCTGGTCTTGAACTCCTGGGTTCAAGTGATCCACCTGCCTCAGCCTCTCAAGGTGCTGGGATTACAGGTGTGAGCCACTGTGCCCGGCTGTCATGCTTTTTGTGTACAAGTGTGAGAACTTCTCTAGGATACATAGTTACAAGTTGAATTACTGGAATGAGGCTATCTATATTTTTAATTTTAATTAATGTTGTCAAGTTACCTTCCAAAAAAAAAAAAAACTGTGATCAATTTACACCTCCAACCTACAGTATAGAAATGTATCTGTTCCCTGTCCCCCTGCCAACAGCCTGGCAGATTTTATTACTTTTCCCTAAGTATTAGTGAGGTTGAGCTTTTTCTATCTCTTGTTTTGCCATTTGTTTTTGCTGTACAGTGAATCGCTTCTTCCTATCTTTTGCCGATTTCTTACTTGGGTTATTTGACCCTTCTTTTCATTTTAAAAATTGATCCTAGTTGCTCAAGATATTTAGAGGAATTTCTAAAATTCTGGAAGGCAGGAAATCATATCTTCATCCTTTTGTATTCCTTTGGACTTACAACTGTGCTAACTTATTTTTGTAACATTTACAAAATTAAAGATGGGTTTTGCTTAAGCCACAACTACATACAAGATTGCAAAGTGGCAAATACACACAAAATAGGCATAGTAACTACACTAAAAGTTGATGTCTTGGAAAGGACTAGTCTAGCAATGTGTAGAAATATCTGGTCAGGGAATAAAAAAGATTTGGATACATTTTTATTAAGAAATTGGCATATCCTTTTTCATTAGAAATTCAAGCAGGAACAAGAAAAAAAAAACTGAAAGAATCTGTGTTCAAGGACAGACTCACAGATTGATTTGCACCATCAGGAAGCTCCTGGGTGAATGGACTTGAGCCCACTGGAAGGGTTTTAATTCTTGGTTGTCAAGACAACTGTATTCCAACAGACTGTGTCAGCAGAATTCTTCAACAATCCTCACCTTCCCGCTGCTTACAAAGGTCTGTTAATGTCTCCTTACTCAATAGACCAAGCTTTTGCATTGCCGTCTGATTAGGAGGCGAGAAACAGGACTCTGCTCTGAGAACAACCCCTCCATCTCCCAGAGTCACCTTCCTGCACTCCTGATGTGCCTCACTCAGCCTCCCTTCCTGCTCATTGCCCCCAATGCCCTCTTCCTCCTGCTCTGGCATCTCTACATTCCAAAAGCCTTCCTTGACCTTTCCAACCCAATCAATTTTCTATTCCAGCCCCACTAATCATTGAAGATTATGTTCACGCTCTGAAGCACTGCTGGCGAGAGGACCGATTGGTAGAGTCGTTCTGGAAGGCATGTCCCCTTCTCCGGAGTAATTTGGCAAAATGCTTCAAAACTCTTATGGGTATATCATTTGAGCTGTGAAGTTACTGTAAGGACATAATGCACTAAGATATATATAACCAAAAAGAGAATATGGGAAAAGGGGGTGGGGTAAGACGACAATGAGAGGTCTCGCCACAAGATGGTGTCTTAGTTTTTCTCTGTTTAGCTTTTACCTTGAACCAGGGCAGGAAGGAAATAATACCAAAATGTTGATAATCTTGGATATTGGGATTTGGGGTGATTTTTAGAACAATTACACTGTGCATTTTCATGTTTTCCAAATTTTCTTCAATGAAAATATAAAAATATAAATTGCTTTATGATCAGAAAACATATTAAAAACCACCAACAAATAAATTCAAACAGGAAAAAAAGAGGAGGAGGAAACGTATAGATGAAAAGAGAGTTAAGAAATATATCAACGTGACTTACTTGGCTCCAGACTTGAACAAATTAACTATAGAAAACATTTGTAAGATAATCAGGTTAATGTGACCATTGACTGGATACTTGATGACATGAAGAAATTATTGTTTAGTTATGATAATCAGATTATAGTTTTAATATTAAAAAAGAGTTCTTATCCTTTCATGATATATACCTAAATATTTGCAAATGAAATAATACTATGTGTAAGATTTGCTTCAAAATGATCTGGTGGCGTAGGGGGAGGTAGGTGAGTATAGAGGAAACAAGATTGACTACTCAAGTAGGATGGTGAGTACATGAGGATTCATGATAGTATTCTATTTTTGTATATGTTGGAAATTTTCAGTAACAAAACGTTTTAAAAGATAGTAACAATGAATAGCATACAGCCCCATGAAGCATAGCAGGAATAGGTAAGGGTGGCATTGAGGCAGGAGGCTGCGCTTGGAAATTAATTCCCCAAAAGTCAATTTATTCATATATTTCTTTGCCTCTGGCTTCTGACTGTCACTCTCCAACTTCTGGTGCCTCTCATGCTTTGCACCTCAAATTTGAAGCAATTTCATCCCCTGATTCTCAACCCTCTTGCTTCTGTCAAAGGCTTATAAATGATTTTTCTGTCTTGGCTAAGAGCCCCTTGGCTTGATGATCTGGAAAAATATTCCCCTTGGCAGGGCCTGGGGATCCCCATCCTCCCATCCTTCTCTAACTTCAGAAGAAACCCTTTCTAGACATAGTCAAGACCCACAGGATCTGCTCCCTCAGTGCTAAAAGCGTGAAATCAATGTCTCTTGTCCAGGACTTCTGGCAGTGGAATGTTTGTCCCAGCGGCTTCTCAATTCTCTTGCTATGTTGGTGTTATGGCTAATACATATCTGTGTTACCATCCAAAGGAGAATGTCCGCCTTTTAAAGGTAGGCGTTAGTTCTTCAAATATAAATATTGTGTCCAGGAATTCTTGGGCTTACCCGATGGTCTTAGTACAAGCGTAGCCATACACTGGGTACATGTTGTTCCATCATCCAGCCTAAATGACCCAAAGTTCTCATATTAATTTGCACTGATAACAGAAGTAAGCAATATGTTTTCCTTATATACATTTTTTTTAGTGTTTCATTCCTTTGAAAAATAATTACAAATCACAGATGGGATAGGAGTGAGAGCAAGATCTTTGCATCTCACTTCCTGGGCTTTGATAAATATGCTATATTACCAGCAATGTTAATCTTTAAATTGTTCATAAAGACCCATGTTTCTTGCTAAATATATTGAATTCTCCATTTATAAATATTTTTACGTGTGACTTTTTCAAAATATCTGCAGTATCAGTTTGAGTTGGACTATAGTTCTACACGTGGAGCCAAACTCCTATGGAAGATGGGCGGCCTCTTCCACAGGGCACTGTGATCAACACCAGGAAGGTCCAGGTCCCAAGGGCCTGTCTCATGCCTGGATTACCACTGACTTCATGGTCAGTGGTCTAGTCCCTCCTAAAATATTTTCCGCAGTAGCAGCCCGAATGATCTCTGCAGAATATAGGGGTTGGTAAACAGGTCTATACCGGTTAAGTGTATTAAAAAATATATTCACCGTAACTTTTCCTATTCCCAACCTCCTCTCCCCTCTCAATCTATATAGTTTGGATAGGACTGACTCCCATTTAGTGGCTTCAAGTGTCCACATGCAAACCAAGCTGGGCCAATCACAGTTAATAGAGAAAATTTTCTGGGACCATTGGAAAAGGGGCTCTTTTTCTTGTGAACTGTGCCTCAGATGGACTGTAAATGCAGTTTTAGGAAAAATCTTAGCTCAAGTCTCTTAAGGCCAATATGTCTTTTCCATTCAGGAACCTCACTATTTGTTACTGGAAAAAAATGAGATTTCCATTATTTTTGTGGCCACAAAGAAAAATTATAATCATAAAATTTCAGCTGTGGCTACTGCCAGTGACCAGGCTGCTGAGGTTATTAAAGCCATTTTTCTATCTTAAATGAATATAAGAAATTGTAGGCAGTTTGGGAAGAAAACTACAATCTAATATGTTTCCAGGGATCTTGAAGGAGCATCCTAACTATGTATTAAGGATGCACAGCCTTGAATACAGGGTCATCTAAAGGTTATGTGGCAGGGAACAAAGATATTTCAGACAGGACTGAGGTTGCTACTGAGGTGCAAGGAGGAACGTAAGCTAAAAAAGCAAGCAACAATTTAGTTTCTCTGTTGGTCTTCCATATTGGGCATCAAACAAAATGGTACCCCTTGGGAAACTGCCAATTTCATGAACACTTTTTGGATGACCATGAGGCCGAATCATTCTTCACTGTCTGGCTCTGCTTCTGGATTTGGTTAGCAAAATGATAAGATTAGAACGGGCCAGCCCTTACTTAGCAAAGTTGTGTCATCTCCCTTTGGGAGCATTTCAATCAAGAGATACATATTGATAACCCACTGTGTGCAAAGTACTTTGTTTTCCTGCTGCTTCTTTCTCCCTCTTTCCCTGCCTGCTCCCTCTTCCTCCTCCTCCACCTCCTTCTTTTTTAATATCCTTATAGCATAGGAAGGATCATGCCAGACTCTTTGGACCACCTCAGAGCCACAATGGTGACAGCACTATTCTTGGCACTTGAACAGAGAAGAAAGGGAGACTGAATGCAAATTGATTCCAAATTAGGCTTCTGTAGTGACTAAATATACTTCTCTGTCTTAGGTACTAGATTTGGGTCTGAGTTGCCTGGGGCTGATGCAGTTAACTCCACTGTTATCCTGCTAGTCAGTTGTCCTAGTCTGTTTTGTGCTTCTGTAACAGAATATCTGAAGCTGGGTAACTTATTTTAAAAGGAGGTTTATTTGGCTCACAATTCTGGTGGCTGGGAAGTTCAAGATAGGGGCAGCTGCAGCTGGTGAGGGCCTCAGGCTGCTTCAACTCATGGCAGAAAGTGGAAGGGGAGCTGGCATGTGCAAAGTAATCACATGGGGAGAGAGGAAGCAAAAGAGAGAAACTGAGGGAGCCAGACTCTTGTTAACAATCCATTCTCAAGGGAACTAATCACTTACCCATGTCGGGGGGCATTTATCTATTCATGAGGGATCTGCTCCCATCACCCAAACACCTCACACTAGGCCCCAACTCCCAACATTACCACCTGGGGGATCAAATTTCAACATGAGTTTGGGTGGGGACAAACCATATCCAAACCAATCCACAACATCAGTGAACAGATACTTGAGTGTCTTTTACATATATCCATCCCCAGACATTTAACAGAGGCACTGGGGATAGACAAATAATGGCACTCCTTACTCTTTAGGAAATAATAGTCTAATGGGAACAAAATGAATCATTAAATTATTCCAAGGGCTCAAATATCTTTGGATAACTCCAGGTTGCTATGGAGGCACTTAACAGGGAAGGTAGCCTTATCTGGAAAGGCAAAGAAGGCAATTCTGGGGAAGCAATGTTTAAACTGAAGGATGTGTAGGAATTAGCCAGAAGGCATCTAGGGGAGTGCCCTCCTTTCTTACTTGCCATCACTTTCTCCCCTAATATTAAGTTAATACCCTGTCCCTATTTATTGACGAGTATGGCCCTGACTCTAGCTGACACTATTCACAATGGAGAAGCAATATGTGAGAATGCAGCTCAAAGTCCCGGCTTAAATACTGACAAACTGCCCATCCTTGTGGTAAAACTCCTCTGGGCAACCAGTGGTTCTCCGAGGCTCCTCAGTTTGTTTATCTGGATTGTGCATGGATGGCAGGTTGTGGGTGACAACTCAACTCCAGTAAGTCAATCTTGCTTCCTCAGGCTGCACAAGGATCTCCTTTGCAGATCAAGCCCTGGCATCACCAGAGTTCAGGAGGCCCAGGCACAACTCCATCCTTCTTGCAATTCCACTTTGACCAAATTTAGTTTGAGTTGTGTTTCTGTCGCTTGCAACCAAGAGTCCTAATGCAATCATGTTACTGAAAGTTTGTATATCCAATATATATATATTTTGTATAGTATATGTTTTGAATCTAAATTTTAGGCTACGTTTTTTAATTGAAATAAAAATAAATCTTAAAGAAGCTACCTACGTAAAAATGAACTTCCAATCATGGTAATATAATTTACAAATATTTTATTAAAGCTCTTAAGAGCAGCTTTTCTAAATTTTTGGAATTAGAAATGTATGTTCTTGAGCCTTTTCACATTGTTTATAAGTAGGCAATTCTCAGTTATACATTTTGGTGCAGCCTGGCATCAAAGTATAGGAGAGAAAGCGTGGAAAGTCCTACCTGGAGAAATGATAAAGACACATGGCATTTTTGGATAGAGATCCAATGTGTGAGTGGGCTCAGGTGGGCCCCCTTGTGTTTATCAGAAGTTCAGGCAGTAGCCCTTAGGACGGAAGTGGAATTCTGTTCCTATTGCTGAGACAGAGCCCAACAGCAGAATAAGGAATTATGTTGTATTAGTTTGCTAGGACTGCCCTAAGAGAAGACCACAGACTGGGTCGTTTAAACAACCGAAATGTATATTCTTAGAGTTCTGGAGGCCAGAAGTCCAAGATCCAGGTTTGGGCAGGTTTGGCTTCTTCTGAGGGCTGTCTCCTTGGCTTGTAGAGGGCCATCTTCTTGCTGTGTTCTCACATGGTCTTTCCTTTGTGCATGGGCATGTCTGTGTCCAAATTTCCTTTTCTTTTTTTTTATTTTATTTTATGGAGACGGAGTCTCGCTCTGTCTCCCAGGCTGGAGTGCAGTGGCCCGATCTTGGCTCACTGCAACCTCCGCCTCCTGGGTTCAAGCAATTCTCCTACCTTAGCCTCCCGAGTAGCTGGGACTACAGGTGCACGCTGCCACGCCTGGCTAATTTTTTGTATTTTTAGTAGAGACGGGTTTTCACCATGTTGCCCAGGCTGGTCTGGAACTCCTGAGCTCAGGCAATCCACCCACCTCGGCCTCCCAAGGTACTAGGATTACAAGCATGAGCCACCACGCCCGGCCAAATTTCCTTTTCTTATAAGGGCACTAATCATGTTGGATTAGGGCCCACTCATATGACCTCATTTTACCATACTTACCTCTTTACAGGTCCTATCTCTAAATAGTCATCTTCTAAGGTAATGGAGTTAGGACTGCAACATATGAATTTGGGGAGGGCATAATTCAGCCCATAACACTTGTGGTAACATACTCTTATTAATTTTCCTTTTAGGAAAGAACTAGCTTGTGAGAACTAGTAATATTATCGTTGAAGAATGCATTATCAAGCAAAATAGAGAAGAAAGCTGCAAAATAGATGGGAGACACAAGTGGATCCTGCCTTGCGGGGAGGATAGAAGAAAGGACCCTGTAGTGACACTGAATTAATAAGCTAGCCAAAGATGTGGGTATTCAGACACACAACAGATGGGCATAGGATCTGCGTATAAAAATAACAGAGTGTGAGAGTAACTGATAAACCTGCTGTTTCTAGGGGGATTTAGATATGCTTACAGTGGAAAGAGGCCTTAGAGAACAACTTGGCAGCTCAGAGTTCTGTCTGCAGCAACCTGACACATGGTCACCAGCCTTGGCTCAGAGCAGAGCTCCAGGGGGCACACCCATCTGTAGATGGACATCTCCAAATGTTAGAAAGTTTTTTTTTTTTTTTGAGATGGACTTTTGCTTTGTCACCCAGGCTGGAGTGCAGTGGCGCAATCTCGACTCACTGCAACCTCTGCCTCCCGGGTTCAAGTGATTCTCCTGCCTCAGCCTCCTGAGTAGGTGGGATTACAGGCACATGCCACCATGCCCAGCTAATTTTTTGTATTTTTAGTAGAGACGGAGTTTCACCATGTTGGCCAGGCTGGTTTCGAACTCCTGACCTCAGGTGATCTGCCCACCTCAGCCTCCCAAAGCACTGGGATTACCGGCGTGAGCCTCTGCACCTGGCTGATTTTAGGAAGTTGTTTTATGTTAAACCTTTGATGCTACAACTTTCATTGATTAACCTCAGCAACTGGACTTCTGAAACTATGTGAAAAAATGCTATCTTCACTTTCCCCTTTGCATGCGACAAACTTCTAACCCTTGCACATTTAATGTCCTCAGTTTTCATGTTTTTGAAATCATGTACTATCCAATTCCTCCACTAGTTTCTTAAATTTTAAGATTTCAAATTTGATCACTCTCCTAACGACTCCTGTCTGCTTTGTCAAAATCCTTGTTTTAAAAAAATGCCCTAAGCAAAGTGTTCTCAGATGCAGAATGGAGAATGCTACTTTCTGTGAATAGGACGAATAGCCCATTAAAATGCTGCATTCAATTTTCATTTTTAGGAGTCACTGATGGTCCATATTTGTAGTCAAGTAACAGAAACCAGGCTGATTATTAATGGATTGCTGTATTAGTTACCTACTGCTGCATAACAAATTGTGCCCCCCAACTCCCAAATTTAGCAACTTCAAACATTTATCTCACACAGTTCAGAAGATGATCAGAAATCCAGGAATGGCGTAGGTAGGTGGTTCTAGCTCACAGCCTATCATGAGGATATAGTCAAGGTTTTGGCTGGGATTCCTGACTCTGAGGATTTGACAGTAACAGGAGGATCACTTCCAGGTTCACTCATATGGCTCTTGGCAGGGTGCTTCCATTGTTCACCAAATGGGTCTCTTCATTCACAACATGGCTTCTTTCAGACGGCATGATATCAAGCTGCTGTCTCATTACCTAATCTTGGAAGGGATGTTCTGTCCATTCTGCCATATTCTTTTGGTCACACAAACCAACCCTGGTAGAGGTGGGGATCAGGGGACCATCTTGGATGCTGACATTTGTGAAGCATTTGCTACGTGCTAGTTACTCTTCCTGTGCTAGCACTAGCTAAGCATTTTGCATGCATCGTCTCACCTAATGCTGTTGACATCCTCCCAAGTAGATGTTATTATCATCACCCCATTTACATGAGGCAAGCAAAGCTTAGAAATGTTAAGTAAATTGTTGCTTAGTAAGTGATAGAGCAGAGATTAAAACTTAGATCTAACTTCAGAGGAAAATGCTCCAGTTTTCTTACCCAAGGCCTCTTTTCATTTGGACTACTAACCGAGTCTCTCCTGACTCATCCTTGTATGAATAATTTTTTGAGTATAATTGCAGAATTTTGCATTTCATCTCTATTAATTGTGCCATAATTATTAAAAAATTACACAGTAATTTTCATTCTTGAGTCTGTCATTTGTGAGTTCCTTTCACCCTTACTTGTCTCATCTACAAAGTCTCTTATTTTCACACAGAACACGATGTAAATGGATCATAAACCAGGAGGCATAGATGTGTCTATAAAACCAAACACACTAAGATTAGAATAAAATCCTAGTGACAAAATGTATGCAGTTTCTAAACTGAAATGATTTGCCCTCTTTAGCCAGATTTTGTCAACAGAGATAGAAATGTGTAATTTGATGTAGCTGAGTTCACCCAGTCTTTTGAATCCATCTAAAACGGGCTCAATGCCTTTCTCCACTGGTCTTTGGGAAGACTAGTCTCTTGACATTTCTGCAAATTTTAGGGTTTTTACATTCTTCTTGTCTCTTGTGGGCCTAAATTCCTGTTTCCATTCGACTCCAGATCCTGCCTCCTGCTGTTCACTTCTTTCTACTCCTCAGGGTCCCAGATGTGGGACACAGCTAATCAGTTTTCCCTAAAAACTACTCAGAGATGACATCGTCTTTATACCAAACTTTACTGAACATTTGAGGAAGATGGAAGGGTTTAGCAGCAATGCAACATAAAATGGAATATTAGCCTTTCCTTTCTTAAAATGCCCTTTGATTGCTCAGGTTGCTTGATTGACTCTTTCCCTAAAACCCTCACCTCTCAATTCTCCTCACTTTAGAAAGCTTCACTCTTAATCCTCTATGGAACTCTAGGCTAATTCCTGCCTATCTAAAGATTCAATAATTTGCTCTGCTTAGGAGCAAGGAATTTGAGGAGGCTTTGAAGTTTTAGTGTTTCCTCTTCCTCTTCAGCCTCCATTCTGTTGAGCCACCAGTCTTTATAAGTGGAAGTGTGTAGTATAAATATTTCTTTTTTCCTCTGATATGACTTACATAATTTCCCTGAGAAGGCAGAACCAGTTTGGCTTTAAGTAACATTATTTTCCTCATTCTGTTACATGCAGTATTGCATCAATAGAACTACGCAGTGGAGACTGGATGAGATACTTCTTAGGTTGCCAGGAACAGTCATGGTTTCACTAGTTTGCTTGGAGTCATTTATTATATATATATATATATATATATATATATATATATATATATATATATATATATATATATGTATGTGTGTGTGTGTGTGTATATATATATATATATATATATATATATATATATATATATATATATATATATAAACAGAGATGGGGTTTCTCCATGTTGCCCAAGCTGGTTTCAAACTCCTGAGTTCAAGCAATCCTCTCACCCCAGCCTCCCAAAGTGCTGGGACTACAGGCATGAGCCATCGTACCAGGCCTGGAGTCATTTTTAATAATGCCCTTTATACTCTCAAAGTACTCTGATTTGGATCACAAATTATATAATCACTCTACTCAAAGAGGAGTTGATGGAATTTTGAAAATATGTCACTGACATGTCAATATCAAAGCAAAAAAGATTGAGGCTATCTGGAATAACTGGGGCAAAAAGATTAATTTTGGAAAAAAGTGTTTTAACTTGTATTAGTCCATTCTCACACGGCTGATAAAAACATACCCAAGACCGGGCAATTTACAAAAAAAAAAAAAAAAAAAGAGGTTTAATGGACTCTTGGGCATGGTGAGGAAGCAATAAAGATCAACTTGCGTGGCAAAGTCTGCATTTTCCACCATCAGAGCCATGAGGTAGTTCATCAAGTTTTCCCAGCCCAGACAGAGGTGTGGCAGGGGCTTGTCAGAAGCAGCAGGGTTACCGCAAGGACTGATGACCACAGCTGGCTGGGACTGAAGACATCCTAGAAATGATGGCAGCAGATGAAGATGCTGGCAAAGGCCGGTGGGATGATGGCATTCCAGCCAATGCCGGCCTGGACAGAGCTCCACTGAGGACCACCTGCCTCCTTCTAATTGATTCTGGGGCACAAGGAGACCATTCCTGCCACAACACCCAAACTTCAAGGCAACCTAGAAGAGAAGGGGGTGCCTAAACTAATCAAGAAAAGCCTCATTTAGCTGAGTTTACTATGAACTAAATTAAGTTTATGCCACTAGGTAGAATGTGAACTCAAGAGAAAACTTAAAAACCTATTCATTTGTAGACCTGAGTTTGTGGACTAAGATTATACTTGCTTCACAGACAACTGCAATGCAGTGTGACAAGGCAGATTGGTCCCTAGGTACTATATGAGGACAAGTGAGAGGTCTCCTACCCAGTCTGAGGATGTCAGGGTGAGCAAGGAGTCCCGTCTGAGCAGAGTATTGGAGGATGAAGGCTAGCTGCAGTACAGGGGTGAAGGGAACCACAAGTATACTCACAATGGCCAGAGTTCAGGGAGAGAAAAAGGGAGGCAGCGAAGTTAAATGCAATGGGTTGCTTAAGCCAAGCCAAAGACTGCAAGCCCTTTCACACACGGGGCACAAAGACTCCCATGGGACTGGAGAAGGGGAATGGCATGACTTTGTTTTCATTAAGAACCACGATTCTGGGTAAATGTAAAGAAAGGTCTGGAGAGTGGCCAACTCTGGAGACCTGCTTTTGCAGGCTGAGTTTCTCATTCTCGCTCCTGTCTTATCTTTACTATGAATGTTGCATTGATCCTAATGACTCCAAAACCTGTGCTGCATGAGAAAAGAAGGAACTTCATTCCAGATTTCATAAATCAGCATTTAGCTAAGAGCGCCAGGAATGGGTTACAGTTTAGTACCAAAATTGGTGGTTTTAGTAGCCTGTGTCCTGATAATAGAAACCAGAATGAACCGATGTAGTATTTAGCACATAGAAATGTCTCCCACACACATATGTATACACACGATTTAATGTTACTGAGAAAGGGCTTTAGGAGAAACTGAGTAACGTGTACACTTTTATTTACCAATGTTTACTTAAAAGTGACAACTGACACTGCTATGTGCAGCCCATGATCTGATGGTGGTGGGGCAGTGATTCCCTGGGCAGCCCAGTTCTGTGGGGTGGCTTTGTGAATTGCCTGAAAGCTCCCTTATTGTTTCTTTGATTCCCATCAATGATTTTGTAAGCCATTTAACACTTTGTAATAAATCCCTTTCTATTCTAAGAGTGGATTTTGCTTTCTATCCACTGACCAAAACAGCTCAAATAAGTATGTTTTAACAACAAAAAAATCAAATATGCACCAGTTAAGATCAGGCACTCTGAAGGCAACTGCATGGGTTTGAATTTCAGCTAGGTGTTCCACTATCAGCTACCTGACCCTGGACAAGTTACTTAACCTTTACGTGCTTCAGTTTCTTCATCCATAAAATGACGATGATGGTAATAACACCAATTTCATAGGGATACATTAATATAATTAAATAGTATAAGCAAAGTGCTTCTAATAATTCCTAACACATAGTAATTACTCAATGCATGTTTGGTTTTTAATATTAAAATACAGTAGAACCTTGAACAATGTGGGGGATGAGGTGCTGACACCCCATGCAGTCAAAAATCCACGTATAATTCCCCCAAAACCTAACTACTAATAGACTACTGTGGACTGGAAGCCTTACTGGTGACATAAATAGACCATTAACACATATTTTATATTTTATTTATATTATATGCTATATTCTTATAATAAAGCAAGCTAAAGAAAATAGTAAGAAAATCATAAGGAAAAGAAAATATATTTACTACTCATTAAGTAGAAGTGGATCATCATAAGTGTTTCATCTCTGTCGTCTTCATACTGAGTAGGCTGAGAAGGAGGAGGAAGGGGAGGGCCTGGTCTTGCCGTCTCAAGGGTGGCAGAGGCAGAAGAAAATCCATGTATAAGTGGATCCTTGCAGTTCCAACCTGTGTTGTTCAAGGGTCAACTATATATAGCTTTACATTGTAACAACAGCAAAATGAACTACAAATCTGTTGGAAACTTCTCAAAAATTCTCAAGGATGAACATAATTAAACCAGTATGAAATCCCTTTGGCTAAAAACAAAAGCAAACTAAAGTACTCCAAAATAATTTTGCACCTGGCTGTTTTACACTTCAAGAATAGCTTTCTTGGCTGGGCATGGTGACTTACGCCTGTAATCCTAACACTTCGGAAGGCCGAGGTGGGCGGATTCCTGAGCTCAGGAGTTCGAGACCAGCTTGGGCAACATGGTGAAACCTCATCTCTACCAAAGTACAAAAAATTAGCTGGGCATGGTGGTGCGTGCCTGTACTCCCACCTACTCCGGAAGCTGAGACGGGAGAATCACTTGAACCTGGGAGGCGGAGGTTGCAGTGAGCCAAGATCATGTCACTGCACTCCAGCCAAGGCAACAGAACGAGACTCCATCTCAAAAAAAAAAAAAAAAAAAAAAAAAAAAAGAATAGCTTATGAAGTGTGTACTTTGCAACTATGTTCTTCCCCAAAACGAGGGGAATGGGTTTCCTTTTTACCTATATTTTAAATTGGGCTAGTCACACATGAAAAATAATTGACTAACACTTGGATTATTTTGCCATATTTAAGCCCTTATAGGTTGATGAAAAGTAAAAAGGATTGAATATCCTTTAATAAATCACCCAATACTGTTTATTCAAAAGAAAAGACATTCTAAGGAACGAAAGCTAGTGTTTTTTATTAACGATAAAATCTATATTGTTCAGGAATTTTCCAGTGTGTTACAGCAATTTCTGAAATGATAAACGAACATATTTTATTATTTTCCTTTTAAATCAGTTACTTAAAAATGAAGACTGTTTAATTATTTTCTCCTTTTCTATAAGTAGGATTTTCTTTATGTCCAAATAGGACTTGGTAACTAGGATAATTTACCCCTGAAGCAAAATGACTTCACTGAAATTAGCAAATCCTATTGATGATCTTAAAGTAAACTTTTCTGGAAATGAGCTTGCTCAAATCATAAGTGAGGATTAATGTAAATGTAATAAACTGAATCTGTAAATTGGTAATGTTGAAAAGAAAAAACAATTGGGTAAGAACAAAACTGAAAACTAGCAGTGTAGCAGAAAGCACACTAGTCTTGGGATAAGGAAATGCTGAGAAGGCTGAGGGGTACATTCAATAATAACAAAGAGCCTTCCAGTTCTAAGTATTTGTGACTAACAACAACAAAAAAATCTGTTGTTTGCTAGAGAATTCTTAACTCTAATGTGAAGATATGTTCTGTGCATTTCCTTTGAACTTGGCCCTATGATTTCTTTTCTTTTCTTTTCTTTTTTGAGACGGAGTTTTGCTCTTGTTGCCCAGGCTGGAGTGCAATGGCGCGATCTCAGCTCACCACAACCTACGTCTCCTGGGGTCAAGTGATTCTCCTGCCTCAGCCTCCTGAGTAGCTGGGATTACAGGCATGTACCACCACGCCTGGCTAATTTGTGTTTTTAGTAGAGATGGGGTTTCTCCATGTTGGTCAGGCTGGTCTCGAACGTGCGATCTCAGGTGATCCACCTGCCAAGGCCTCCCAAAGCCCTGGGATTACGGGCGTGAGCCACCATGCCCGGCTGGCCCTGTAATTTCTTAAAGGGATCAGAAGCCCTGCTCTGAAGTTAGGCAGTCACCTCTGTGACCTCAACAACATCTCTACATTTTGCTTTCTTTATCTGTAAACCTAGGTTTATCAGATCTTCTTCCTGGCGACGCTGTGACAATTAAATGAACTGCTGCTCATGGGAATGGCTGGGTGACTTCGGTAGCTGGCATGCTGTCAGTACTCACTAGCACCCTGTCCTTTCCCCAAAAAGAAAGAAGCAGAAAGCTGTATTTGTTCCCATTTATGGGACTAAGAGATCAGGAACAATAAGGATGTGTTTTGCGCACTTTTACACTCATTAGAGGATGACCATATATCCCAAGGAAGATGAAGCCAGTAACTGTAAGACACAATTACAAGTTTGACTTTTCTCCCTCTATGATATGCTCTGTTCCATGAGGGCAATGGAGGCACCAGAGAAGGCAAGAGGAAACATCATTAGTCCGTCCTTCAGCATCAGGTGGTCCCACTGCTCCTGAGGCACCCTCAGTTTTCAGGGTCACTGGTTTCCTCCCTCCTGGCAAACTCTAGCCACAAGCGCTCAGACTCGAAGGTGTTGAACTCTCTTTTCTTCCTTACAAGGGTGCCAGAATTCTTAACTGCATTTGTTTATCCCAGTAAAAGTGAGTCCTTCACAATGAGAAGAGCTAACATTTATTCAATCAACAAATGCTGAGTGTCCGCCATGGCCAGATACTCTTTGACAGTCGTCACAGCACACAGAACATGTGATTAGTAAACATAATGGTGCAGGACATCAGCCTGCTAATGTTATTCCCAGGTGTCATCAAATGAGTGACAATTTGTACAATGTTTCATTAAATGCCTATTTAGAGGATAACCATAGTTGATGACACAGAAAAAAGCCAAACCCAGAATGCAAGAATCGTAGCCAGCAGAGCACGTGGAAACAACGTCCAAGTTGCAGGTAGCAGCTTGCAGGATAACCACAGTTGGCGACGCTTTCAGGCAGCTGGGAGAATTCTCAGTTGTCCATTTTATGGTTAAATGGTTTTACTAAGGTCTAAAAAATTCATTTCTAACTCCTAGACTTATGTTTCCATTACTATATAAAGAATGAGCCAAACAAATAAATAACAAAATATTCACTATGGACCCCAAAATTTCAAGGCATGAAGAGAGCCCCAAATTCTCTGTGAACTGCAAAGAGAAACCATTAGTACAGGAATAGATGAAGAAATTGTTTTTGAGTATAATATAAACATAAACAAATCTCTTAACAGCACGAGTGTCAACAAATGCTTTTGTTGTTGCAAAAACAGTCTCAAAAAGAGTGGTGACAAGGAGACTGACAAGGAGAAATGAGCTATTTTTTCATCTCCAAAATTGCACTTCCTGGTCCACGGTTCTTAGCACTGCAGATGTTGCAGAACTGTGCAGCAGAGTTCTAAAAATGCAATTTAAAAACACATATTTAAAAAATGATCTTCTTTTTCTACTCTCATATTCAGAAACACTAAGGTAGCGTTAGTCAGGGGGTGGAGAGGAAGTAATAGGATGGCACTCCTTTCTCTGGAGTTTATTTCTGGTTAACATAGGATTTAGTCTAGATCAGCTGTTACTCTGTGACTCCAAGGACACCCAACAGCAGAATACGTCTAATGTGACCTGGAGGAATATGACACTAAAAAAATGATAGCATCATGGAACACAAATCAGGCTGAGAAACACATAAGATACACAATGGCTCTCTACTGTTGTTGCTCATCTCTACAGCATGACAGCTGTCAACTGGGCCTGAATGAATTCCTTCAAATGGGTATGCTTTTATGTTTACTATAGTACATAGAACATTTCTAAATATTTTTACATTTGAAAACTAGATTAATTTTTGTTATGTGATATAAATCCACATTGTAATTTTTTTTTAACCCATACAGCCATAAGGATGAAGGGTTACAGTTTAAAGCACATTCCTCTAAGTGTGTTAATTTCCCTCTAGTTGATAGGTGCCAAGCTGCCAACTCACCATGCTGGGCATGGGCAGGCACTCCTTGTGGAACATGTGCCGGCAATGGAAGACCACCACGCTGAAGGGCTTAGCTGCATCTGGCGAGGAGGGCAGAGAAAGGAGGAGAACTTAATGCAACAAGCAAGATCATTTTAAACCAATCCCGACTGAAAGTCGAGTTGCAGTTTAATTTTCAGCAATAAGGTGCCTTTAGAGAATGGCTTATTTACAAAAGCATTCCTGAGGGGTGGTATGATCAGACACAAAACAGGTATTATAATCATGTTGCTATGCGATTCACAGGTTACTTGCTTAGCCTCTGTGTCACTTACCCAGACTACATTGAGGACAACTGTAGGAAAACCAGCAAGTGTATGTGCCAATGCGCCCCTAACCCCTATAATCATTATACACCACAGCTGAAGTTGAGTCTGTGGCTTCATAAAAATGCTTTGCCAGTCCACCTGCTACCTTTGCCAAGACCACACACTGACTCAGAGGCGGACCTGGGTTACAAGCCCAGGCTGTGGTGACCTTGCATTTTACTGCACTTGTGCTTGGGCAGATCCCCTCATCTGTTCCTGCTCTGTGTGGCCAGCTTATTTTTGGTAAGATTTAGTGTCATCAGCAGAGTAAATTTGGAGTTAAATCTAACTGTAGAGTGGGAATGTATGTGGTTCCTTTTTGCTGCAACACTGTCTGAAATGCTATGGAAGCTCACTTCTTCACCTGAGCCCATGCAGTTTTCAACAGAAGCACTTAAACATCCAAATCTAATTCCTCTAGAAAAGAACCTAAGTAGAACAACTTCTCATGGACTGCCCCATGAAATAATCCTTTAATCCTAAGTAAACATGAGGTCAACTAGGTCTTTTAGTACTTTGTTATGCTGAACTTATATTTGAAAAGCATTTGTTAGCATCCTAACAATGCTTTGTTAGTTTCCGCTTTTGAATTATGCAAATTTCTTCTGTCATAATAAACCTTAAGAAGGTGCTTTTCATTACAGATGAAGACATATATCTATCTGCCAAGAACTAGAAATAAACAAATGCTTATGTCTTTTAAAGACTCACAGTTCCAATTAGATGGCAGGGATTATGTATGTTTCCACTGAAATGTGAGATGACTTGGGCATGTAGAACCATATATCAGAGAAAAACACTAAAGAAAAGGGAATGCTACCTATAAATTTTTTTTCCCAGACATGTATATGGTTCTTCTACCTTGAAATTTAAATGCTGATGGTTAGTTTTCATTTTGTTTTTACCCTAGACTAGCAGTTCTAAAAGAAGGGCCCCTGAACCAGTGGCATCAACATTACCTGGGAACTTGTTAGAAATATACATTCTCAGTTCCTGCCCTGGAAGTTTGGAACCAGAGACTCTAGGGAGTCTGACTGGGTCAGCGATCTGGGTTCCAATAAGCCTGCCAGGTGACGATGACTCACCCTAGAGCTTGAGAACCTCAGCTCTAAGCAATGGCAGCACCAGCATTCCACTGAGCAGGATGGAAGCCACAACACTTCTCTCCACTGGGTTATTCTGAAAGTTATATAGTTTTATAAACGGTAGTTGGCTAATTCCAAAATTTTGATTCCACTCATCATTAAAATACATGTTTGGGATTTTTTTGGGGAAAACCTTCTTACCTGATGGAAGAATAGGGGAAAGGCACGACTCACAGATGTTCTCCTCTGTAAGAAAACACACATACTTTGGATTATGCCCTGTTTATACCTGCTTGGCCATTTCTGAAAGCAGGGCACGTGGTTCCATATGATTATTTCAATTTTACCCACCATCAACAAGAACACCTTTCATTTGAGTTCGGTGCATTTTCTTCAGTAAGGACAAAGAGTCAGCTACGAGAATCTTCTTGCAGCCTTCACGAAGCAGAATCTAATGCATACATTTTAAAAGAAAAGCCATCTTAAGTAGACTCAAATCTGAGGGGTGAAGGGACACTGTACTGGGGATTCCAAAAGCTGGCATGCTTGAAATACTCAAAAGGGGCACTCACTGATTCTCTTGCCCTCAGTACCCTCTTCCTGCCAAACCACTGCCAGGCTGACCTGGCCAGCCAGGATCCACTCATTACTCTGTGCGTCATTTCATCATTTCTTCCAACCATACACGGGCTCCTGTAGCATTTGTATAATCAAACATAAATTCCAAAGTCTGGCAAAGAAGGCCCTATATTAACTAACCCTATTGCTACTTTAGAGGGCTTCCTTATACAGATCCTCTTGGGCAGACTTTGGCTCCTACATCATGTGTTCATTCCATTCTTCAGATCTTTACCCAGAATGAAAACCTGCTATTCCAAAATCATCAATTTATTTCATAAATTAATCTATTTACTGCACAAATAAGTACTGGGTCCCTATCACGTATAGGGTACTGGGTATAGATAATAAACTAAACAGATACAATCTCTGTCTTAAATCCCCTTGAGGATGCAACCTATCTTTTTCTTTCCAAATCTAATCCAAACCATTCAGCATAGTGCTATGAATGTGGTGTGTGTGTGTGTGTGGTATTAACTGACTATAATAACCTTCAAATTTGGTGACTCCTGGGAGGGGTTTGAAAAATGACCATGAATACAAATATTCTCTCATAAGAGTCCTTTTCTTTATTCTTCATCCCAGCATTATAGCTTTTGTTTCTTTACACATTTTTCTTATTCCCCTGCAGGCTTTTTACTATTTCCTCCCTTCCTGCCTGGAGAATGACAAGAGACATCACAATGCTTTGGCAGCCTCAGAAGTCAGAAGCACACAGTGGAGGATGATGCCCATTTCTGGCTGGTACCAATGTTGTATTTCAGAACTGGAGGCACGATGGGGTCCAAGATCCTCCCCTGCTTTTAGGTGGGGACACAGCAGGGACAGGCGACACTTTACCTTTCATGTCCATTCTGTGGGGCACAGTGTGAGCTCCCACCCTTTGCTGGGTTTTCTTAGGTATTAGTAGGAAACTGAGAGGCTCCAGGAGGTGTGCATAAGCCAGATGTCATTTCATTTATTATTATTATTTTTTTTTAACCAGAACTTGTTGCTGCTTTTTCAGAGGGAGAAACTCAAGGCCTGAAGGACAGAGACGCTCTGGGGCTGTGCCTGTGGCTTCTCCCTTTGGGCCCTATGTGTCTTATCATACGCAGTTATGTGCAGTTACACATGTCACATCATAGAAGTTCACATTAACAGACAGCGCTGTCTCACCACAGCCCAGCTCTGAGGCTGAGAAGCATGTGTCTTTCACGGGCAAGTGCCACTGTTTAGAGGGGGCACTTTGGCTTTCTTCATACTGAAGTCACTCTCGACTTGACAAGCTAGATGGGCATTTTGCTTTCATAAGTTTTAAATTCATGCCACTGGGGAAGAAAAGTAAGGGAGCAGCCAACTGCAGCCCTCTATCCTCAGTGGTCCACGTGTTCCTCTGAAAATCCCAAAGAGCACTGGCTTTGGGTGAATCCAGCCGAAAGCCTTTTTCCCCTAATTATACAAAGACAAATTAATATTCAGGAAAACAAAACTAATGTCTAGATTAAAGTTCTATGCCTGCCATTTCTAGTATTGATGAACAGGAAATTACATGATTTTAGTATTCCTACATTAATTGAGAAACTGCCTATGAAGTTTTATTCTTTAAAATTCTACCAGGAATCAATTTTTTTTGGATTTTTAAAAAAATACATTAAAATTTTAACAGACTGCATTAAAACATACAGGTAGAAGAGAAAAATAACAAATACAGTAAGAAAGATAGCTAAGAAATATGGATGTCAGGAAACTTTAAATAAATTTAAAAGCAAACATATAAAGCTGCTTAGCCTCCAAGACAAAAATAAAAAACTTAAGAGTAATGGTTTCAACCACAACATCTCAGATAAAACAATTTTAAAAAATGGCTCTGACTCTCGTGGGTGCTCCAGGCCCATGGCATGAATTATATAAGAGAAAGGCAGGGCCAGCAGTCTAGACAGAGGCCACTGTGTCTACAAGCTAAAAAAGAAAACAGCAAAATATGCAAACCAGGAAGGAGCCATATCCTCAGCAGGATTACATTTTTCTAAACAGGTACAATCTGTCCGCCTGCAGATAGCATTTTCTAGGAAAATTCATTATTCAGAGGCAAACAGCCAGGAGAGGGGAAAGTACACAAATACAGCTTACTGCTATCTCCTACTTCATTTGGTCAAAATTCAAGGCTCCCAATCAGAAAAACAGGAAAACATTTTAAGTTTCATTTATATGATCCCAGGCAGGTATTTCAAAATATGAGACTATCCTCTATAGAATGTAATCATTTATTCTATAACATCTGTAATAATGTGTAGGCAATTAAAGGTGATAAGTGAAGGAAGACAGTACAAGATTATAATGTACTACAATCTACAGGTATTGCTTTCAACATCAGACATAGGACAAGGCATTATGTTGACTATGGATTCCTAGTAGCAACTCCATCAGTGACTCATGAAAAATGTGCTGTTGTTCACATTCATTTCACCCTCAAAAATTCATACTTGCAATTTCCCATGAGTGTCTTTTTTATAAAGACACTGATGGCCAAAAGTCAGATGCCACAGCAGTTGGCGTAAGCAGGTCATCCTCACCTCTTTTTGACCTTCACACTCATGATTTTGGATGACTGCTATGTTTCAAGGTCATCTTACCCAGCCTATCTTCGCAACCACAGACTATCATCACCTTCCCCATCTCCCTTCTAACTTGCAAATGTGATGTTCTTTACATACTTAGGGCACATGCACACTCTTCTGTTACTCAGGTTTCGATGACCAGAATGGCACTGAGCACTGCTGCTCTTGATCTGAGCACTATCTTTCATTATTTTGTGCTATTTTTCTTTTTAAAATATGAAATATTAAAAAAAAACTGAAAACAAAAAAAGACCCAGTCCCTACCACCTAGATTTAACAAATCTGTTGATATTTTCCCACGTGCTTCAGATCTCATTCCAGAAAATAAAGTATTACAGACACAGCTGACACTTTCTTGCCCTCTACCATTCCTGCTCCTTCTTTTCAAACACAACTCCAACTTCATTTAGTGTGTGTCCAGCTGAAATATACAGCTGGCTGGGGCTCATGTAACATAGATCTGGTCAACAAGATAAACATCAAGCCTGGGAAAGCAGCCCTTTCAAATCAAAAAGCAAAGCCTCATTAGGAAAAAACCCCTTGCTTCCCGCATGTGCCATATGAAGTGTGGATGTAAAGCCTAGTGATACGGCATCTACTTTGTCACCAAGAGGCAACAACCCTGAGGTACACTCTCCTGTTAATGCATGCTGAGGTTATGTCCAGTTTAGGGCTACTAAGGAAATCCAAAGGACATTCTTGTACAGATCTTTTTATGGAACTGATTTTCATCTCTTGAGTAAATACCTAGGAGTGAAATTCCTGGGTCATGGAGTAGGTGTATGTTTAATTTTTCAAGTAAATGACAAACAGTTTTCCAAAGTGGTTATATAGCATTTTATACTCCCACATATTAAGTTGGATATCTAATAAAAATATCTTCCCTCTTGAATAATAATCTTACTCTTAATTTTTATGTTAAGAGTTAGGACCAGTTTATTAATTTCCATGAAAAATTCTTTGGATATTTTGATTAAAATTTTATTGAACATACAGATGATTATTTTAGGGAGAACTAATAACATTTATGATATGGATGTACTTTTAACAATTAAATAAATGGTCAAGTTCAATTTGCTATTGATTTATGTATTATTTTTGCATTTGTGTTTTTAAAAAAAAGATAGGGCTATAATTTTCTCATACTGCCCTCACGTAATGCTGGTATTAGGGTTACACTAGCATTCCATAAGGAACTGAGGAACTTTTCCATTCAATTATCTGGAAAAGTAAATGTAACACAGAAGCTGCTTTTTATTTAGTTTTATTATTTTTAATTAATTTTTTTTGACAAGGTCTTGCTCTGCCACCCAGGCTGAAGTACAGTAGCATGATCAGAACTCACTGCAGCCTTGACCTCCTGCACTTAAGTGATCCTCCTGCCTCAGCCTCCCATGTAGCTGGGACCACAGGCATGAGCCATCACGCCCAGCTAATTTATGTATTTTTAGTACAGACAGGTTTTCACCATGTTGCTCAGGCTTATCTCAAACTGCTGAGCTCAAGCCATCCGTTCACCTCAGCCTCCCAAAGTGACGAGATTACAGGCATGAACCACCGTATCCAGCCAGCTATTTTTTAAAAGGATAAAACTTGTCTCTAAAACTGTCTATGGAATAAGTGCCTTTATTGTAGCTATACATTTTGACTACCAATGTAATTTAGTTAATGATTATAGGTCTATTCTATTTGCTTGAGTAAACTTTTACAACTTATTATTTTCCTAGAAAATTGTACAGTTCTTCTGAGTTTTCGAAGATATTGATATAAACTCGTATTCTTTGTTTATTTCAGGTGTTGAAAACTTAGTCTGCAAGGACTTTGTTTTTTACGGTTATGCTGGTTGTTTCCCCGTGCCTTTTTCTTAAACTTTATGGAATTTGCAAATACATTTTGTGATGTTTCCTGAAGGTTTATAGACTACAGAAGCTTATAAGCATGCAGTTTTGAAGATTATGTCCTCCTTCACACCAAAAGTAGTTTTTGTTTTCCAAAGTATGTCTAACTGGCCTTTCAAAGATCAATCATTTTTAACCCACTAAAAACTTTCTCACCTGTTTCCTCCTGTTTTACCCTGGTTTCTTATTCTCTGTGTTGGACAGCCTCTGATATCACTTTCAGAACTTAAAACTAGTTTGAAACATCTCTATGAAATATCTCTACTTGGTAAATTAAACAGCACCATTATTAACCTTTGCTTTGTAACCTATGTCTCTTATTAGAGTATCACTGACAATCGGATGGTTGTGGTAGCTCACACTTATAATCCCAGCACTTTGAGAGGCTGTGATAGGAGGATCTCTTGAGCCCAGGAGTTCAAGCCCAGCCTGGGCAACATAGTGAGACCCTGTCTCAACAAAGAATTAAAATAAAAAAAATTAGCCAGGCATAGTGGCGCATGCCTGTAGTTCCAACTACTCCAGAGGTTGAAGTGAAAGGATCACTTGAGCCCGGGAGGTCAAGGCTACAGTGAGCTGTGACTGCACCACTGCCATGCTCCAGCCTGGGCAACAAAGTAAGGCCCTGTCTCAAAACAAAACAAAAAGAATTTCACTGAGGATAAACCAGTCTTTTCTTTCCTCAACTTCATAATGGTATTAATTTTCATCTCAAAAAATACTTGTAGGCATAGCTTAGAAAGTACAATATTATCTTTCAGAGATTTATTTTCCTTACAGGACTTTCCTATATTTTTCCAAGATTATTCAAATCTAGGGGTCAATTTCTTCTTACATCCTACTCCAGGATTCTTGTTTTCTTGATATTACTTTGTTTCCTTCCATAGTTCTAAGTTTTTCTAAATTACATATTTTATCAACGTGACCTTTACTCTTCCCTTTTCGTCATTTTGAAGTCAACCAGCTATGGCTTCTATAAACAACCTGTTACATATTATATTTTGTGCTACTGTAAATTTAAATAAGAATGAATTTACAACACGACTGTTGAAAATCAACATGAGAACTTAGATTTGCCTTATCTTCCCCCTTTCTCCTTATTTCTCTGCAGTTCATCATCATTGATAATAATCCCAACCAAAAGCAAAACACCAGACCCACAGAGATTTTATAAAGCAATAAAAGAACTGTATATCAGCAAAGTTATTATGGTTCATTAGAAACAGCGGCCATGCGAAAAATGCCATCAAAAGTTGCCAAGTTTCTGAAATTTTTATTTTAAAAGATTCTTCGAACACTAAACATTTTGCTGACATTGCCTTGTTCATACTGCAATGCTTATCATTAGAACTGCAAATGACAGACAGCTACCTGGTTTTAAAAGCCCCCAATATGACACAGGGTAGACTGAGAAACTTTTCCCCTCATTTCTAATCCTTCCTTTAGGTCACAATGCTATGGGACTTGAATTCTTCTTGAAAAAGCTTTGCTTTCGGCTGGGATTCTTATAAAAATGATGAACTGCAGAGAAATACGAAGGGAAAGAGATCCTAAGGTCTTATGTTGGAGTTCAGAAACAATCTTATAAACACAATTGTATTTAAATTTCTAATAGCACAAAGTATGGATGTACCAAATTAATTTTAAAAGCTACAGCTGGTTGTCACAGGCCACCTATGTCACCTAAAAGCTGTGATAAGGCAAAACTGAAATAATTTCAAAAGGAAAACAACAAATCTCATTTGGTCTTAAAAGTTTATTTCATGAACATATAAATTCAAAAACTCTCTCTTAGAAGAAAATTAGGAGCTTATATACTGAGAGTCAAAAAGAAACCCACGTAGGCCCAAAAAAAGGTTAGTAAGAAAGAAGCCATTATTTCCTCTTATCCCATTTGGATTGCAAAATAGAGATATGGGAAATAAAGGACTATGGGGACTGCAGCAAATGCAAATTTGGGAAAATAACTTTGGAAGGCATGGAGATGTCTGAAATCAGTTTATCAGTTTGGATGAGGTATGTGTGTGTACATGTGTGTGTCTCTGTGTGTGTACATGTGTATATGTGTATGTGTGTGTGTCTGTGTGTATGGTGTGCGTAGTTTAACAAAATGGAAGTGTTAAGGCATTTTACTTCTCCCAGAAACATCAATTTAGATCATGAGCAGCATGAACAAAGGGCTGTGTCTCGCTCATCCCCAGGTCTATGAGACCAAATGGAGGCCCTGTTAGCACAGAACATACTGTCTGACACAGGAGGTACTCATGTATCTGAATAAATGTGTTTATAAGTCATCAAGTATATGGCACTTTGAAAACAACTATTCCATGAGACATTAAGGCCTCTGACAGCCCCTCTGTTAAGAAGACACCCATCAGTGTTGCTGACTTCATCTGAGAAGGGCTGTCCTGCTACCTAGCCCCGGCCAGGGTTCAATCCAAGGGGCAGTTGGGAGGAACAGGGCAGGGGAGGGAAGGGAGTCAAGGGATGGACAATTTGTCATTTTTTTTCTTTAAATAAATGTCATTTTTGAGGCAAAAGAAAAAACCGTGAAAAATAAACCCCAATTATACCTAAAAATCTAAGCTGCTTTATTAGATCCCAAAATAAATATTAAGGCTTACATTAAAATATTAAGTTAACATTAAATATGCAGCTGTATTCAATATGTAAAGAGATATTTATAAAACGCCTCTGTTAAGAACTTTAGAAACAAAAGATATTTTAGAGATCATCTAATCTCAAGGTTCTCAAATTTCAATACATAGACTAGTGCCAGACTAGGTGTGTAAGAAATATCAAGGTGGTTTAAGGACATGCTCCCTAGTCCTTCCCAAGAGAGTCTCATTCAGCAGATCTGGGCTGGGTGCCTGAAACTATGTAACGTATACAAGAATCCAGATGATACTGGTGTGCAGCCAGACTTCACAAACACTGGCTTAATCTAACTGGGAAGCCAAGCTCCAGAAAGCTGAAGTGCCTTACCAAAGTCTCAATAGGCTTGTTAATGGCAAAGCCAGAACAGGAGCCCACGTCTGCAAATACCATGTCCACCGCTCTTTAAAAGACAACAGTTGCCTATTTGTCTTCCATGCCAATTCTGTATGTGACTCTGGCATAAACTGCCAGTACAATGAATGCATCTCCAGAGACCAAATGGGCCCAGCAGTGAGAGATACACAGGATATGATGTGGAAGACCACACAACAGCACTATGTAGATAGTCCCTTTTTATCCAGAGATAACATAAATGAAGTACCTCAAGGCACTTCACAGACACTGCTAGAATAGAAAGGAGGATGAGAATCATAATTGTAAAACTGAAAGCATGAGCACCAAAAAGTTTTGGCACATATTTGTCTTATACATGGATTAAAAACAAAAGCATTCACAAATAGTTAAACCTAATTATAGGGAGTGGCAAATCTCATCTACAAAGCTTCTATCTCAAGAAAAAGAACAGTACAGGGTGGATTTTCCCTCCCTCATCAGGTGAGTTGACCTTATTTTCAATATGCAGAGATTCCACATTCGCACCACTTTTGAAAGTTGGTGGAAAAGGAAGTTGGGCAATGCCTCCCTTAGATTGGTAGCTGGGGAGAGAATTATCTATCTTTAAAAAACTAAAATAAAAACAGGCCAGGCGCGGTGGCTCACACCTGCCATGCCAGCACTTTGGGAGGCCGAGGCAGGCGGATCATGAGGTCAGGAGATGAAGACTATCCTGGCCAACATGGATAAACTGTCTCTACTAAAAATACAAAAATTAGCTGGGTATGGTGGCACGTGTCTGTAATCCCAGCTACTCAGGAGGCTGATGCAGGAGAATTGTTTGAACTAGAGAGGTGGAGTTTGCAGTGAGCTGAGATCACGCCACTGCACTCCAGCCTGGCGACAGAGCAAGACTCCGTCTCAAAAAAATAAAAATAAAAAATAAAAACAAAACTTCATAACCCTAGTCTTGGTCATAGATACAGACAAAATAAAACATAAATCAAAAGCAAGAGTAATGGCAAGCATTACCCATGAAAAGAAAACTTAAAACTGCCAAATTGTAGGAGGCAGAGCAGCACCAAGTGCACAGGCTTGGAATCCTGGCTCTACTGCATGACATGGGCAAATCATGCAACATCTTCTAGCTTCAACTTTCTCATCTGCAAAGCAGGGGCGAGGGCCTGCTGGGAGAACCACGTGGCATGATTCTGCCAAGTGTAAAAGGATACAAATATGGGGGTCGATCACCACAATAACACAAGTCCAGAGGAGTTTCCATCACAGTGGAAACTCCTGAGTGTTGTGTCCATCTTGTAAAGGCTAAGTTTCTGTAGTGATCTTTGAAAGTTTTGTAATCCTGTGACCCAAACCAGTGCCCAAAGCTGAACATCCTGCTCCAGAGAGAAATGTAGAGAAACCTAACTAGGCAGGTGTTGGCCTAAAGGCAATTCAGCTTTGTACCCAATGCCTTAGATCCAGTTAGCCTTAAGAATGTCTGCAGCCCCTAAAGCATCTAAGATGGACGTTTAATCTAGCCCCTGCTCCCTTTTATTTTTCTGGGGAAAACAGAGGTCCAAGGATGTGCAATGACTTCTTCAGGATCATCTACAACTTTCCTTAAGGGTTAGACTCACACCAGGGACTCATGAGGCTTAGCCTGGTGAGATTTCCACTGCACCATGACACCTCTTTAGAAGCAAGTTAAACATGCTTGCTATTTTCTTTTCCCAAGAGGTGTTACCCATAATGAAAAAAACTAAGACCCCACTCTAATTAGCAGATTTTTTAGAGATTACTTGTGGCTGTAAAAGGTAATGTAGTCACTGATTTAAAAAAGGCATGAGATTTAGTCAGAGGATCTGTGATCTGTGTTCAAACCCAGTTCATCACCTTCCCAGACTGGCAAATCACTTAACTTTTCTGAGAGACAACCTTCTCATCTGTAAAACAAAGATGATATTTCCTACAGAAGTGTTGTGAAGATTAAATGTTTGTCAAATAAAACCGTCAAAAGAAGTCTTTAAGAACAAAGATGCTGAAATTCTCAAGGGAAAAAAGCCTCCAACTACAAAAATGGACATAAACGCTCAACAACTACATGCTAAATTTATAATGTTTTAAAAATAGAAAATGTAAAAACATTAGAAATTTGTAGCATAAACTGGAAACTGGTCAGTTTACATAAAAACTGAAGTATAATTGATACCATATTGTTTTGGAAGTTATATCAAAATAAGTGCTATTTGTCCTTGAAATCAGGCCTAGGAACATTTAAAGCTTATGAAGTGCAATACATGCCACTTGCATCTTACTGACTTCATGAAGCTTTTAAAATTTGTGCAGTGATTACACTAACAAGGTAGCCGGGTATAAAAACATAGAAAGTTAAAGAAATTAAACACTGCTGATGTAGTTGATTATACTACTTCCTTAAACTATGTCATGTCATAGGCATCTAACAAACCTAATGATGCTAACCTTCGGTTGAAGAGAGCTGTTACATTTTAGAAAACGTGAAACTAAAAGCAGAAGAGTTACTCATTTCAAGTTTTTCCCACAACATTCTCTAACCCGCTTTTCCAATTAACAACTGGCTAATGAATGATCTCCCAAAGCAGTGCCCAAGTTTTAAATGCTGTATACTCTATTGTCAATCTCCCTTTAGAGATTCCCAATGCATACCAGCAAGAAAAGGTGCTGAGAAGCCCTGTGAGAACATTTCCCCAACATCTGACCATAGATCCCTACATTACTGAATGGTTCTTGATAGCCCCTGGGGTTACTGTCCCACCCAGCCCCATCACACACACAGTCACTTCCAGATTCCTGGAAATTGATGAACATGCAAAATTTCTCCCAAATTTTCAGATTGAATAGGGTTGCTAATTTTTTACTTTGCTAGGTGAGAGTATGTGAAAAACAACATAGTTTTATAAAATACAAAATAAAAAAAGAATAAAATAAAAACATGCAAGTGAAATCCTTCTGGAAATTGCAAAATGCTCTCTGGATAGATTTATTTTTACAGTGAACCCTAATAGGTTGCCTAGAGAAAGGAAACACATTAAGCGGTCATTAATACATTATGTAAAAAGAGCAGAAAAATATTTTAAACTCTTTATCTGTGAGGGAAAAATAATGCCTGGAATTCTTTGAACCACCTGCCCCCGGAGAGCATTTTCTGACTGCATTCTCCAACAAGATGCCTGAGCTCCAGTGGGGACTCCAGATGCAGCAGCTTCCACAGGCTCTGCTGCCTTCCCTGTTCATCTCTCCCTCACCCTCTGAGAAGCCACCCCTTGGTTGGGGGATTCACAGGCAACCACAGCTTTTTGGACCCACTAGCTAAATAATTCTGAACCTCCTTAACACATTACCGAACTACATACTTACATATCTTAAGGAAAAGCTCTAATTAAGAAAAAATATTTAGTAGCTTCTTTAGTAGATATTTTTATGTTAGGCATTCATTTTGCATCTAATAATAATTTCATTTTTATTACCAGCTGACTCAGAATGATGCAAATTTATTTATTAAAAATGAATGAACACTGAGATCACAGTGGTGCCCATGAGCTTGGTTCTCTGGAAGAATGACCTAGTCATAGGGATGCACTATGTGGTCTTGCAGTCATTGCGGAGGCTGGCGAAAAAGAAAGGCACAACTTTTAACCTAGTGCAAGCTTCTTGCACTACAGCTGAAAGGCAGAGGGATAATTATTTACTACTTCCCTTGGGGGAGGGTTGTTCAGAGACACCTAAATGACTTCTCATCAAATGTGGATTTGAAACCTAGAGCATATCCTGGCATGCCTGGGGTTGGTAAGGGTCAATGAAGTAAAGGTCATTATCAAGCTCACTCACACTCAGAGGCTTATAAGTTCTGATACTGAAAACACTTTCACCAAAGCCCAATCTGACCTTCAAAATTAGTGACTTCCCCAGGCAGGGACGTCACCTTTCTGGATTCCTAGGGCGTGGCATGAAAAGCCAGCTCCTCACCTCACCTCTCTTTGCCTATTAACCCATTCCCATATTTTTATTTCCTTCTTGACTTTCTCATTCTCCTTCCAATAACCTTTCTCCTGGGTCATCTGCAAACCTCCAAATCCCACTGGAAATATATGCCTATATATCGTTAAGCTTTTTGCGGAACAGGTAATCTACTTCTTTGGCTTAACGAATACCAATTTCTCTCCCATGAACCCAATTTCCCACAAAGCTCTCCGGAGTGAAGGCTGCATGATCTCTCACACCCCCACCCCCATCTTTAGACTTCTTCACTTTTAAAGTCGTGTTGTCCAGTTAATACTACTGTCCCCTGTGGAGAAGCTGGAGCCTGGCTTAGAGCACCTTGTTTCTTCCTCCTGGCCTTCATGTCCATTAGGATGACTCAGAAAGGCTGTGGCCTCAGTTTCTCTACTAATTCTACACAAATGACCTTTACCATCATCCCACTTTTTGAACACGTATACACCATGACTCCGCTTCAGAAACATTAATGACATCACACTCTCTGGCACAACCTCTTGTCCCTGCAGCTCTGCCATCCCTTTCATCTCTTACATCTGTTTTTGATGCCACCAATGTTCCTGCAATATCTTCTCCTTTCCACCCTGCCTCTTACCTAAGGCTGTCACCCTGAGTGCAGGCAGACCTCTACTTTGCAACCTGCATGGTGAATCCTGGCCCAATGGATCTCACATCATAATGCTCCTCAGCTAATAGCCTTTTCTTTTGGCTTTACCTGCAAAAATTGTTTCTAGGAAAGTAATTTCATCCATTATTAATAAAACCTCATTTTCAAGTAAATTAGAGGAAGAACAACAGTCCGAATTTTTAAGGAAATGTTTTAATTCAAGTTCTATAGAAGTTACCAGCATCCTGAAAAATAGTAATTGCTAGAGTCTTTTTAAGGAAAAGATTAAGATGCTTTGTAATTAGTATAATAATTTATATGAAAATAATGAGTTCCACTGTTCTTATGACAAATTCTGATTTAACAAGGATAATAAAGTTGCACTATTCTAGAAAACAGACAAAAGGTTAAATAAAATCCTATATTTTAACAGCTTTCAGGCAACAGACTACTGAATGGCTTCAAGAAAAATTATTACCTTACTGAAAAACATTTTTGTTAATTCCCTCAAACGGATACAATACTTATTCTCCCTAAAAATGTTGGGGTGGCCCGATCTAATGGCCACTATAACTGCTTTCATACTCGCCTCGATTCCATGTTATATTAACCATACAAATGTAAGAATGTCTGCTCAAAAACAAGTGAAAATTGGAGATGGCTAAAGAATCAAATAGCCTTCTTAAGGCCTTTAAGGTATTACTGGACAACGCAATTTTAAAGGTGATGTTTCTAATTACTCTATTTGAACAGTTTTCTAAATATCTGGGCCTAAATAAAATGTAACCATAAAATCGAAAGTTTTTAACTGATACCTAACATAAACCCTAGAAATATTTATCCAGTACTAAGTCAACTAATTCAGATGCTCATTTGTCCAAGAAAGGATACTTACTTGCAAATTGTAGTCTTGCAGAATTTTAACCAAGGAATCTCTCAAATTGGGGATCTCCATTCCTTCCTTAATACGGTGAATCAGTAGAATTGGGTCAACATGTGTGCCAATGTTGTTTAACAAGCCAGTAATAAATGCTACAAAATACCACATAAAACAATGAACATATAAGCAACATTATAATGCAATTTTATTTGCACATAATTTGCATATAATGCAATTTTAGATCAAAAGTAACTCAAAGAAAAAATTATTTCCTTCAAAGTAAGTGTTAAAACCATTTGAATTTCTAAACTCTTAAGAATTAATCTTCTAAACTTCCAAGAACTAACGCTCCTTAAGACATGAAGGAGAAAGTAAATAAGAACTGTTTTAAAACAGTTGAACAAATGATTACTTGCCTTCAAAATACAGTTTTTAGCATCAAATGGGTGTAAATAATATTTATTGACAACTGACTATGGCTCAGGTATCATATACACTTTCCTCAAATACTGTGCAAGGTAGGAATGCTGTGTCCCCATTTTACAGACAAGGGAAATGGGGTGTTTAATTTTTCCAGGGTCACACGGCTAATAAGTAATGTGCCCAAATTCACTCAGGCCAGCCTCAAGTTTATGATATGTTCTGCCACATCACTTTGCCTCTTGAGATCCTTAAACTACTACTTTATCTTGCTAGTTACAAGTGAGATTCTTTATATTGTCAAGAGGATAGTTATTAAAGTCAATTTCAGATTAAGGTAGTTACATGAACACAAAGACTTCCTACCAAACTTAAAAAAAAAAAAAAGGAAAGAGGAAATTTCAAATCACTACTGCTAGTTATTTTCAAAAGAGTTGGGTTTCTGTTAGGTGACTGCTTTTGTTTTTTCCTTTCCAAAATGGGAGACCCAATGCAAACAGTCAAGCTGAGGACCAACAAATACAAACTCTGGGTGTTGTACTGATAAAAATAGTGCAGGAAAGAGGCTAAATACTACAACACAAACATCCAAATATCATCAATGTCCAGAACAGTTACATGTTTCCAAAAAAGACTGGTAAGGTCTATACACTTAAACTATAAACACTCCCATATACAAGCTAAAAACAAAAAAAAACCACACCAACACAACCCAGATGACATTTATTCAATTTGCTTGCAGCAGGTAAAAATATGCCTCATGGGGACACAATTAATAAACTGTGTAGCCACCTGTTCTTCATCACATGCAGGTAATGCAAAGTGATGAGGCTCCAGGTTTTCCAGCACAGGAGGAGTATTGGAAATCATTACAACACACCTGGCCTATTTTTATTGTAGGTACGCTACCATTTTCTTAACCCAATGTATCTTGAAATAGTTTTTAATCTAGACATAACTGGTTACACTGAGAGAAAAAAAAGTTATAACCAGAGATGGCTTTTATGCTTACGTGGTTTGTCAATGGAATATAAAATCAAATCTTCCCACAGCTCTCCATCATCTTGCTCCTTGGCAAATTCGATTGCTTTATCAACATCATGTAATTCCTCCATAATCATCTTCAGGGCACTTCGGCTATTACCCATTCGGCCTTGGTGGGGTGAAGATGGGAGAAAGAGTTCATTTAAGGTATTTTAATAATTTTTTTAAAGAAATTGCATATCTCTTAATTTGTTTACATAGGTGGAAAGCTAAGACAAGGCTATTTTCTCATGTGACACCAACATTTACTGTCTATAACATAGCAAAATAAGTATCTCCTATTTACTGGATATTTACTCTGTACTGAGTACTCATTTAAGTGCCTCATATAAATGACATCATATAACCATCACTACAACCCTATGAGGCATGTTCTACTAATATTCCTCTTTTATAGAAGAGGAAATAGAAATGTTAGTAGCTTGCTAAGATCATACAGCTACTAAATAGTACACTGTGAATTTGAAGCCAGGTCTGTCATACTCTGACTTACTTTTGATAGACTTATATATATTCTGGAGGTCAATACCTTCACATGCAGATACACTTAAAATGTTTAAAGGCCCTAAAGTCATTCTGCCTCATGAGGTAGCTGTGCATACTGCTTTTCTGATACACTTTGTGCCAACTGCAAACTCAACTATCAGAGGGCTTCCTCATTTTCTTCTCTCCCACGTTCAGGGGAAGGCCTTTCAATAACCCTCATGAGATGAAAGTATTTATCAACCATGCCTTCTATTGGCTAATTGTCTTTACATACTTTGCTCACTGACCTATGGCATTTTAATAGTTTAAAGTTTTCCATGAGTTTTTAATATAGTGCATGTAAGAAAGCCTTACTCAGTGGAGGGACAACAACTGCCTGGTTGTAGGTTGTCACCCTTACCCCTGTCTCTGGGCTTGCAGGAACTAGTAAAGGATCTTGAATCCTTCCCCCTGCACACGGCCATTATCAACTGATAAAAGCTGGCTTGTGAATGAAATGATATCCCATTTGATACCCCTTCCACAGCATTTTGTGTTTCTTACAAATATTATTTCCACAGTTTATGTCTCTAAAAATGGTTAGTTATTTAAAAATGTTTACAGGATTATCAAGTTTTTATAAAATCAGACTATATGTCCCTAATAAGTCCTCTACTGCTTCTAAGACAATATGACAAAAATTTATTCCACCAAAATATTTCTTGGGGAGAACACTGTTTGGAATTAGTGAATTGATGAGCTACCTAAAATTGTGATTAGAACCCCAGGAACATGCTGAAGTAACAAAATGCAGCCCCAAAAGCACTTCTCCTAAGAAGGGCAGGTGCTATAACTGGACAGTTCTGGGTTTGTGGCTGAGCACCCATGAATCTGCATACACATAAAAGGGAATAGAGGATTTGGATTATTTTTCAACAGAGGCAAAGAGGCCAATGAGAGTGAGTGCTGTATAAGGGAAAGGCGTAAAGCGGAAAAACCCTACTGAGGTCAGCAGGGAAGTGACAATGGAGAAACACCAAATATGAATGTTATGTTATATGCTACATTATGCAATCCTCAGTACAACCCACATTGTTGTCATGCACGTGGCTCATTTTGGAAGAATGTGAAAAGATGACAAGTTTTGTTTCTTGGTATGCATGGTACAAAAATTGTGACTCATGTGGAGGTAGGAGCCAGAAGACCAGGAACACTGACACCTAGATTATATTAAAAAGCTCTCCTCCTTCTCCAAAACTATGGTATTCAATTGCATTTCCTCTAGTTATTTAGGGTGTGATTTCTAAAAGTGATTATTTATTTTCTACCAATATGATGGTAATATAAGCTGATTATAATTTTTTAGAAAATGAAAAAACTTGTCAACTCATCTACAACTTAATCTATGTTGTGAGGTATAAACTGATAAATTTTGATATGTTGATTATACATTGCCAATATGTTATTTCAACATTTATGAAACAACTCTTCCTTCTTTACTGTGCTGTGAAGTCTGTTTCATATATTAAATTATTGTAAAAATAGGCTCATATTCTGTGTTACGTTGGTCTAAAACCTATGTCCTTTCTTACACAATTTACTTCATGTTGTCATCCCATTTCTTAGTTTATGGGGACCAAAATGAATAAAAGCTACTTACTCAGAAGATAAACTGTCTCTTCTACAAAGTTTCTCTGTTGACAGATCTCAAGAGCCTTCAATTAAAGCAGGGTAAAAATGTTACTATAGGCGACCAAATAAGAACAAACAGTAATAAAGTCATTTAAACTTACACTTGAAAGAATTTTTCCACAGCTTCTTTAAAAATAAAACAAAGCAAACAAATAAAGAACACATCTCCCTAGAATAGCTGCACTCAGTTACCTCTCAGAGGTACTGGACTCTACACAATTCAATTTAAAACATATTTGAAGCTACTCAGAACATTTCATGAGCAAGAGTAGAAAACAAGACACCAAATGAAAAGAAAGGGCCTTTCCCACTAAGCTTTCTCTCTTTACACTACTTCAGGTTTCCTTACAGCACTGCTTCCTTCCAAATCTGTAGTCATTTGTTTAAGCTCTGTTTCCCTCCATTAAGATGTAAGGAATGTTGCTCATGGTTGAACTTTTCCTAGTATTGTGCATACCATAAGCTCAGGAAATATGAATTCATGCTGCATGAATGAACGAATGAATGATTGAATTTACTAGGAATATTTGTACTGCCAGATCACAGGGGCTGAAAGAGAACTCTGCTCAAGGATCTGTCAAAGGTGAGAAGGAAAAAACACTTTTGATGATCAAGAAGGATCCAAAAAGGAGCAACTATGCAGATGAGAGCATTTCCATTAGTCTTAAAAAAAAAAAAAAGACCTACTATATATTGATAAATTACTTACTAATTCTAAATTAATCAGGATACATTTACTATATTCTCTGTGCTGGGTGCTAGAGGGTCAGGTTAGATAGAGATGCAAAGATGACAATAATAAAAATGTTAGTGATGATTATAGGTAAGAGGAAAACAAAGAAGAGAATAATGGAGGAGGCTTAGTAGGAGCATTAGCAGCATGAGTCCACCCCCGGGAGCTCAGGGTCCAGGAAGTGACAGAGATGTGACAACGCATTATTCCACGATTAGAGTAACATGAACAAAGGGCCATGTGTACAGAGGAGGGACACTGAAACTGTGTGGTCCTCTTGTGAGAAGCTTCAAGGGGAAGTGGCATCTGAACCGGGTGCAGTATGATGAATGAGTGCACCTGGGAAACCTTATCTCATACCCTGCCTACAAAACTTTCTATTGCATCGCTCCACTCAGACTTAAAGCTGAGAATCTCTACCACGACTTACAAGGCATCCACAACCTAGCCCTTAATTTCTGTGCAGCTTCACCTGCCTCTGCTCACCTCTCCATTGCGTCCCCTTGCCTGAAATGCTTCCCTTACCCTGACTCTCCACTATTGGATGGCACTACCTTACGTCATGAGGTCAAGGTCACCCAAGGTGGACGAACAAGAGGAAGGAGCCCCGGTCTCTGACCCCGCGGCATGGTGCTCTCAGCAGGGCCACTCCACCAACACTTCCACGTGACAGAAAAAGAAACTGTTGCTCTGTTAAGCCACAATTATTTTGGGATTTTTATCACTCACAGTTGAATCTAATCCTAGCTAATACCGAGAAAATCTTCCTTTATTTTGATTAAAAATATGGTTTACCTATTCCTATATGGTCTTGCCTGTCAATCACCATTGTAAATGATGAAACTTTCTTACCAACTCTTCACTCTCCTGCAGTGATACTACTGCAGAGACAAAAAACATAAGTAAGAAGTTAAATAATAAAGCAAAATAGTGCAAATACATCAGAGGACACGGGATTCAAACAAAAAACCACTGAGAAGCCAACTGAGTGCCTAGATTTGTTCTGGGTGTTAAGATACAGATAGTTTATAGTTGAGTGGGACTGCCATTCACAGATAAATAGAACACTGTAATACAACTGAATAAGGAGAATGTTTAGAGAAAGATAGTCTGACTAATGATAAGCATTTATGCTGCTTAAAATAATTTATTATTAAAAGGTATCCATGAATCAATTCTGTACTTGGAAATTCACTTACACACTTTAAAATACCATTCAAGATTTCAGACAGAACCATTACCCATTTTCTTCTGCACATGAGAATGCTTAAGAACATGCTAGTCTCAAACCACAAAAGAGTTTGCAGTTTGAAGCCTCACCTGAGTTATCCAAGACAGCAGCCACTTGCTCTATGTGTCTATTTAAGTTTAAATTGATTAAAATTAAATTAAATTGAAATTCAGTTCCTTGGTAGCAATAGCCAGATTTCAAATACTCAATTGTGACATGTGGTTGGTGGCTACTATGTGGGACAGAGTAGATTATAAAACATTTCCATTGCTGTAGAATATGCCATAGAATAGCAAGGCTATAAGATCCTGTATATACTTTCAAAAAGGAAGTCATGTGGGAAGAAATGTCTGAAGGTAAGCTGAAGTTAGGAATGACACGGAATGTAAGCAGATGAGTATCACCAAGTTCAAAGATAATTTGAGTCTCTGAAATTTCAATTTCACATAATTTTAGATGTTTCATGATGAGTTTCTAACAGTATCTTAAATTATCCTCTTCTCACAAATGAGAAAATGGACTTTAGAAATCTCTAGAAATTTTGAGTAAAGTATAAAAAGAAAGCATTTAGATTCTTGAATGTTCCTGGACCATGGTGCTCCCTCTAGAGGAAACAGTAGGGAAACTAAGATTTTTAAAGTAGACACACACAACACATGCGCGCGCGTGCGCGCACACACACGCGGACAATGCAGTGAAAATAGAAGTGAAAAATCAGAATAATAATAGAACTTGAGTAAAAAATGATGCAAAAATAATATTTTAATTCTCCTCTTTCTGATTTAGTATGAAGGTAAAGAATGAAGTTAGAAAACTGAGGGTAACTAATAAGAACCTTATCAAATGTAAATTAAATAATTATTTCTACCTATCCTTGATCTCGTCATCTTTTATCCAATCTTCTCTTTAAATTTCTTTAATGAAAATCTGCAAACTTGGCATCTCTCAGCTTTATTCTTCCGAATTCAGAAATACTGCCACCTTGTGAATACTATTAGATATGAGAGCGATCACAAATTCCGGTATAAATCTGCTGAACTATAAAACTGATGATCTGCTCTTAACCACTCTAGGCACAAGCAAATCAGATTTGCAAAATGAAAACCAGTGCCTGATGACCACATCTGTAAATTACAGGACAGTTTAACAGTTAAAAAAAATAATCTTTCATGATTCTTGCAATACTAGGAAATATCTTATTTCCATTAACTTTTTAAACCTGAAAATGATTCCCCAACATAGTGGAAAAAATACAGAGCCTAAAATTAAGTCATCCAGGTTCTAAGTCTTGGTCCCTCAACTTATTAGCTCTAGACTTTAGGCTTTTTTCCAGCTCCCTAAGACTTGGCTTGTCATGTATAAAACGACTCTATCCACCTAACTGCACTTTTGTAGAGATTAAATAAAACAATATACATGAAGGCACAACATACATTATAAAGCACAAAAGAAATACAAATAATTTTTATTATCTTTAAAAATTGCTGTAGATATTATAAATTCCCACAAACTCTGTATTTCCTTTAGAACAAACAATTTCATAAAAGTTTATGATTAATTTTTGAATTTCAGAGTCGTGGTGATTTTAAATCCTGAACTCTGGCCTTTGATAACTATAACTAGGGCTTTTGATGTGACGTCAGGATCTTTCCAAAGTTTTGGGCCAAATACTATTGATTGTGGGATTTCAATCAATTCAAAATAAGGTTAACCTAGATTCTTGAAGATTTCAATCAGTTGCCAATCTGAAATCACCTCCTCTCAACAATTAGCCAATTGTTGGCAAAGGAAGACAACCAAAGGAAAGACAACCAAAATTAGAAAGATATAGTGTCTTCCCAGTAAAGGAAGACAACCAAAATTAGAAAGATATAGTGTTCTGCCAGAGGTAAATTATAAACAACAGTGGATCAATGGGTTCTGAATATGCCTTTGAAAGCTTAAACACTTCTCATTTAAAGTAGAAACAAAGAACAAAAAATCCTCTTGTACCAATAGGACTCAACAATCTCTAAATTCTAAGGAAGCAGACAGAAATTTCTTTGGGGAAAGGGAGGCTTTATAATTTCAAAGTTCTCAATTTCATATTCAGGAGAAAAAGAGATCACATTTTCTATGAGTCGCTCTTTATACAAAACAGGCAGACAGGTATTCCGTGCCCTTTACTAGCAAGCTTGGGATGCGTTTAATTGGAGAAATCCACTTTGTCATTCGCAAATTGGTACATACGATAGCTTTTCATGTCACATGTAAACATAAAAGGGATTTGTTTCTAAGATGACTGAGTATATACAGAATTCTTTCTTATTATTCTTTTTTATTTATTTAAAGAGAGTTTTGCTTTCTCGCCTAGGCCGGAGTGCACTGGTGCAATCATAGCTTACTGTAACCTCAAACTCTTGGGCTCAAGACTTCCTCCTCCCTCAGCTTCCTGAGTAGCTATGAATACTGACTGGCATGTACCACTACACTGGACTAATGTTTTTATTTTTGTAGAGACAGAGTCTTGCTATGTTCACCAGGCTGGTCTCAAACTCCTGGCCCAAAACTATTTTCCCACCCTCAGCTTCCCAAAGTGCTGGGATTAGAGGTGTGGGCTACCACACCCAACCAGAACTTACTTTAAGGAAAACGGAGTGAGAATCTTGAGTTAGTAATACTGTCATGAACCTCTCCTTTAAGACAGCTTTGGGTACCTGATAGGGTAGAGTGCTATGTTTTCTACAAATATACAGATTTCCCACAATAGGTCCTGACAAACAGATAATCTCTTATGAAGAAGTCTCAGTAACCTGAAACATGAAAACCCATTTAGGGAGTCCTAAAAATATGGATTACTACTTGATTATCTTATAATGGTCTGTTTCACCATTACCACCTCTAATCCATGCTCAAAATTCTCTTTCAGTGGGACACGAGATAAATTTTTAAAAATAACTGTGTCTAAAACATAATTGGTTTTACTATGCTTGTGCTGAGTTCTTTTACATTCAATATGTTGTTTCCAGTGGACCAGAGAGAAAAATTCTACAAGGTCTACACAAATGCTCTAAGCAAGCCATATGTGTAGGAAGCATCACATGCAGGTCTGCAACATTCTGCTGCTCCCTACTGGGTGAAGCAGGGTGTCTTCCACTGAGTACTACTAGACCCGAAAACTTTAAACCAGGTGGGCATAAAGTGTGTGAGAGATATAGAGATACTGGAACCTGGGTGGCGCCTCTGCATCTTGTGCTTAGGGAATGGGAAGGGCTGTTAATCACCCACATGTGACCTCTCTGTCTCAGAGGTCAATGGGAGACTTCAGGAGACTGCCACATCCTCTCTGAAATATACAATGTTCTCTTGAAAAGTGAGAAACAAATGAAGGAGCACTGTTCAAAGAATAAGATTCTCACTCTATTGCCAGGTTATAAAGTCCTATGTTGAGAGAAGAGGGTAGTATCTGTTTTTACTTTTAGAGTAAGATAATGAATTTCCAAATTAAGTCCTCAGAAAATGTCTTAGGGCCCCAAATATAAAATGCTAATGTCGTTTTATAAGTTAACAGGCAGGCAAGATTTTTTTCAATAATTGTGGACTTTAAAAATCCATTGAGCTAAATTGGTTCACAGTACTCCAATGCATTTAATAATCATGGGCTAAGGAAGCATACACGGAAGTTGTAAGTGTACATAAACTGTGTTATCATCCAGCTTCTTTGCACATATCTCTAATGGGTCAAATATGTTTTTTATTTTGTTGGTCCACACAGCTGACTTTCAAAAGTATCTGGCCATCCAAATTTAGTCAGACATTTGTAGATGTTAGTGGTAGATGGTATTGAGAACTGTAGGACATAATACTGTTGGCTTTTAGGCTGCCCAGTTGTTAGCACATATATAGTTAAGTACTTCAGTTTATTTTGAAACAGCAGTCTCATAAAACTTACTAGTCCTTATTTAGCCCGAACTAGGATCTTGCATGTATATAATTTATTCATTCATTCTCTCACTCATGATGCAACACACATTTAGTAAATGTCTAATGTGTGGTGGGTACTAGATTTACCAAAATGAGTAAGACAAATTCCTTGTCTTTGAAGAATTTCCAGGAGACAGAGACTAGTAAGCAGATAATTATAGTGGAATGTAGGATGTAGGAGAAACAAAGAAAAACATAGGGTAGACACTTAAAGAAGATAGGATGCAGGACCTAAGCTATGACCTCAGTTTATCAAACCTGATTCCTGACTGGAGCAACTGCTTCTGGCTTAGGACAGTCTGTGTCTCCCTCCCAGGCTCTTGACTCTGAGGTGTCACTCTGATCCTGGGAGATGGACTGAGACTTCTAATATATCATTTTTGCCTGATGGTTGATTAAGTCCTAGACCCTGGATTAAGCTGTTCTTCCAATTAAACCTGTCACAGAAATGCTTCAGCTCTTCACCAAAGTCTAATCCAATGAGATCTCCTTTTCTTGACAGAATGTCCCAGCCAAAAACCTACTTCTTTGAGAGCAACAGTCTTCCCCCTGGAAAGGGACAGATGAACAGAGATAGAAAGAGAAGAAAGACAAACAACTTACCATCAATGACAACCTCTTCATCCAAAGTGTACAAGTCGGGGAGTCTGTGCCTTACCTTTTCAAGTGGGCAATGGGTACTGTCTCGGAGAAAGGGAAGTAAGTTTGGTCGATCATATTCAGCATAAAGACTGATCTGTTTTTCATGGTAACGCTGCCCCTTATGGTGGTCTCTCTTGAAAAGCTTATGCAAATACTAAAAGGAACAAAAGATAAGCCGTGACCCATTAAAATGAGAAAAGCAATACCTGGCTAACATTGCTATTTTTAGCTCTAAACACCTCCCATGGACAGGTTGGGGGAGAAGCAGTCTTCAGGGAAAACCTCTAGGTGATGGAGAAGTGGAAAGGAAAACCCTTTGGGAGAGCAAAGGATTCCGATAATTTCTCTAGAAGGGCCCCAAAACCTGACTCTGCCACGTACCAACTGTGACCTTAGGCAAGTCACTAATCTCTCTGAGACTCAGTTTATCTACAAAAATTTTATTGAGTTACTGTGACAATTAAACGAGTTGCCATTACGAAATCACTCAGAACCAATGAACTTAGCATACACTAAGAACTACAGAAATGTTAATGACAGTAGTTGTCAATATCATCATTGGTATCTGCTTTGGCTCAGAAATAAAAAGATGAGTGGTCTTCCCAGATCATAAAAATTATTTTACACAAAAGAGGGTAGAGTCCTGGGACAAGCACATATTCTTAAAAACTCAAGTAGCGGGCACTAAACTCATTTCCATACATTCTGCATCTCCTCTTTGTTGACTCTTCAAATGAAATGCTGCCTAAACTGGTAACATCAAAAACAAAAATACAAAGTAAAAATCAAGAAGAATGCAGGTGTTCTGAAACAGTTTTCAAAACTGATTCCTTACCTTAGCTGTCTGAAAAAAAGTTAACTTCACAGGAAATCAGTAATTCACTTTCTCCTCACAGGCAAGATTAAGTCTATCAATACAGTACTCAGAAGTCAAAAAACAATTCAATGTTTAGTTAATATTAAATGTAAACAAAAACCCCACAATCTACTGAAGACAGGAAGACTTAATCACCAATCCCACGAGCATTAACACCTTGGGTTGCTGTTTCCAAGTGGATTGGTTTATAACAGACATAGAGCACCAGCCGCCCTGCAGCTGAGACTGTAAATGCGCTGATGTTTGTTATTGCTGTTGAATCTAGTCACAATGACGCCTAACCATGGACACATGCACCTTAAGAAACCAATCTTCAGGCTTCCTGTTCACTTCTTCCTAAGGCAAAACGGAGCAGTACAAGCAGTAGACTGAACTCATGTGCCAGGCAGAGGTCTGATGAACACCACCGCCAGTCCACTGGCACTGGGGTCAGTGTGTTAGCGGGGATATGTGGTGCTGTTTCCCAGAGTGCAAAAAGGACAGGGAGGCCCTGTCACATGAATGCTGAGTCAAATTTATATATATAGAAACAAGACATTGCCTGGCAGGGAAGATGAGCCATGTTAGTGTGGGCTGTGCCACCACTTCACCATTGCACTGATTACATTGTCGCACAGAGAGCTACTGCCCATAATCCTGTCTCCTGGCTTAAGTAAGTCAGAAATCACTGCTTTATAAATGAATTCCTAAGGTGGTTAGCAATGTGGAGCCTTGCTTGGGAAGCAGATAATCTTGAGATTTCCAATCATGAACAATGCAGCAGTAGCATCTGAGCAAAAGAGAAAAAAAGGTGCCTCTCATTCCCTTCCTGCAGTCTTCAAAAGCTTCAAAGCAGAAAACTGACTTTTGAAAAAAATGCTCTATTCCCTAAGCCTCCTCCTAGGGTGCAATGAGATGGGCAAAGATACAAGTGCACTTATTGTATCTGATACCCATAGTCCTACTGATATAATCCCTAAGTGTGCTAAGTTTTCTCTTGTATAACTTTTAAAGGACATAGAAAACAACTATTCCTGCTTTACTCTCATGATGATGCAATGCAGAGAATTGAAGTAGCCCCCCAAAGAAATCTAGAATAACAGGCCTTAATTACACAACCACCAATAGCACACAAGAAATATGGAATTAGCTATTGTCATGGTGAGGGACAAAAGAAATGAGACTCTGCCCTTTTATCGCTCTGTGGTCTGGATATGGAATGGTTGTCTGACATTTCCTTAGCAGGAGAACTTGGTACAGTATCTGCGGTGCCATACTGGCCTTTACTGTGATATATGCCATGGTTATATTTAATGGCAACTACAGAGGGAGAGTGCTTATTCCTAGACACAACATAACACAAAAACATTCATTATAGTTAAATATATAGTTATGTTACATATATTTATATTATAGTAATATAATAGATAGATTGGTAACTTTTTTCCATCACAATTCAATTGTGGGTCAAAATTCAACTGCCTGATCTACAATTAATCCCTGACCTTGAATTCACAGCATATGCTGCATTTTGGTAATTACAGAACATTGTTTGTGGTGAAACCTCCAACTGGAATATTAACCTCCTTGAAGAATTCACTCCAGTATCCTCCTCGCACCAATACTGAAAGGTGATTCACCCACTGGTCAATCAAAAGGGCAAAAGGAGGAGACTGCCATGCTCACCACATGCTGTAGCTCTGGTCTGTCTTCCAATTCTTCCACTACCTTTTTAATCTAGATAAAAAAGAAAAGTTTCAAGGTGGAGTCATGAGGACAGAAAGACAGCTACAAAATTATCTGATAAACTCTCTTCTTCACAGCTATAGGAGTCCCAGACGTTCATCTGGTAACACATATAAAAACAAATGACACTCACTGAAATTTTATCTTCATTGTCCAAAAGCATGTCAACAGCTTTCTGAAACATATAAGAAAAGCCACAGTCAATGAAATCCGTTATTTAAGAAGAGAAGACTAAACACAATGCAGTGTACCTACCACAGTTCACAGGTGGAAGGCTTATTTTGTATACTTAAGGAGGCCCTTGGCTTTACAATGGCTCTTATGGAAAATGACATTTGTGAAGAACTGCATTTTCAAATGCATCTCAATCTGAAGCCTATGTGTTTTGCACACTACTAAAATGGTGCTTTGCTATAACTTCCCAAATACAAAACATCTTGACTGCCCATATCCTAGCCCCCCGCCCTCCGATGTCTCGGATACCTTCACACCTTCTCATGAGACTCTCAGTAGTTATGGAGAGCATCTCTTTACCAGTATATCAAGAAAATGAGCTTTTCTTCCAGCTACTTCAACCTCGACCTAGTCTCCCTATGAGACTCCACAGACAGAAGGAGCTGGTTTTATGAGGAGAAGGGAATAAGAGTCAGAAAGAGAATGAGATACCTGAAGTTTCATAATGACATAAAGCTTTTGGACTTTCAGAATTTACTTTAGCCACTTTTATCATTCAGGAAACACAAACTAGACAGTTTATGTCAAGAGGAAGAGGGAAAGCAGCACACCAGACTGAGCCTCACACGGAACACCTGGGGGCCCTGTTCTAGACTCTGCTACGACCTAGCTGTCTGCTCCAAATGTTACTTTTGTTCTCTGAAATACGAGGGTGTTGGAGTAGATTATCCCTAAGGTCTCTTCTAACCAGAAGACTCTGATTCCTTACATCTGGATCACATTCTAGAATAGCAATTAGTTTCAGCTCATTCATCTTTTTTCCACAGGAACATATGCAAAACGAGCTCTGGAGAACAATGGAAGGGGGTGCATGAGGGGAGACTAGATATGAGGAAAATGTAATTAATTTTTACATAAGCATCTCATCCTCTGCCAGACAAGCAGAGCCTCTCTACCTGAACTTCCTTGGAGCTACGTAATTCTTCGTAAATCTGTAGTCCCTAAAGACTTGACTCAGTATTTTAAAAAGGGCTAAAGCATCTTTGAGAAAAAGACGTAGCTCTAGCTCCTATCTAAATTAAGTTTAAGTTGGTGGAGATTAATATAGCACACAATATCTCTAAATACAGTACAATATAATTGAAAAATGCATTAATCCTTTTGGAGCCTTTAGGGTTCTACTTTTAGGTTTATCTAAAATTTCAATTTTTTGAATAAGAACACTGTTTTATAAACCTCATTATTTCTGTCATGAGCACTTGTAATTAGATTTCTTTTACACACACACACACACACACACACACACACACACACAGCTTGCATCACTTTGCAAGCACCAATGTGAGCTGTGGCTGGGTCCACTCATTAGGGGGCGTAAATTTATTATTAGGTTATTCAAATTTGTCACACAATAAAATAACATTCCACATGTCCTGGACATGAGCATCACCTCAAACCAGGGGAAACCCCACATGCTGGATACGTGAACACCAAGAAATAAAATAGTAATAAGTCGGTCAAGATGGAAGTTCACTTAATTTTAAAATTCTGGAAAACAGGTTAGGAGGGATAAATGAGTCAAAGTATATACGTGGTTTGTTTCTATAAATTATATGAATTGTTTTAGCAAGAAATTACTTTATATGCGCACACACACAACTTTAAAAGTTCTCTATCAACTTTGAATTGCTTTCACAGAATAACTACATTATGAAAAGGATTCCTGAATGCCAAACAACTAGAATAACAACATCTAGCGAGGGTCAGAGTGTTCTAAAGATTGTCGGCATAAAGCCAAGTTATGTGATTCATTCACCAATCCAGCATTTGGATAGATATCTAAGTATTAAATATTTGGAATAGTAAAAATAATTGACAGTACTAAAATAAAAAGCACATTACCTCTGAATCAAAATCCATTAATAAAACAATTTTATCCTTGATAGAACTGAAAAGATTATGCTTGTGGATCAACTGAAAAACGTCTTTATGTCTTAATGTTAAGTATATTTCCAGAGCATTGCCATAGTTCTTGTCATAGGTGTACCTGGTAATACAAATTTTTTACATTAATATTCATCAACAGTTCTAATTAAAACACACACAGAGAGATCATGGTTCACAATATTAAAAATGGAAACACTCCTTTAGAGAGAAAAGTTAACTTTATTTCAAAAAATATTCCTATTTTTGAATAGGATTTAACTATACACGACCAATAAGTATTTCTTTCTCAGAACTTTGCCTCTCATGTTGCCAAAATTTAAGAAAATTCACAATATTCAAGTAATAAAAATGGTCTTTATTGGGGGTCTCAGTCTCAAAAGTTTTACAAACATCCATACAGCAAAGAAACTAGGATCCAGGATGAAGTTCTCATTTTAGTAACAGAAACATCCGTTCCAATTCTTACAAGCAGTATTCAGCTGACAAATGGCTAATATTCCAAAAGCTGATTTTAAGGGGGCTGTGTCTAACTGAAATGTGTTTTTCCATTGAAACAATGTTTTTCACATTAAGTCCCTAAGTCAGCTCTTGAGAGCTCACTGAACTGAAGCTGTACTGTTGGTCCATTACGAACGTGCTGCAGACTCTAAGGGGTATCTAACAGGACAACGTTTCCAAGAGAAAATGATTAGCATTTCAACTTAGAATGCCATAAACACAACCTCCTCTTGTGGAAAATCCAACACGTCCAGAGTTCTAGGTCATTTTGGTATACCTTTTTTGGTTTTGGGCAAAAGAAGAAAAAACAAGGGAGAGGAGTGGCCTGAGGTGATGGGGGCACTGAGGAGAGGTGGATGCAGGGATGGTCGTCTTGGCTAGACCTGCAGTATACTTCTTGTTTCCCTAGATCGAAGTACTTGAGAGCATATCTTATCTATCTCTGTATCATAAGCGTCTCGCACAAAGCCTGCATCACTGAATGTGCCCAAGAAATATGAAAAATATTAACCAAGCTGCCATTTTCTGAGCCCTGACTCAGGGTCAGGGAGTCCTCTATTATGACATCTCTTTTAAAGTTTAAAATTTTCCCATAAGGAATTGACATTTGAGAGATTAAATTAACTGACTTGAAGACCCTAGAAGAGCAGAATCCAGAGCCTTGCTCATTGGGAAACTGTTATGCTTGAGTGATCTAAAACTTGGCACCCTTTTGTTTCCTAACCACTGCCTCTCCCAAGCGCTGTGCGTTAGGGGTTCTCTTCTCTGGGAAACAGATTACATTGCAATTGTACAGTTTCACACATGTCCTTATCGCCTACTCATTTGAGGTTTATGAGAGGTTTTTACTAAGAAGGAATGTAGGAAAATGGTATAAAATACATCTTCTCCACTTGGAGTTTGCCAAATCTAAAGTATGAAAAACTTTTCAACACAGACTGATATGGAAAAAGAAACACTTAAGTATACTCACAATTCTGCCAGGGTTTTAAGTAAAGTCTTGTTCTGACTATCTTTCTTCAAATGATCCCGAACTGCTTGAACTATGACTGAATTATTATACAGATCTCCAGGCCATTCTCGGATCAATGTGGCAAAACCCTAACCAAAGGTGAAAAACAGAAAAAGAACACTCATTCAACAGAATAATAGTTGTGATATTGTGAAATATACATTTGGTCCTCCTTCTGTTTCCTGGCATATAACTCTCAAAATCCTTAGAATCTCTAAAATGATGTGTCTTCTTGTATGCTAATGAGCTGACTGGTGGCTAGCAGCCCCTAGGTAACTTAAGGATGGGGTTGGGCACAGGATAGACTGAGACAGGATTAAAGGGTTGGAACTTTTCAGCCCTACCCCCACCCCTGCCCCACAACCTCCAAGGAGGGGAGAGGGGCTGAAGGTTACACCGATCACCAATGGCCCAGTGTTTAAATCAATCATGTCTAAGTAATGAAGCTTTCATTAAAACCCAAAAGGAGTGGCTTTGGAGGGCTCCCCAAGAGCTGAACACCTGGAGGTTCCTGGAGGGTGGTGCACCCAAAGAGGACCTGGAAGCTCCATGCCTCTTCCCACATACCTTGCCCTCTGCATCTAATCCATTTGGCTGTTCATCTGTATCCTTTGCAATATTCTTTATAATAAACCAGTAAATGTAAGTAAAGTGTTCCCCTGAGTTCTATGAGCTGCTCTAGCAAATGAGTCAAATCTAAGGAGGTGGTAGTGGGAATTCCAGTTTATAGTTGACCAGTCGGAAGTACAGGTGACAGCCTATAACTTGTGATTGGTATGTCTGAAGTGGGGGCAGTCTTGTGGGCCTGAGCCCTCAGCCTGCAGGAACTGATGCTATCTTCATGTAGACAGTGTCAGAATGAACTGAATTAGAGGACATCCAGCTGGTGTCCACTGCAGAACTAATTGCTTTCTTGGTGTGTAGCGGAAAAACCCAGATATTTGGTCACAGAAGTGTTGTGTTGTGAGAGTATAGCATGAGAAACTGAGTTTGGTTTCTCCTAAATTCTCAAAACAAACCAAACAATTTAAACCATCCCTAAAAGTATTCACTTTTAGTCACATAACAGACCAAACAATTATATGATTAAAAGTTTGTTCAATAAATATTTCATCAATTTTCAGACTATGGGTCTGGGTGTGGTGAAGAGTTGCAGGGAATATTATTGTACAATAAATCTCCATTTAGCATTCCTGGGAGGCAGGTCGTGCCATCTACTTCTGTCCTTAGTTTTACGAAATGTACAACTAAGAAAGCTATCTTGTTCCTTCTATAAAGTGCATGGACAAGAGTTTAGGTTGGACTTGCCCCATCCCCATTCTGGACTAACTGTAACATTTGGATGACAGCTTTAACAGCTTACAGATATTACCCAAGTCAGCTACTTTCCCCACCACCAAGAGTCCTCTAATGCACTTAGGCCTGGGCTGCTGGGTGCAACTGGTTATGCAGTTGTGCACTGTATAGCCAGCACAACTGACCGTGGCAGTCTGCTTGGGACAGGGCTGCTCCCACAGTGAAACTGTCCAGCATTCTATATCTTTAACAAGTCACCATCTTGGTCCTCCTTCCACTTTGGCTTCTAATGCCAGTTTTATGTTGGAATTTGAGACTTTGGCTCAAGTCTTATCCCCTGGCTCTTATCCTGGCTATCTCTAGATCTCAAATTTTGTGGTTCCCCGATTTGATCCTGTTTCCGTCCCACAGCTGATTCTGGGCCAGTATCTTGCTCAGTCTCTACTCCCTGATTCCCGACTTTAGACTTCATGTTTTATAACTCAAAGTATGACAGAGCAGTTTACTTACTGATCCTTGACAATGTTTAGAACAAAAACATGTTCATAAGACAGTAAAGAGAATTAAAAACATCCACGTTATTAAATGTGAAAGGAAAATAAATTCTCAGGACCTCCAATTCACTAAGCCAAAGGGAAAGTTAAGGGAACTGAGTCATGCAAAAATTGCCTTCCTTTTGTTCCCAAACAGAGAGCTGTCATTTCACATGCTTCCTTTAGCTCATGTCAAAGCTAGATCTACTGAGCAAGAGATGAATGCATAATTGACTTTTTCCCCACTTCTCTCTTTTTACATGTAAAACGTAGATTTCCTGAGCTAATCAGAGCATCACTGGAATGTGACCAAGTGCCTCATTGCTTACTCTCCCCCTACTTATTTATTTATTTATTTTTAAAATTTGCTCCTTTGCCTCCTGCTTGCTCTTTCCCCTTTAAATTTTGAAGTCCTCAACAATCTCTTTGGAAAAAGCACAGGACACAGACCCTGTTTCTTTTCCCCAAGTATGTCCCTAACCTTGGCAAAATAAACCTTAAAGTCGATTGAGATCTGTCTCAGTCACTTTTTGGTTTATATAAAAAATAGTACATTATTACTATTAAATAACTCCATTAATACTTTAATGAACTACTGTGAATTTGTTTAAATAATACTTAGAAATGAAAACAATGTGATAGAAGCTGCTTCTGTAATGCACCAGGATTTGGTAAGAAAAGTGCAAAAGAATCAGTAATATAGTTTTCATTAAAGTTCCACCCGATTTCTACCAAAGTAGCCCCTGGAAGGATGGCAAGAGACCAGAACAAAAGACCACATATTTTCCATTTAGATTACAAACTTCTTATATATTAATATGATTGAAATTTTACTTCAGAAATTTGGGAATGGATTCAATCAGAACATTAAAATGTTTGTAGAACCAAAATAATATTTCAGATCAAGTTTCTTTCTTTTCTTCCTTCTCTGTTTCCCTTTCCTTGTCTTTCCTTCCTTGTCCTTCCTTTCTTCCCTCCCTCCCTTCCTTTTCTTTCTCTCTCTCTCCCTCTTTCTTTGTTTTTCTCTCTCTCTCTTCCTCTCTTTTTTTTTTTTTTTTTTTTTTTTTTTTTTCAGGTGGTGTTTCGCTCTGTCGCCCAGGCTGGAGTTCAGTGGCGCTATCTTGGCTCACTGCAACCTCCGCCTCCTAGGCTCAAGCAAGTCTCTCGCTTCAGCCTCCCAAATAGCTGGGACTACAGGTGCATGCCACCATGCCTGGTTAATTTTTGTATTTTTTTTTTTTTTAGTAGAGACGGGGTTTAACCATGTTGGCCAGGATGGTCTCCATCTCCTGACCTTGTGATCCGCCCGCCTCAGCCTCCCACAGCCTCCCAAAGTGCTGGGATTACAGGGGTGAGCCACCACACACAGCCTCTTTCTTTCTTTTTGTGAGAAAGGGTCCCACTCCGTCACCTAAGCTGGAGTGCAGTAGCATGATCACAGCTCACTGCAGCCTCAGCCTCTAGGGTCAAGTGATCCTCCCACCTCAGCCTCCTGAATAGCTGAGAGTACAGGCATATGTCACAGCACTCAGCTAATTTTTAGTTTTTTATAGACAGGTCTCACTATGTTACCCAGGCTGGTTTTGAACTCCTGGGCTCAAGCAATCCTCCCACCTTGGCCTCTCAAAGTGCTGGGATTACAGATGTGAGCCACCGTGACAGCCCTGTTTTCTTAAGACTATATAAGATAAAATAGTCTGTAAAGATTTCTACCCCAATACCAGCAGCTCACAGTAGCCCCTAGACCATTAATAATAATGCTCAGGGAAAGAAGAAAGTTTGGCCTCATTTTTTCTTTTCCCTATCATGCAACAGCCTCATGGTACTGCCAACTTCGAACACAAAATAAAGACAAAATAACCAGTCATCTTGTATGATAAAAGCATGATGACCCCACCATAAACTGAAATAAACATCTATCATATTTCATGTTAGGCTTCTCTCTGTTCAACTGGCTTTGTGTACCCTTGAATAAATGTGCTACCCAAGAAATATTTATAAAATCTATCTGTGGCCATTATTACTAATTAGAGGACACAGGAACAAGGGACCTGTTATGATTGAATGAGCAAAGTTATAGAAAACCTCAGTACCTATCATAATAAGTAAAAGTCTAGAAAGTACTCATGAAATGAAATGCCACAGAAATCATCCAATTTTTAACATGCTTATATGTTTGTCGTTAATATTAAACAAAGCTTAACTGTTTAACTCTGCTGGGTCGTAAATTAATAGGCAAAGCTACAGGCATATGACTAGAAACCCCATACAAAGAAGTCATGAAGCATCTTTACCTCCAATATTACTTCATGTCTTTTTAGGGAGAAAAAAATTGACAAGTCAATATTCCAGAGAAGTACAGTTTGTTTTTTGTAATCTGACCTTCAGTGCTCTGTTTAGCAACACAAAATGTCTCTCCACATAATATGTGATCAAAAGTGTTGTTAGGGAACACAGCTATTTGACTGATAATGTGACAATTTAATTCAAAATTAAATAATTAAGCTGAGAATAAGGGAAGGTAAAACATGAACTATTTATAAGAGCTTATGAAAATAAAAACAAATTATTTACAACCTCCTTAACAGTACTGACCAGACATACATCCTAAAACATTCAGGAGAAAACATCTACAATCTCTAAGGTTAAGTCATGCTTCTTTCCATCTCAATAAAAAGTGTTCCAGATATGAAATCAACAGGGTAACTTTGACGATAAAGGATTTTTAAAAGTTTCATGAAAAAATAAGAGTTCAATCATGTGCAATAACTGTAACAGAATCATAAAAACAATAAATTTTTTTAAATGCTTAAATTACATTACTTTAAAAATAGGAAAATTATAACATACTTCAGCATTTGTAAAGGAAGTTTGTACTCTTCTCCATCATTTTCACAGAACACTCATAATTCTCTTTCTTCTGGGATGATATCAAAGATGGAATAGCAGCTGCTATTGTATTTATGAAATCTACAAAATAGCACTTAGCTCTTTTTCTTTAGTTCTAGAAAGAAGGTAACTTTAAGGAATTCCTTAAAATGCACACGGACTAAGTGTTTTCACTGTCTACATAAACATGAGTTATACTGGAGTTTCTCTAGCTCAGTTTCACCTGCCACATGCAAACTACAAATCTGTTTCCTTTACAGGCATTGCTCCATTGTATTCCTTTCTAGATTTCCTAACACCTCCCATCGAGAACAAGTAAATATGACCACATCAGAACACCATACCTCATAATCACTCTCCAAAAATTCATGTAAGATCATTTCATAGATGAGTGGTTTCAGAACTGGATCACCTCTTGGCAAATAAGGACTAATAGCCTAGGTAAGGAAAAGGGAAAAAAAAGTCCATTAAAATATGAAAAAACAAAACTGCATTCCAATTATGCAGAAAACATAAAGTATATTTTTACTTTAAAAATGTGAGGGAATACAGTACTCTGAAAAAAATGTTTTGAACAGGATTTAAATGAAAACTACTTTCTAACAATAAATTATAATATATTTTCAAAAGTATATACATGTATGAATGAATTTAAAAATTGCCTAGGTTAATCTTTATCTCTCTGTTCTTCCTGATGAGTTAATAGAAATCTAAATAATAGGAGGGAGAAAGTCACAGAGATGAAAAAAGTCGACTTCTTAAGTAATCGAGGAGTACAGGTAATCTATTCATCTTTCCTTCCTTCAACTGGAGTTTACCAACCTTCACCAACTCATAATCATCTTTTGAAATTAGGAAAAATACATCTTGTGTTCTTCAGATATTTTCAGTACTGTGTTAAAAGTCAAATTTACAAATACTGTTCAATGACCCTATAATGCCCTACAATCCAATCACCACACTTTTTACTGGGGACAGACAGAGAAGGTCACCATCCCCAAGGAGCTCACAAGTCCTAGAAGAAAGATATGCAGACAATTAAACAGACAATAACTGTATTGTGTGGTAAGTGTTATAACAGAGGGGTCAGCACAGTGCTGCAGCAGCAGAGGAGAACCATGCCCACTAAAGCCCTGGGTTTCTCAGGAAAAAATAAGAGAGGGGCAGGACATCTGGCAGGGGGAATAGCATGAGCAAAGGCGTGGAGCCATGAACATGCATCTGTGTGCAGGGAGGTCAGAGGAGCCCAGAGATGCGAGATGGCGTCACTGAAGGGAGGTGAGGCTGGAGAGGAAGGGGAGGTGGGGTCTTGAGAGGAATTCTGATTTTATTCTATAGGCAGGAGGGAAGCAACAGGTATTAGGGAAGTGAGAGTCCAGACTTATTTTTTATGCAGATAACTCTGGGCTAGGGCTGCCCACAGATCTATCAGAAGGCATTTGCTATGGCTCAGGCAAAAGTTAAGGCAATGGTACCACAGGGGAAGAGAAGAGCCCCGATTGGTATTGACATGAAAAAAATGACAAGAAGTGGAGATTAAACAGAATGAGGAGGGGTGTAACATGTTCTAATCAAGAACAGTGGCTTTGAGCTAATACACTCTGGGGAATGGGTATATTGTGTATCACAAACACAGACTCAATGGAAAAGGACTGAATTTGGGAAGGAATGGATTTATATTAACTTGAATTATCATCATCAGCAGTATATACAAGGAGAAACGGCCATCACATGATATTCAAAAAAAAGGTCCAAGTTACACAGCCATTAAAGTAAACAGGGAGGCACGACTGGATAAAATCCTCCAGAAACCATCCAATAAACCCAATGAGAAGTGTAACATTTACAGGGCAGACAGGAGGAGTCACACGGTTGACAAGATGAGTAACTGGGAATTTTTAAAGCATATTTATAACTTGAAGAGAGCATTCAAAAGGTCCACAAATACTGAAAAATTTTTAAATGTTTAAAACAAATATAGGAATACTTTATTGATTGATTAGGATGTTGTGCACTAAGTTGAAAGATTTAAAAAAAGAAACATCAAAATTATTCATTAGAGCTAGGTGGTCAATTTTTTCCATCTGTCTTTCAGCAGGTAAAATATTACTTGAAAAATACAATATTATTCAGTAAATCTAAAAAAAGTCTTATGCTTTATAACCTACTGGATGAGATTACACCTATTTTCAAAAGTCATTAAAAAGAGCATGAAAACTTCATCTAAACACAGAGAGAATTGGAAAGAGATAAGTGAACACATTGTATATGTAATAAATATATAATCTTATATATTTTTTTTTACACGAGGCTTATATTTTGAAACTGTCTCTAAAAGTTTGATTTTTCTTTCCATCTGAGATAATAATCACGTCCTAAAAAAGAGCTGAGTACTATTATCTTTGTTTCCACTGCAATATTAATATACTACTTGCAGAAACTGAGAGTTAAAAATAAGGCTTTGCTTACCTTAAGCTGTCCAATTTCTTTAAATTTATAAACTTCATATTCCCAGAGTGCTGCATTTTTCCCAAGAATTTTCTGGCATTTGCTGGCAGTAAAAACATCCCAGGCAGAAAGAAAGTATATATTAAAAAAACAAAAAACAAACAGAGACAGAATAAGTAGACATTTTCCCCAGAGGTTTAGAGAAATCTCTCTTCTCAGAGTTTTGATGAATTTCTATCTCAAGTACCAACGAACATAAAGATATTACTGTTACTCATTTGGTTGCATACATAAATTAACACAACTTATAAAAGTTAATATAAAATGCTTATAAATAAAGATGAATCACTTCAGAAGACTATAACTAGGGGCTTTCCCAACTATCTGCCTGTTCTAAGTTTCCCATTTACCCAGAGGAGCACTGCTGGTTTCGGGAGACCTTTCTTGCCTTGAAGAAAACTTGTCATACCCCAAAGTGCCAGAACCTTTCTAAATGGCTTTAAATTATGCACTACAAAATCAGACTTCAGAAAACTAGAATCCTATCCTACTATATAACCTGGAGGACTGCTTATGTATGAATGAAACCTTACTTTACACATCAAAGAAACACATTTTCTTAAATAACCTCAGGAGACGAGAAGCAGGCTTGAGGGCACTCTTCCAGGACTGCCATGCAGTCATGCAGCGGGCACTGCCAGTTCCAGTGGGAACCCCTCACACAGACTTGCACACCACTACATAACATTTATGTGTTCTGCCCACCACAGACCTCTGCAACCCAGGATCCTGGGGTCTAGTCACTTCTATTTAACTGCCATCCTTAGGTTGGGAAAATTCTCTTTGAATCATAAGCAGAGGCACTTTCTTCTGGACTATCTTCCAAGGATGCTTATAAAGCAAACAGCTCTAGAAATGAGACGACACAAATAGTGTCTCCCTCCTGAGGAAAGGGAAGGTTTCTTACTGCCCAGTACAATAAAGGTAAAATGACGCCTTTAGGACAAAAGGCAGACAAGGTGATAGGGTTTGGCCGTGTCCCCACCCAAATCTCATCTTGAATTGTAGTTAACATTAATCCCCACATCATGGGAGTGACCAGATGGAGATACCTGAATCATGGGGATGGTTTCCCTCAACCTGTTTTCATGATAGTGAGTTAGTTCTCACGAGCTCTGATGGTATTATGAGGAGCTTCCCCCTTCATTGGGCTCTTGTTCTTCTCCTTCCTGCCTGCCTTGTGAAGAACGACACGTTTGCTTCCCCTTCTGCCATGACTGTAAGTTTTCTGAGGCCTCCTCAGCCATGCTGAACTGTGAGTCAACTAAACCTCTTTCCTTTATAAATTATCCAGTATCGAGTATATCTTTATTAGCAGTGTGAGAATGGACTAATACATGGGGTTCTTGGTCACTAGAAAAGATTCAGATACCCTAAGCTCAGGGGTCCTCTTCCGTATCACAACCCACTGCATGGGCAGGATCTCCATGCCCACCCTCTGTTGCATTGTGGGAATTGGGGTTTGGGGATCGGGGCAAATGTTGACACTCTATTTGACTACTATTGTTGTAGCAGTACCTTGGCTGGTACTATTGCTCACAGAGTCCTTTAGCTCTGACCTGGGAGTCTCTTGTCTTCTGCCAGCAACCAGGGAAATGACAGGCTAACTTGTTAGACTGTAAATAGGTAAAGTCTGAGATCCTTCATGGTTCTTGATACCTTTCTCATTAATAATGAGAAAAAAAATTCTCCTTCGGTAAAAATGAAATAGTTGGGAAAATAATAAACATTAAACTGATTCTGTGCTTGGAATCATTAATATTCAAAAATTATAATTTAAAAATAATATTCAAAAATTACCCTCGTTAGAAAGATGTACAAAAATAAAATGTCAACTGCAAAGAATGGCTTATTTTTACTGTTAGCAATGCTCAATTCTATTTATATTAACAAATAATTGTGAAAATGTCATCATTACCGTGCTGCTATGTCATAGTCTCCTCTCTCCACCAGGTGATTTATATATGCCAAGCCAATATCCTAGAGAAAGCCAAATGAAGAAATGTCAAAATTTAACTGAAACAACTGAAAAGTTGAGTCTCGGTTTCTGCACAGGGCATAACATTAGGGTCCTATTAGCTCTACTGACTATAACCTGTTTATACTCTTAGCTTGCTTTATGTAATTACACTTGCTTCTTAAGCATATTCATATTTAAATGTATTTATATTTTCATACATTTTAGAATTCACAGGTCAGGTCATTAAAAAAAGTAAATAATGTTAGTATTTTAAAGGCTCCTAATCTGCCCCCTTTAAGACATTTTTTCATAAAGGAGGTATTCGATATTAGAAACATGATCGAACAATTCCACACTGTTAATGTATATAAAATTGTTTCCTGTGCCTTCATCTGTAGAATGCAAGCTACCTACTTCTTCTACCCCAAGTCTGAAGAGAAGTTATAAGAAAAATGAAATAATGACTATCATACTAAAGGAAATAGGGAATATTAAAGTTGATATGAGCTCAGAAAAACCTGTGATTCAAACCCATCAGTTTACAGAAGAAATTGGGCTGAAAGCAGGGAAGTGACTGGCTTCAGAGTATTCATGTTTATTCGCTTATTCTACCTGGGTTCTGAAAGGATTTGGGGTGGCCAACATCACCAGAGGCATGGGAGGACAGCTCTTGCTTGATCTCCCCATGACTCATCTTCTCATATACTATTTGCACCTAAAAGTATTTTCACCAGAAGCTTAAGCTTGATATATATAAGAAACGTTGGGTGTTGATTTCTACTTTATGTACAAAAAGGTGCATAAGAAATACCTTCTTGGATGGCAAAAAAAAAAATGGCAGGAGCCCATTTCTTCTCTGCATGTTTGGTATGAAATTACATCATGCTAAGAGAAAAATAATCTATTCATAACTAATGTATAGGACTAATGTACAGGACATGCCCATTTCAAGAGTGAAGCAAAATACCCATCATTTTTAGTATATTAAATTTTTACTTTAATAACTACTATGTGAGAAATCATATTTCAAGTCTATAGGAACAGAAGTGAAGAAAGAGTGTCTAACTTCCTTATTTTTCTGGAAACAGATCACACGTAACAATTCTACACAGGTTCTTTCCATCAAGGTTCAGAGAAAGAATGTCTCCTTTTCAGAGTCAATCCTTCCAACCTTTCTCCTCACGTCCATGCTTCTCCACTGTGGAGCTTATCCTGCACTCCTCCTCTTCCTTTTATATCAACCTTTTATGTCAACTCTATTTTACCTCTTTTCCCTCAGCATAAGCATGTTTAAGTGCCTCTCTTACACAAAATACCCAAAAACTACCATCATCCCAGGATGCCATAGCCCCAGCTACAGCCTCAGCTACAGCCTTCACTCTCTTCCCCTTCACAGCTAACCTGATAATCTATACTCAGAACCGTACTTTATAATCTCCTATTCACTTTTCACTCCCTACAACATGTTCAGAATAAATAATACACATACAGAAAATTCACTACTTTCATATCACCAAATCCAGTGTACAACTGACCAGCTGACCTCGTCTTACCCTTCTGACCTGCTTACCTCCACTACTCAAGCATTTAATTCTCTTTACCCTGGAATTCTCTCCTCTCTCAGCTCCCATGAAATGACCTTGCTCTGGCTGTTCCAAATCTACTATGTATGCATCATCCCTTGAATGACAGCATTCCTGATGGTTCCATTCATGGTCCTCTGTTCATGACACTCACTCTAAAATGTATGAAAATATAAATACATTTAAATATGAATATGCTTAAGAAGCAAGCATAATTACATAAAGCAAGCTAAGAGTATAAACAGGTTACAGTCAGTAGTGCTAATAGGACCCTAATGTGTCCTGTGCAGAAACTGAGACTCAACTTTTCAGCCCAAATTTCTTTCCTGGGCTCCACTACGATGTCCCACAGATTCCTAAAACTAATGTGTTTAAAATAGGATTCATCATTTCTCCCAATCCTGCTTCTCCTTCCACAGGGTATCTCTATCAATCAGTAAATGGCAGCACCAAACCAGAGGCCCAAGCCCAAAGCCTGGGAGTCAGCCTAGATTTTTACTCTTATTCTTTCATCCACACAGAGTCAGTTACCACATCCCAAAGATTAAAAGTTTACTGTATCTTCCATCTATCTTCACCTCTCCAATCCTATTGATTCTGTGTAAGTCTCATGACCTTCCACCTGGATTAGGAAGCCTCCTGATTGATCTCCATCTCAGCTGGCCCTCCTCTGGCCCCATCTCCATCAGAGAATCTTTCTAACAGGGAAATCTGATGTCTGAAAGCTTAAATTGACTTCTAGATGTTCCAAGAGAGAAGCAAGCTCTTAATTACGAACGGCACTTCAGGATCTGACCTTTGCTACCTATGTAGTAAACCCCTCAACTGCTGTGTGCAGTGGCTCATGTCTATAATAGCAGCACTTTGGGAGGCCGAGGCAAGCCGATCACCTGAGGTCGGGAGTTCAAGACCAGCCTGACCAACATGGAGAAGTCCCGTCTCTACTAAAAATACAAAATTAGCCAGGTGTGGTGGCGCATGCCTGTAGTCCCAGCTACTCGGGAGGCTGAGGCAGGAGAATCGCTTGAACCCAGGAGGCAGAGGTTGCGGTGAACCAAGATTGTGCCATTGCACTCCAGCCTGGGCAACGAGAGCGAAACTCCGTCTCAAAAAAAAAAAAAAAAGCCTTCAACTGCCCACATAACCAAGCAGGCCAAGCTGTGGCACCTCTCTGCCTCTTCACATATGTTAACTACTCTAAGGGCCGGAATGCATTCTCTTCCATTTCTAGAGAATCCTTGCTTATTCTCCACAATTTTGGCTGGATTTTTTTTTTTTTTAAGATGCTCTGGTTTTCTATTCTCCTGTTATTCCTAAATTATTTTGCTTCTGCACTCTTTGACAATTCAGGCTTTCATGTGGAGTTTTACAGAGAAGTTTACGGTAGGGAAAATGTAGGCAGAAAGAATTTGTACTGAAACCCAAATAGGCATAAAAGACTGAGCTTCCAGTTTTCACCTGTAAAAAAGGGAACTCGGCTAGATGGTCTCCAAGGACCCTTCACATGTGCAGGATGTGAGTTCCTCTGCTCTCCATCTGCACATTCACTGTCACAGTTAACAAGGAAAGGGGCTTTCAGTCATTCTATTTTTCCTGAGTCCAAAATGTAATAAAAATGTATTTGATGCTCTAGATTAGTTTCCATAACAAAATCAATTGAGTCTGTTATTATGGAAACACCAAAGCAATGCAGTTTTAGGAAACCTCTCTTTTTTTGATAAATTTTGTGATAATGTGATTTTTACCTACGATTTAGGGAAACTTTCATACACATAACTAGAAAGCTCTGTATTTAAAGTGTTTTCCACAGATACAGTTTCCAAATTACCTAAAACTGCCTCCTAGCAGGTGTTCAAGTCTCTTGTTTACAAGCAGAAACTGATTTGATAAAATATTTTGATCTCATAGGTTAGGGAATTAGTTTAAAATAAATTCTCAAAAGATAGGAAAAACCTGTTCTTTTCAAATTATTTTCAGTCTCACTATAACTTATTGAAAGATAAAATTATGTTTCAAATAACAAATTGCACACTTACCAGAATCTTATGTCTTTTAATATTTTTTTGGCTAATTTCAGCTGCCATCAATGCTTCCTTTATTCCAAACATAAGGATGATTTAAAAAAAAAAAAAAGCAGAAAAGGAGGGAGGGAAAATGGGAGAAGGTGGGAGAGAAAGATATTGAGGTTATAAACACTATAGTTATTATGGTTTAGCATTCTGCACTACACGAATAAAGCTCCATTTTCCCATGGCTTTTGCTTGAAGCATTGGAATTGTTAATGCTATGGTTGAATGAACCTCACTGAATTCAAACTCAAAGGCAGTCAACCAAAATGAAGACTTCTCCCACTTCCATTTGAATTCATTTCCTCATTAGGACAATGGAATCACATTTCAGACACAAATCAAAATACAACAAAGTCTCCTAGTCTCCATACAAAAAAAGGCAGCTGTCTTCTAGATCTTTATGACATATTGATAAAGGAGCATTTTCCCTTATGTTTCAATAAAAAAGTGAACTATACGCATGTTTATGTATATCTAAAATTAAGTCTTTGAAAAATCTCTGATTTTGTTTTTATTTTGGAAAGTTTACAAATACTACTTTAACATAAATATTTAAAACATACAATTATTTCTTTGAGAAACTACTGGATTTAAAGTAACATGGTAATTACTGGGTTATGAACTAGGTATCGATACCTGGACTTTAAATAGTTTATAAATGAAAAAAAAAATTTTTTTCCAAATCCTTTCAGATGGTGACAAACTTAGTACAACAAATACGTAGACTATTTGTTGTGGATGTTGTTTTAAATTAGTATATAAGCCCATCTAAGAACGTAACTTTGTAGCTATTAAAGTTGAAAAATGGTTTTTTTCTTTTTTTTTAAGCGATATTGGGCATTATCTATTCAAATTAATCTAAGCCAAACCTCAATGAAGTGGACAACATCATTCTATCCAAACTGATAGTTCAAACCATCCTAAGTGAGTAAAAATGTGATAAGTATAAAATAAACGATTTCATTAAATCTAAATAGACACTTCTGAAATACTATCTCTAATTTCTTTGAACAAAATCAAAAAATGAAACTTCCAACAGTCTAGATCTAACTCACCTCCTCCCTCCACTCCCAACTCCTCCCCCACTTAACAGGAAAGCCAGTCAATCCATTGCAATCTTTTGGTTCCCTAATTTCTGAAGGGGGTACTAGAAAGTTATTAACTTCCTACATATTTTTGGCTTGGGAAACTCTACTTTGACTACATAAAAGATTTATTACAAAAACATTTTATCTTCTCTCTCTATGCTGTAGATGAGTCAATACTTTCAAAGAAGTAAAATCAAGGGTACTTCATATTTCTTCTTTTCAAGGAGCCAGTCAATGTGATCATCTTGGTCTCGTTCCTTGGCCACTACAACATCTCTCGGACTCACGATGTAAAAAAGTGATTCCCCTTCAGAGTATTCTGTAGGTGAGAAAAGAGAGGAACGACTTGGTGACTGAACAGCAGAAAACTTGGCAATGGTTTCAGAGGACCTGGTTAGGTTACCCAACCCAAGAGCGAACAGAAAATGTGTCTATCTTTGTTGTGTGTTTGGCTCTGCTGGAAGGTAAGTGTGGGAGACAGGGTAAAGAATGACAGAAGCGTATTTCAGTGCTTTTAAAAATATTTAAGTGTAAAAATACTTGACCAAAAAGCAAGAGAGGGAAGGAGAAGGACAGAAAGGGAGGGAATGACATACTAAAAAACTTGAAAAAAAAATAAGGTGAGTTTAAAATTCTACGTTTAATACATCAACACTCTGACTTCAGCTGAAAAAGTGTTAAAAATTCTCTATGTCTACTGCATATTAGAATTCATCTACTGTATATAAATTTTATTTGTGGCCATTTACAGCATTGTTCTACTTTTACAGAACAATTACACCCCATGGTCAGCGATAAATGTTTCCTCCTCATCAAGGTCAAGGCCACCTAAGGCATAAATGACAGATGCCCAAGCCCTAGGGACATAATCTATCATTTCAGCATGTTGTGCACAATGCCAATCTGAGGGTTTCCTGCAGAATTCAATTATAAAACCTGTTCTGAAGGGTTTCTAAGTGTGCAGGAGAGTTTGCTCTGAGCCAAATACCTAGATTGGACACTTTTCAGTTGTGAATCACAGTTGCTTTTTGCCAAGTCTAGAATATACTCTTATGTTTTTCAATGGATTAGGGTCTTCATATAAGAAAGTTTAAACATATATAGAATATTTCTTCATTTCCTTTGGCCACAATGAGAACTGAAAATATTCTCAACAAATGTCAATTGTGTTTAAAGTAGTACAGCATTCCTACAAAGCTGAACTGTTCTATTTTCATTAATATATTTTACAAGGGTATGATAACAGCCAAACACAGATGTCTCTGGTATGACTAAATATTAATGGTTCTCCCTGTATTTATGAGCAGTGACTAAGTGTATTTCTCCGTCCACTCAACAAATATTCACTGAACACCTAAAATGTGCCAGAAGTCTTTCAGGCTCTGAGCACTCAGTTACAAACAAGAAAGACAACTTCTCTGCCACCCCAGAGCGAACTTTCCTGACACATAAAATGGGAGTGATATGACAACCATGGAGCCATGCAGCTTGACATTAAATTATGTGTCACATTAAATAGTTAGGACAATAGAAAAAATACAAGAACAAAAAACAAGGGGCCCAATCCTCCCCCGGGTCCTGGTCTGAACTCTAGCCTTCCCTTTTACTATAGGAGCTTATGCAAGTTTTGCAACATCTCTGCATCCAAATGTCCTTGTTTTCAGCACACACAGTCTACGCAGGTATTCTCTTAAGATTCTTTCAGCACCTTAATTTAAATTCCATTTATTGCAAGTAGGAAGGGGGAGAAAAAAACATTAAAAAAGCATATCAGCCAGATCTTTCATATCTCCTACCTAAATGATAATCTCTACATTCATTCTCCTGAAAGCCTCTGACTGTCAAAGCATCAGAAGAGATCTCTTCACAAGTCTCAGAAAGTGGCTGGATGATGTCCAGTCTAGGCCTGGCACAGTATTCTCTTTCCTAGTGGGGGAAAAGAGAGAAACATTAATTTAAATTACATTTCTATATATCATACAAATTAATTCTAGTTAGCCATACATATTAGTTTCTTCTCACACTCCTATGAAGAAATACCCAAGACTGGGTAATTTATAAAGGAAAGAGGTTTAACTGACTCACAGTTCTGCATGGTGGGAAAGGCCTCAGGAAACTTACAATCAGAAAACATTCCAAAAATAAAATAGCAACTATAAAAGATCAACTAGTGAAGAAAAATCTATCAGATCTGTGGAGAAATTACAAATTGCTAAACTTTGAAACAACTGAAAAAAAATGGAGAAAACTGAAATATATTTAAAAATTGACCACTGTAACAATAAAAATATCAAAATCAGAATAGCAAAATAAAAAAATATTTTGAACAAAATAAAAAGAAAATCACTTCACTAGACCATAGAAAAGGCTCTTTTATATGTATAAGAAAAGCATCAGCAATGTGAATCTCATTTTATACTTTCGTTCCCTGGCCAAACAGCCCTTGCCTGTGAACTCCCTAAGAGCAGAAATCTGGTTTTGTTGATCTTGGATCTCCAGTGCCCAGCACAATTTCTAACACACATGTGCTTTATCAATGAATGAAAGAAAAGTAAAATACTAGGAGAACACCTTAATAAATTAAAGTGTACCAAGCAGATGGAATAGTACACAACCACTAAACACAATGATGGTGGCAAGTACACAGACATACGCAGGGAAAATGGAATAATGCCCATGAAAACAGGGCAATGCAGAGTAGCATGTGACTATCCCTGCAACTATGTGAAAACATGCATGTACGTGAAAGGTATCACGTGGATATCTGGGGGCTATTTGGGGGATAATACTGAATGATATAAAACAAATTGTATTCAATGTCGCTAAACCACCTTTTCAGTATGAAAAAATAAAGGGGGAAGGGAGCTTACCTCTTTGTTCCTTTTGCCTTAATTTTATGAGTTTATTCTGTGTTTAAGGATTTAAGGTGTACTTTAATGTTCTATAAAATGAGTATCTACATACACTGGCATAAACATGTTCCAGTCATCTCCAAAACCCTCGCTTCTTCTTCTGGAAAAAGTCCATTTTCTACGTGCTCTATGAGGTTGGCCTATCTTTGGCATTTATTCCCTTCAAATACTCTTTTATTAACAAAGGTTTCCTTTCTTTCTTTGCTCAGTTGTTTATTAGGCTTCTCCTTTTTCGTTTTACTGCTTCTTTATTTCTTCCAATCACATTCTCAATCTTTCCTGCATTCCTCCTCAAAAAGCATTCTATTTACTCCCCCAGGAGCCACTGCTTTTATTTTCAAAAAATAAATAAAATAATAGCAAACTGATGTCCTGCAATAGGGCTAGAAGCCAACCCTATTGATTTTAGTAGGTCTGAGTGTTCACTTAAGTCTATAGCATTTCATTGCCTAGCAACATGGGCACCCAGAGCTTCAGGTTACTATAGTGATGGCTTCCTAATGCAAGTGCTTGCTCAGAGAAACGCTCAAGAGCAGCTACCACTTCAAAACCAGGGCTCCCAGGGTTTTTCTCCCCCATTTTATTTCTTGCCATTTAAAAAAAAAAAAAGGATACAAACAAGGATAGTCCACTTGCCTACTTACTGTAAAGGACTAGAGAATCAATTACAATTTCTTCTATATACAGCATCCAAAAGAAAATCCTTTACAGTATGCTTTCCTTCTTTATGCCTTGAAGCCACCCCTATTCTTGTGCTGGCAGGACCCCTGGACTCTCATAATAAAGACAAGCTGGGAATGGGGCCGTCCTCAGCTTCAAAGGGAGACTGGGTGTGGATACCCATCCACTGGGCAATATATAAGCTTCTTCCAAAGACACGCACAACAAAATTTAGATCATCTGCTGCTTTTTATTAGCCACAGATTTTGATGTACCATTATTTGCACTGATAACTGAGATTTCACAACAATCCATTTCAAAGCCATAATCAAGCTACTTAGAATCACCAGCCCACTAGGAAGTAAACAAATATGTCTGGACCAAAGAAAATAATGAAATGCCCTTTCTGTAATTCCCTCTGACCACAGGGACCCCTGTTGTTGCTGCTGATCAAGTTCATTGCTGTCATTTCTGCTAATGCACAGTGTCAGCTTAGTTTCTTCCCCTTTCAGCAAGAGGAATCCTTCATTCCTTTTGACTAATATACCAAGAGAGGTCGAAAAAAAAGACTCTTTTTTGGCTCAGCAATAGGAACAAAGGCAGGCAATGAGTAGAGTTTCCGGAAAGTAAATATGTCAGGTCTAAAGGGTAATCTCTGCCAACCTTATTTTATAGGTCAGAAAGTTCTGCTCAGATTATAGCGTATGCTACTGATGAACAACCTGATCTGGGTGTAATGCTAAAAGTGAACCCCCACATGCCTTTGTATCTGGGGAGAAAATAATTACCGTTTTTTCTGAAATCTCCTTTACATACGAAAGTACAACAAGCTGATCACAGAGAGGTGCAAGTCCACTGATGTAGAATTCAGTTTCAAACTGAGACACTGCAAACAAAAGGGATACAGGAGTCATCATCAACAGGGGCAAACAGCAGCACACATCTGGAGGAACACAATGACTGTGAATGCTAGTGGACCCCTTTTTAAAAGCTAACGTAAAGGGGACACCGTTGAACATACTTTCATAACTCAGCACTGCAAGTGCTTCACAACGATCAATCCTGGAAACGAATATGTGGGAAAGTAGACTTGCAAATTCCCATCACAAACAAAAATGAATCCAACAATAATAGCAGCATGAATGGTCAAGGGTGACACTGTGCTTAGGTAGTTTAAAATGACATAGACTACATGAAGATGCTTTGAAACCCATAAAAAGAAATATAAACCATTATTAGTAACAGTAATAATTTTTTAAAATTCCTGAGTTCGTTTTTCTCAATTGGGGCATTATAGTAGTACAAAGGTCACAAAGAATGTTATCTGTAATTATGAAACACTATTTTGGAGAAGAGGGATATTATTTAAAGAACTTGAAGTTAAAAAAAGATGCATAAATACAGATTACTTTATGATGAAACATCAGTATTTCTTAAGTGAAATAAAGGCTAGAGAAAAATAATAAATTTCTCTTTCCTTTAAAAAAAAATCCATTTAAAATCAAGAAGACATATTGCATCACTTAAGAAGTATGTGACTTTAATTGCACTGGACCCCAAAGATCTGACAGAAAGCTCAGAAGTACACATATTATTATTATATGATTCTAATTATTAGCTGCTATAAAATATAAAAGATCATTGTTTTAAGAGACTGAGATTGGGAGTGGCTTGTTTCAGAGCAGAAGCTAACTGATACAGTAGTGGTATTACAGAGATCCTTCCAGAAATCATACTCTACACTTCACAGATTCATTTGGGAGTAAACTCTTGTTCTGACCCACCACATTTTCTAAGTTTCTTCATTCAGATCATCTCCACGGTTCTGTGGTATTAGCTGCAGATTTAGTTAACTTCCACACTCTTTTCCCAATGAGGGGACCTCAATGTATCATACTGGAACCAATACTGAATGCTGAGTAAGGAAATTTGGGTTATAACTTCCACTAAATTGAACTTGAACAAGTCATTTTAACATTTCCCAACTATAAGAGAAAGGAATGACAGTAGAAATAAAATTCATAATACAGATGAAATACTGAATTTTCCTTTGTCCCCCTCTTTCTTTCCCTTGCAGATTACTTAGTGTTCCTTGTCTCTGCTGACCTTTAATGATCCTCCTTACGCAGCTGTTATCACAATTTAATTTTCGCACCAAAATAAAATTGTGGATGACCAAAAAGATGTAATAGTTAGCAACATAAACTTATAAAAAGATAATATTTCATCTGCTTTGTCCTCAATTAAAGTACCATACAATGGAAGTCCAAGGGCAAGTGCTCTGGTCCCAGTTCTGCCAGGAACACATTTTTTCCTTAATCTCTGTGGGCTTGAACCAAATGTGTTTATCCAGATACTTAAGAATAGTTTTGGTAAAGTGGTAATTGTGATAAATGTTCACAAAAGAGCTTATATGGAGAACCACCTCAACCTCCACCACATGTGCAGAGACAGTGTTTCTAGCGTAACCAGGCTGCGGAAGGTTCTAGAGAAGCTCACAGTGCTGTGCATGCACGTGGGCGGTGAAGCAGGGAGCAGGGGAGAGCCGGAATGTACAGATGATATTAAACAGTATGGGGCCACAAAGGACCCAGTGATGAAAGAGATGGCAGTTTCACATTTTAGAAGACATATTAACAAGAGGTTTTGGTTGTCATCACTCCTGAGGTTACTAATCTCTGACTGGTAGAAATGGACTTGCATTCTGTTTTACTAAATCACATTCCATTTTTGAAATGCTACACATACAGTTCCCTTACCAGCAACTTGGGTGAAGAGCAGAGAATCAGAGATTCTCACAGAAATCACAGGCTTTGCTGTGCTTGTCTGCCACAGACACCTAAGGGAAAACGTCTCCTAATCACAAAAGAAGGGGTGGGAGAAGGAGGTATTCTCCCCACTTGGGATGCCAAATAGGCTGCCTAGTCTCACTGACAGACACTGTCAGTGTTTCTCCTAAAGGTAACCAAATATACATCAAAGGCCTTGGTTCTTGAGAATGAGCTCCAAGATACAGAACAGAGAAACTACGAAATAATCCTACCCAAATCTTTCCTCCTCTACATGCCAACTCCCCAGTCCACAATAGCTTGTATGAGTAAGACAGAAAATTTCCTGTTCTCTAATTAAGAACATGATAGAAACTCCAATGTGTTCTAAAACAAAACAAAGAAAAATTGCAGGTGCACATATCTATTTCACTTCTCAATTCCAGATGTTGTAATAAACGCTTACTTGTTAAGTACTAAACCTTGCCAAATTTTGCTAATTGAGAATTAATAATTTGGACACGGACTATATGCAGTGGCTAAATCACAAGCTGACAAAAATGTTATTCATAAAGAAAAGATGTGGTACATGAAAATAATATTGTCAAGACTTCCAGACGCACAGGTAAGCAAGTAATCAACATTTGGATAAAACTGAAACTAAATTATGTCTTTCTTTTTGTTAAAGTAATTCCCTTATACCAACAAAAATCTCTTATAGAAAACAAAATTGCAATTATAGTAATACTCAGCATGATTCTCAAATTAAGAATTCCAAAATAATGGCCATTTATCTGGTTTCGAGTACTCTCCCACTCAGCAATTCATCTCCATTAATACCCACTGGTAATGATATCATGCAAAAAAGAACTCACTTCTAATGTGAGTTGCTGATTTAGGGAAATGTCTGCAGCCATTCTGCCACAAAGTAAGACATTTTAGAATAAATGGTGGTGTCTTGTTTTTCCATTAGTCTTTACTAATGCAGCGAAACATAATTGCTTTTAGATTTAACAAGATTCTGTTTATCTTTTATAGCGATGCTGAGTCCCAGAAGGGCTGGCTGCAGACAGTGGTGTCAAAATGAACATGAAGGTATAAGGAATATTCTTCATATAGATTTAGAGAAAGAAATGTTGAATGACAATATATATTCTTGTAAAAAATGCACATAAAATATATAAAAGCTTATGGACTGACTTTGTAAAATATATTCAAGTAATTACAGACTTTATATTTCAAATTTTCAGTGGACGAATGGAAGTTTCAGTTTATTTACTTTCACTAAAATTCTATTCTATTCCACGTAAAAATGACTCTATTAATTTAAATAAAATATTTTGTTCTCCTAAAGGAGACTCAGTTTGAATACAGGTGGCTGTCAGTTCTAATACTACAGAAGCTCATTTTCAACCTGATTATCTGGAAAAGATAAATCACAAAGAAAATAAACATAAATTCTGCTAGAGAGGAAATACATGAAAACAGGGAGCAAAAGCTGGACAGGGTGTTTTTTTTTTTGGTTTTTGTTTTTTTTTTTTTGGAGTGAAAAATGCAGGCAGAGTTCCTAAAGGTAGCCACAAAAGACAGTGGCTTTACTTCAGATCAAGGTCATCTAGAAAGCCAGCTGAGGCTCAGCTCGCGGGCCCTGCAGGGAGTGCGCTATGTTCACCTAGATGATGGCCTTATACTATGGTGGGCATTACAGCTGAGGCACAGCCTTCCTCCTCCTGATGGAGGTGGAAGGACTTCTGCATTCTGCTTTATTCAGGAGGATAAAAGCATTCCTAGACATGCTAGAAATAACTCAAGAAAAAAGACAGAGATTCTAGCAGAGTAAGAAAGAGAGGTTCAAAAGGACTATATTCACAGGAAAATTCTATTCAGCAAGGTCTTCTAGATCCAGAATGAGGATGAGATGAATACGATTCTGTACACGGTCCTCATCCAAAAGGGAGGCTAGAGGCCCCTTGATTAGCTGCCCCATGGAAATATAATGTGGGCCAAAACACAAATGACATATGTAATTTAAAATTTCCCAGTAGCCACGTGCTATAGCTTGGATGTGTGGCCCTGCCCAAATCTCATGTTGAACTGTAATCCCCAGTGTTGGACGAGGGGCCTGGTGGGAAATGATTAGATCATGGGAACGGATTTCTCATGAATGGTCATTTCTCATGACTGTTTTAGCACAATCCTCTTGGTACTGTCCTCACGACAGTGAGTTCTCACAAGATCTGGTGGTTTAGAAGTGTGTGGCATCTACCCCTGCCTCTTGCTCCTGCCCTGGCCATGTGAGGTGCCTTCTCCCACTTCGTCTTCCACCATGATTTAAGTTTCCTGAGGCCTCCCCAGAAGCCAACCAGATGCCAGCATCATGCTTACTGTATAGCCTGCAGGACTGTGAGAATTAAACCTCTTTTCTTTATAAATTATCCAGTCTCAGGAATTTCTTTATAGGAATGCAAGAATGGACTACACCACGATAAAGAGTTCAAAAAAAGAGGTGAAATTTTAATAATACATAACATACCTAAAATATTATTTCAACATGTAATAATATAAAAAGTGATTAATGAGATATTTTACCTTTTATTTCTAGACTGTCTTTGGAATTCTGTATGTAGCACAAATCAATCCACACTAGCCATACCACAAAGACTTAACAGCTACAGTGGCTAATGGTTATCACATTTGACAGTGCAGGTCTAGATGCCCAAGTTTTTCGCTTTAAAGTCCAATAATTTCATTAGAACATATCTTGGTGTTGCTCATTATGGGTCACTATTTTCGGATACACAGTGTGCTATTTTAATTTATAATTTCAACTTCTGTTTCTCTGCATTTTCATGAAATTTTTCTTGACATTGTCTATAGTATTTGTCCCATTCTCTAGTTTTATTTTTTCCTCAGGGACTCTTTATTGGTAGACTGAATTATCTTTGCCTGTCTTCAGTATTTATCACTTAACCTTAATCTTTTTGTTCTTATTGCTTTGTGATTTTTACAATTTTCCTCCTGCTCCCCTTCTATTCCTCTTACCAACATTATCTTTGCATCTATTTGTTCTTGTCTTCCTTCAGGTTCAGTCTTCAATTCTGAAATGAGCTTTTATTTATTAATTCTTCCTGAAGCCTGTCACCTAATTTGAGATTTTCAAATTCTGATTTCTTACATCACTTTTTAAAGATGTCTTATAGCTCCTCTGAAACTGGAAATTACAGTTGTAATCTATTGCGTAGGTGTGTCTTTCTGGTATGTCTGCTTCTTACTCACTTTTTCTTAAAACTTATTATGGATTTAACGTTGCTTGCTTTTTAGGTGAAATGACCATTATTGAACTCTTAGAGCTCCCTCTTCTGCTGTTTCCATTTGATATGAAAAATATGGCAGATTGCTTTCTGAGATTTCCTGGCTCAGCTCCTCCCTGGTGTTATCTGGACCTGTTTCTTTTGTTTCTATTGTCCCTGTCTCATTCAGGCTTTATTCTGCTCCCAGCAGTGTCTCCTCAGTGGAGAGAGGAGGCCTGGCTGCTCCACAGTGTGAGTTGCCAGGGGTAGCTGGGCTGCCCAGCCTCTCACACCTAACTGCAGGTCCTGGGCCCAGTTCTCAGAGCAGCCTCTTGGCCTTTCCAGTGAATGCCAACTGGCTATCTTGGAGTTCCCCTGGCCTCAAGTCTGCTAGATGACCACTTGCTCCCCTCTGCTTTCTCTCACACAGATGCTGATATCACCCTGCAGCGATCAGTGTTTTATTTTCCCATTAATTTGTGTCTTGGGGCTCTCAGGACTACCTTTGTCACTAAGTTTTGTTGTAAATGTTGTCTGTGGGTTTTTGGTTTTGTGACCTAGTTGTTCTGCTTTTATGGGAGGACTAGGTAGTTTGAAAAATTATGCTGCCACTGCCACTACATTCCCAGAATCTTCTAACCACAAAATTTTCACATATTGCTGTTATACATGTTTTAATACATCAACCTTACATTGCCCAGGGCAATGGGGTCAGGGTTAGAGTCACAAATAGATCAACAGTGTCTGGCCCTCGATAGCATACACACCATCAGTTGCATAATGAATGCCATATGATTGGTATAAAAATTAACAAGAAAGAACTTTCTCATTCCTTGGGTCTCATAATCTCTGAGGGTTACAACTTAAGTCAATGAAGAGTGACTGAGGCTGGGTGCGGTGGCTCACGCCTTTAATCACAGCAATTTGGGAGGCCGAGGTGGACGGATCACTTGAGGTCAGGAGTTCGAGACCAGCCTGGCCACCATGGTAAAACCCCGCCTCTATTAAACATATAAAAATTAGCTGGCAGTGGTGACAACGTGCCTGTAGCCCCAGCTACTTGGGAGGCTGAGGCAGGAGAATCGCTTGAACCCGCGAGCACCCAGGAGGCAGAGGCTGTAGTAAGCTGAGATCCTGCCACTGCACACCAGCCTGGGTGATAGAGCGAGACTCTGCCTCAAAAAAAAAGAAAAAAGAGTAACTGAGTATCAATTACACGAGACAGTCTTCTAGATGCATCAAGATGACTAAGACCTGACCCTAACTTAAAGGAGATTGTGAGTCTGAATATTTAAAGAAATAATTAGGCCAGGTGTGGTGGCTCACGCTTGTAATCCCAGCACTTTGGGAGGCCAAGGCAGGTGGATCACAAGGTCAGGAGCTCAAGACCAGCCTGGCCAAGAAGGTGAAACCCCATCTCTACTAAAAATACAAAAATTAGCCAAGCGTGGTGGCAGGCGCCTGTAATCCCAGCTACTTGGGAGGCTGAGGCAGAGAATTGCTTGAACCTGGGAGGCAGCGATTACAGTGAGCCGAGATTGTGCCACTGTACTCCAGCCTAGGCAACAGAGCGAAACTCTGTCTCAAAAAAAAAAAGAGATAATTAAAATACCACATGCTATGTGCAAAAACAGGAACAGGTGTAAAACAAAAAATAGCACAGCGCAAGAAAATTTAGCTTCTGAGGAGGTACAGATGAGGGTGGAAACAGCAGCAATAATCATGACCATAAGCCCCTTAAGCCAGAAATGGTGTGGATAACATGAGAGAAAACAACCTCTTCGTTTCATTTAAAAAAAAAACTGTTTAAAACCCTAATGGATATTAGATTACAAAGGATAAAAATCAAAATTTGTTTAAAGTAAAAAACCATCCTCCAATAATTCCCAACTAGGTTATCTCACTTCTTATCTGTGTATTCAAACCTATGAGACAACATTAAATCAATATTTTTATTACTTGTACCTCTGTCATATATGTTTATAGATACATTTTATTGAGAAATGCAATTATAAAACATTATCAATCTCCTCGGAATCATTCAGTAAACCCTTATTTACATCTTCCCCAAATTGTCTTTAAATTACAAATTTTATAAAACACAATTTTCAGATCTTCTGATTTTAAAAGAAACCACTATTTTTCTCTCTCACTGTAACTAAATATAATACTAATATTAATAATAGCTCCCATTTAATGAACATTACTATGCTGTGAGGCAGTATGCTAAATATTTACATACAATATTGCTTTTCACCACAACCACCCTATGGTTATTTTAGAGAGGGAAGGAGGCTCAGAGGGGTTAAGTAACTTGACTAAAGTCACTTAAGTGGAAGATAAGAGAAGTAGGAATCTGAAGTCCTATTTTTCCCAACCATAAGTCACTCTAGAAAATGTAAGTCAGGGCCGGGTATGGTGGCTCACGCCTGTAATCCCAGCATGTTGGGAGGCCAAGGTGGGAGGATTTCTTGAGCCCAGTTTGATACCAGCATGGGCAACAAAAGGAGACCACATCTTTACAAAAAATTAAAAAATTAGCCAGGCATGGTGGTGCACGCCTGTAGTCCCAGCTACTTAGAAGGCTGAGGTGGGAGGATCGCTTTGGCCCAGGAGGCTGAGGTTGCAGTAAGGCGTGATTATGCCACTGCACTAAAGCCTGGGCAAAGAGCAAGACCCTATATCGAAAGAAGGAGGGGGGGAGTTAGGGGGAAGGAGGAGGGGAAGGGGAAGAATATAAGAATACAGAGATGCTTAGATTCAAAGCACACTGCAGTTGGCAAGAACAGAAGTGAGGGCTCTCTGGTGATTCTGCTGCATGCAGTCAGGGTGCCCCAGCCCCTCTCTTGAATTTGCAGTGCTGCTGCAAGGGCTAAAGCGCTGCAGTACACAGAACTTGCACTGCCTCTTTTCCCCCATTTCTTATTCCCTTATTGGTCCCCAAATGTCCATTAGCTAAATGCTACCCAGATTTCTTTATTGAAGTTAAATAAGGTGACATCCCATAGATCTTAGCTTCTATGATTCTTAAAGAAACAAACAAAAATGTGTGTCAAGCAATTTACAAATAAGAACAATTACCCTTCATTGTCTTATATTCATTTATGAAAATGCATTGAGGGCCCTTTATGATAGATAGTGTCTTATTCCCAAGAGATTCTGGCCCCTTAGTCACCAGATATTAGTATTTTATAATCAACTGGATGTAATACCCACAGACTTTTCAATAAGTTTAGACATTCTGTCAGCATGACCACTTATCACTGAAAATACATTTGGAAATAACGGCACTTCAACAGCTTCAGGCTGTGCTAAGAAGCAGACACATTAAAGTAAAACTGACTTCACAATGCTTTACATCAGCAAATTATGGAGAAGATCTGCTACATGAAGTGAAATTGAAAAGAATGGCTAATGGACAAAATAACAAAAACATTCAAATCAGACAGGAGCCGAACAGTACACACAGATAAAAAACTGCTGAAAACAAATTTAGTTTGCAATTTAATTCCGTATTTTATAATCAATATTCAGCAAACTATTGTCAATTAAATGACAACACTAAGCTGATAGGATTATCTCATCTACCAAATTTTAGTCTCCTGAAACAGCACTGATGAGGAATATTTAGTGAGTATGTTACAGCACATTGCTTAGACAAAAGAAAAGGAAAGGCATTGCCAATGACCTGCTAATCACAAGGTTCAAACCAAATGTTACACTTTATTTTATAAATATAAAACTACCTTGTTGCATCAACTAAACTTAAGCTAAACACTAAAAAATAGCAAACAAGGGCTTTTCTTCTTTTTAAAAGGGCTGAAAGAAGCATAATCTAAGTTTGGTTCCCTTTCCTTAGAAACAATTCCAAAGGTCACCCAAGGCAATCAGGTTCTATAAATTATCTAAAAATGTGGAGGAGAAGCAATGAAGAAAAGCTCTCAATCTCAGGATAAAGCAAGTGAAAATATAATTTCTAAGTCTCCAAATGAGATATTTCTCTGAACCAAAATAAAAAAACAAATCTACTGCATTTCCATTTCATCTGGCAGTTCCTAGAAAAGGTGAGCAGCTATCATCACTGATATAGAAAAAGGGTCTTCAGATTCTAGAGCATTTCTGCAGTGGTCTGTATCTGAATGTCTGGAACAAGACTCTGTAAACAAAGGCCAGGGGCTGGGTAGAGGAAACATGGGAAGCACTGTGTGACACCATGATTACAAGCAACAACTTTACGGCTAGGCACACCTAAGTGCAAAAACTGCCTTGTTTATGAATAATCTTGAGCAGGTTACCTAACCCTTCTGAACATCAGCTTCTTCACTTACACCATGGGGATAGTAGCCGCTACCCACTCGCATACTGGGAAGATTAGATGACCTTCTGTTTGCAATGTATTCAGCACTGTGCTTGGTGGTGGTTGTTATATAAGGAACAATATATATTTGTTACTTCAGGTGCTTCAGATTTCTTACCATTACTTATTATGGAGAAACTTCATTAATTCCACTCCTAACAACAAAAACCTGAGTCTACACTACTGAGCGGGGAAAGAGTTGTTACATCCCTCCCAAAAGGAGGAATGAATAGATGAACAGATACGTAATAAAGCAAATATAGTAAAATCTTAACTGCAGAATCCTGGAGGTTCTATTCACTACAAAGTTCTTTTCTTTAATGAAAATTTCATAACAAAATGTTAGAAAAAAAATTCAATGCAGAACAGATTATTACAGAAATTTATACTGAACTATCTATAACAGAACAGAAAACCATACATACCTAGATCCTCAAGTAAAAACACCTTGAAGAATGCCAGCTGTCATCATTTCTATTGAGACTCAGACTAAGAGATGAAACCACATCACTCCTGGGCACACACACACAAAGATCCCACTACTGTAACCCATATAGCTGAATCAAAATGGTAACAGGTGGATAAAGAGAGATACTTAGATCTAGGAAAGAATTATCTCACAACTCTCCTCCACTATGAAAACAGATCACCAATTTTCAGGTCACTGTTTTTTCAGTCAATTAAAAGACTGAAAAAAGAATGATGTGCTAAATTCTAAGACCACAGTATATGATCAATGAAGATACAGACAATACTGAAAGTAAAAAAGATTTCCCTTCTTTTCTCTTCCCTTTCTTCCTGACTTGTCATTCTATATAGATTCTCATATAGTTGTTTAATCTCAATTAAACAAAATTCCACATGAAATTAAGACCAAGAAGTCAATCATTAATTCCTTGCATGTAAGTCAACTACCCCTGGCAGAAAACTCCCAGAAAATGACACACAAACATTGGTTTCATTTCCCAACATCATGATGTCAGCTCTCCAACTACCATACCACAGAGATCATGGAAGACTTTGGTGAAAAGTACCAGAGGCTCAGGGAGTCCTGTGAGAATACAAGAGATGCAAGTGAAGTTAAAACATGGATGCTAGGCACAAACCATAATCTATTTTTAACAATGCAATTTGAAAGAAAATATGATGTCCCAAAAGCCCTATGTATAGAGAATCTCTTCATGTGTTGGTGATTGGCCAAGAAGCTTAATCTTCATTATATTATTATTATTTTTCATTTAACAGAATAAATCAACAGCCTATGTGATAGGAATAACTTTCGTGCTATTTTTGAGAGTCTGAGTTGTAACAGAAAGAGTTATAAACAATTGGCTTCTAAGAAATGTACAGCCATACGTATTTCTTTAATCTTAATGCCATTTTCACCTCATTTACCAAAGAACAGTGGCTCACACTATTCAGGGCTAAAGGAAATTGTAATCCAGACCTCCTAATATTTCCCTTTCTGTTATCCTACTTAAGGACTCTTATCCAAACTATTTTGCCTCCTGCTGTGGAAATGGCTTATATTCTTAAAGGTTTACTCTTAAGAGGGGAAAAAATGGTACTTAACCATTAACCATAGTAGTAAAATGTCAGTAATGTGATACTGTTAGTATCCACATATGGTCTATTTCACGTAAATTACAGTACAGATGAACCACACTGCAATAATGTGATCCCAGGGTTCTAGGCTAATAGGGCCACCACTGAGCCAGCTATCAGCAGTCACAGAGTTGGGATGAAAGTCTGCATAGTGATAATAACCATCATGGTTTAGTGAGCATCTACTGTGTGCCAAGTACCATGTTAGGCACATTTCTTATGCCATGTCTAATTCCCACACCCATCCTAAAAGATAGATATTATCACCTCCATTTAACAGGTGAGAAAAGGATGGTCAAGAAGGTTAAGTAACCTCATCAAGATCACACACTTCAGCAAACTTCCTTGCCTCCCTGGAAGCTTTCTGGTGGTTCTGTAGAGTTAGATTCTATCCATTTTTAACGCTATAGTAGTAAGATCCTGGACAAGTCATTTACCTCCTAAGCCTCAATTTCTTCATCTATAGAATAAAAAGCAAACTACCTGCACTTAAAGAGTTCCTGTGAGGATAAAGTGAGTTACTGCAGTTTATGTAAGCAGCACAATGCCCTCCACCTAGTACATGATCAATAAGTATCAGCTAAGGAAAGAAGATGACAATTGCTACATTTTTATACCTCTCTGGCAATTAAAAATATCCAAATACTAATCTCTCAGGACATTGCATTGAGATGTTGAGAGGCTTTTGTTTTTCTTTTTATTTTCTAGTAGGCAAGGAAAGAAGAAAAAGATATTGAAACAATTATCTATATAGTCTAGTCATAAATCTTGTCTCTTATCTTGGTCCTCAGTTTTTCTCAGCACTGCTACATTCTTCATATACCTACTGTCCATACACTAAGCAATCTGAACTATGTAGTTATACTCCTAAAGTTAAAAAAAAAGATTAAAACTCTACCACCAACTTCTGACTTCAAGTACAAAATAGCCCAGATTTAAATGTTATAACCACATTAGTCATGTGGGTAATGTATGTCTTTCTATTTACAGAAATACAATCATGTGCAAATAATTTATTTCAACTTCACCTTGGCAGAATAACCCATCAAATTGATATTACCCATCCACCAAGCAAATGGGCAAATGAACTTTTCAGCTGACTCATAATATGGCAATTTTTTTTCTCAGATTAATTTTTTCAAACTAAATTATAAAAGTCATGGTACATCATCCAGGGCATACTTCTCCTGAACAGCTGTTTCCCAGAGTCACTGATTCATTCAACTCAATATTAAGCACCTTCTATGTGCAAGTATTGTGCCAGGTCCTCAAGATACAAATGGTGAGCAAAAACAGACCCTGTGTGTGCTCAAAAGGAGGTGACAGTCAGGTAGAAAAGACAGAAATGTATCAAATAATCACAGGATCACTGGAACCCGTGACAAGTGCTAGAAAGGGGAGGAGGCCTGCAGTGCTGTAGTGCCTAAAATGGGAAGACCTGACTCAGTCAGGGAGGTCCAGTGGCTTTCCCAGTGCTTTCCCTGGAAAGCAACACTCTAGCCAAATACTGTGCTAGACAAGGGGAAAGAGAGGCATGGACAGGTAAAAGGTCAGTGTGGCTGCAGCACAGAGACCAAGGAGAAGCTTGGCATAAGCTACAGCTGGAGAGGTGGGTAGGGGCCAACACAGATCCCCGTGATCCACTGAGGAGTTCCATCTGCACTCTGAGAACGATGTGGAGGAACTGAAGGATGATGACAAGATCTGATCTGTATTTTGACAGCAGTGGGGACAGCAGATGACAGTAATTCACAGTGGAAGAAGATAAACCAGTTAGGAGGCTGCTGCAGGGATCCAGGCAAAAGACTATGGCAGTCTGGGTGAGATTAATGAAGACGAAAATTTTGAATGAAGTTTTACATCCACAGAAGGCAAGTGTTGGAGCCATACCTATTTCAACATATCGACTTGGCAAATCCCTCATTTCACTGGCATGCCGTTCCTTCACTGAGCACACCTGGAAAATAAGTTCGCAGGTTATTTTATTCATTTGATGGAAAATTCTTCATAACATTTTATTCAGTATATGGTATCTTTGTTAAATTAACCTTGTAGCACTGCAGATGGAGTACAATCTACCCTATGACTTAAATGACAGAAATTAATGTAAATGACATATAGCAATCACTATTTATATTCACCAACTTTATTCCTCAATAAAGCCTGATTCACATAAGTTCAGCTTTCCTGGTGAGACTGAACCTGAAGTCAAGTACTAATCCAAGTACAACTTCTGTCAGTGATCAGGGATTTTTCCTTTTTCTTTTACATAGTGTTCTTTTATAGCTGCTACCATTAACTGTAACTATGGTATGGAAAATTCTAAAATATAGAAAAACTCAAAGGGGAAAACAAGCATTAGTCATTGTTCCAGCACAAAGAGAACACCATTAATAATCTTTTTTATGAAAGCTACTTTTATTAACCTAACAATTTAATACAAGTAATTCAATATGTTATTTAAAGATTCTTCTACAACATAATTCTGTAAAGTTGTTATAATACAGTGAGCCCTCCATATCCATGGGTTTTGCATCCATGAATTCTACATTCATGGATTTAACCAAACAAGGATCAGAAATATTCAGGAAAAAAAAAAATTCTACAAAATTCCAAAAAGCAAAACTTGACCTTGCTGTACACCAACTACTTCATTAAGTCTATGCAAATGCAGTGATGTGTAGGCATTGTATCAGGTGTTATAAGTAATCTACAGATGATTTAAAGTATACAGGAGGATGTGCATAGGTTATATGCAAATACCGCATCATTTTATATATGCAAATGTTACATCATTTATATAAGCATCAGAGGAGCCCAGGATCCACAGGGGTCCTGGAACCAATTCCCCACAGGCACTGAGGGATGATTGCCTTTTATTACATGAATGTACTATACTTAATCAACCCCCTTTGGGGGCATATTTTTTTGTTTTTATATCTATTGTAAGCAATAGTGCAATCAACATACTTATATATAAAACTTTAGGACTTTTGTTTACTTAGGATAAATTCCTAGAAGTAGAATTGATACCAATGGGTACATAAACTTTTGTAAGGTTTTGTTTTTTAATATACGTAGTATACTGAGTTGCTGCCCAGCAACACTGCAGCGACTCAGTGAATGCAGAGTGCCCACTTTCCCTCAGGCGGGGCTTGAACCCATGGCTGCAGAGGTAGAAGCCTCCACATAGAAGTGACCGGCTGTCTTCTTCCTTGATTGCTTTTTGCCATTTGTCTCTTGTCCGTTTCATATAACTGCCTGTCCACTTCTCCAATTTTCTTCCCTTCTGGTAGACTTTTGAGCTTATAAGTTATCCACTCTTCTTCCCACACTTACTAGGGAAACTACTAAATCATCTAATGGCACATTCCACAATGCCAAATGGACAACTGTTTTAATGTGCTGATATAAGTACATGAGGAACAGTCTTTCAAATGGTTTGAAGTATAATAAAAAAGCAAATGTATCGGCAATATTAGTGAACACTTTTTTGGGCAGTTACTGGCAGTGCTCCTGAGTTAAGGCCTTTGTGAAATAGATATCATTATTTTCTTAAGATTATGGTGCAGTGGGGGAGACACAAAAATAAGGCACTTTACTGAAGTGTGACAGGGAAGTACAGAGCAGGGGCATCTCCTGCTAGGGCAGGAAGACTTCCTGGAAGAAGTGACATGTAAGTTGAAGCAGGAGAGACAACACAGGAGAACACGGTGATATGACAGCATAGGGCCTTCAACTGGAAGCTCAATCGGACAGAAATGAAGGGCATGGGGGAAGAAGGGGACAGAGTTGAGGCTGGAGAGTAACGGAGAGGCAGATCACAAAGAACCTTGGAAGTCATGTTTATGATCAGTTATCCTATGGGCAAGGAGGGGACTGACCTCATCTGACCTGCACTTAGATTATTCTAGCTATACTGTTTAGGATAGGTTTAGGGGGGGTAAAACCAGCACCAAAAAGACTTGACAGGAAGATGAAGTGCAGAGATTTGAGAGACATTGACAGAACTTGAGGGCTGACAGTCTTCCAACACTCAGACACCCCTGAAAGACAATGTTATTATGTTTAATCCAGAGATGAGGACACTGAGGCTCTGTGAGTGATGCCAGACTGCCTGGCCAGAGCTGGAATTCACACCAAGGCCTGACTGGTATCTCGCTGGTCATGCCACAGCTTGAGAACAAGGATGCATTGCACTACTGGTAGCTGGGCATGGCTCTACTGCACTCCTCAGCTCTGTGGTCTGGGCTCACCCAGCACCTGTCTCATAGGTAGGAAGTGGCAGGTAAAGGTGGGTGAATAGGTAAGTGCTACCTTAAGCTCATGTCTTGCATAAGCACAAATCAATGACTGTAAGAGCCCTTTACCACTGATAGGTGGGTTCTTGCCCATGAACTCTAATCTGCTTCCTCCACTTCTCCACATGGGTGGATAACAGGCATCTCTCAAGTAGACACACCTAAAACCAACTCTTGCCTTTTTCACTCTAAACATGCTTTATCAACAGTCTTTCCCATTTCAGCAAAAGGTAGTTTCACCTTCCAGTATGTTAGGTGACTGTGATCTTACACCCCACATCCAACTGTCAACAAATACTGCAGAGTCTACCATCAAAATATATCCAGGATCTGGTCATTTCTCACCAGCTGCATTACACTGACCTGAGACAACATTATTTTTTATGGAGATGACTGCGGTAGCCTAATTGGTCTCCCCTCTTGACTGCCCCTTTGCCGTTTAGCTCCACACAGCAACCAGAGATCCTTCCAAAATACAAGTTAGATCACTTAACTGACTCCACAACAGCTCAAAGCCCTGTGCTGGCTTCCTACCTCAGTCAAATTAAAAGCCAAAGACTTCTCAAGGGCCCCTGGGCTCCAACATCACCTGCTCCTCCACCACACCCTCCCCGACCCCCACTTACATCCCTCTCCTCCACATCTGCTCCACTCACTCTGACACAAACAGCTTCCTTGCTGTTCCTCAAAAGCACACCAATCACACTCCTGCTTCAAGAATTTTTGCACTCCTGCTCCTTCTGCTAACACCTCCTACCCCAGGCCCCCATAGAGCTGTATAACTTTTCTCTCCAGATCTCTGACCAAACAACATATTAGTTATTGGACAGGCCATCCCTGGACCACCCTATATTAAATGGTACCTACCCCAATCCCTTTTCCTATTATCCTGTTAAAATGTTCTCCTTTTTATTTGCCACCTTCAACATGCTATACTTACTTGTTTTTGTCCACCTTCCTCACTAGAACATAAATTTCCCAAGGGAAGGAACTCATTCATTTGTATATTTGTGTTCTGCAACACTAGAACACTGCCTGGCACACTGCAGGCACCTGGTAAACGTTTGTTGGGCAAATGAATGAATGAAGTAAATGGTAAGGTCCAATTGCACACTTTATTTTACTGTTTCTGGTTGCTTCTCCCCAACAAGATTGCTGTCCCTCTGAAGAAAGACCACGTCCTTATCTCCTCTTCCTTCAACAGAACTCACTAAGAGTCTACACTGAGAAGTGCTCAACATATAGAACTGAGTTTGAAGAAAAGGAACCTCCAATAAAATGAAATATTTGACATAAAAATTGTATAGAAGCTGGATCTTAACTTGGGCATAAAGAAAGGGTATATGTTTCCCATGGCTGCTATAACAGACTGCCACACTTGGTGGTTTAAAACAACAGAGATGTTGTTTTAAACATCTGTTACAGTTCCGCAGGCTACAAGTCTGAAATTGGGTTCACTGGGCTAAAATCAAGGTGTTGGCAAGGCTGTACTTCCTCTGGAGGCTCTAGGGGACAATCTGCTGTCTCCTCCAGCTTTCTGGTGGCTGCCACCATTCACTGACCACCTCACTCCAATTTCTGCCTCCACAGTGGTACTGCCTTCTCCTCCTCTCTTCCATGTTAGCATCTCCCTCTGCCTCCCTCTCATAAAGATAAACGTGATTGCATTTAGGGCCCACCCAGATAATGTAGGTTAATTCCCCATCTCAAGATCCTTAACTTAATCATATCTTTTGCTAAATAAAGTAATATTTACCTTTTTGTCATATAAAGAAACATTTATAGGTTCTAGGAATTAGGGCTTGCTATCCTTGGGGCCATTATTCAGCATACCAGAGAAAGAATTTCTGGGAGTAATGAGTAAACTTGTTACATATTTCTACAGGCTAATTTTCCTTGTCTTTCACCATAAGAAAAGAAAATCAGAACTTTAAAACTAACAAGCAACCTGGTCCATTTAAGGGATTTTTAAAATACTAAGAATATAAATTTATTGGATGAGTAACCACACACGTGGGACAGGGAGCCCAGGGAATCCCTTTTTCCATCCTACGATATAGGCACAGTTTCCTTCCTGTTACCCTAAATATAAATCAGGTTGTGTTCATGTAACACATGAAGAAAAAAGAACCTGAATGATAACAACATGAGGGCTGGGAGGGCCTGAAGTGTAACAATGTTTGTTTTGCTAATAACAATCATTACATTAATAATTTTCCACTTTCCCTTTCCAGAGAAGAGTACATTTTAAATAGCCACGTCCCCTTCATGACATTGCTAGAACTTTATATAATAATGACAGCTAACATTTATTAAGCAATTACATCAGATTCTATGCAAAACTCTTTACATGCATTGGCTCATTTATTTCTCCCCAAAACTTGTGATGTGAGAACAATTAGCACTACCACTTTGCAGATGAGGACAGTAAGGCTCACAGAGGATCCCAAAGGAAAATGGAGAAGCTGGACTTGATCCCAGGTCTGTCTGGCCTCAAAGCCTGAGCTCTTCCATGAGACTACTGCTGGGATACTCTCTCATGCCATTTTTATACTTCCACTAATTTTTAGTTTATTTTGTTCGAATTAAGCTGTCTATTTTTTAAAGGGAAACAACTTTTGGCTCTGAAGTATCTAATATAACAGAAGCACTAGTAGGCATAAAATAAATGTGAATGAGCTTTGGGCCCCCTTTCACAGAACAGCTAAATTTCATTTACCCAGGCGCATAAGGGTCAGATAATTAAACTTCAGAAAATATGCCCAAATCTTATTATTGATGATAAGTCTGGGTCTCTACTCTATCAAATTATTACCAAGCAGCAGGATGATTTAATTTTAACCTTCTCTCTCCACTATCAATAACTCTAATGAAGAAGTGAAGGGTCAAAGCTAAGGGAAAATGAAAAGAATAATAAAGAGAAGAAAACCTGACTAAACAACAAAACTAACCCCATGTTCTGTAAATAGCTAAGGCCAGCTGGGATGTGAGAAATTAAAAGAAGATTGAAAAAGACAGCACCATTCTCAACACGAAAAAGTTCACAAATAGTTTTACATGCCATGGAAAAGAAAGAATACATCTTAAAACTTATGCACAGGAAATAATTTGAGCATTAAATGGTAATCACGTCACAATAACATCCAAGTGAAAAGATTTGGGTCCTAGAAGCCAATCAAGACTCACAGTCCTTTGGACCACCCTCAGTGGATCTATAACAACACGGACTTATTATAAAGACAAGCAAAACCACCTTGACAGAAGTCCCCCAGCCAATAATCAGTGTCACATTGTCCTTCCAGCAGAGGCTGCAGGGATACATGTCTGGGCGAAGACTTATATCATCCCGGGGCACATTGGTGATTCTTTGCTTTGAGATGATGTCAAAAATCTTCACACCCTGGAAAATAATACAGCAGTAAGCATCCTCTACTCAGGAGGAAAGTAACAGAAAACTTATTAACAGCCCCTGCTACATACTACCAATAACCAGCACGGAGAAATATTAGCAGTGTTTACTGAGCATGCAAGGAAAATGCTCCTGCTCCACACAAACCCTGTGGGAACTAAAACCACAAGGAAACCTCCACCCTTCTTTCTGGACAAAGGAGATTTTCTTAGATGGCATGGGTGACTCAAACCCAACAGAAACATGAAATGTACAAACATCAATAGCTGCATTTCCAAACTGACAGACAAGTAACATTTCTAATTTTATCGTTCCACCATGAAAAATGAAGTTTGTTTTTTAGAAAGGCTTTGAGTCTGAAAAGCCACCTATATAAAGAAAACTACATCTGACATTTTAAAGTTCTCAAATGAAAACATCAGGCAAGCAGCTAACTAAAAATGAACCAAGAGACCACAGCTTTGTTTTACCTTCATCGTGACCCAGGAGAAGTAAGAAAAGTCCAGAATAAAAAGGTAGAGTCTAGGCAGATTTCTACCATTTAAAACTGAATAGAACCGATTTACTAAATTATACCTTGATGTTTCAAAAGATATGCCAGATGTCAAAAAGACCATTTTTAAAACTTCCTACTAGCCCCAATTCATAGCAAGTAAACTTTAAGTTAAAATGCAGCACTGAAAATTACGATCCACTTTCTTACAGACAGGTCTATACTTCTGTCTATGATTATACTGGGAGTAAAAGAGAAATCAGCAATATTCTGCACTTGTTTCATATCAACTCTTACTTGCCTTTGGCCAACAGGCAAATGATATTTTCAAGACCCATTCCCAATGCAGTCCTTCAATTATTAAGATAGCTTTTCATTTTCTTGGCTACTCTCCATGCCTCAGGTTTCTTACTCTAAAATAGATTCCAGAATATGTTGGGAATTACTATATTATGAAAGCCAAAAGCAATCTAATTTCTTTAACCTCCTAGGTATGATACCAATCGTCCTTACACCCTTTAGAAATCACCACCACAGCAAGTGGCATCTTTTCCCTTCATTACAGCCCTATCAAGTTGGCCATTCTTCTGCCACTGAACAAGCATTAGGAAGACAGAGGCATATTTTTTACCATATTATTGGCCCAAGCAATCAGATGGCCTCTCCACTTCACACTCCTTATGTTCCCTTCCCCTTCATGCAGAACAGCAGACTTCCATCTGTTCATCCAAGACCGTTCAAACAGTAGCAGCTAGGGACAAAAAGCATAAACAAAGAATCTTAGAAACTGAAAATAATGTATCAGGTTCTTTACTTACTAGTTTTACCTATCCTCGTGACCAAATAACAAACAAGTCACTCTCGACGTCTTTAATGTAGACTTACAGTAGTATGTTATTTGTACCTTGGAAAGAATTCCTAGCACATCATATTCTCCCCAGGAAGTTGTTTAAAATGGATGAGTGTTGAAGTTACTACAAGGCCAAGCCACAAGGTGGCACCAAAACACCAAGATTCATGGAAAATAATGCACATTAGTTAATCAAAAGATTTGTATCGCAAAAGTTCTTCAAATGATTGTCCGGGAACTAATTTATTTTGTAAATTGGGAAATCAAAACCTCTTTTAAGTTTTTCACTGAAAATAAGATATTAGTCACAGATTAAACTGTAATAGAAACAGTCTATGTTTTTCATTTGACTCAAATAATTGAACAATGACTTTTGAACAGTAATTCATGTCACAAAATAAAAAAACAATTGGAATTAAGCTTCTTTAGAAATTTCATAGTATCTAGGGTCTTTATTTTAACGGGAAGATTCTATCATTCAAAAAACCTGCTGGATAAATTTTAATATAAAATATAACTGGTCAAAAACCTCTACGATTAATAAAGATGTAATTCTAGGAAGTCATACATTATTAAGAACACAATAAATATTTTTCTTGACATATTCCATTTAAATCCTTTAAGAAAAGACATTTATACAGTATGTAACTTAAGGCATGCAATCCTGAAACACATGTTTATCCTTTCAAAGCAAATGCTGACAACAGATTCCATAACAGAATTACTAAAATTCCTACCACTACAAGCAATTTCAGTCTACCTTAGTATATTTTATGTCCTCTACCCACCCCAAAAGAGGCAGGGGAAACAGGTTAACAGGGGAAAGAGAGTAAATTCACATTTTATTTGTATTTCCTGTATATCTTTCTCAATAGACTAATACAGGCAGAGGAAGCACAAAATAAAATCCCTAAAATTAAATATGATGTCCATCATCACAAGTAAGCAAAGTACAGTTACTTTAAAATGCTACGACAGTTTGAAGTTGTGTGACTTCACAACTTCCACAGGGAGACTGGAGGCAGGGATTCTTCTGACCATACTTAGCCCCATCTTCCCATCAGATATATTCTCAGAGACCTTCTAACCCACCCTGTCCTCTCCTATCCCAGGTTCCAATTCAGAAGTCACTACTACCATGCCTTCCTACCCCCACAGTTAGAGGCCTTCGGGAGTGTCCCCAGACTGTGATTCAGCCTCTTCCTCCCATTTGCAGAAAACAGAGAACAGACCCCAGAAATGTAGGAAAGGGGGAGAAAGGCTGAGCATACAGTTCCTGCTACAGAGAAGATTATGCCCCACTAAAGACAGGCAGCTAAAAACAATTATTTTTATTTATTTATTTTTGAGATGGAGTCTCACTCTGTTACCCAGGCTGGAGTGCAGTGGCACCATCTCAGCTCACTGCAACCTCCACCTCCTGGGTTCTAGTGATTCTCCTGCTTCAGCCTCCCAAGTAGCTGGGATTACAGGCATGCACCACCATGTCTGGCTAATTTTTGTACTTTTAGTAGAGACGGGGTTTCACCATGTTGGCCAGACTGGTCTCGAACTCCTGACCTCAGGTGATCCACCGGTCTTGGCCTCCCGAAGTGCTGGGATTACAGGTGTGAGCAACCACGCCTGGCCACAACAATTAAACATGATGAATTGATAAGATCAAAATGTCTATCTTCTATCTGTGGCCTGGATCTGATGGAGGTGATCGTCCGAAATGGGTGAAGCACAGTGAGTGCTCAATAATCACCTGCTGGAATGAAGGGTTGGCAGGATGGCCGGGAGAACAGCAGGGTGGGACACAGCATCGAATTCCTTTCCCTCACCAATTCCCACCTAGAAATGACCAATGTAGTACTAAGAGGAGAACAGTCTGCACCTGTGTTGAAAAAGTTAAATATGCTCCAAATTTTAAGCTAAAAATTATGTAAAATATGCTAATAATAAGACTCCAGTGAAGGCCATGATTTAACTCATTCCCCCAGAAAAAGCCTGCCTGGGAAGTCAGGCAGGTACTAGAATGCCACAACACCCCCTACACTCAGTGTAATGGGGCAGGAACGAAGGGGAGTGGCCAGTCTTACTCTGAAACACAAAGGGTTGGGTCCCCAAGCATGTAGCCAGCACTGTAGCTGTCCCAGGTAGGAAGGAAAGCAGGCACTCTGACAAAAGGCAGGCACCTATGGAAAAATCCTGCATTTAAAAGAATACAAATTATCCAGGGAGTAATCCCCAACTTGTGACTCCATATGAATAACAAGACATTCAAAAAAAACAAAAGAACTTAAAAGTAAAATCTAATTCTTATCATCATAATTCTCATGTAACAACAAAATTAAGAAATTAATAACGAAGAATGAGAGAAAGAACAATACAAAACAAAAATGGTACAAAAAACATTCTCAATCTTTGGGTAAAAGAGGAATTCATATGGTAACCAGAGTACTTTGAAAATGAGAAATACTATAAACCTAAACTTTATGGGATACAATCAAAGTTGTAAAAAAAAGGAAAATCTAGATTTAAAAGTTAATAATGAACATGACATGTCGCTACACAACAAAACAAAAACATTTCATTGAGGGATACGAAAGGAGAACTCAATAAACAGAAAGGCACATTATTCATGGATAGTAAGACTCCAATTCTCACTAAAGAGCTTAAGTCTCATTAAATTAACCTATAATTTTAATGCAAGTCCAAAAAAATCCAAAGGGATTATTTCTAGAAATTCAAAAAATGCTAAAAATTCATTTTAAAAAATGAGAGAATAACAGGAATTTTTAAAAAATTAAGTAATTTAGGGGGAGGAATGGATTCATCCAGACAGATAGTAAAACATTTTATAAAATCAACACTCAAAACAATACAGCAATGTTTCTAGAATTGATAGATGAAGGAAAAAGAATGAACTGATAAAGACGAATCAAAATGATATGATCAGGCATGGGTATGTGGGGTGGGGGGTACAGTGGAGTATGTGCAGAGAAAGAGGTATCTTCAAACTACTGAACTGCGGTCTTGGACACCGTCTTTCTGGAGGATCATTTGGCATCATGGACTCAAAGCTTTTAAAAAAAATGACACCAGGAAGTTGCTACCTAGAAACTTACGCTAAGAAATGATCAGACAAGTTAGTAAAGATGCATGTAGAGCTATTTATAACAGCCAGAAATGGACTAACAACTGAGGAATGACGGAGCATAATACGATGGAGCACACACAATGAGTATGTATCCATTATTATTTTATGCATGTATCTTCATTAACAGAAAAAGCTATGAGGGCATATTAAATAAAAAAGCAGATGACAAAATAGTATTCAATACAATGTCCTTAAAATAAAATGTGAATGTGTATTCACATATATTATAAAATCTAAAAGATACATGACAAAGTAATCCTAATTCGATAAATGCGTGCTGAAATTTTATATTATTTTTATTTTATAATTATTCTGCACTAAATATATGAATTTTTTATGTTAATACATTAATGGGAATGAAAATCCATTCTCTTATTTTTACAATCAGGAAAACTTAGGGGAATAGTTAAAATGAAACAACAAAGTAATATCAAAAATTCACTGGAGATTGGGTGCAGCGGCTCATGCCTGTAATCCCAGCATTTTGGGAGGCCGAGGTGGGTGGATCACCTGAGGTCGGGAGTTTGAGACCAGCCTGGCCAACACGGTGAAACCCCGTCTCTACTAAAAATACAAAAAAATTAGCCAAGCATGGTGGCCGGCACCTGTAATCCCAGCTACTCCAGGGGGTGAGGCAGGAGAATCGCTTGAACCTAGGAGGAGGAGGTTGCAGTGAGCCAAGATTGTGCCATTGCACTCCAGCCTGGGCAACAAGAGCAAAACTCTGTCTCAAAATAAATAAATAAATAAATAAAAATTCACTGGAACTTAAAGAAGTAATGTTTGAGGCATATTGAACATGTATTAGAATGAATTTACATAAACTGTATATACTTTTCAAATAAAACATTAACTTCTTCAGAAAACTGTTAATTAAATCTTGTTGCAGTTCCTACCAAAATGCAAGCTCACTCCAATGGACCCTTTCTGTTATACTTGGTGTGCTCCGAGCTATGGGAGGAAGCAGAGGTGGCAGAACTCTGGCCTCCTTTTGCCTCCTACTCTACCTCCCAAAACAAGAAACTAAAAACTTCCAGCAGAGGGGAGGAGGCAAAGGAAGGACAGACGAATTCTGAATCCAGGCCATCTCAGGATTGAGTCCCAAAAACCTTGTGGACCCTGCTCTGACATGCAATTAAAAGAGCAAAGAAGCTTCTCCCAATGACATTTCTACAATGCAGACAGGCACATGCCATTCTATGCAACTGATGTGTGCTCAAAAATGGAGGGGGGCTAAAAATTAACCTCTGTAAATGAAACAAATTTTAACTAATTAATATTACAAGTTTTGACAGGATTCACGTTATTTTCTTATGTTTTTCAAATAGCCTAAGTCCCTATCACTTTATATTTTGTGGATGAAAAATAAGAAAATATCTGTAAATAAAGTAGGTCATCATAAACATACTAAGGAAATACTAAATAAAGTAGGTCATCATAAACATACTAAGGAAAGTCATCATTTAAGAGAATTCTTTTGTAAGTCAAATAATTTTCCCCCAATTTATTGGTTCTGTATATGTTTTATGGTCACACTGGTTTTCTCACTGCACAACTAACTATTAAATCTTGTTCACTGAGATTGGTGTGTTTACCTTGCATTTCCCCAACCAGTGCATTGGGGAAAAGGATCATATCTTATACTTTGCTAGACCCATAGGCATAATAAATATTAAATACTAAGTAGGCTATCCGAGTCTACTAGTCTTAATTCTTTCCTTCTCTGACCATACACACAATGCGTTTGCTACAGGAGGAGCTACACGATTTCCCAAAACGTTTCAGTTACTCAGCCTATCTTTACAGTTAGTAATACTCCTAAAATATTTTGAACACAATGGAATCTACTCCAATCTCAAAAATTTAAAGAACCCAATGACTAATTCACACAATCAACACAGCCTTGCTTTTAGAAAGGGCTCACTTCTATGGATCCCATATCCAGGCATGTAATGTCAGTCTATTTCCCTTTGCTGAAGGCCAGCAGATAGAATTTGTGCACAACTTGCCAAAAATTTGAAAGCTGCTTTTAAGGTTAGCCTTCCTCTATTAGGTTTAAGTAATTGCAGCTCTTTTATTTCAGAGACACGAACTGGCCACACGTTTGGCCTGAACGGTAATTTCTGAAATGTGTCTGCAGGCCTGCAGAAGGCTCTCTGGATTGCCACAGCGCCTACTTCTCCAGGCTCTCTCGCATGTGGCCTGCTTCTCTCCTTGATGTTACCTGCCTGGCCCCGTCGAACATTTATTTCTGCCTTTCCTCTCCACCCTACTTTATTCTTCACTCATGAGTCCACTTTTCCTATCCTACATAGTATAAAACCTTAAATGCCTGCTAGTAATTATGGAGTCATTTCTATATCTCTGAAACTCTCATGCAGGATTTGCTTTGATTTGACATAGAGTTTCATACAGAAGGGAGAATGGCCAAATGATCCACTCTCCATTGGCTTTTTTATCCTAATCTCTGTGAATTTCAAGCAGAAACATATTTTCTGACAAGAATGCCAAGGAAAGCTTTGCTTTGGTGATTTAAGAAAACATGAACTCCTTTTCTTACAAACATTCTATACTAATTTAACTACCTCAAAACTACCTGCCTGTACTTCACTGACATTTAATAATATCCATTTTTTCCTTCCAGTCATAAAACTGCCCACAGACCTACTGAGCACGAATGTTCTACAAAGCATTTTATGGGGTAAGCCATTGAAAAAAACTACGCTTAAAAGCAGCTGGTTAATTTATTTGGTTCATCTTCCATACCCTGTAATATTGAATTGTCATTATCACAATACTAAGAGCAATTTAAGCTCAATGGGAGCTAAGTACATAGAGAGGAAAAGCTGTTTCCAAGAGGTCTATTTTTTTGTTGGAAAAAGTATTTTAGGGCTTTATTTCCCATAAATCCACATTCTGGCAGTCAGCACTCTCAATACTTATATTTCAATATGAGCCCTCACATCCTCAGCAATATACTTTATTCTCCTCTGTTTTGTGCTGATAAATCTATCTAGTGCTTTCCTACTCTACAGAGTGGTATAAGGACATGGAGCCCAGAATCTCCCACATGTGTGGCAAGATTCTTATCAGGCTGTAATGAAGTCCCCGATTCTGGTCACCTAACGCCCATCATTACTTGTCACTCACTCTTCCCTGATGGAGTTGAAAAGAGTATCATTGGCCCTGTTTTAATCACCTTGTGATCTTTCAAGTTGATAAATCACTTGGCTCCTTCAGGCTTCCTAAATACTGACCACACTGCTAGCTTTGAGGCAGACAAGAAAGTGGGCAAGATTCAGCAGGGGCTTCAGCCGAGGGTCAAGGCTTAGATACCATGTGTGTTCCCACGGGGAGAACCAAGGGGCTTGAAGAAAACAAATATTTCACAAAGGAGGACCTGTGCTACGTCAGGAAGGTGCAGAAGATCCAGGTAATAAAATAGAGAAATAGAGAATAGTAAAACCCAGCAAATAAAACTGTCTCAATAAAAATAAACAAAGGGGATAACAATGGGAAAGTCTTGTTACAAAAGGATTTAAATATTCAAGATTAGAAAAGATCATGAGCAAAATTTTAAAAGTCAAGAAGGCAAGTGAGAAAAATATGAGTGAGTGTGGAGAAGACCTAGGATGGTGGCTGGCTACTGATGGCAAATGGGGTCTTGAACCCTGAAGGAGGCAGGAATGAATGACCAGGAACCCATATGGAGCAGGTAAGTGTCTTTGTTTTGCTTCGTGCTTAGGCTTAGTGCCAAAGTTTCAAACACGCAGCTTCTCTAAACACCACCAACAGCTCTACTGTGTCCATCAAGATAGAATATAAACATGTGGGAAGAAAAAGAGAACTTCCCAAATATATTATTTCCTTAAATTCAGTGGTTATTTTCTGAACAAGTTATAATGCTTCAATCTCCTTTATCTGAATTTAACATGTTTAAAACCAGTTCAGTATAGACAAAATGTTGGTACGACGGAAAACCTCTGTGCACAAGGGTTCCTAGAGCCCACTCAAATGCCACTTGCTTACAAACAATATTTTAGTAAACACCATTCCTATGCAACACAGACTTTTTTTTTTAACTTGTATTTTAATTTCAGGGGTTTATGTGCAGGTTTGTTATGTAGGTAAACTCGTGCCACAGGGGTTTGTTGTACAGATTATTTTGTCACCCAGGTATTAAGCCTACTATCCATTAGTTATTTTTTCTGATCCTCTCCCTTCTCCCATCCTCCATCCTCCAATAGGCCCCAGTGTGTGTTGTTCCCCTCTATGTATCCATGTGTTCTCATCATTTAGCTCCCACTTACAAATGAGAACATGTGGTATTTGGTTTTCCGTTCCTGCATTAGCAACACAGACTTTGGACATGCCCTTGCAGTTAATTCTGCGAAACCTATATAGACAGACCAATGCTCTGAAATTTAAAAAACACTGTATCAACATAAGGTAACGATCAATTCAGCAACCAAGAAATCCAAGCAAAGCTTCCATGAAAACAAAATAAGTTAAACAACGGACGTGCCATTTAGGAGCAGCTTTCTTTGCATTAAAAAACTAGAGATGACAGCTAGATAAAGATCTACCTACCCACCTATGCAGTATCTACCTACACACCTATGTGGGCTTGGCAATCAAGCCAGCATGTGAGGTAGTCCCCTATTTAGACTACTAATCTGCAATTGCTGCAAATGCAAGCACATAATTACAAGTGCGATTTCAGAAATGACTAGGACACTTTCTAAGTAATTTTACCACTTAAAAAAAATCTTCCATATGGATCCCACAGATTTAATAGAGCTGGCTGTTCATACCAAACACGTTGAGTCTGTTTTTCAGTTTGCAGCTATCTGAGGATACATTTTCCGGGCTGGGCCCAAGGTCAAACACCCTCAGCATCAGGGTAGAGATAACAGAAAAGTCATCCACTGGGTGATTAAACTTGAATTAATGTTCTCTGCAATGAACAAATATCTCTAACTTTAACTACATATAATCTCAATCACTGATGACTGGTGAAAATCCTTGCACAGTGAGTATATCAAAAAGAGATGCAAAATTGCTAAGTCTTGAATAATGCAGACAGTTACCTGAAAACACGGGTTTATGTATTTGAACAAGCCCTTCACACAATTCAAAGTAAAACAGGCCAGGCGCAGTGGCTCACGCCTGTAATCCCAGCACTTCAGGAGGCTGAGGTGGGCGGATCACAAGGTCAAGAAATGGAGATCATCCTGGCCAACATGGTGAAGCTCCGTCTCTACTAAAAATACAAAAATTAGCTGGGCGTGGTGGTGCACGCCTGTAGTCCCAGCTACTCGGGAGGCTGAGGCAGAAGAATCACTTGAACCTGGGAAGCAGAGATTGCAGTGAGCCGAGATCGCGCCACTGCACTCCAGCCTGGCAACAGAGTGAGAGTCTGTCTCAAAAAAACAAAAACAAAAACAAAGTAAAGCCCAAAAGTTGAAAAAAAAAAAAATCAGGAGACTATCTGCAGAAGAAAATGAGTCAAATGAACCCAATTTCAAGCATTATAATCCACTTTCTTACCATCTCTATGAAAAACTGGCATTAACTGGACACACTGGTCAGCATTGATAGCTTTCATGGAAGTGGCAGAACTGATGGTTTTGGGGCAGACTCACATCTACATGGTAACATATGTTCATCCTCTCTACACACTTCAGGGTCTACTCTAAAGCCTCATTTAGACTCCTATATAATGCCTCCCTGGGAACAACAATAATTATTCCAGATTTGGCCAAAATTGGAGAAAAGGCTGCAGGCTGTTCAGTAAGCAGCAATAATTTGTGCTCAAACTGACAGTAAATATCAAGTGGACAGCCTTCATTGTCCTGGCTTCTATGGTAATATTAAAAGCTGCCCTGAGCAAGGAATACAATCAGACAAATCACAAAGGAAGCTACAGAACTAGCTAATAAATAAAAATGTTCAAAATCACTAAAAATTCAAATATACTATAAAATAGAAAAATGGAGTATCTTTATATATCAGATTGGCAATGAGCATGTGGTAAAATAGGTACTCACACATAGCTGATGTAAACTGGTGTAAGTTTTCTGGAATACAATTTTACTTGGCAACACATATTAAATGCCTAAAAAATTATCATAACCTTTGATTCAGTAATTCCAATCCTAAGAATCAATGGTAGGAAAACATTCAGAGGAACAGATGAAAGGCCAAAGATTTCAAGGTTCACCACATCATGATTTATGACAGCCAAACACTGGATATAACCTAAAGGTCCAAAGACAGAAGAATGGTTAAGAAAATCAAATAGATCCATAAGATAGAATATTATGCAACTATTCAATAACACTGAGCTAAGAATAGACATCAATAATGTAGGGAATTTCATATGATGTACAGTGATAAGTTAAAACAAGATCTAAAATAATTGAGATTACTCTAAACATTCCTTTACTTTTTATTATTATAAAAATAATGCATGCTTACTACAAAAAAGTAAATAAAAGCCAATGAAGGTCAGAAAGAACATTCATAATCCTGCCCAGACACAAATATTGTTAATAATTTGGTGTACAGCCTTCCATGAATACATCTACATACATAATTTTATTTCTACAGAAAAGGATAATCAGACCATACATATATTTTAGAAAAGTACCTCAACAGAAGCAATCTAACAAATGTTGAGAATTTTATTTATTCCAACTGAGAAAGAGAAAAGCTGACAACCAGAAGCTAGCCTGGCACCCACAGCAGGGCTCTGATGTTCTCTTGATGAATATAAACAATTTCACACAAAACCAACATCAGCCGAGGCCACTCCATGACCATGAAGGACCAGGACAGAAGCAAGACCACTCCATAATCATGTCTGAATGCAAACAAGACATGAACATTTTCCAAGTCGTGGCAATGACCAAACACCTCCCACTTTGGCTAAAATGACAGACTGCTGCTTCTTTACCAGTTATGACTTTGGCTTTGGCTTAGGCTTTTCTCCTTCTAGATAAGATTTATCAAAATGCCCAGCTGTAGAATTACTCATGCTTCATGACAGCATCCAATCTAGAGCAAAGCCCTGATGCCTTAAACCTCCCCAAAATCACCTCACACCAGCCTAAATCCTACAATTCTTCTAACATCTTCCTAAAACCATATGGGGTACTCCTGGTGATCTTTGGCCGCAGGGCACTGACACAGCTAATTCACTATTGTTAGACAGCTTGTACCAATTTTCACTGTTACAAATATCAAGAAAATTGGCTGAAACTGAGTTAGAAAATTAAAAGGAAAACAAACAAACCATACAGGTCGAGGGGGATCCAAAAGGCTTAAAGACAAATAAAGGACTGTAAATTTACCCCATAGTGTTGTATGTGAATATACAAATACACTCATTTTCCTGTCAAGTCACTATTCTGACTAATGGTCTTATTAACTATATTCTACCTACACCATCCTATCTATATGCTTTTGGAAGCCTACCACCATTTCTGAAATCAAGATCCTGTGTACACACAGCACCTAACATGAAGCATGACACAAGGTTGTATTCAGGAAGCAGATTCAAACCAAATACTCCTGTGAAATGACTGTGATTTAGTTTGTACCACGACACCAACTAACAATGACTGCAATTGTGACCCCTTGCTTTATACAGCCTTCTCTTAAAGCAAAAGAGAGAAAGAGAACCTCTGTGTTAATGAATCAGCTGATGTTAAATCCCACAAGAATATCTAATGAACACCTCTGAACTGGCAATGACACTTGCAGTCCTTGCTCAAAATACTTAAGAATAAGCACAGGACTCTCCATATGCAAAAGAAGATATTATCAGCAAGGAGCAAAAGATGGTTATAAGGAAGAGAGATGGTAGTTTTAACATCAGAGTTCAGGGGAAAGCTACAATCAGTATGGAAATATATGAAAAAGTTAGCTGAACTCATTAAAGAAAAAAGTATATTTTTTAACAGGCATTTGATGGATATGAGACAATGGGAATCATAAAGGAAAATGAAGTTGCTATGGACCCAACTCTCCCACCCTGACCGCTGTAGATACCATTCAAATACTCTGGGAGTCCTACATATTGACATCAAAAAAGCAATCAGCAATGAAGAACACCTGTTTTTCCGACTGAAAATGATTTTTATTTAAGCATTATATTTCTATTTTTAGCCTCAGATAGCTTAGTATACATAGGAAAACTCACCGAAAAATACTTTAAACAGTAGAGCTATTTTATTGCTTGGTTTTTCATATCTAAAAAAATGCTTGTGAAGGTTACATTTGTGTTTTACTTCCTGCTAATCAATGGTTTTTAATCAATTTTGGTACATTGATGACAGCATGAAATACATTTCTAGGAATGAGACCACAATTTACAACACAGTACCTAGAATAAATAAAGGTATGTATTTACAATGCCTCAACGTGCAACCGTTAGATTGGTGGCTGCCTGTGGTGTAACTGTGAATTAACTAGGGAGCCTTAATTTTAATTCTTAAAAATGTTCAGACGATTCACTTGAAAACTACAATGGTAAGTAATGTGGGAAGAAGTTTCAGGTAGAAGGCTACAATCAAGCATCTGAAAACTTGCGGAAATACTATCCTAGAGATCCAAACACTGGACAGGAGACAGAGAGGAACTGCTAATGTCAAAACCCTTCTAGCCACCAAAACCCCAGCTCCAATCTGACCCAAAGATGAACAAACACACGAGGAAGCACTCCTACACTTCATGTTTAGGGATGGCAGTGGTAAGAAAAGGCTCACCGGATTATCTAGATTCTAAAAAGATTTGTAGCCAGGGGACTGGGAGCTATTGGCAGATGCTGGCCAAAAGGGCACAGACTTTCAGTTCTAAGATGAATAAATTCGGGGATCTAATGTACGCTATGGTTACTATATTTAATAATGCCATATTAAATACTTAAAATTTACCAATGGATTTTAAGTATTCTCATCCCCAAAGAAATGGTAACTATGTGAGGCAACTGATAATGTTAATTAGCTTGAACGTGGCAATCACTTCACAATAAATACTAAATACATTTGGTATATATCAAATCATCATTGTATAACTTAAATATGTATAATTTGGCTGGGCATGGTGGCTGACGCCTGTAATCCTAGCACTTTGGGAGGCCGAGGCAGGCGGATCACGAGGTCAGGAGTTTGAGACCAGCCTGGCCAACATAGTGAAACCCCGTCTCTACTAAAAATACAAAAATATATATATATGTATATTTTATATATATATATAATATAAAATTTTAATTTGTCAATTATACCTCAATAAAGCTAGAAAAAAATAAAAATGTTGATAACATGGGCAAAAGAAATAAAATTTAAAAACAATCTTAATAATAATTTTTTAAATATTTACAGTTTTATAAAAAGCTTCCCATATTGAATCCTCCCTCAAAAAGGATTCAAAATCCAATTTATTATTTGCAGACCACTGCTGGAAGCTTATAGAAGCTGGCTGACACTACCATCTCTGTCCTTCAGGTAAAATTTGCCATTTCAAATTTTCCTCATTTCATTCACTCCAGTCCTTTCCTTGTTTGCTGACTGACATTTTCCAGCTTACAAAGCAACTTGCCCCTGCGGCCAGGTCCCCTCATTCTATCCCACCGTAACGCCAAACAGCTGACTATCTGATTTCTAAAAATGAACTCCACTGCAAACAGCATCGCGACAATTTAATGATTTGTCAAAGTAGTAGAACCAGTTATTATAAAGTGTATTTCAGTGTTCAAAAGTAAAGGTCCTATGAAGCTAAAGCTTACCTGCTGACAGGGAAAGCTGGACAATTAAAAAAAAAAATCCAGACAACATTCACTTGACAGATTTATTTCTAAAATAGAAACTTCATTTGCCATGCTCCTGTATTAAAATTCTTGCTACAAAAGAAGGTTACACTTACAAAAAAAATTCATTGGTTCACGTGTTTGAAAGCTCTCTCCAATGGCACTTTTAAGAGATGTGCTTTCTCTTTTTTTTTTTTCAAGATGGAAACAAAACAGAATATGGAATAAGCTTTTTATGCTCATGTGTCAAGCACTGGAGTCCATAAATCCAGCTATGGCATTCAACTACTAAGAAGATACCTTGAAAACCTAAAATAAAAGTTTATGCCAGACAGAACTATAGCCTCCTAGTCCTAGTCCCTGGTGGATAAAGAGCTATCTCTGAACACCTAAGAAGCCAGAACTTTGAAAAGGAAATAGCTGTCAAACTACAGTTTCAGGGTTTCTTCTGTTACATTGCTATGTTCTGCAATGTATGTTGCATACTTTGAAAAGTATGTTCTAATTACTTTAATAATTTTTATAGGAATCAAAAATTGTAATAAGATTAAAGAACTATTAAATATTAATAGACATCTCTCTCAAATTTTCTTATGACTTCACGAATATCTCATAGTGGTCCTCTATTTTTCTACTTAGTTCCTCTAGTCTCTGTGCCACTTTAACCCATTGTTTGTAGAAGGTGGCATATAATTCCAACGATTTATTTGGCTGTCAGTCTAGAGATCACTGTTCTTAAGGGTTAAGAATGTCTTTATTCCACATTACACCTTCATTTGGCTAGTCTTTGCTCCAATTTTTTGAAGATTAAATTATTTCTTAAAGGCAGAAAGTCATAACCTCTCAGTTATCTGACATATGTCTTTATTCTCTTTTCCCCCTATGTGATCTGCCACCTGTTCTCAACAGAGGAGGGATCTTGATATCTATAACATGATTATTGCAAGGTTATAACCATTTGCTAAATGTTGGGCTTTTCAAAATTGTTCTGCCTAGTTTCTGCTGCTAGTTTAAAATTGCAGCTGAAAGGATTGAAGTAGCTACTGAGCCAATGTAGTTATCTCATTTTTCAAAGATATAAACCTCTATAACTCAGTTACAAAAAGAGCAGCTCCTCCTAAAAATTTGCGAACACTTTCAAAATGAAAGTGATCATTTCACAAGTCCTCCTTTCTTAATGTAACCTTCTAAATGCCTTTAGTTTTTAACATCAGATATATTTCTTAATGAAATTAGAAAAATACATCCTAAAATACCTCAACTAAATAAATCTATTTCAAAACAAACAAAACACGCTAATGTCAAAAACATGAAGCATAAATAATCTTTACAAGTACATACCACACAACATGTAGAAAAAGGAAATTCTCTGGAGATTTCTGCAAACCACACCAAGCTGATACACATTTTGAAAATCTCCATTTAACCATATGCAAACAGATCATTATAGTTTATCAAGAAAATGGTACTTTTTAGTACTTAGTAAATACATATTTACATGATAAAATTTAATGGATCCAAATAAATCAAAGTTTGTATGTTACAAGTCATTAAATTGCGGACACAGTTACATGTTTCTAAAGCCTTTAACATAAGTAAAATAAATTATAATGGCTTTTTTAAATAAATTATTCTAAATCACAAACTATTATCACACTTTTAAAAGACTTGTTTTGTCATACACACACACACACACACACACACCCCTCCATATATACAGATAGATAGATATATCTCATTCATATATATATATATCTTCTGTAGTAAGTGGAAATAATTTGCTTGTATTACCCTAGGGTGCTTTGATTGTACTGGGAATAAAAACAGGTTTTCCTTAAAGAATGATGATATATAATGGCTTTTTAAAGGGAAAGAACCCCAAACCAAAGTTTTAAGAGTAGACAGTCTTTGACTTATGATTATTTGACTTAATGATTTTTCAACTTTATGATGGTACCTATACAATGATTAAATTTTTCACTTTCAGTCTTCAATAAATTACATTATATATTCAATGCTTTATTATAAAATAGGCTTTGTGTTAAATGATTTTGCCTAACTGTAGTGTTCTGACTACAATTAAGGTAGGCTAGGCTAAGATGTGATGTTCAGTAGGTTAAGTATATCAAATGCATTTTTGACTTAACAATATTTTTAACTTACAATAGGCTTATCAGGACAACCTCAACTGTAAATTGAGGAGCATTTGTAGTTCATCTGCCATCCCATAACTAATTACAGAAAAATTAGTGGCTTTGAAACCTAAAAGGGGTACTGGCATAAAGATAGCTATATAGATTGGTAGAATTCAGAATCCAGAAATAAACCCTAACATTTATGGTTAACCAATTTTCCACAAAGGGCCCACACAATGGGAAAAGAATAGTCTTTGCAACAGTGATGCTGGGCCAACTGGATATTCACATGCAAAAGAATAAATTTGGACTCCTGTCTTACATCATACATAATGAACTCAAAATATATTGTACACCTAATTTAAGAGTAAAAAATACAAAAGTCTTAAAAGAAACAAGCATTAATCTTCATGACCTTGGAAGAGGCAACAGGCAGTGATCTCTTAGATACAACACCAATAGCACAAGTATCAAAAAAATTAAGATAAATGTGACTTTATTAAAGTTACAAACTTCTGTGCCTCAAAGGATACCATCAATAAAGTGAAAAGACAACTCATAGGCTGGGAAAAAATATTTGCGAATCATGTATCTGATAAGGAATATCTACCCAGAATTTATTTTTGAAGTTTATAACTCTATAATTAAAAAAACCCAATTAAAAAATAGGCGAAGAATCTGAATAAACATTTCTCCAAAGAAGATATGCAAATGGCCAATAAGCACAGGAAAACATGGTCAACATCATCAGTCATTAGAAGAAAGTCAAAACCACAATGAGATATCACTTAACACATACCAGAGTGATTATAATCAAAAAGAGAAAATAAAATGAATATTGGTGAGAATGTAGACAATTAAAACCCTCATATATTTCTGATGAGAATGTAAAATGGAACAATCACTTTGGGAAACGGTTTGGCAATTCTTCAAAATGTCCAACATAGAGTTACTATATGATTCAACAATTCCATACTCAAGAGAAATGAAAACACACAGCCACAAAAAGCTGTACAAAAATGTTCATAGCAGCATTATTCATAATAGCCAAAAAGTAGAAACAATCCAAATGTCAATCAAGCGACAAACGGATGAATAAAACATGATAGATCTATACAATGAAATATCATCTGGACATAAAAAGGAATGAAATACGGATACATGCCACAACATTGATGTACCTAGAAAAATAAGGAAAGAAGTTAGACACAAAGGCCATATATTACATGATTCCATTTATATGAAATATCCAGAATAGGAAAACTTATAGAGAAAGAAAATAGATTAGTGGTTGCCTAGGGATGAGAGGAGGGGAGGAAGGAAGATGGGGAGTGACTGCTAATAGGTGCAAGGTTTCTTTTTGGGGTGACGGAAGTGTTCTAAAATTAGCTTACGTTGATGGTTACACAGCACTGTAAATATATTAAAAACGACTAAACAGCACACTATCATCTGGTGAACCTCATGGTATGCAAATTATGTATCAATAAAACTATTTTAAAACAGCTAAAAAAATAATGACTTAATACCAATTACTTACACTGACATGGGTAATCACGGGATTCCTCACTTTAAAATATCATACATGTGCTTTTCTCATGCCCCATATACTAAGCCTTACATACAATACACTAAGCTCTTCAGTGTATGTTTTCTTTTAAATTATTTTAGTCCCAAATGTCTAAGTTAATAATAAAATCATTTTTAATTCAATTTTTCACCAGATGACCTTAACTGTTTTTATTTTACTCTCATGTTATATACATATAAACTTTTTTTCTGTATGCTTGGAACGAGATGTCAACAGATGCATTTTTGGAGAACTGAATAGGAAAAAAAAATTACTCTCTCATAGAAAACTGAACATAGAACAGCTTGTCAAGTAGTCAGTGACAACCAAAGAGACAAACCAAACCCCTGATGTTCTGCCTGTTCAGCATTTTTTGAATTCTACTTATCTTATTGCTTATCACAATGTCCAACTTTCTATAAATTCCAAGCTCTTCCCATGTTATCTTACCAACAATTAGATGCTAGATTACTCTGTTGTTCCTGCACTGCTCATGGATCTACTCAATGGACTCTGACCCAGACTGCTGCATGCACACTGTCCTTTCTACGGATGTCTGCAAATGATATCAAATGCTAAGTAAAAGGATGAAGAATATGTTACTGACAGTTAACCCAGACATCCTACAGGGAGACAAGACACTCATGCAGCAGAATTAATGTGGCAAACTTGATAAGACTACAGGTATCCCTTGCAGCAGAAAAGCAATTATTAAACTTCACGAATACACTGATTATTAAAGAACACAGGCCGGGCGTGGTGGCTCACGCCTGTAAGCCCAGCACTTTGGAAGGCCGAGCGGATGGATCACAAGGTCAGGAGATCAAGACCATCCTGGCTAACACAGTGAAACCCCGTCTCTACTAAAAATACAAAATATTAGCCAGGCATGGTGGCAGGCGCCTGTAGTCCCAGCTACTCGGGAGGCTGAGGGAGGAGAATGGCGTGAACCCGGCAGGCAGAGCTTGCAGCGAGCCGAGATCGCGCCACTGCACTCTAGCCTGGGCGACAGAGCAAAACTCTGTCTCAAAAAAAACAAAAACAAAAACAAAAAAACATAAACCAACACAGCAAAATCTCTCCTCCAAATCTTCAGTCCTACCACATGGACATCAACACTCATATTATCTCTGGTATGTTCTTTTATTCTAATACCTTCAAGAAATAGGGGACAACTGTAAAATCTCTAACTCTTGAAATTGGAAATTGAAAATCAAAACTGCATCAAAACATGCTAGGGAAATATTTAAACCAAAGTGATTTATCAATATTTTAAGTGTATAGCAGATTATTAAGAAGGCAGCAGACATCTTAGAACCTGACCTTCCAGCCCCGGTCAAGCAGCTCCAACCAATATCCCAATTGAACCCTCATGAGCAACCTTCAGCCAGGGCCTAACAGCTAAGCCACTCTTGAATTTTCTAAGTATGAGATAATAAATGTTTGTTGTTTTAAGTCATTTAAAACAAAAAGCAGTGACCATTCCCAGTGAGAATTAAATAAAATGTAATTCTTTATTCAGCCAGGCATGGTGGCTCATGCCTGTAATACCAACGCTTTGGGAGGCCGAGGTGGGCTGATCACCTGAAGTCAGGAGTTTGAGACCAGCCTGGCCAACATGGTAAAACCCCATCTCTACTAACAATACAAAAATCAGCTGGGTAGGGTGGTGGGCATCTGTAGTCCCAGCTACTCAGGAGGCTGAGGCAGGAGAATTCCTTCAACTCGGGAGGTGGAGGTTGCAGTGAGCCGAGATCATGCCACTGCACCCCAACTTGGGCAACAGAGCAAGACTCCGTCTCAAAAAAGAAAAAAAAGAAAAATTATTTATTCTTACTGAGTTTTTAATAAGAACACCTGGGTTTAAATTTCAGCTATGTGAACTTATGCTATTATCACTGTGATGGTTAATAACAAGTGTCAACTTGATTGGATTGAAGGATGCAAAGTATTGCTCCTGGGTGTGTCTGAGGGTGCTGCCCAAAGGAGATTAACATTTGAGTTGGTGGACTGGGAGAGGCAGACCCACCCTCAATCTGCATGGGCACAATCTAATCTAATCAGCTAATCTGGCCAGGATGGCCAGAATAAAAGCAGGCAGAAGAACGTGAAAAGACTAGACTGGCTTAGCCTCCCAGCCTACATCTTTCTCTCTTGCTGGATGTTTCCTGCCCTTGAACATCAGACTCCAAGTTCTTCAGCTTAGGACTCAGACTGGCTTCCTTGCTCCTCCGCTTGCAGAGATGGCCTATTGCGGGACCTCATTTTGTGATCTTGTGAGTTAATACTCCCCAATAAACTACTATATATATATATATATACACATATATACACACACACACATCTATCCTATTAATTCTCTCCCTCTAGAGAACCCTAATACAATCATACACAAAATTTCTTAACCCAAAAAGTGTTTAGTGAAGAAATACGAGAGGAATGTTAATGCTACTCTTTCCTGAGGCTGACAAAGACAAAGACAAGTAAGGTAGTTATTTTTTCAGGAGTGGATCAGCTGCAGACCTAAGCTAGAGAATGTGAGATTAGGTCTGTAATTCCCACTAATTAGTCCCCTGGACATTTTAACATAAGGTGAATGCAACTACAGCCTAAGAATAACAATGGGCTGTGAGATGGGGGAAGGAGGGGCTCTCTAACAGAAATCAGAACTGGCGTGATCTTGGCTTTATGTTGTGGAATGGAATCAGGATCTACCAACCTGCCACTCATTACAACGAGTCATGTAATGACCAGAAGGTTTTCCCGCCCTATCATTCTATTAACTATTGAACCAAGGGAAAATGACAGATAAGTATCATAAAACATTTAAAAGCATTCAGTAGCTGGGCCTCAAAGCAGCCATTCCATAGCTCTATACTACTACAGAAATAGCTATAGACTACTTCCTTTTCACTGGCTCCAAACCGAATAGTAAATAATATTCGGAGTTCCAGTATGGTGATAGCATTTAGTATAAAAACAGTCTTTAAAATATCTCTAAGTAATAAAAACAGAAAAAAAACTAATTTGACTTATTCTATAAGCAGACAGATTCTTTAATTTGAGAATTTACTACATCTATAAACAGAAAAATGTTAATATATGAAAGTTTTTCTCTCTTATTTCTCTTTACATTTTTTAAGAGACAGGGTCTTGCTCTTTCACCCAGGCTGGAGTGCAATGGCACAATTATAGCTCACTGCAACCTCAAACTCCTAGGTTCAAGTGATCCTCCCACCTCAGCCTCTTCAATAGCTAGGACTAGAGGCATACCACCACACGCAGCTAATTTCTTCATTTTTTTGTAGAGTCGGTCTCACTCGTTGCCCAGGCTGGTTTCAAACTCCCAGCCTCAAGTGATCCTCCCACCTTGGCCTCCCAAAATGTTGGAATCATAGGAGTGAGCCACCATTATGCCCAGTCCAATCTCTTATTTTTTAAATAGCACTGAGATAATAAAATGTGCCATGAACATGTCAGCGAAGAGTAGCCATAACTGCTCTAAAAGTTTATCAAGGCCCGCAAGAGATTTTCTACAAGGAAAAAAAAAATCGGAAAAAAAAAATCAGTAGTTTAAGTGTGCTTTTGTTATTTTTAAATGCTGCCTCTTTTTTGTGGGAGGGGCAATGTTTCAAAGCTCTAGATGTAACAGCTCTCTTATTTTCTTGTCCTATATCTACTTCAAAGAAATGTAGCAAGAGGCTGGGCGCAGTGGCTCACGCCTGTCATCCCAGGGCTTTGGGAGGCCGAGGAGAGCAGATCACCTGAGGTCAAGAGTTCAAGACCAGCCAGGCCATGTCTTTAGTAGAGACATGGCAAAACCCCAACTCTACTAAAAATACAAAAATTAGCCAGGCACGATAGTGGGCATCCGTAATCCCAGCTACTCGTGAGGCTGATGCAGGAGAACCACTTGAACCCAGGAGGCGGAGGCTGCAGTGAGCCAAGATCACGCCACTGCACTCCATCCTGGGCGACAGAGCAAGACTCCGTCTCAACAAAAAAAGCAATGTAGTGAGAAACACTGAAGCCACAACTCCCCCAAGAGATGATGATCATCAGATTTCATTACATTTGTCTTTCTCGAATTTCTCCTAATGAATAGCCAGACATAAAAACATTAAGGATAAATTACAGAGTAAGCACACAACACCCCTCAAGGCTACATATCAAGGTAGAGACACACAGCACTTACCTTCTTCCCTCCGGTCACAAACTGCTTGCAACTGGATCTCACGAAATGTGGGTGCACAGCAATAATCTACAAGAGAAACAGAACCCAACTCTGGTTTAGGAGTCATGGCCAATGCACAGAATGAAAACCCCTGACACAGTTCAAGCAGCATGATCTAAAAATTATCCTGAAACCTTGGTAGGAAGTAATATATTCAAATCATATTTTACAACAACTGATGACATCTGAGTTTTCTTCTTACGTGAAAAGATTTCTTCTCTGAAGCCAGGTCAAAGCTCAAAGAGTAGGATAAGTCAGTTCTAGTTTCTGGCTGAGGACCCCTATAAGTGGATGTCACCTGTATAGAGGCAGCAAGGGAGGTCAAGGGAGGTTGGTCAAGGTAGCAAGATGTCACAACTGTTTCTAACTGGATACAATTTACAGAAAACAAAACAAAAAAAAAAAAACAGAAAGAAGCCAACTAACTCCTTGTCCAAGATGACTCTCAATGATAGACGGCACCAAGTGGCAACGCAGCCTCCCAGACGTTTAGCCCACTTACACCAAGACCCCATCAATGGAGAGAGAACAGAGCTACAGGCCCAAAGAGCTAACCGTTCAGGACTTAGCTTTTTAGATACAACCTGTTCCCCTGATTCTCATCTGCTTCCCACTCATCCAATCTTTCTCCAGCCCCTTGCTACCCAGGTTTCTCTTAAGGTTGCTCCACCACCCTTGTTACTGTTTCCTTCATTTGCAAGGGCTTTATGATTACATAACATCATTAACATCTTGGGGAGGGGATGAAAACAAAAGCCCTCGTGGCTCCACTCAGTGCACCTCCATCTTTGGAGCTCATCTGTTGTGGCTGTAAGCTTGCATAGACTCCACCTCCTTCTCTCTTTATCCCCAAACCACCCATGAAATCACCAACTTAACTAATTTTGTGTTTTTCTAATTTAACATAGAGAATTTTTTTTAGGTAAACACACACACAAAATCTCACACAATTTTACTTCTATATACCTTCAATTAAACATATTTTATACTTGTATTAATTGACACATTTCCCTCCTACAATGGAATAGATTCCTCTTCCTACAATGTCATTTTTAAGGATTAGCATATGATCCTTCATTGCTCTAAACACTCCTACCTCCCAGGTTAGCCCTTCTTCCCTTCAACACTTTCCTAATCCATCCTCAATACCAGTAGTGAAGGATTCACACATTCTATTGTTTCACATTCTTAAACTCTCCCCCTAGCTCTCTCGTAATGCATAACTGTAGATCAGGGACTGATTCCAAACATCTCCTCTGCTCCTCAAACACATTATGTTACCCTTTTCTTCCCTTCAGATGTAAGAAAATAAAGCCATCAGGGTCATTGCCCACAAGTGCTCCTCCTTCACTGTCTAACTTGCAATAGCTAGGCTCAGTCCACTTCCTTCATGCCTGTTTCACAGGCAGAGGGTCTAGGACTCTTCCAAGATTATCTTCCCTACCTAAGCTGTTGATCTCATTGCTTAGTGCTGCTCCAAGAAGCATTCTCTTTATTTTTAATCTTTTCCTCTTCACTGGTTTTTGCCATGAACCAAAACATGGTCGGCAAAAACCTTCCCAGGACACGGCCCCTCTCTCTACCAGATGATCTCTCTTCTTTATTACTAAATTTCTTTAAAGAAGAGTCTCTGCTGATTGTTTCTACTTCCTCATCTCCAATTTATTCCTTCATGTATAGTGACCCTCCTGCTCTGAAAAGAGTCCTCAGCAAGGTCACCAGTAACTTCAAAATCACCACATAGAATGCCCTTGTTTCAGTCCTTCCCCCTATTTAATCTCCACACTGCATTCGACACTGCTGACCACTTCCTCCTTGTAGAAACCCTCTCTCCCCTGGCTTCTCTGACACCACTCTTCGGGATTCCTTACAGTCCCTCCAACTGCTTCTTCTTAGACTCCTTTGCTGTTTTTTCTTCCACAGCCTGAGTATTCAAGTTAGAGTGTTCCAGAATTTCACCATCAGTCTTCTCTTCTCACTCTACAGCTCTAAATTGGATAATATCTTTAAAAATAGCTTCACCTTATTCAACTATGGTTATCACGTTTGTGTTTAAGGGCCAATCTCCATCCTGAGGCCCATATTCATGTTTCTAAAACCTCCGTAACGTCCCCACCTGATGTACTACACTTATCTAAACTCAGGACCAAACTAGCCTAGCCATGTCCTTACTCAAACATACCCTACTGCAACTGATGGCATCCCACACCCCATCCCCAAAGCGAGAACCTGAACTGACCCTGAGCTCTTCCGTCTTTCATCACCCTCATCCAAGCCATCACTAAGGCTCGCTAAGTCTATTTAGCACAGGCTGTCCAAATAAATTTCATCCTTTCCATCTTGAACACTCACTATCATTCTTTTCATTGAGATCCTGTAATGCCCTGCCTAGAGTATTATATTAGGCTTCTAAATTGTCTTTTGTCCCCAATCACTCTCCTGTTTAAATCACCCTCCACTCTGGCAAATTCAACTTTTTAAAACATACATCAGACCCTATCTCTCCTTTACCTGCTGGTCAATAAATGTTTGAATAAACAGGTGAAAAAAATAAATGACCTCTTCCTTCAACAACTATAATAGACACCTCAACTACCATAATTTTTATCTAAAACTAGTCCTCTTGACTCTTATCTGTCCTTCAATCAATACTGTATACAGTCACCATATTAATTTTCTTAAAGCTTAGTTCAGTTTATTTACTTTGTTCTTAAATATTTAGTAATTTCTAGTTATCTACCAAATGGAGTCCAAATTCTTCAGCCTGAATGTAAAGCCAGCCCAATCTTCCTTCACATTCTCTTGTGAAATCAGTCTTTTATGTACCAAATAAATTGGACAATTTGCCATTTCCTGAACACAAGGTGAACTTTCTAGCCTCTCCATTTCTATTATGTTGTTCTTCCACATGGAAAGCCAGCTTCTCTCATCAGTCCTTCTCCATTTATTAAAGCCAAGTTAAACATCACTCCACCAATGAAGCCATCACTGACAAGAACAGCTAAAAGTGATTCCTTTCAGCTTTGGAACGCTTAATATTATTCCTACCTCTTTGAGTCTTTTACCACAGATCGTGTGTGTGTGTGCGTGCGTGTGTGTGTGTATGTGTGTGTGAGTGATCTCACTCACTATAATAAAATACCCCTGAAGACAGACTGAGATCACAGTCACAAAATACACATTCTGTCTTCTTTCACAGCATCTAAATAGTATCCAGTACATCTGAAGTGTTGAACAGACACTTACTGACAAAATTAATACAGAAGTGGTAATGTTCAAATTACTGTAATCCATATTGCCTTACTTGAGAAAACCCTTAGAAAAAGTAAAACTTGCTGAATACTTACTTTAATGGGACAGTCAAAAGTCTCGTGAAATTCTTCTCCAGAATACAGTCCAAATACCTGCACCTACAAAGAAAATGGATTGTATCAGCTCACCATGACAGCAATAGAGAAGGCTACTGAGTCAGTATGAACACATACTATCAATAAGAAAAGTAGAATATTTAATAATTTTAAGGCCCCGTGACCTCTATTAAATATCTAATGAAAACAATCCCATCAGCCACGTACGGTGGCTCACGCCTGTAATCCCAGCACTTTGAGAGGCAGAGGCCGAGGTGGGTGGATCACCTAAGGTCAGGAGTTGAAGACCACCCTGACCAATATGGTGAAACCCCATCTCTACTAAAAATATGAAAATTAGCCAGGCATGGTGGCGTGCATCTGTAGTCCCAGCTACTCAGGAGGATGATAGGAGAATTGCTTGAACCTGGGAGGCAGAGGTTGCAGAGAGCCGAGATTGCGCCACTGCACTCCAGCATGGGTGACAGAGTGAGACTCCGTCTCAAAAAAAAAAAAAAAGAAAAAGAAAAAGAAAAAAGAAAAAAGAAAATCCCATCAGGTTGAGGGTACTTTGCTGCAATTAAGCTTTCATAAGCATTCCATGGATAGAGTTCCCTTCAATCACCACAAATTGTATTAAATGCATGCCATTAAAACAATGAAACAGATTTGAACAAGTTATTACTATTCTTTTATAAACTTCCATAAGCTGTCCCTAAAGGAACTATTTTTTCATCCCTTAAAGGAAAGGGGAGATTTTTTTTTAGTGTCTCTCATATATATAAAATAAACCAACCATGTAGATCAGTGTGGTAAGAGATTAGGTGAACCACACTTCACTCACAACTTATGCTAAATCTACTGAGAATACAGAAATGAAAGATTTAAGTTCCTGCTTATCAGTGTCTCCCTTAAAGTTGTTCCAGGCTACTTTATTCATACTTAGTATATTTTCTGAGTGCTTTACTTAACAACAACAAAACAAAAACAAAACTGAAATATAAAACACATGCTATAAAAAATACAAATCATAAATTTATAGTTTGATGAATTTTTATGACACGAACATATCCGTGTAACCATCACTCTGATCAAGAAATAGAAGCCAATAAGCTCCTTTGTTTCCCTTTCCAGTAAATAACACCCTCCAACTAATCACTACCCTCAAAGCTACTGGCATGGATAAGTTGTGCTGGTGTTAGAATTTTGTAAGTAAGGAATCATATTCTATTTCACTGATTTATTTCATTCATTATTTAACATTTTCTTTGTGAGATTTAGCCACACTGTTGGATATAGTAGAGGTTGCTTCTTTGCCACTGCTGGGTATTATTTCATGTATGAATATATCACAATTCACATATCCATCTTCCATTGATGACCACTTAGGTTGTTTCCAGATTGGGGCTATCATGAATACTGCTGCTAAGAACATGCTTTGCAAATCTTTTGGTGGACTTATATACATATTCATGAAGGGTGTATACCTTGGAATGGAATTGCTGAGTCATAGGTTATGTGCATGTTCACATTTAATAGGCAAACCATTTCACAAAGTGGTTTCAAATTAATTATGCTCTCACCATGAGAAAGTTTGAATGTTTGTGTTCCCCCAAATTCATTACGTTGAAACCTAACCTCCAAAGTGATGGTTATTTATACTCTCAGCATAAGAATTCCATGAGATCTCAAATGCTTGGAGCTAACAAATAGTACTAGAGCCAATGAGAACTATTTCCCAACATTGGAATGTGTTCACTGTCTTTCTAGTCTCTAGTATAGTGGTATTATTCTTCTTTAACTTTTGTAGGAATTCACTGGTGAAGCCATCTAGGTCTCATGGCTTTGCTATGGTCTGAATGTATGTGTTCTCCCCAAATTCACTGTGTTGAAACCTAACCTCCAAGGTGATGGTATTAAGAAGTAGGGCCTTTAGTGAGTGATTAAATTATGAAGGTGGAGCCCTCATAGGTGAGATTGGTGCCCTTATAAGAAAGCTTGGGGTAACTAGCTATAGCTTGAGGTGACTAGCTAGTCCTTTTGCTCTTCTGCCTTCTGCCACACAGGGACACATAATTCATCCCTTCTGCCATGTGAAGTTACAATAACAAGGCGCCATCTTGGAAGCAAGGAGAGCAGCCCTCACCAGATGCCAAATGCTGGCACCTTGAAATCAGACTTCCCAGCCTTCAGAACTGTGAGAAATAAATTTCTGTTATTTATAAACTACCCAGTCTAAGGTATTTTGTTATGGCAACACAAATGGACTAAGATAGTTTCTTTGTGAAAAGGTTTCCAATTATAAATTCTATTTGAAAAATAAATATAGGACTACTTAAACTTTCAATTTCTTCTTATTTTAATCTTGGTAAGTTCTGAGTGGTTCATTCTTTCAAGCCCCAAGCAGGAAATTCACTTATGTTATAATTTTGGGAAATAGATTCATGCATTAAAAGTTAAAGTTTTGGGGACCATCCACTCATTTTGTAACTACTGTTTTTATATACTTGTGCCAAGTTTGTTATTTGGGTTCTACAAACAGGAGATAATATAATGTAAAACAGAAGGAATTTCATTTTTCCTGAGGCTGGCCTTGAAATGTATTCTTCACATGGCAAATACACATATGTCCCCCCCATCACCTGCTGCTCATTGTTCAGAGGGTATAAAGTCATTACTTTTATGGAAATATATAGGCATAGGATAATATAACAAACATCTTATAAAATAATGGCTAAAAAGCACAAAAGGAAAGCACTGCATTCAGGGTTTCACTTTACCTGGGGAAGTTTAACTTGATGGACCCCAACAAATCTAAGAAAATCAGGTGAAAAGAAGGAGGTTCCTGAATCATGGGAATCTTAATGGAGTGAATCAACAAATGGCCACCTTGATGAAGCTACCTCAGTATGAATACCTGCTCAACTAGCAAGCTGAACTTCTCCTAACTTAATCTATTTCTTTTCAGTACAATAAGGTCATGTACTGCATGGTCTTGTGCTAAATCTCATACTACTGCTACTAACTTACATCCCTAAATGTGTCAACATGCTTTACCTTAGTGGTTCTCAAACACACCTGTACAGTTAAAATTCCTGGAAACTAATGGCCAAATCCCACCCTGAACAAACAAACTCAAACTTTCTGGTGAGGCGAAATGATATTTTTGAAGTCTGCACAATTGGCAATGTTTTGCTGTTCCTCATTTGGTCCTCATAGCAAAACTGCTAGGTCTAAGAGCAAATACCATTATGCCTGTTGAACTGATGATTCTATAGAAAAATGACTTGCCTAAGGTCATAAAAATCATAAGCAGAAGAGTTAGAACCAGAACCCGGATTTTCTAAATCCTATTCTTCTACATGCTATCTTTATATAGGATAAACTGAAATTTGCAAAAAAGAAAGATATCTTTTTACCTAAAGTGTAAGAAGAGTAGAATAGAACAACAACAAAAAAACATTCAAAAGCCTTAAATATGTGCCAAACTGAAAAGAACATGAATATCAGACTTTGAATTAAGGACACTCTATGACAGAAATTGAAATTAAATGAAGCTGATTATTCATTCAAATGGATAAACTTCCTTCTGCCTTATAGATGGAATAAAGAAATTTTAGAAAAAAAGTGATTTCTATTATGCAGAAAAGTATATGAGATGTAAACAAATGATGCATAAGCCTGTAGAAAAAGACTGACAGATCAGTAAATGTGTGGATAAATACTGGGACTGTGGATGTAATGCTGAAAATTAAATTAGGAATTGCTGAGGATAAATGTCCCTTCAAAAATTAAAAATGCATATTGAAGGCATAAGAGTATAGTGATAAAGAGGAATAAACAAAAAAGAGAACAAAATCAAACAAGTTCATAGTAAACAGGCACCGATACACATCACTATCCTTAAGAATTCGCCAGAAGCAAAAATGTCACTGTCATACCCACAGTAGGGGCTGGAGGAGTAACTGCTGAAGGTGGCAAATCAAGAATAGAACTCTCTGGTCAGTTTCTATTACTATGTTTAACTGAGCAACATTTTCCTCAAGTGTTCTTATATTCTATTTCAATATAAAAAACATATAACTTCACGAGACAAATCTCATAAGCTTTGTCAGTATCAGCACAAGGGTGATTTGTAAAATCTTCAATGTTTTGGTTCATTTCACTACTATGACATGCCAAACTAGCTGCTCACACGTTATACTACTAAAGATAATAAAATCCAAAACAATTCTCATTTATTTCCCCTCTCTCTCCCTCTTTATTTATTTTGCCATTTTGTCTGTGAAAATCACACTTATCTGTAAAGGGAATCCCTCCGCTTTTGGGAAGAGCTCATCTGAGATAAGAATCACATAATTAAAGGTTACGAGAGAGGACCCTTTTGAAAACGGTATCTCCTGTAGTAGCCCTAACAACTACCCTGAACCTGCTAAAAAAAAATACCTAATGAAGAAAAAGAGAAAATTCCTAACAATGAGCCATAGAACCAAGCTCCTGCAAAGTCCTGGGAGAATTCTCATTAGCTACAAACCAGAGAGCCATGTGAGTACCTTAGAAGTATGTGGTACATGTTTTGTTACCCGAAATAGAGGAAACCTACCCTCATGAAACAGTAAGGGATGTAATCATTCTCCACTTTAGCATGAAACTCTATGTATTTGCCAACCAGAACACTGGGCAACAGCCCTGATGCAGAGAAATGAGGACGGAGGTGGCCAGAGTACTATATGACCTTCCCAGTTAGACTTCCCTTGTAACAGCCTCTCTCAAACTTCTGCTTCCAAACAACACATTAAAAATCAGAATAGGGTGGACATGTGAACTGTCATTATACCTCCAGTGGTAGCTAAAGGGACTCTGGCAGTCAAGATTGCTGGTTTTCATACTCTCCACCCAGGCTGACTAACAGAGACCAGAGAGTGATGACAGAAGCCTCTAGTTCCCCCCAGGGAGCTGCCTTCATTTAGTTACGGGAAACTGAGCTCATTTTAGGGTCCCTGTTGCTGAACTAAGGGGATTCTAAAATACCCAAAACAGTAACAAGGGCAAGTTAGACATTGAATCTGTTTGCTAACCCAGGTTGAGGAAGAGATCTGCCTGTTCTGGAATGGATAAACAAATCAAACAAAAACATAGCCAAGGTCTATTAAAAAAGTCCTGCAGAACATTCCAAAGATTCAAAGGGAGAAAAACCATGCTTTAAGAAATATCTTAATATTAACCAGAAACCAAAGAAAAAACTAGAAAACTGTTTGGCAACCACAACAAGAAGATCAGACCTCTAAGAACCTGGAGCAGAAAAACAGGAAGATGACGACAATGATTATAATAATAGCTCACAATTACTAAGTGATTTTTCTGTTCTAGGTTCTATTCCAAGTAATTTACATATATTAACTCATTTAATCCTCCTAATAATTAAGTAGGTACTGTTATTATCCCCATTTTACAGGGGAGGAAATGGGCTGAGGTAGAGAGAGGTATAAATAACTTAGCAGACATCACACAGCTAAGAAGTGACAGGATAATTCCACTGCTAACCACTAGACAACACCCATCTGACACTCTATGGCATATAAAAAGTAGTAATTTTTGTTTATTTATTTATTTATATTTTTATTTTCTTTTTTTGAGATGGAGTCTCACTCTGTCACCCAGGCTGGAGTGCAGTGGCGTGATCTCAGCTCACTGCAAGCTCTGCCTCCCGGATTCACACCATTCTCCTGCCTCAGCCTCCCGAGTAGCTGGGACTACAGGTGCCCGCCGCCACACCCGGCTAATTTTTTGTATTTTTAGTAGAGATGGGGTTTCACCGTGTTAGTCAGGATGGTCTCGATTTCCTGACCCCGTGATCTGCCCGCTTCGGCCTCCCAAAGTGCTGGGATTACAGGCGTGAGCCACTGCACTGGCCAAAAAGTTCTAATTTTAAAAAAATTAAATATATATCAGGCTGATATGAAAACAGAATTGGGAAAGATTTCAGACAAATTAAAAATGCAAAATGCAATAAAAATCTACTCCAGGAAGCAGTAAGACACAAAACTGACTTTGGAAGAAAAGTGAATCAGAGAAGGGAATAAACAAGTAGAGGAACTCTCCCTGACTACACAGAAATAAAAGGCTAAAAATGAGAAAGCAAAGTATATGTGTGAGACGTCACACAATATGAATGAACAATTTTCTATACAACCTATGTATTGCCAAAAGGAGGAGAAGGGTAAATAGTGCTTAATCATTCACCCTCTTGCCTTGAAAAGTTCAGGTACAATAATGGGAGACAGGAAGAGGCCAGACTGCAATGGATTAAAAATGAATGGTTAGCAATAAAAACAATTAATACATAACTGACAGCTTACCATATCCCCTGCACCTCACAACACTCCTCAGGGGCCTCCCACTGCCAAGATGGGGAGAGGGAGGCACTGCCAGGCCAGCAACATGCCCAACTTCACACACCAAGTGGGAATGCCAGCCCAGGCAGCTGGAATACAGAGCTATGCTCCTAGCCTCTAAGCGATATTGCCTTCAGCTTTATATTACTGAATTTCTTTGAAGAAATGAAAACAAATGCAACTGAGGCAATCATCAAAATTATAACCGAACTAAACTTTTCTGAAATGAAAACAATACTTCAGTGTATGGATCAAAAGGACTGACGGTACTCCAGAAAAAATTAATGAAAAGAGACCAGAACTAGACATAACTTAGCAAACTGAATTACACAGACCATTTATTACTGTTGTTGTTCTTGTTGTAATTATTATTATTAGTCCAAGTTCCAAGGCAGGACCAAAAAAAAAATTGTAAAGGTTTTAGAAAAGAACAAAAGTAGGCTGGTTTCAGACATGTCTACACAAATAAATGTCAGAAAAAAGGGAGCAACATCTCCAAAATTTTGAGAAAAAATATTCCAACCCAGAATTTTATACTATAGTTTACATATGAAAGCAACATATGCAAGAAATCCCAAAATAAACCTTGTATGTACTTATCCTAAAAGTTTTCTAGAAACATATGCCAGTAAACTGAAACTGAACACACACACACACACACGCACACATACGATATGTGTGTCTCAAAATGTAGAACTGCAGAAAAGTCATGACAAAAAAAAGATTGAAAATGAGCACCAGCTGAATAAACGGTGTAAATTTTAAACAACTGCTGGAATTATGACTTGAAAACTGAATGCAAATATCAAAGGTTATCCTTGAAATAACCCTAATAAATAATTATTTATCTAGGAACCTTAACACACTGAAGAAAGGAAAAAATACCCACAAAACCTATTTAAAGATGCATTAGATTTAGATATCTGGAATGTGTTTGTGTAATGTCTTTATATTTTTATCATCACCAACCACTTTACCAGATCATTCTATACTAGCTTCTCAATTTTCACAATACTGACTAACCCATGGTAAGGGGGTAGCTTACATGTAATTATGTGTACTAAAAGATTTACTTTCAATTCTACCAATGTTAATAAAAATACGGGAAGATTATTTCCAAAAATATATCATGGTTCCACACTAAAATAGGCAGCTATAAATTTTACCAAAATAGGAAACCAAAGGTGTTTGACAAGAAGGGTACCATGAGATAATCTGAGGTTCATCTTATCCACCAGATGGAGTAGCTAACATATTCCACTTTGGTGCATTAAATAACAATTCTTCAACATTTAAAGCTCTGAAAATTCCTAGATGAAGTATTTAGTAAAAATTCGTTTCCAATTTTTAATAAAAATGAGTACTATCTTTCAACAAATTAGTTCGGTTAAACTGATTACAGCCCAAAAGGAATTTCTCACCTTTAAGAAAACAAAATGAAGATTATCTTTCTTTACAAATACATGAACACAAAAAATGTTTCAGCGGTGTGGATAATTCTTCTCCATTTCTGCACAAACCAACTCCTCCTTCATCTCTCTCTGATAATCATGACAATCTCAGAATTTCTGAAAGTACTGTAAAATTTGACAGTGCTTTTTGAAAAGCACTAGTGTTCCAATTACTGTTTCAAAAGACTCTTTGGGCAACATTAGGCTTAGATATATAAAATGCATTCTTGTATGTCAAGAGACTTCATGTTGCTTTTTGTTAACAGATTAAATGGGTATATCTCTTTTACACCGGGTATACTGTTTTTAATTTACCCATCTTAATGGCCCACTGACTTTAGGGCACATAATAAATACAAAATTAGATTAGGAAATCTGCTTTACTCAGTAAGGAATATGTAAAGATCTATAATGATTCTTAATGCACTCTCTCAAACTGTTATTTTAGAAAAGTAGCTTAAATACACTGTGCATTAGGATTTTATCATTGCAAACCAACATTAGAAAAGATTTCCATCGACTTAAAAACAAAAAAGACATTCTTATAAGTGGAAAATCAATCACCACAACCATTAAATGTCACAGCTCAACATCAGCAAGAAGCACTGATAATTGTTAGTTATACACTGCACAAATGATGTATGTCCTTGGTCGAGGAAGTAGGCGCCAGGTTTTTAGAAAACTGTACATATATTGATTTTACATTTATTTAATGTGGCCATTGTAAGACACTTTATTCTTCTGATAAACTATGATTGCTTATCAAAAGATTCTATAATTCAAGAGAAACATTCATAACTTGTGTGTGAAAATGAAAACCACTGGCCCACAGAAATCATGCCCACAAAATCCAATTTTGTGGATTTATGGCAGAAAGACATTAAACTACTGTCTTGCAGGAACTGCAGACTAGTCACTGAAGCAGAAGTGGCACGGTAGTAATGATTAAGGTGACACGTCACCCTGCCACAGCTGTTAATCAGCTTAATACTAGTTACATTATTGACATTCTTGTAATTACTTTTCCTAAGGCACATTTGTGCAAAATATATTTTACTTCAATTATGACCAATCAGAAGCAAGTTCAATACTCAGAAAGAATAATCAAGATTGTCTTAATGCAGTTATATAGTAAGCAAGGTGCTGTTCCGATCACCTGGGGCTGGCGCCACAGAACTCTCTGCATGACCACATCTTTGCCATACCTTGCCATCCTCTGAACACACACCCATGTGCTCTCCACTTTCATCCAAGCTAATCTGATTTATCTTCACAGGACTCTAAAAAGAAAAAGACAAAAAGATGTGTAAAACTTCAGGAAAATATATATCAACAATCAATGTCTTTGCTCTTTGTAAAATAGTAAGCTCTTTGTTTTCTTCTTAAATAATGACAGTTTCCAACTATCTTACACAAAGCACAGTAGAAACTATGAGAAGAAAAGTAAGCCTACGGCAGCTACAACATGAGCTTGCAGAGTAGTTTTTAAAAAATATTTAGCCTTAAAATGGTTTGGCTTGATGATAAAATAAATGGAAATATGCAAAGTTGAATGTGGGATCTTCAACTGAAAAATATCTCAGATCAAGTAGGCAAAGGTCAGGGCAGACCAAGGCTCCCAGACCTCAAAAAGGCCACCCACTGATTGATGCTATGGAAAGACATTTTGACATGGAGGATGAGACTCCTGGCTACAAAATCCTTTCTCATCTTGATCCCTAAATCACCACATGAGCGACACCCCTGAAATGCAGTCCATGAAAAATCAGCTAGCTCCTTAAAGTTCCTAGAATGTCAGAAGAGTAAAGGTTCCTTGAAGATAGATATTTGATCCATTTTGTAGAAGAATAAACTGAAGCTCATAGCAGGGAATCAAAACAGAGAAAAGAGAGGAGCCAGGGCTACAACCTGGGAGGAGTGAAGAATACTGCACTGGCAGCAAGGAATCTACAAAGAAAGCAAAAGCTGATCTGGGAAAGCACCTAGGCCAGCATGTCTGGACTTCCGGCTGAGAAGTCTAAATGTTCAACTTCTATAGTCTTTGAATAAATTCCTTCCTCAAATTGAATATCTTCTGTTAATAGTTTACTTATTCAGATCTTGAGTTCATCAAACTACATTTTTTTAAATATCGATTTTAGTCTTGGCAAATATAAACTGCACCTACCTCTGATTGTAATTTCTTTGGCATCTGGTTGTAAGCTGCCTCAAATTATAATTTAGTAAGTGTGTGCAGCCTAGGTTTCCTGTCCAATATGGTACTGTCCACATGCAGCCTTTAAAACTGAAAGTTAAATTAAAATTCGATAAATCAGATCCTCTGCTGCACTAACACATGCCAAGTGTTCAACGACTACATGTGACTAGTACTGGAAAGCATACAGATCACAGAACATCATCACTGCAGTAAGTTCTACTGGAGAGCGTTGTTCTGTGCTCAGAAAACTGAGATCCAATAATGAAAGTAACTAAGACATCAAGCCTTCTTTACAAAGCTCTTCTTTACTGCAAGTTACACTTAGTAGATTTTCCTTCTATATACACGTTTATGTAATTTGTTCTTGGACTCTGGTATTGAAAAGCTCATGGCCTATCCTAATATTCTGTAAATCACATTATATCATTTGCAAAGACCTGGCATACACAAGATCTGTTATTCAACCCCAGAGGAAAGCAGTCAGCTAAGGCTGGTTATCTCCATCTCACAATGAGGAAAATGAGGCTTCAAGAATTTATGTGAGTGGTCTAAAGCCACAGTGCTACTAAGGGCTATGTATGTCACACAATAGCATTCCAAGTGCAAATAAACGAAGTTTCCATTACAACATGTTTCTCACTGAATGGAAACCATTTGTGCCATCACATTAGCAACATTATGGGGGAAAAAAATCATACCTCTAAGGTAAGATAATCCTTTTTCCCACGTACCTCTATTAGCAATAGAAGGGTTTTTTTTCACTTTTTTTTCTGCCAACAATCAATATTCATTGATTCATTTCCCTGACTACTAATAAACTTAACCATTTTTCTTAAGTCTATTGACCAATTAATTTGATCTTCTGTAAACTGCTTGTTCACTTCTCTTACTCATTTTTTTCTATTAACATGTTTGTTGTTTTGTCAATCTATAAGAGCTCTTTTCTATTTTTAGGGTATGAGGTATATTTATCCAGATATTGTATATACAGTCTCCTATTTTTTTGCATGATGGTTATTACTTTATTTCTTATATTTAAGTCTTTTACATTTCAGAATTCATTTTCTTTCTTTCTTTTTTTTTTTTTTTTTTTGAGACAGATTCTAGCTCTGTCACCAGGCTACAGTGCAGCGGCACAATCTCAGCTCACTGCAACCTCGCCTCCCGGGTTCAAGTGATTTTCCTGCCTCAGCCTCCCGAGTAGCTGGGATTACAGGCACGTGCCACCACGTCCAGCTAATTTTCACATAACATTCTGAGTTTTCAGTTGTGGTCTCTTTGTCCATTTCTGTATCAATTCAGCATTGATTTAATTATAGAGGGTGTACATAGTATGTTCTGATATCTAGTAAGTCTCAGTCACAACTTTTCACATTTTCTTTGGCTTTTCTCAAGTACTTATTCTTGTAAATTTTGAGATCAAATGACCCCAATGTTGCTAAACATAATGGTCCTTGTTCAATCCTAACTTACTTCACCTAATTGGAGCACGTAGCACCACTGGTAATTCCTGACTTCCATATCTCATGGTTCAGTCCTTGCACCTCTTCTTTTTTACATCTATACTCAAAACATAGTATTTTCTCCAGGCCATGGAATGACTCCTACATTTTTATCTCCAGGCAGGGCCTCTCCCTATTGCAGACCAGTATCTAAGATGGTTTCTTTTATATCTGTACTTGGATGCCTAATATGCACCTCATCTAAAACATATCCAAAACCAAGATCCCAATATTCCCTCTGGAAAGGGCTCTTCCTGATGGTTTCCCCACCTCAGTTAATGCCTTCTGCTTACCTTTTTCTAGTTGATCTGGGTAAAAACTTTCAAGCTACTTTTGATTCCTGTCTTTATGTCCACTCTATATCTAATCTTTCACAACTCCTATCACCTCTTCTGATGAAATTTATTCAGACTCGGACCACATTTCACCACCCCTACAGCTGCTATTCTGGTCCATCATTCTCATATGGATTACCCTAATGGTCTCCTAACTAGGTGACTTTCTCCTGCCCTAACTCTACTAGAAATCTATTCTCAGCAAGCCTGCACAGTGACACTATGTTAACAGGTTGATAAGAGACATTCCTTTGCTTAAAACCCTCCAATGGCCTCCTATCTCAAGAAATAAGCCAAGATTTTTACTACGACCTGACAGTCCTAAATTATCTGGCCTTTGCCCTCCCTCCAACTTCTGACCTCATCCCCTCTTCCCCTGGTTCTCTCTACTCCAGTCCTGATGACCTTTTGCTGCTTTTCCAGCCTTAAGGCCTTTCCATTTGTCCACCCTCTGCCTGGAATGCCTTTCTGCCTACTCTGTGCTGGTAATCATCTTCTCAGTGAGATCTGGCCAACCAATCTAAAAAGTCAACATTTTACCCAAACATTTCATAACTCCTCATTGCTTTTGTTTTGTCTCCTTAGCACTTGCCACTATCTTAGTGTATCTTTTACTTATTTGTTTTCAAACTCACTCACTAGAATATTAACTTCATGAGAGAATGTTCAAAGAATAAAAAATTCCAATTCAACATAAATTCTTGCAGAGAAAAAAAATAAAAAGGAAATGCTCCTCAACCCATTTTACCAGACCAGGATAACCTTATAATAATAAAACTCAATAAGAATATTAGGAGAAAGAAAAAGTACAAGTAAATCTTACCCACAAACATAAATGAAAAAATCCTAAAGAAACAATTAACAAAGCCAGCCTATAGAGAAAATCCAAGTTTATTCCAAAAATACAAAGCTGATTTAACCTATAAACGCTAATTTTCTATATTGATAAAAGAGAAAAATCATAGAATTATCTCAAGGGCTACAAAAAGTTTTTGATGAAACTCAATATCCATTCATGGTATTTAAAAAAAAAAAAAACTTTTTTAGCACACAAGGAGAAAAATTCCTCAGTCTCTTAAAGAATATCTTCTGAATGGTTAGGAAAATATTGCACTTAATGGTAAGATGTTGAGAGCTCTCCCTTTGTTATCTTTGTAATATTGAATCTTTTAATCCGCAAACATGGAACATTTCTCCATTTATTTAGGTCTTCTTCAGTATCTCTAAATAAAGTTTTATATGTTTCCCCTGAGAGGTCTTAATATTCCTTTGACAGTTTTATTCAAGGAGCAGCAATCACAGAAAGCATCCTTTCCTCATTCCTGACAAGTATTGTGTGATTCCATTTACATAACACACAAAAATAGGCAAAACCAGAGTGTGTAGGGGGAGCACACACAGGTTGTAAAATAAAACGGAGAAGTCAGAGAGTTATTACTATAAAGGTCAGTATAGTGGTTACCTCTGAGGGGAAGAGAGAACACTGTGATTAGGAAGAGTCACATGGTTTACTCTCAACAGAGTGGTAGTTTTGTGACTGTTAGCATGGTGATGATCTGTTTTACTACACGTTTTATGTAAAGTTACATTTCACAAATAAACATTAAAAATTTAAGAAGATCAAAAAGAACTGGCCCAGGAAAATGTCTGAGATCGACATCTTTAATGGGTTATTTCTTAAATTTTGAGATTTTTTTTTCATTTTTTTTCCACTTTAATTGTCAAGCTACTCAAATGTTCTCATTCTAATCTGGTCATTCATATTTTCCAAGAAAAAAAAATAGCACATTTTAAATTCATCAGTGATGAAAATATCTTTTATTTTACTTTTTGTTCGTTCACTGTTTTAATAATACTGATGATATTAATACTACTAAGAATAAATAGTAAAACTATTACTACTAAGTTAATATTTACTATACGGTCATTATACACCAGGCTCTATTCTATGAGTTTTATACATACATCATTTAATACATCAATTCTATAAGGTAGGTACTACTACTTTTCCTATTTCATATTTGCAAATATACAGATATCTTACAGGTATAAGTACTTGTGTTTCCTTTTTTTCTTTGATTATCATTATCAGGTGTTTATCAGCTGTACTAGCCTCTTTGCAGAAACTCAACAATTCACTTTATTTTAAAATTTTTCTATTTTATTAATTTCTTACTATTATTCCTTAATTTTTTCCCTTTTTACTTTAGAACAATTTTGTTCACCATCTTGTAATTTCCAGACATTAATATACTGCCTAATAATTATAATGACTCATTTGTCAGTCATATAATAAAATGCTTTTGATTTATCATTGGTCAAAAACCAAAGGACAAAAGTTAATGTGTAATTACAGTAATTATTTCCTTTTTGAGAAAAGTAACATTTTGTTTCATTTCCAAGGATGGTGATGTTGTATTTGCCCATTAATCTAGTTATTAATAAAGTCTAGTGTGGATGCATTGTGGTCTGAGAATGTGGTTTGTATAATATCTATTTTTAGAAATTTAATAATTTGTCTTTGTAAACCTAAGACATAATTTCAAAATAATTCATATTCTCTATTTTAGGCTCAAAATATGTATTTTAAAATCATGCTATTTATATTATTTAATTTCTCTATATATTTACTGTTTTCTCTTTCATCTATCAAAGACTGATTAAAAACAAGTTTCAAAAACTTCATACTCCAATTGTAGTTTTGTTCATTTATCCTTGAATTTCAAATGAATTTTGGTCCAGATACTAGATGCCCTATAATTTGGCATATCAAAGGGTACAATGATTATACTCAATCTTCCTTTTAACTTGTAAATGTAATCAATATACTATGCCTTCTGCTGGTTAATGCTCTTTTGCCCTAAATTCTAGTTTTTATCACATTTCTACTACCAACACGCTTGATTTCTGTTTGGCTTTTTACTGTGTATTTTGCTCACATTTTTATTTTTCACTTTCTCATTTTGTAAAATATGTGTCCTTCAAAGCTAAGGTTATTTTTCTTTAATCAATATAACAATATCTGATCCATTTAGCATTGGCTTAGTTACATTATTTTATAGTTTTTATGTTTCCCCATTTCATTTTTTATTATTTGCTATATTACTCAAATTCTTTTTCTTTTCTATCCAACAATTAGATGCTGTTGATCTACTTTTATCTTATTCGCAATTACCTTTAAATTATTATAAATTATACTTGATTTATGCCTCCCCAAAATCAATGCAATCACATTATTTAGTACTTAATTATTTACTACAGTCTTCCCTTCTCTGTTTCAAAGTGAAAGTATAAATATTTCCCATTTCTTGGGTCACTTTAAAGAGAATTGGAGAGAAAAGCTAGTTAATACATCAGTAAAAACTGCAGTCTTAAGCTATATTAGTTCTAAGAATGAATCCAGGAGCAGAAACTATTTTACTTTTGAGATGTCCATAATTTTTAAACTGATTTATAAGAAGTAATTATAGGTAAAGGATATTTACCCCATGTCATGCAGACTGCAAACATCTTTGTACCTTATTACACATTTTAAATTTTTATTTGGAGTGATTTTTGAAGAAATTTGAATTTTTTAGTCACCAAAATCAAACCAAGTAAACAGTCAATGTGCATAAATTGTAGGTAAACAAGAACAAGAGTTAATTTAACAAAAAAAAATGAAAACCAAAAAATAACATATTTTACCTTTGGAAACAGCAAACTTTTTAAAATAGTAGTTTTGGCAAAGAAGCACAAAAAAGGATACTCTACTCATCTTACACTGCTGATAATTCAAATTTGGAAAATGTTTCTGAAGGGTATTTGAAAATGTGTATCAAAATTACTTAAAATATACATTATCTATTATGACCAAAGAGAAGCAAAAAGATTACTATTTCACAAAGGTCTTTTCACAACAAGTTTCTTTTGTAAGATACTAAGAAATAGAAATTATCTAAATTTCTAAAAGCAAAGCATCTAAATGATAATTCTTAAAAATTAACTTAACAAAAAGGTATTATGTAGTAAGGTATTTGGCTTTGTCCAGTGAGAAGTCCAGCCCTTGCCCTTGGCTTCTGTGTAATAGACAGGAACATCTTAGGTTAAAGGCAGGGGGCTGGCCAGACCAGACATTAGGGTAGGCCTGCCATACCCAATCGTATTAGCATGGGAGCTGGACAAAGCAAAAAGACCAATCATTTAGTGGGTGGGGGCTTTGGGTCAGAGTGGTATTAGTCAACCTGGCAGCTGAGATTAACCACATGAATAACCCTCAGTCGATCATGCCTGTGTAATAGAGTCTACATAAAAATCCTGAACACTGAGGCTCAGGTGAGCTTCTCTGGTTAGCACACATCTATACCAGGAGGGTAGCACATCCTGAGGACAATGAAAGCTTTACATTTGAAACCATCCCATGCTGTAGCCTGTATGTTCTCTCTTCCTTTGGCTGATTTTTGACCTGTATCCTTTCCCTGTAATAAAGCACCATGAATATAACAGCTTTCAGTGAGTTCTGTGAGTCTCCTACCCATCAAACATGAGGGTGGTTTTGGGAATCCCCACAACTTGCAGTGTATGTCAGAAGTCTTGGGTAGATTTGGCTGTCAGGAGAACTGTGCTCTCAAATCTTGAAGTTTGGTTAACTCCAGGTTAGCCGAATATTACTATACTTACAGTATTTGTATATCACCTATGTGACTGGAAGCAGATACTCCCAAATATTAGCATTGGTTATATCTGAGTGCTAAGTTATTAATGTTTGGGTTACTCCTTTCTATGCTTTACTAGATTTCTACAAAAAAAATATTTATTTTGTTTCTAATCAGAAGATAGTTTTAATATATGGCAAGGTAGGAAATTCATTAATCTAAAAACAAAAAGAAACCAGATATCAAATATAATATTTAAAACCATGATTGCAGGAACTTACATGCATATTTTTGAGTGATAACTGAGTATCATCACTATGCACATTCCATTTCCATAACAGTTCCATAACATTTAATAAAGAACAAATAAACAAGAGGATTTCAATATTACAACTGTCAATGTTGCATGCAACTAGCCTGGCATCCATAATCCTATAAAAGAAACAAATGCCTTACGTACATCTACCATTTCTATACACTGAAAACAAAGAAACAAACAGCAACAACAGGAAAAAAAACAAACAAAAAAAAAATGGAAAGAGAGAAAGGGTACAGGATATTCCCAAACATAGAGGGAAACCTTCTAGTACAGGATTCTGCATAGCTAAAATGACTGATTTTCCTAAACCTTTTACCATAACAGCAATGAGCAGAAACCATCACATCTAAACATAAAATTTGGGGTGTGTGTTTGCAAAGATGTAATACTGGCATAAATGTGGGAAAGTGAAAGAGATGAGAGAAAAGAAGACCAGAGAAAAATGGCCTCAGCTGTATTTTCCATTAGCTACAATTTTATTACTAATGGAGACATGTTTGGAATTCTGGACAATATAAGTGAGTTTGTTCAAAAATCAATAATGTCAAGCTGACACTATAGAACATACAAAAATGTTTCCTTAATGGAATAAAAAAAGAAGTCCGAGTAAGCAGGAGGGGGCAAGGACCAGCACATACCTTCTAAATCTAAGTCCACTACAGGTGGTCTCAAGTTCTTAAATTTAAAGAAAAGGTAAAATTACCAACATGTACACCTCATGTGATAATCAATTACCTAATGTAAGATGCTTGAAATAAATACACTTAGTATGGATTATGTCAGCTCTTCAATTAGGAATAAATTCACGGTCATTTCGAAAGCTGCTTTTAATGGTGTTCTTTGTGGCAACTTCTTTTCCCCTGATACTCCTCATCATCCCACCTTAAGCTATCAGTCCCCCAACAGTGAACCCAAGAAATCAATCTCCTAATGTATAATTTGTAAGGCTCCTCTGACTAACAAATGGATAATTGATTCCTTCAAAAATGCTGCATCCCCACGGACCCAGAGAGGAATGAATAAGAAATAGAAGCCAGGATTTCATTTTTGTTCTCTCAGAGACCCACTAGTTAGCAATCTCAACATCCACATGGTTGCCTATGCAACTTCATGCTCTTTAGTCACAGTTAGCAAGCACGCCACACTTACACTCCATGTGTGAAAAGCAAACGTCTGTTCTTTCATACTTGGGAAAAGCTCATTTTACTGCTTATTTTACTCTCCACTGATGATACACCCAGGAGGGAAGCAAGACCTCCATCTGGACTTAAGAAGCCTATGAAAAACACACCTAATCGCAGGTTTTCTATACATCTACAAAACAAAACAAAACAAAAACAAGTACAAATACTTATTTTCTCACTGACTTATTTTAAAACCAGAACAGTATATTCTTTTTTTCTTTGAAACAGAGTCTCGCTCTGTCGCACAGGCTGGAGTGCAGTGGTGTGATCTCGGCTCACTGCAACCTCTGCCTGCTAACCAGCAGAAGAAGGGATTCTTCTGCCTCAGCCTCCTGAGTAGCTGGGACTACAGGCATGCACCACCACGTCCAGCTAATTTTTTTGTATTTTTAGTAGAGATGGGGTTTCACCATGTTAGCCAGGCTGGTCTCGAACTCCTGACCTCATGTGATCCTCCCGCCTCGGCCTCCCAAAGTGCTGGGATTACAGGTGTGAGCCACTGTACAGGTGTGAGCCACCGTTCTGCCCGGCCAGAACAGTATATTCTTTAACTATAAACTCTCCAATCTTTTCAGTTGCTCTAAGATTTCCTCTCCAGCACTAAACCCTTCTTTGATTCAAGATGGAGAATATATTAATCAAACAAGCAATCCTGAAGTTGGAGAACTTTCATGAAGCTCTCTTGAAAGTCTCACAATACAGGTTCAGTAAATGCAAAAGGGAAGATGGAAGGGCTCCAGCCAGTTCCCCAGGACAGCCATCCACTCAGTGCTCCGGGGCCTCCCATCACTGTCACTCCTGAGTAGCATGGCAGCTGGCTGCTGTCCACCCTTCCATCGCTAACTGCTCTCCCTAAGGTTGCCAAGAACTTCAGAGGCTGAAGCAAACGGGGAATTCTTTCAGCATTCCCATCCTTGACTGCTTTGTGACAACTGACGCTGCTGACCACTGCTTCCTTCCAACTTTCTTTTCCCTCAGCATTGACAACAACGAGCTATATAAACACTGTTGAGTAAAAAAAAGTAAACTGTTGTTATGTTTTTATTTTTTGTTATATTTTTGTTATTTATGGGCCCAACGACAAAAGCGAAATCCATCATTCTTACCTAGCACATCAGTACTCCTTCCCACCAAAAAATAGGCTATAAAAACATGAACCCATTGCACACTGTTTATGGGGAAATTATTTAATGACAGTTACTACAATATGCTTCCCCTTAGGAAAATGGGGGAGAAGACTTTAGCTCTCAAGTGAACAATCATCGCAAATATTAGGAAAGAGACTGAACAAAAATCCTACAAGAAAAAATAATGAATACACGCCTAGTCTGACTTCACAGCAATATTAAATTCTGGATATGTTATAAATGTTAAGTAAATGAAGATTTTTAAATGTTCAACATAAAAAACAGAAACAATGATTACTAAACATATAATGAAAAACTAGTTCAGAATTAAAACAAAGTAATGCAAAATAAACATTAAATGTAAAATAAAAGAGACAAAAATTAAGACGCTGAAAATTTCAGTCCCCATTAGCAAATGGAAATATCATATTAATTACCAGACAGGCTGCTGGCTTTTGCTTAAAAGTGAGAAGAGAGGACTTCCTTCATTGAAACAGTAAAACCATTTAATGTTTTCATACCGGGAACAGATAGTGAAAAGGACCAGACCCACCCACTCTCTAGTCCAGTTCACCACTCCTGTACTTGAAGTACACAAGTTTCTCAGGTGACCTAGCTCTCCTGCCCCAGAACAGCTGAGAGTTGCCACTGTGTTGGCAGCAACTCATCTTCCTTCCCCCTTTTGTTCTCATTTAAAACCAAGTTAAAATATTTACAGTTTGAGGGTTGTAGATTTTTTAATAACTACACATAGAATTGAATAAGTACCTAGGAAGAATCCAGAACCAGACTACAAAATAAAAAAGAAAGAATTTTTGGGTTACAAATACCATTTAAACTGCATCACAGTCATTCAACCAACAAAGAAGCCTGGCTGGCCAGCCTCAGATGTACTTCATTCCTCACGAGTGTGGATGTGGAAAATATATATACACATGACTCACTATTCTCTTGCTCAAGTTACCATTTTTGCCAATTGATGAGAAAAGATACTTCCAAGGAACCAATCATCCAAGGTATACAAAGGAATGGCTGCCTATTTCCTTTCATTCCCTATGTCCATTTACTAGTAGACAAGAAATGGGTCTTCTACCTGAATGACACCACCAAAATGGCTGGGGGAAGGGTCACCAAAGCTTTCTTAGCTTCAAAGTCAGTGGATGCCCTTCAGTCCCCATGGCTTTCTGGCACCTGAAACTCTACTCCACTGGCTTCCATTACACCCACTTCTCTTCATTTCCTTCCTGCCTTTCTACTCACAACTTTTGTTGTTGTTGTTGTTGTTTTGCTCTTGTTGCCCAGGCTGGAGTGCAATGGCGCAATCTTGGCCTACTGCAACCTCCATCTCCTGGGTTCAAGCAATTCTCCTGCCTCAGCCTCCCAAGTAGCTGGGATTAGAGGCATGCGCCACCACACCCAGCTAATTGTTGTATTTTTAGTAGAGATAGGGTTTCACCATGTTGGTCAGGCTGGTCTCAAACTCCTAACCTCAGGTGATCCACCCACCTTGGCCTCCCAAAGTGCTGGGATTACAGGCGTGAGCCACTGCACCCAGCCTCTACTCACTCACAACTTCTCAGTCACCCTTTCAGGTTGTAGATCCTCAGCCTGCCTCTTAAACAGCGGTATTTTCAATCCAGCTCAGGCCTCTCTTTAGAGCTGCATATTCACATTCAACAACTACTCTACAGCTCTGTGTCAAATTGTCAATTCCAGAACCAGTGCCTTCTTCTGTATTCTCAATTTCACCTAATGACTCTCAGTCCACTTAGCTATCTAAGCCAGAGTACTAAGAGTCATCCCAGAGAAATTTTTCTCCCTCATACCCCACACAAGCAATCAAAAGTCACTAAGTCCTATCCTTCTATCTCTCTTAATACCTCTCAAATCCATCCTTTTCCCACTGCTGTAGCAAATGATCTCTTAATTGACACCACTTCCCCAAACAAGCCCCACAAGCACATCCCCCGACACACGCTCGTCTTCTCCAACACCCCATTTTCCACACTGCTAATCCCAAAGTCAGTCTTCTAAAAGCAAATTACACATGTTGCTACCCTGTTTAAAGTAAATTCCTTAATATGGCTTTTAAACAGAACAACCATACATCCCAGTTTGCCCTTGTGTCTATCACTGCTGTCCAGGTATAATTATTAAGAGCTGCCCTTTCATCCTCATTCGAATAGTAAAATATATAGTCGTCCTACTGATAAAGCCATTTTTCACTGCGTGGCTCCACCTATCTCTTCAGGCTCATTTCCAGCCAGACCCAAAAGATTCACAAGATTCTAAACATCCTGGTTTTTTGAAATGTTTTCTTTAACTCTATATATTTGGCTTAGTATAGGCCATGCATAGCCTCTGTCGCCCACCACTTGGCAAATTCCAGCTCTTTCTAAAAGATTCAATGCAAGCATCACCTCCTATGGGAAGGCCCCTAACTTCCTTTCTGCAGGATGGCATACCCCTCTTGTGTGTTCCCACATCAGTCTCTATCCAAGCATTCCTGTTTCAGAACAATAACTCACTTTGCTGCTTGTCTCTGGCACTTAATTGTGAGCCCATGAGAGCAGAAATCTACTTTAAACTCAGCATCTGGCATAGAAAAGCTCGATGAAGCTCCCAAGGGAACAAGAACCACAATCATTCAGAGTCTGAGGCACATCTCATGCAATGAGAAAACAGGTAAATACATAAATAAACAAAAGCTCTATAAAAAGACAACTAAAGAGCAGAATAAAAACAGAGGCAGAGTTTTGTTAAAATGTTATTTTCTTAAAAATAAGAAAAAATTTAAAGGATGATAAAGCCTCAATTAAGTTCAATGGAAAGAGTTAACTTCTGACATGCCCCTGTTCTTTTGGGACCCAAGGTTTTCAATACTCAACTGAAAAGATTTGATCAGATTCAAGTAGCTGATGAAGAGCTGACAGTCCAGATGCGGCAATCATGTCCCCGTGACACTAATTATATTTCAGAATTAACATGAGTATGCAAAAAATGTCTTCTTATGACGTTTTAAAGATGACTCTATGCCTTTAAAACTGAATGACTGGCCGGGCGCGGTGGCTCATGCCTGTAATCCCAGCACTTTGGGAGGCCGAGGCAGGTGGATAACGAGGTCAGAAGATCGAGACCATCTTGGCTAACATGGTGAAACCCTGTTTCTACTAAAAATACAAAAAATTAGCCGGGCGCGGTGCTGGGCGCCTGTAATCCCGGCTACTCAGGAGGCTGAGGCAGGAGAATGGCACGAACCCGGGAGGCGGAGCTTTTAGTGAGCCGAGATAGCACCACTGCAGTCCGGCCTGGGTGAAAGAGTGAGACTCCGTCTCAAAAAAAAAAACAAAAAAAAAAACTGAATGACTATATTAAATTGAAGCTCTTTCAAGACAATCCAGATCTTTACAGAAGCTGCTGTTTCTACAGATAAGAAAATAACTGCCTTATCAGTAACAATTCGTTCCAACTTGAGAAATAATTAGGAAATTCAAAAGGCAGCGATTTATAAGCAGAAGGGGTAAGTGATAAAAAGTGGCATGGCCGGGTTATGTTACATTTAATATACTGCATGAAAATGTGGTTGAAATATCCTTTTATTCCAAAAACAACTACTGATTATCTACTATATATTTATACTTTTAAAAGTTCACCTCTATTTATATGTATAAGCAATGCTGCTTTCTAAGCGAAAGGTATTTATTTAAGTTACATAGTAGCTAAAAATTAGTCATACCAATATTGCTATTTTAATAATATGAAACAATTACATGTCTACTATTTGAGATGATGACTGTTATACTCCTAATACAAGAGTGCACAAATGCTCCCCAAATATCACAGTCTATTGAACTGCAGACGATTCCTTCCCAGTGATTTCAAACTAGCTGCAGTGCTTCAAGTAGCTTTATGGTTCATCAGGGCTGTGCCCTGATGCTACAAAATTAAAGTGAATAATATAAAATCATTACTTTAAGATATACAGACTGCATCATTTATATATATCTCCGTAGAGCCCTAATATTCTCTAACTTCTAACATAGACTGAAAAAACTAAATTTGTTAGGAAACTTGTTAGGAAACTTTAGCCACTTAAACTTCCATTCTAATGACCTAAAAACAAATTACTCTATTAGAATATAAACGTCCTTGATTAAACTTTAACATCTTGGAAATAATCTAAAAAAAATAAAAATCATCTGAGAATGTGAAGAACGGAAAGAAATTTTGAGGAAGAGTCATCTTGTTTGGAAAGAAAATAATTTTGCCCATCCATGTCATCCCTGTTTAACAATGGAGCTTAAATTTTCTGTATTTATGAGAATGCTTATAAATCAGTCTCTGCTTATTCATTAAAATATCCCTTCTTTTTTCCTTAACTTTTCCTCTAATCAAGAGTTTTTAACCATCTCCCCCATAAGAGCATTTATATGCTGTAAACTTATGAGACCATAGAAAATGACCATTTGCAACTTCATTTGACCCCTAAAACCCTAGGCTGCTGTGCCTACTCTGTGCCTGAGACCAACAGCCCCGTGTGCATGGCTGACAGGTAAAAGGCTCAGATATTCACCCCGCTGTTGCACCCACCAGGACGGTAGAACCTCAACAGAGGCAGGGGCACGGAACGGCCTTTCCACCTACAGAAGACTTATTAGATAGACATTGGTTTTCTAAATCCTAACAACCTTTAAAAGCACAGGGAGGATTTGAAGGGTTTGCCTCCTAAGAGGCTGGCATACTGCTGATTCCTTGAGCTGTTTTCCTTTTGTTAAACTTCATCTTCTGCCTGTGCCTGCCACAAGCCCACGGACAATGGTAGAAGCCTGGCTCGCACACAGCACCAGACAGTGACTATGTACTCAAGACAGTTATTCACAATCTGGGAAATGTTCAAAACATTACTTCAATAAAAGGAAAAAAACAGGCTTTTGGTACAAATCATCTCTTTTATTCTCATGCCAGAGACCGTGCTGGATAGCAGATACACAGTGGTACACAAAACAAATGTGAACCTTGCACTTATTGAGCTTACAAATCACTGAAATACCGTTCAAGTTTAAGATAGTCACCTTCCGGGATGCTACAAATCCTGCAGTTGTCCCGTAGGGTGAGGTGGATGAACAGCAAATCTAGAGTTGGAGCTCATTTTCCCCAGAGCTTGCAATGCCCACATCCTACTGCTACTAAGAGAAAGTTAAATTTCTCTTAACAGTTCAGATCAACACCTTGGACAAGTTGCACTGTGGTCTCCCCAAGATGTCTTGAATGGTTGTTTACAATACTAAATTTGGCAGGTAAGACAGAAAACTAATGGGACCTTTTATATAAATCAAAACCAGTCTGAGCAATGGCATAAGGAGCCAACAAAGTTTCTCTTTCTAGTATTCACACTATCAATGAAGAATTGCCAAGCACCTGCTATACACCAAACACTGCATTTGGTTCTGATACCCCTGTGAAACAATCCACTTTACTGGAATACCATTGTTAAAGAGAATAAACTTTTCTTTCCGTATATAAGTAATCTGAAATGAAAGACAACTAAATTTTCAAAATGGTGACACATAATGTGTGAAATATGATTTAAAAATTATTTGTTCTTAAACCAAGTAAATATTTTCCTTGCTTATACATATATCCAACAAAGATACAAAAGAAAGAGTGATAGAGAAAGAAAAGCAGAATGACCAAGTCACTGGATTATTGCAAGGGAATAATGCAGAACAATTCAATAACTGCACTTAACAAAAAAGCAACTAATAGTACCAAACACCCAACATGATATAAAGAGAATTTAAAAAAAATGGCCTGAATACAAGGTGTTTGTGTAGAGTCTGTGACCCCAGTACTTTGAACACAACTCTATTTTATACTTCAACACATTACATTGCAAACCATTGTTTATATGGCAAGTTCCACAAGTGACTTGACTTAAGAGCAGGGTCTGTGTTTCATTAATGTAATATCCCTAGCACATCCTTTGAGACTGTTTGCTGAAGGAGTAAGAAGCAATTACTAAATGAATACCAAACACATACTCTTCTGCATGAGTCATCAAGGGCCATGTCACAGAGAAGATGACACCGATAATTTGCGTACGCAAAGACAAGAAAGTGCATTCCAACGAGAGCCAAAGAATGAAGTCTGGATACAGTGTAGGCGCAATGCAGGGGACCACTGTTACGACAGAAAGCAGAAGTCCTGAGTGCTGCCTAGAAGAGCTGTTTTATTCCACAGGCATCAAGGAGTCAGTCGAGTGTTTTCAGGGAGGGGAATAACAAAATCCTAGCACTGCTTTGGGAAGATTACTTGGGCAGCTGTGTGAAAAAGGGATTAGGGGAGACACAAGGCAGGGAGATCAGTTGGGTTTTACTGCAATAACCCAGGTGAGATTCAATAAAGACATGAACAAGGATGATGGCAATATAAAGAACCAGCAAAGGAAAGAATGAGCTAAAAGAAGCATCAAGAGGATATACGGGGAATAATGGAGGCAGATGATGGAGGATAAAACGTCACAGAGATGGAAGAAAACACTGAGGGTAGAAGAGAACAGGCCTTCTGAAGAGATAATATTCATCAGGAGTCTGGAAACACAGTCTTTGCAACTAGGCAAAGTATGACTTTTTCTTGGGCCCAATATTTAGATTAAAAAAGAGTAGGAGACTTCACCGTGTCTGGCCCAGTAGACCACACCAAAAAAGAAACAAGGACTTAAAAAGATAAGCTGTCAAATAATCAAAAGGGCTGTCCCACTGGCAGGACTTGGCTGGGAACAGTTCAGTGCTGTCTGTGGAGCCAGAACTCTGTGGAGAAGGGACAATCCCTTCCATTCACAAAACAGACATTTTCAAACATCATACAACCAAAATGATCTGAACTATTTTAAATGATAATTTAGCCTAGAAATAAACACTGATGTTTTAGTATCCAAATGGGTTTGGTAAAAAAAAAATACAGCATCCTCTAGTAGTTGGCCATACCCTTAAGATTCCTAGTCCACAGGGCATCTATCACTACAGTTCCAGAAAACAAAATTCTTCCTTTTTTCCCAGAGAACATTCCCTAGAGAGTGTAATGAATTTTTTTTCTCTAACAGTAAGGCAACAGAAATGGGGTTGTCATCGCTGAGACTATATAACTAAAAAGGAAATTATAAGTATGTTAATATTCTGTAAAATTAAGTCTTAGATCCTTAGGCTCAGATCCTTAGGCTACCCTAATCCTAAGGATCTGCTATGCCACACCTTTGAGAACAAACTCCACTAATAAAAGCAGCTAAAGAAAGCCAAACATATAGCAGACCCATGAAGGCTGCAGAGCTTTCTGAACATCTCAGCAGGGCCCATAAATATCCCTGTTTAAGTTCTCAATATACAAGTAAATGATACCATCAATGATAAAGGAAAAATCTGTTAGGAGTAAAGGTGTGTTCTTATTTTTCTCACTTTTATTTTTGATTTAATGATAGCTGCAGCAATGCTAATGCATTCTATTTATCTAAAATCTAAACATTTGAGAGAGTAAAGCCCTTGTTTTCCACATTAGTAAAGTCACTTACCTAAAAAGGGTGGGTAGTACAAATAATTTAAATAACTGAGACCAAGTTATTAACCAAAGAGAAAATGCCTAATTTATTTTTCCAACATATGACGAAGAAAGACTACTTAACACTTCACAAATTTGACTCTACTTCCACCACAGAAATTATTGTTATAATGCTCTCCAGTGTAAAAACACTGCTTTATCAATCCCCATTAAATCATTTTCCAAGCAGTCTCTCAAAACTTTTCAAAAGAAGCATCTTACAAGCCATGTTGCAATGTTGCTACATCGAAAAGACATTTCTGAAGTCAACTCACTAGACCTGCACTGGGATCGACTTCACACACCTAATTACTCAAGCTTAATAATGTTCTTAAAATACTATTTGTGTAATGTGATAAAAGATACCCACTCCTCCCAAATAAACACAGGAGCTGAGGGATAGGGAGGCAGCAAAATGGGTGTAAGAATGGGTGTGTCGCAGAAGCTTCTCTTTTTTTCCCCTTCGTTTTTCTTTCTTTCTTCCCTACCTCCCTTTCAGTTTGCCTACCCCATATACAATTGAACATTATTAAAGCCAAACATATGAATAAATTCAAAAATAATAGTTCTTCAGGAAGTGTAGTAAACATGTTCAGTTGGACTCTTAGCTTGATCCACCTTCTGATAACGACTAATGTTTACTAAGCCTTATGTTACATATTTTACATGTATTCGTTCATATAATTCTCAAAACCATCATTGAAATCAGGTGTGATTATGATCCACACTTTACAGATGAAGAAAGTGTGGTAACACACCAAACTAATGAACGTGTGGCAGGGCTGGCTGGCTGGCGTCTGACCCCAAGCCTGGCCTGCGTGCAGTGCTGCCACCTCCAGAACCCGTCAACCATCCTTCTGCTGGACATTACCGCCCCGCCAGAGTTTCTTCTCTAATCATTATATCACCACTGCTCTTTCTACATCCAATCTGGGATAGTAGATTCCACTAATGCAATGGGGTCAAGGGCTGGACAGGAGCTAAGGAAAGAAAATGGGAAATCAGTAGGTTCAAGGGACTCATTTTCGTGTAATTTTTTTTCTGGCAAGGTAAGAACTTCAGTATCTGTCACAATATCAAGGAATAAATTCTTCTCACAGTCCAGTGAGAATTTTTTTTTCTTGAGGAAAAGTGAAGACAATGTAAAAAGCAAAACTTTAAAACTTTAGAAGGACATACAAAGAATATTGAAACAGGAAAAGTTCCCTCATCTCCTTCACAGGGCATGTGATGGGAGTGTGGCTCACTTCTTCGGTGCCCTGCTGCTCAAACCCCTAGGAGGAACATGCAGATGGGTGGGCTGTGGTGCTCCTGACCCCACGGCAGCATCTAGGGGTGAATGTTTAAGCTTCTGAAGCCCCAGTGGGGGTGTGTTACAGGATGCTCTTTTAGTTTAGCCTTCTGTAGGTGGCTTGTGTTAGTCAGCTCAATCAGACCCCCTGCTTTATAGCAAGGACAAAGGGCTTTCTGTATCCTAGGGTTTCTTGCCTTGAATCAGATCACACCTGGGCTTGGAGAATTACTGCAAGGTTTTATTGAGTGGTAGCTCTCAGCAGATGGGGGAGCCCGAAAGGAGACAGTTTTCTCCTGAAGTCTGGCCGCTCAGTAGCCCGGCCTCTCCTCCAACCTCCCAGGCCAAACTCTGTGTTGTTCTACCAGTTGATGGCCTACCAGCGTGCCGGTGTCTGCCGGTGCCTGCTGGCATGCTCTTCAACCAATGTGCTCCTCTCAACATCCCGCTTGTGTGTTCTTCTGCTGATGTGCTCCTCTGGACGTCCAGCTGCTTGTGTCTCTGCCCACTAGGGCCTCAGGGGTTTTATAGGCACAGGATGGGGTGTGGCAGGACAGGGTGGTCTTGGGAAATGCAACATTTGGGCAGGAAAACAGGAATTCCTGTCCTCACCTGGGTCCTTAGGTATAGGCCCAGGGGTGGAGCCCTAGCCAGAGACACACCCTTCCCTTCCCAGCACTTCCTTGCCCCCCTTCCATATCTTTACAACTTTGTAGAAGCAAAATACAATTTTCCCTTAGAAGACACAAAACACACAAACTGTAAATGAGAAGACTGATACATATTTACTGCATTAAAATAAAAAATTTCTGAACCTAAAACACCATAAATGGGAAACTGAAAGATAAGCCCACAGACTAGCAGACATTTGTCACTCTTCAAATAAGAAGTTGTGTCCAAACTTTCTATGCCTTCCACCCTGGAGGACAGCTCCCTATTCCCTGTCCCAGCACCAGGATCTGGTATTGATCAGACTTTTAAATGCTTTGCCAAGTTGATGGTTATAAAATGGTACCATATTGTCTTACTTCACATTTCCCTTATTATTCTGTGTTACTAAAGAAATCAAGGGTCTTTTCACATGGCTACTGGGCATTTGATGTTCTTCTGAGAAGCACCTGTTCATGTCATTTGCCCAATTTCATTCTGAGTTGTTTGGGTTTTCCTTATGGATCTGTAAGAGTTCCTTATGTAGGTAACATTTTAACAAAAATATATATACTCTTAAAACTTGGTACAAACACCTTCTAATTAAGCTTTTAAATAACTTAAAGATCAAAACGAGTGTACAAGCAAATGAAAAAAATTTCAGATTTAAAATATTGAGTGTGAAAGTCAATGTCTCCCTAAAAGCAAATCGTAGTATTTCATTTAATAATAGGAAGACTGGTAAGTATTAAATTTGACTTGGTAGCGACTTAATTCTTCTGATTTTGAGCCATCACATGAGCCACCCCTGATCAATGTTATTTCTGCTTGTAAACAATGAATTTTTTAATTACAAATCAATTTAGAACTTTACACATATACTGGCAAAGTATATAAACTAACACTTCTCAAGAGTAAACAGCCTCATTAGTAACCAGAAAAATACAAACTAAATTGATAAATTCCCATTTTCTAGAAATCTAAGTGGCAATGAATTTTCAAATAACAACAGCCAACACTGGTGATGCGATATAATGATAAACTCTCAGACTGCTGGCAGGAACATATTTTGGTATAACCTAACTGCAGGGAAATGTAGCAATCTGCAATAGAACCCTAAAAATGTTTACAGCATCTGTCCAGGTGATTTCACCTCATAGAACTTATTCAAAGGACAGAGTCAGTAACAAGATCCCCACCCCACCCAAAGATTTCACATCACTCACTATGTGTACAGGACACTGAAAAGTTGGTTCCTGGGCAACTTAAAGCAGTAACAAACCTGCTATTTTCTGTAAGAAACTCCTTCTATATAATTAGGGTAGAACTCACACACATGTCTGCCACTGAGCAATGAAAAGTGCCCTGAGTAATATATTAATTTTTTTCCACATCAGTAAAGTGAAATCAGATTTTTAGATTACCCCATAGGGCATTTAATTCTTTTCCTCTGAGATGAAACTCCAGGCAACCACTGATCTGCTTTCTTTGACTACAGATTTGTTTGCATTTTCTAGAATGTTATATAAATGCAAATGTTATAATATGTAGCCTTTTGAATCTGCCTTCTTTTACTTAACACAATAGAGCTGAGATTCATCCATGCTTAGCACGGATCAATAGTTCATTCCTTTTTATTTTGAGTTGAATGACCATTGTTTAGATATACCACATTTTGTCTCTCCATTCACCTGCAAATGGACGTATAGATTGTTTCCAGTTTGGGACTATTACAAATAAAACTGATATGCATATTCATGTAGAAATCTTTGTAGGAGTATATTTTTTCATTCTCTAAGTTTAGAAAGGGTGGAATGTATGATAGGTGTATGTTTCATGTTTTAAAATTTTGCCAAACTGTTTTCCAAAGTTGTTACACTATCGTACATCCACCAGCAGTGTATGAGAGTTCTAGTTCCTCCACATCCTAACCAATACTTGGTATGATTAGTCTTTGTAATTTTAGCCATTCTAAAGGTATATTTAGTGGTATGCATTATTCCATTTTAATTAGTTTTAATATGATTTTTTCCTTGCTATAAATTAAACTTAAAAAAAGCTAAAGTGTTAACATTTAATAGCTGCCCATGGAAATAATGAAATTCATCTTAATAGAAGTATAAAATAAAGACTGGGCAACCAAATGACAAGAATGTTGTGGAAGTATAGCCGCACCAGAACAACATGGTTCAACTTCTGGGTGACAAAGTTGTGCGTTTTCAGTTGCCATGGACCCTCAGCTCATGTAACCTGAGCATGCCCAGATGAACCAAGCATGCAACCACAGGGGGAATCTAAGAGCAGGATGAATTAAGAAGCGAACACCACCTAACAGGATCCAGGATCCAATCAGATGGAGCTCTAGCATCACCCCAAGTCAGGATCCAGTAAGATCAGACCTCCCGGCATCACCTCATTGCAAGATCCAGTCAGATCACACCTCATTATCATATGCTTATAAAACCTGACCCAGTCCCCAGCTCCGGGAGACACTGCTTTGAGAACTATCCCTGGTGTTCTCCCTACTTGTTACAAGCAATAAAATCCCTTTACTAAATACTAAATCTTACTAAATCTCCTTGGTTGTGGTCATTGGGTTGATACCTAGCCCAACAATCAAACCAACCTCTTGTGTGGGTAACAAGAACTTCATGTCTTGAGTGGCTAGATGAAAAATATCCATTAAGTATTCAACTATCCTAATATATCATGATCCTATTAAATGAAAAACATTAGAAATTATAGCCAAATAAATAAGTTCTAGAGCAGGTGAATAAAACAAAGCTACACAAACAGAAAAACAGAGCTTGTTTAAGAAAGAAGTATACACTACCATTTTGAAGTATACCCTGTCATGGTTCCCAGAGACTAAGAAGTCTATTATTAACAAAACAAACTCAAGCTTAAAATTATTTATTGTTAAACCATATGCACAGACACTCATACTTTATCCACATATCTGGTCCATGACATCCGATTTACCATCATCCTTCTGGTTCATTTAGTTCCCTAAATACTCTGAACTCCAAAGTCAGTCACCACAAAGACACTCCCTTGAAAACACTCCATTCTTTTTCCTTTGGTCCTTTGGCTAAACCTGCCAAATAATTTGCTCCTATTGCATCTCACCATCCATTCTTTCCTCTCCACTCCCCTACTCCCAAGATACTACTAGATAATTAACACAATATACATGAAGACAAGAAGTCCATGGTAAATGTTCCTCACCCTTTGGTGATTCCCTGTTTCATAAGAAGAATGTGGCCGGGTGCGGTGGCTCACGCCTGTAATCCCAGCACTTTGGGAAGCCGAGGTGGGCGGATCACAAGATCAGGAGATCAAGACCATCCTGGCTAACACAGTGAAACCCCATCTCTACTAAAAATACAAAAAATTAGCTGGGCATGGTGGCTGGCACCTGTAGTCCCAGCTACTTGGGAGGCTGAGGCAGGAGAACGGCATCAACCTGGGAGGCGGAGCTTGCAGTGAGCTGAGATTGCGCCACTGCACTCCAGCCTGGGCGACAGAGCGAGACTCCTTCTCAAAAAAAAAAAAAAAAAAAAAAAGTATCACTGTCTTAACTCCACTCTAACAACCTGGAAAATACACATTCACCTTTCCAGATTCACCTCAAATTTCACTTTCTACAGGTTCCCTGTCTCCCAACTGCAAAGGTGGAGATTCCTCCCCTAGGTCTACACCTTATTCATAATCCTTTTAAAGCTCTTACTTTGCAATAATGGCCTTGAACCCCAAAGAAAGAACCACCAGAACTGAGAGTACCCTGTACTGAAGAATGAAATCCAAAGGCTTCAGACAACTAAGCCCCAGTCTACTACCCAATTCAGAGTCATGTTCCACAAAGTTAAAATTACTTCAACCCTGACTTTGAAATATGTGAAATACCAGGGTAATTTCATTCAGTGAAGGAATATTTTCAGTTTTAGCTATTTAAGGGATATTTGCCTAAATGTAGTTACCACTGAAGGGTCAGATGTTAAAACATTCAGTAAGTATGACACTTTACTCTAAAAGAGAGAAGCATCCTTAATTCTGACCATGTTTTCTTAGCCACTTTGGTGCGTAGAAGCCATCAAAATTATCAAGTTATCTATAAATACTTAACCCACAAACTTGAGATTATTTTTTAATGCAGACAACTGGAAATATGACTTGCCTTGGCATCATTTATCAGAAGTTAGAATGATTTCCATTTAAGTAATTTTCAATTCCTTTGACACATCTCTTATCACTCAAAATACGGGGTTCAAATATAGAAAACAAGTTCTTTAAACACACAAGAATCTGAGACCTGTCAATCAGTCTTAAACAAGTATTACAGGCACTGGCACACTTGAGCCAACAATGAACCACTTTGATCATATCAAAAAGATACATGCCCTGCTTGCCAATTAATGATGCCACATCTAGAACAGCATACTACAGATGGTATTTGCTTCAGGTCGATAAGTGAGTACCATTAGACCAAGAGTAGAGCAGGGTTCTTTGTTCAAGGATACATAGCTTAAGTTTATAGATCTGCTCCAAAGATTCTTTCAATGAACAGTCACCCAACATCACACTGGCCACATTATGAATAAGCCCAAAAGAGTTAGGCTGTTTAGGTGAATAATGAATGTATGGCATCTGTATTAACTGTCAAAGAGATGGTCATGGCCATACAATTTCCTATAATGTACACACAATAATCCTGATATGGGAGAGGAAGGTATGAAAAAAACCTTGATTATCTGGAAAATAGTCTAAATATGTGAAACTGCAGATTTGGAACTATGGATTAGTTCAGCGAACTTCTATCAATTTCTTATTTCTATCAGTTCACCAGCTTTTATGTTGAGCACTGATGATGCAGAGATAAATTACACAAACTGTCCTCAGGAAATTAGCATTCTATGTGGAAAATGACATTGAGGCATATAATTGTGACAAAAGTACCGTACGTTCAAGAAGTGGAGAAAAAAAAAAAAAGCAAAGTGGAGGTAACACAAAGAAGGAGATGGTTAAGCCATGTAAAGGATAAAAAAAAAAAGTGGGCCAGGCGTGGTGGCTCACACCTGTAATCCCAGCACTTTGGCAGGCCGAGGTGGGCGGATCATGAGGTCAAGAGATCGAGACCATCCTAGCCAACATGATGAAACCCTGTCTCTACTAAAAATATGAAAACTAGCTGGGCATAGTGGCACATGCCTGTAGTCCCAGCTACTTGGGAAGGCTGAAACAGGAGAATCACTTGAACCTGGGCGGCGGAGGTTGCAGTGAGCTGAGATTGCGCCACTGCACTCCAGCCTGCTGACAGAGTGAGACTCCCTCTCAAAAAAAAAAAAAAAAAAAAAAGGTGTTTGTGAATACTAAAAATGAAATTTAAGCAGCTTAAAGGAACACTGAATCTTCACGATGATACTGTCAAAGAGAGAGGAGAGAAGGAAAATGATCATTTCTTTTGCTGAAACATGAAAAAAGAGATGGGTGATCCTCCAGACACTCATACATCAATCCAAAGCAAAGAGAAAAGAGGAGCTGATTTATATTAGAAATAAATTCTTCGCAGCCAAAGAAAGCAACAAAAGGTCAGCAATACAGTCCAAAAGATGGTCGAGTCCCAAAGTCCAGGGAGAAAAATGAAACCATCATCACTCACAGATGAGGAACCAGTCACAAAAACATGTTTTGAAACTCAGGTTAGGGAAGTGCCCTAATAAGAATGTTTCGCTACATAAGGGAGGTCTTGAATGTACAAGGAGATAAGGGTGGAAGAGTAGTGGGCATGGAATACATAACCAGAACAGCTCAAGCCCAATTTACACACTTCCTTCCCTGATACCGTTTGCATCTGGAATGATCTTTTAAAGTCTCTTTAGCTTCTAAACTTTGATGACTTTATACATTACCCATAGCAACTAGAAAATGTATGAGTATATATTAAAAACTTAAATACTGCTGAACATAAGGGTTACTTTCCAAAAGTAAGATTTAAGACTCTGATCTTATATTAGTCAGCTTGAACTGCCATAACAAAATATCATAGAGTGGCTTAAACAACAGAAATTCTCCTAGTTTTGGAGACTGGAGGTCCTCAATCTGCCAGTATGGTCACATTCTGGTGAGGGTTCTCTTCCTGGTTTGCAGACAGCCTTCCCGCTGTGTCCTTATATGGCCGGCAGGAAGGGGGAGGAAGGGAAGGTCTCTCCTGTCTCTTCTTATGTTGGCACTAATCTCATCTTGAGGACTCCACCCTCATGACCTCATCTAAATTGTTTTTAACTTGTTTTTGTTTTTAAGAGACACAGTCTTGCTCTGTCAACCAGGCTAGAGAGTGCAGTGGTGCAATTATAACTCACTGCAGCCTAGAACTCCTGGGCTCAAGTGACCCTCCTGTCGTAGCCTCCTGAGTTTACACCATGCCTGGCCCTCATCTAAATTTAATTACCCCCCAAGTCCCCAATTCTAAATACCATCACATTGAGGGTTAGGACCTCAACATATGAATTAGGAGGTGGGGAAGAATTCAGTCTACAGTAGCTCTCAGTATAAAATTTCTAATTATACATCCAATGGACAAGTGAAGGTAGAATAATACACAGGAGAACAGAGAACCAGCTCCCAGAGGCCTCCTGAAAGGTAGTAACAGAAAATCACCAGTTCCATGGTTATGTTTCAAAACAATATTATCAGCCAATATATACTTACTGGATACCAAACGGCAGCAGAGAAAAGAGAAAGGGTGGGGAAGAGGAGAGAAGTATACCAGGAGACATGGCAACTATCCTCCAAGACGTTAAATAGGAATGTGAGGCTGGTACTGACACTATGAGGGGCCACACTACAAGTGAAATAGTAGTAATATAGGAGTTTACAGGAAGGAAACACCTCAGGGCTACAATCCAGGGGAAGTACCTTGCAGAAAGAATGGAGATTCACAGAAGTGTATTCTAGAGAGAAAAGAAGTCATCAAAAGCTTAGAAACAGGCAAGCCCATGGCAATATTTAGAAGGTAGTGAGCAGATAAAAATTACTAGAGAGGGAAGAAATTAAAACTAAGATTAGAAAGGTGGGTTTCACCAAATGATCAGGGTCTGGAATGCTTAGCTAGATAGTTAGGACTTGATGTGGGAAGTAACAAAGAACTGTGAAATGTTCTCAGAGACACAATGGTTAGATGGACAGAGGTCTGGGTTTTTATCAGCACATGAACACGAAAGGTATCAGCAACTAAGGAATACAGTCCATTAGTTTAATCTCAAATCAAAAACAGGAATAGAAATACCAATAGATTCTGCTACCTGACAAGGAGAATCATCAACCCACCTCTGCCTCAAGAGTTTAATTTCAAAAATTTGATATTTATCTTAACACAAAATGGCCACTAAGCTCCTGTTTTGTTTTAATCTCCTTTTTTTGTAATCATCCATTTTATAAATATTTATATAATGTCTCTTACTATAGTGCCTTACAGCAAAACCTCATCATTTTCTATTTCTAGCAAAGAAAGAAAAACACATAAAGGTGAACAGTAGAAATTTATGTTTGATCAGCAAGTTGTTTGCTCTCTCACTAGCACACTTAAAGGAATAAATATTTAAAACACATGGCATAATGCTCCTAAATATTTAACAGAGACATGGCACAATAATTTGATCACTGCTTCAACATAAGTACCCTTAATTAACAAGTTTTAAATTAAAATGCTTAAATAAATTGGAGGCTATTAAAGAAAAAGTAACTACAGTCATGCACTACATAACAACATTTTGGTCAACAAGAGACCACATATACCCACTGTTGACTAAAAAGCCAAATTGTAAAATACTCGAAGAGATTTATTCTGAGCCAAATGTAAGGACCATGACCCATGACAAAGCCTCAAGGGGTCCTCAGAACATGTGCCCAAGGTGGTTGGGTTACAGCTTGATTTTATGTTTTAGGGTGACATAAGACATCAATCAATACATGTGAGGTATATATTGGTTTGGTCCAGAAAGGTGGGACAACTCAAAGAGGAGATGAGAGGAAAGAGGGATGGTTTACAGGTCATAGGTAGATTCAAAGATGTTCTGACTGGCAACTGGTTGAAAGAGTTAAGTTATCAGCAGAAAGAATCAGCAGAAAGGAGTACCTGGGTTACGATAAGGAGTTGTGAAGACCAAGGTTCTTACTATGTAGAAGAAGTCTTATAGGTGGCACCCTTAGAGGTAATATACGGCAAACGTTTCCTATTCAGACCTTTAAGCTACTCTCTTCAGGATCAGAAAAAGACCTGGAAAGGGAAGGGGATTCTCTACAGAATGTAAATTTTCCCCAAAAGAGACAGCTTTGCACAGCTATTTCAAAATATGCCAAAGAAATATATATTAGGGCAAAATACTTTGACTTCTTTCAGGGCTTGCTATCTGTCATGTGATGCTATATTAGAGTCAGTTTGGAATCTGGTATCTTATTTCCTTTCACACTACAAAGAGTCTGTTTTGTCAGTCTTAAGATCTGTATCTTAATGTTAATGCCGGTCAGTTGTGCCTGAATTCCAAAAAGAAGAGAATATAATGAGGCATGTCTGACTCCCCCTTCCCGTCATGGCCTGAACTAGTTTTTCACGAATCCTAAGAGGAGTCCATTCAGTAGACTGAGGAGCTTAGAACTTTATTTTTGGTTTACACCATAGACTACAGTGGTCCTATAAGACTGTAATGCTTTACAAGCTATCTTTTCCTAAACATTTAAATAAAAAAAGATTATAATGGAGCTGGAAAATTCCTAACACTCTGTGTCACTGCAGCCTAGTAACAGCACAGCACAACATGTTACTCACGTGTCTGTGATGATGCTAGTGTAAACAAACCTAGTCAGCTGCCACTCATATAAAGTCTAGCACACACAATTATGTACTACATAATACGTGATAATGACAATAAATGACTATGTTGCTGGCTTATGTATTTACTATACTATATTTCTTATTGGTATTTAGAATATATTCCTCCTACTTATAAAAAAAGAAGTTACCCATAAAACAGCCTCAGGCAGGTCCTTCTGGAGGTATCAAGAAGAAGGCATTGTTATCACAGGAGATGACAGCTCCATGTGCGTTACTACCCCTGAAGGCCTTCCAGCAGGACAAAATGTGGAGGTGGAAGACAGTGATATTGATGATCCTGGCCCTGGGTAGGCCTAGGCTAATGTGTGTGTTTGTATCTTCATTTTTAACAAAAAGTTTTAGAAGTAAAAAAGAAAAAAAAAACTAAACAGAAAAGAGCTTATAGAATAAATACATAAAGAAATATTTTGTACATCTGTACAATGTGCTTGCTTTAAGGTGTGCTATTATAAAGTCAAAAGTTTTAAAATTAAAAAGTTTATAAAGTAAAAAAGTTACAGTAAGCTAAGGCTAATGTATTAGTGGAGAAAGAAAATGTTTAAATAAATTGAGTTTAGCCTAAGTGTACAGGGTTTATAATGTCTACAGTAGTGTACACTACTGTCCTAAGCCTTCACATTCACTCACTGCTCATTCACTGACCCACCCAGAACAACTTCCAGTCCTGTAAGTTCCATTCATGATAAGTCTCCTGTACAGATGTATCATTTGTCATCTTTTATACCATATTTTTATGGTATCATTTCTATATTTAGGTATGTTTAAATGCACAAATACTTGCCATTGTGTTCCAATTGCCTATGGTATTCAGGACAATAATATGCTGTACAGGTTTGTAGTCTAGAAGCAACAGGCTATACCATACAGCCTAAGTGTACAGTAGGCTGTACCACCTAGGTCTGTGTAAGTAGAGGCTATGATGTCTGCACAATGACAAAATTGCCTAACGCCACATTTCTCAGAATGCATCCCACTGTTAAACGACGCATGATTATACTATGATTAATGTGGTTATATGGGCATAAATATCGTGGGAATTTAAAAGGAATCTAAGATTTTATAAGAATTCTGAAGTCACGTTATTTTACTCTGAGTTAAGTAAAATTGCTTTAGCAATTAAGTTTTGAGTTAACATAAAGCTATATCTAGAAATAATCTCAAAAAACCATTTATGGCCAAAGTATTTGAATTAACATATGCTGAATATTCTTTCAAATATTCTGAAATCTGAGTATTAATATACATAATAAAGTATCACTCTAGCAGTTGTCATTCTTCAGCAACAAAAGATGGCCGTATAAAACAGAATCCTGTCAACCTTCTTATGTAACTGTAGAATATACAGCCATGGGAATAACCTCAGTGTCACGATTCATTTACAAAATGATCTCTGAACAGGATGTCAACCTAGGCAATTAGGTATTATTCAATATTGAGTAGCAGAAAGGGGTTGCTTCAACAAACAAGGAAAATTTGAGCACTGCTCAAGCTCAACCAAAGACATGTACACATGTATAGGTGCTTGTGCAAGTATGTGTGTGTTACTGAGGTACAACTTATATAGAATAAAGTACAAAGATCTCAAATGATAGCTTAGTGATTTTTACATATGTAGATCATGAGAAAACCACCAAGACAGTATTTTCAGCACTCCAGAAGACTCTTCTGTGCTCCCTCCCAGGTCAAACCATTATTTGAACTCTATTGCTATAGTTTAGTTTTGCTTTTTCTTGACCACCATATAGAAGTTATCAAACAACATGAACACATTTGGGTCTGGCTTCTTTGGCTCAACATTAAGTCTATAAAATTAATCTATCAATAGGCTGTTCTTTTTAATTTGCTAAGAATGCACCACAATTATCCATTCTACTATTGACGGACATTTGAGTTAGAGGCTATTAGGAATTAAGCTATTATTAACAATCTGTTTGTGTGTGTGTGTGTGTGTGTGTGTGTGTGTGTGTGTGTGTGTGTGGACATACGCATCGCAAGCATTTTTGTTGAATATGTACTTAGGAGTGCAAACTGCCAGGTCGTTAGGCAGACATACGCTTGGCTTCAGTAGATTCTGCCAATGATCACGAAAAAGCCATGGCCTAAAGAGAACTTTCAAAAACAGACTATCACCTTCTTGAGTAAGGTAAACAAACACACAAAAATAGCACCAAACTATCTTCCTCCCTTGCCAAAAAAAGGTGCAAAGCTATAGAGAGCTTAATTTTCAAAGATGTCATATAGTCAGGACTGAAAAAAGAACTGAAGAAAGATTTAGACAAATTTATGGATGATACTATAAATTACCTGAAAGAGGATGGATGTAGGATATACTCGACATAAAACAGACATGAAAGAAGATATAACTGAAGGTTTATACTGAATAGATACAAGGACTGACTTTTGGCAATGGAACCAATGGTATATGTCCATGAACCTTAGCAAGCAAACACTGCAATTTCTATTCAATATCAAAAAGACAGAAACAGAGTGTCAGGGACTCATTTAATGGGAGTAGGAAATGTAAGAAACCACACAGTCAATCTTTTTTAAAGGTGAGGGGGCACGCACAACACCACAAAAACGACACCTGGCCCAGTACCAGGTACACATTTTAATGGATGGCAACTGAAATACCAAATGTTTTGGTCATCAAGATGCATGTCCAGTGTCCAGTGGGTAGAAGAGGGAAGGTCAAAAGTATATTCCTCTTGCCTCAAAGGGATTTGCCTGATGCATGAGTATGATTAGAGCACATAATTCCCTGTCTGTGTTGCTCCAAAGATTGTCCTCGTTCCAGGGTTCCATTTCTTTTCAGCAAAACAAGGCATCCCTTTTTCTTTCCCATACAACGTGTCAGCTTTAGAAACTGTAATCTCCTTTCTAAACTATATCAATAGATGGATATTTTGACAAGTGCTGATGCTTTCTTCAAAAAAGTAGTATTTGTCCCCTGAAATGATCACCTTTTTCATACCAAGTGGTTGTGTCATATTTACACAACCATGGAAGTTCTTGACACCTTTAAGGTACACCTTCACACCAAAATCAAGCTTCAAATTCAATAGTACCTTCATCCTCAATGATTCCAAATCACAATTAAAAAAGAAAGCCTGGTTCTTTGCTTTCAATCAATATAATCCCCTAACAGTCCAAGCAGCAAAACAGTCACATAAAATATTTTAGCTTTGTATATTTAGAAGAGAGAAACCGATCCAGCAAGGTGATCAATCAATTTTCAATTACATTTGGCATCTCAACAAGAAGACAGGGCATGTACTTACAACTGAAATTAGTCACTAAATGAGGGAGTTCATACTTTAAGGATTCCACAAACTTCCAGAGTATGTAAATTTGCACTATTATTCACTAAGAAAGCAGCATTTTTTTCTTTTAACAACAATTCACCTAGACATTCTACATTGTCACAATTTTAAAAGAATACAGGAGTATTCTAAATGCCCGAAATTAAAGCCAAATAGATGACTATAATTAAGTAAAGAATTTGCAATTAAATAGATGTATAGATTTTTACATGGAGTTTGCATATAAAAGATACCCAGTCAAAATATATAATGCATGTATCTAGACCCCTTTCTTTATAAGTTCACCTTTAAGTTTTCAGAATATATTATAAAGTTCAAATTTATACTCTTAGCACTCTGATTGAATTAATAAAGATCCTCTTTATGCTATTAAAACAAACTGGTAAACCAATATTCTAAAACACAAATACTTAACATGAAGTTTAGCTCATACATTATTTTATACAGAATACTTACTACATCAAACTTCTGAGTGATGTTCCCCTGGACATCAAGTAAATAAACCTTGCCATAATGTGTGCCCAATGCCAAAAACTGTAAGAAGAACAAAGAGGCCAGTTAATTAATTAATAATACTATTAATACACAAGTAGTAACAAAACCATTTTTAAAGACAAGATGCTTAATGCATAAATGATCTGCAATGTCTCAAAAGATATGCATGCCTTGGAGAAGGCTTGTTTCCAGCTTCTGGGAAATAACAGAACAGGGCCTATTTTATTGTGATAGTGCAAGCCAGCTGTCAGAATGACTCATGAGGACCCTCATCTACTGACAACTAATGGTGTGTATGCAGTCTATACACAATGCCTGATGGACTGAGGCAGTAAATTAAATGCAGCGGTGAAAACACGACCAACCTACAGTTGAACTCAAAGTGAGAAAAGAATGATTCAGAAACTCCCCCTAATTTATGGCAAATGTGTAAATCAGTGCTATCGCTTAAGCTGCACACATACACAAACAACAAATTATTTTTTCGAATGGAAAATCCATGCCATATTGAGAGACCGAAAATCTCAGGTGTACTTATACCATCAGTTAGCTTTAGGATGCTTCTATAAAAGTTAATATATAATGTTGAGTGTTAATGTTTATATTATCATGCAAAATAAAAACCCTTTTGTGTTATAAAATAACTGTCAAAAAATACTCATTTTATGTCGTAAGTCCTACTGTTTCTTTAATTCTCTGAACTAACCTTAAGTAAACCAGAAGAAACTTTAGGACTACCTGAAATATGACATGAGAGTTTTCTTCCTTTTTATTTATTTCAGCATTACTCAAATAGTCCAAAATTCTCTGTATTTCATTGCATGTGAGCATGCTTCATTGCAACCCATAATGAAACGCTCAAATTTACAGGCACTACTAAGTGTTTCAGTCAAGCAGCACAATCTTTAAAAAATAACCTTACAGAAAGTCAAGATTTAAAAGGATTTATCAAAATGGAATTGCTTAAAATGAAATTTCAGTTCAGGCACTTAAAATATGAAGCTACATTAAAGAGGAGTCACAAAAAGGGAAAGAAGGAGTTCATTAGAAATTCATCCCCTGCAATGCCTTTCACTCCTGCAAGGTTGCCTTTTTTCAGGAAGAAAAAAGTCCCCAGGGTAAAAAAAATCAATACTGGTTAATAAAACATCAGGTGTGCAGACATAACTAGGTATGACGATTCCGCTGCACAGGCCTGCCTGAATGCACCAGGTGCCATGACGATTAGTCATCCAGGGCAGACAGCAAGCCTGGTGAAAACACAATGCTTGGGCGCTGGAAGGGAAAGGGGAAACAGGTAATTCTGGGGGGAAATTAGTCTGAATAGTTAAACCAAACAGGAATGTTTCCTCCAAAGCAAAAGAATGTTCTAATCAGAAACAGAGAACTCAAATGATTGTAATTTTACCTCTACAGTGACACTGACAATATTTAAATAGAAAAACACCACATACGATAAGAATTGAAAACAATACTCCATTCTGAGGCTATCTGTGGTAAAAGAATGGGTCTTAAAAGCTCACTGCTCCCCAAGTATTTCACAATATTGATTCTCCTCATAAATACCGTATTTAGTTTGTTAGGAAACTAAGGGAGAAGGGAGCTTGGATCTTTAAAACGCTTTAATGCTGCCATTCTCTGACACCTCTGTAAAGGCCACTTTTGAACTTCTAATTACATTTTATTTTATGGAAGTCAGAAGTTTTATGTAATTTACCCAAGTTTTAATTCCTTCCCTTCTTTTTTCTAAATTTCTCATTTCATTCATTTAATCTTTAAAATAGAAAGAAAACATAAAATAATTATTTTGACTTTACAGTCTCATCCTAAAACTAAAACTATGTTAGAACATTTTGGAAAAAAAAGATTCAGTGATTTTTATGACAAGCTATCTTGTGTTTAGGAAAACATTTCATTATCAGATTAGATAAATTAGTGTTATCCACTTTTAGAAATATATACTCTTCAAAAAAAGTTTACTAAGCCAATTATAGTTATTTAACTACCAATATTATGGATGAGTCATATTTTCATCATTTGCTAATACTTTCCACTACTTAAAATATAACAAAAAATGCAAAATGGCCACAAATGTGACAACATAAATACAAATTCTCAAATTTTACCCACCTTCCAGCCATTAAAAGCCTTGAACTTTTGTAATTATTGAGTTTTGTTTCTTTTTTTTTTTCACCTGAATGTACTTAAAATTCAAGATGGGCAAAGAATAAATATAATTTCACTAGACCCTTTCATGTTTAATTACAGAAACTTGACTCATTTTCTATACTACCAGATTGGGCATCATCCACTAAGCACAACTGCTTTTACCTTAAACTTCATGTAAGTAACTTAAGTAACTGATAAATGTACATCCATAAAGACTGGACTTTATGTAAGGAAACAAGCAGAAAAGGTGATAAGCAGTCCTTTGGACAATGCAAAGGAAACAAGAGTAGTCCATTTTAAATCTGGTCAACTGTCTAATATCATCTACCTTCACATAGTGTTTTATAGTATTCAAAGCATTACAGCAGGGAGTGCCTTCAATTACACATGAGGAAATAAGCTCAGAAAGTTGATGAGACTTCCCTGGAAACAGTCGATGAGTAGCAGAATTAGGATCAGAATTAAAAGCTAAAACACTCAACTGGATCAGAATCCTCTTAAATAGAAACATGGACTTCAGATAAAGAGTGCATGTTCTAAAAGTTAGCATTGATTACAGTTCCCAAACATCAGGCTCTTTGGCAAAGTTGGTTTACGTACAATGTTAATGAAGTTTGACCTCTAGGCAGGCAAACTTTGTTCTCCATTTCATTCATTCACTGGTTCATTCAACAAACACACACAAAAAAAAACACTCTATAATACGCTTAGACAATGACCAAGTGTGACTTAAAAGGGTTATGGTATAATGAGGGAAACAGACATAAAAATGGATTAATTACAATTAAATTTAAAGAGAATGCTTAAAATGGAAGTATCTCTAAGACCCTATGGAACATAGTAGATGACAGCTGTGCTGAACTTTAAAAAAGAAATTAGAAAATAGACACCAAGGCAGACAGGGTAGGCTTGTAGTAAAAACCATTTTAGGCAGAGTGGCTACAACTTGCTCAAAGGCACAGAGACACATAAAATGCAGGACAAAGTCAAGAAATTATGGATGACACATCTAATTCATGCCCAGGGGAAGAGACAGGTGATAAGGTTGGAAAGGTCAGCTAATAAGAGGCATTCAAATATTTATGGAGAGATGAAAGGCAGGAAAGTAGAGGAAATCAGGGTGGGAAGGCCCAAATCATTAAGTCATCAAGAAGCCAATAAAGAATTCTAAGAAGGAGGATTACATGATCAGGTTGAGGTTTCTGGAAGATTACTTTAGTAGAATGTTATGAACAGACTAGAGTGAAAGCAAATCTGAAGGAAAATAGACAAGTTCACAGTATGTGCATTAGTTCCCAGGAAAAATAAAGAATACCTGAACAAAGAAAAGAGCTCCAGATGTGTGTGGATCAAGCAGAATGTGGTGTTGTGAATAGAAACAGCCAAGTGTTGTGGCCAGAGCACCACACTTATGGCAGAAAGTGGTTAAGACAGAAGCCAATAATAGACAGGGAGCAAGATCTTAGAGAGCCTTAGATACAACATTAACGAGCTCAGGTCTTATTTCGTAGTTGATGAAAAATCATACAAGAGTTTTAATATCTGTATTTTCAGCAGATTATTCTGGCAACCAGGTGGCAGATGGGTTTAAAGTAGAAAAATTAGAGGCACAAGAGATTCTTTTATTTACTCTGTGGAGGCAGTAGAAGATAAGAGCCTAAGCCAGAGCAAGAGTAGTAAGAAAATCACCAGGACTTAGCAAATGGCTGGGTGAAAGCAGAGGATTCATCCGTGGCTTAGGTGACAAAGGAGGTGGTGATGCCACCAAATGGGATAAAGAACAAAGATAGATCCAAGTTTAGAGGGAAATGAAAATGAATTCATTATGGACATGCTGAGGTTCAGGAAAAAAGACAACAGCAGATAAAGATGTTTAAGAGGCAACTAAGTAAATATGCATGCTATTCCAGTGAAGGTCAGTGTGCAGGTGGTCACAGAAATCCTGAGATTTAAAACCAAGATAAAGTATAAATTAAGAAGAAATGTGGATAATGGACCAAATCCTAGGAAAGCCAACACGTAAAGGAAAAGTGGAGGCAAACAAAGGAAAGTGAAAGAAACAGAAAGGAATGTCACAAATGATCAATAGGAAAAGAATGGTGTCACGATAAAGAAGTTTTGAGAAGAAAGGTGAGATCCAGAATTTAGAATCAGCAAAATGTCCATCAGCTGATGAATGGATAGACAAAACATGGCATACCTATACAATGGAATACTGTTCAGCAAAAAAAAGGAATGAAGTACTGATACATGCTACATCATGAATGAACCTCAAAATCATTACATTAAGTGAAAGAAACCAAACACAAGAGATCAAATAATGTTGACTGCATTTACATGAAATACACCAAAATAGGCAAATCTATATAGATACGAGGTAGATTTCTGGTTACTTGGAGGTAGCATTAGGTATGTTCCAATATATAGTATGCATCTCTGGGAAACAAGGGAGGAAATGTGATGAAGTGAAGAACAAAAGATTCATGAATAGGAGAAAGAAAATCTGTGGGTGGCCAGGTGTGGTGGCTCACGCCTGTAATCTCAGCACTTTGGGAGGCTGAGGCGGGTGGATCACCTGAGGTCAGAAGTTAGAGACCAGCCTGGCCAATAGGTGAAACCCTGTCTCTACTAAAAATATAAAAATTTGCCAGGTGTGGTGGCAGGTGCCTGTAATCCCAGCTACTTAGGAGGTTGAGGCAGGAGAATTGCTTGAACCTGGGAGGCGGAGGTTGCAGTGAGCCCAGATTGCGCCATTGCACTCCAGCCTGGGCAACAAGAGTGAGACTCCATCTCAAAAAAAAAAAATAAATAAATAAAAGAAAGAAAGAAAATCTCCTGTGGGTAAGAATGGGTGTGAAAAAGAGGTCAGGAATTGAGGCTGTTCATACCTGACATTTTCAATCTTCTTACATAGAAATGACATCATCCTCTAAGAAAGAAGGGACAATGGTTCAGAAGAGGGCCTGAGGACTAAAGAAACTGACAAAGGACAAATAATTCAGAACAATTTTTAGTGACAACTTTACCTAGGTGTGTGAGTCTATACCAGCACATGGCTGCACTTGTCATGAAAGCACTAATTCAGGGTTGAGAGTATGGCTGAGGGGCACAACGGGAAGACAGGGATGTATGAGAACTGAAGATGCTGGTAAGATAGAGTTAGGATAATCAATCATTTCATAGACACAGAAAAATAAAAGAAAAAGAATGAAAGGATTAGAGATCAGGACTCCATAAAGTCATATAGCTTGTGGGAAAATGAGCACAAAAGCTTGAAGTATAACAAGGGTCAACAGAGAGTGTCACAGAGGCTAAGATCCTCAAGTTCCAGTGCTGACACCATCCAAAGTGTGGCCTTATCAATGGGGAGATGAAACAGAGAAGAGGTAAGGGTCACTGGAATGAAATTTGGTTGAAGAACTACAAGGCCAATATTCAATGAGTGAAGAAAAGGGACCAGAAGTTGGAGAATGGCAGCAATGAAAAGGGGTCGATGGCATTGCAGCCAAATGGCTGGCATCTCAAAGGAGAAGGTTGCTGGTAAAACATGAGAAAGCAGGCATACATTCTAATAAAGTGTTGGGGGTACAGGACTCTATTTACAATGAAACAAAATTTGAAGTAAAAAGGAACTGGGTGGGAAGCAAGCGGGAGGATGAGGCCAACTGCTAGTAACATAGGATAAAGCCAGGAGATGGATCAGACAAGAGCAGTTTGCTTTTTGTGGAAGGAGTAAAACTTACAAGGTCACAGGGAAGAAGAGAGCAATGGGTGAAGCTCCCTGCCCCCCAATATTCTGACTATGACACAAACTGTTTTGGTCCAAGAATAGGCTAACGGTGCTATCTAGTACTTACCCTGGACTCAGAAAGTTGGTGAGAGCTTTGTTACGGCAAGGACCCAGATGTGGAATAAATTCATTCATTCGTATAAGTAATAATTTGGGGCATTTCTACTATTCATAACACCTACAATGTAATCCCTTATACTTTCCAATAATAACTTAATAAAAGAATAACTTAATAAAAGAATAACTTAAAAGCACTGAGCTTCCCATTATTTCTAATCTTAACAGGTTCCTAATTGAATCCTTATAATTTGAGGAATTAAGTGAGCGACAGAGTTGCCAAAACCCGTTTCATATAAATCTTTGACTTTGATCACTGTCTACATTCTACTTAATACAGTCTTGGAGTGTGTTGTATGTGTGTGAATGGGCGCGTACACACATATAAAATATTTGGGGTTTTTTGTTGGCAAGGAGGAAGAGAGCAGTGGCAAGGAGACAGAATCACTGTAAAAAGCCACCACCAAAAACATCAGGACTCCAAAGCACAAGCAAATTTACAATGGAAACAATTTACAGAAGAATCCTCTGAAAGTGCTATCTTACCTTGTCATGGACTGTCATGCAGCTAGCTGCATCCTTCTGAAGTATTTCAGTTACCCCATTGGAAAGCCTTTCATACTTCAGCTTGGGTTCCTCTTCGCTCTCTTCTTCCTGCACAAACGGCAAAGAAAAATGACACCCGTCAGAGATTTATTTGTTTTGAAAACCTCAAAACACACTTCTTACGAGAGAACCAGAGATGGTTCCTTCAATGATGTTAATAATTCCAACTACAGCTAAAGGTTAAAATCTTCATATTTCATCTTGCCTAGGTATATCAATTGCTGTAACTTCACTGGTAAAATAAATTCAAAAGTTGAAAACAAGAGTATACAGACTTGGTGTTATATTGTCACTAACTTTACATGTTCAACCTTACTATTTGGTACGGCTTCATAAACTATTCTTAATCCTCACAGTTATGGAATAAAGTTAGTAATCAATATTTACTATAATGGCCTTGAATTAATAAATCAAGGAGAGTTGTAAAAATTATTATAATAATGATTCAGAGTAAGATTTTATTTTACTTCAATAAGTAATAGGAAACAAAAAGTTTACATATGGAGAACTGTGATGGCATAAAACTAGCCAAAACAGAAGTTCATAAAAATAATCTACTCATTGACATTAGCTAGAGGGTGAAGACTATGGAATTACCGTGGTTTGTAGAGTCAAAAAACCATTCAAACCACCATAATTGCATAGTCTTCACCCTCCAGCTAATATTAGAGTAGCTTGAGGACATCAGTGCTCCCACCACAAATAACCAGAAAGTCTTGATGGAATATATAACAACATCTATCCAAGGCATCAAAGGGCTGCTGAGGCAACCTCAACTAGAAGGATCAAGATTCCAGGGCAGCAGAGAATTGAGCTGGCATTCTACAGCCACTTTCTTCCTGGAGGCATTTACTAATTCTGGGTGTAGGACAAGAGGCTGAGAACCCAAGCTCTGCCTGGGAAGACAGCCACTGCCGGGGGTAGGGAAAGCAGCACACCTTCTGGCACTTGCGGGGATGGAGTGACAAAACTGGAGAGAGACCTGCGGGGCTAAGATATCAGTGGAAGAGAGGCAGAGACATGAGCTTGTTACACAGCTACTTTTCCCTGTAAGACAACTGTCAATTTCTAAAGCTGCAAAGGATGAAGCTAAAAAGCTGAACAGAAAGAAAAATGCAAACCAGCTGCCTTGATGTGTTAAAAAGATAAGAATAAGAGTTCAAGAGGCATCGGGAAATTGGATCCTGGTGAATATCACAGTCTTAGTTGGAACCCCTGGTCCCCAGAGGACACAAAAACTTAACTCCCTTAGAGTTCTGACTCAGCTCAATCTTTGATTGGAGTAAGGTATATAACCCCCAACATAACTGTCTAGTGAAGGAAAGGGTGACTCCTCTTCAGAGAAAGAAAACTACTGGGGCCTCTACAATTTTTCATGTACAGTACTAAGGATTCAATAAAATATTACCAGGTATGCCATAAGACGGGACCAAATGACCAAAAATCAGGATGAAAAAAGACCATAAAAATAAACAAATGGGTGACCTAGACATTGAAGTTAGCAGGGCTTTAAAATAACTATGACTATATGTTCAAAAAAAAAAAAAAAAAAAAAAAAACAGAAAAAGACAGAAAGCTGATGAAAAGATAGAAATTTTCAACAGAATTCTAATCTGTTAAAAAAAAAAAAAAGAATCAAATGAAATTTTTTACACTGAAAATGTTAACTGAATTAAGAAGTCAATAGATGGTTTAATATAAGATTAGCAAAACAGAAGACAAAATAAGTGAAATGAGTAAAAAAAAATATCCAAAGGGAACTCCAGAGAAGAATAAATGGAAGGAAAATATGTAAAGGAATCTATGAGGCATGTAGAACACAGTGAAAAGCTCTAACATACTTTTCATTACAGTCCCAGAAGGATAAGGAAAAATGGAAAGGAACAAGAGCAACATTTAAAGAGATAACAACAGAATTTTCCAAAACTGATAAGACATCAACCTACAAACTCAAGAAGCTCTGCAATAAGCAGGATAAATATAAAGTCACACCTAAGGTGCATCATAGTAAAAAGAAAATTAGGCAAAAGAAAAACGACTTGTAGAGTAATAAGTGCTCTGCCTATGGAAGATTATAAGACTGATGAGACACACTAGGCAGAGACTGCAAACTCAAATTCTTACAGAAGTCTTCACCTGTGGGGCAAGGGATTGCATCTTCACATGGAAAGGGGTTAATCTGTGGATTAATGGAAATGATGGAGTACATCAAGCATCATGCTAGAGACTTAATATCAGATATCTCATTTCATCCTGACTTAAAAGAAAAAACAAACAAACCCTACTGAGAGTTAAGTATAATTATCCTGTTTTACAGATTTTCAGCAAAAACTGGTGATCAGAGATTTTAAGTAATTTCCTCAAGACATACAGTGGGTAGAGGAGAAGCTAAAGTTCAAATTCAGCTATGAGTGCTCTAAAGTCAATACCTTCTATAACACACTCCAAAATCTCCAAAGAAAATGATGCTACAAATCACAACAGAAGCCTATTCTAAACCTAGAAATAATTATAAACTGTGTGATCATTAGAAAATGTTTTAAAATATGTTTATTTAGCAGGTGCATTAGCTAGCTATTGTTGTGTAACAAATTATGCCAACACTTGCTGATTTACTTACTTTATTATTATTTTCTATAAAGATAGAGACTCATTATGTTGCCCAGGCTGGACTCAAACTCATAGGTTCAAGAAATCTTCTCGCCTCAGCCTTCCAAGTAGCTAAGACTACAAGCATGTGCCACACTCCTGGCCACCAAAATGTACTGATTTAAAACAACAATAAATATGTATTCGTTTACAGTTTCTAAGGGTAGGCAATTCAGAAGTGGCTTAGCTGAGTGGTTCACTGAGGACTTCTCACGGCGTTGCAGACAAGATGTCAGCTAGGGCTGTAACTATCAGAAGGCCTGACTGGGTTTAGAGGATCTGCTTCCAAGATGGCTCAATCAAATGGCTGGCAAGTTGGTCCTCACTGTTGGCAGAAGTTGCCAACACTCTTGGATCACTCACTCCGGAGGAAGCCACTTGCCATGTTCTGATCAAGCAGCCCTGTGGAGGGGTCCACGAAGCAAGAGTGATCCAAGAGGAAACAAAGTGGAAGCCCCATCCATGTTTCATATGGCCTCAGATGGAACACTGTCATTTCTACAATATCCTTTCAGTCATACGGGTCAGTCATGATTCAGTGTGGGAGGTGCAGGCACAGAGCATGAATAATAGGAGGTAAGGATCACTGGAGGCCATCATGCAGGCTATTTCGTGTCTACTGATAAGCTGTCTTAAATTCAATTCCCTTGTTATACATAAGCTATTAGCTGTTTATTTCGGATGCAAGTATTAAAAACAAAGATGATATACCTGTTATTAACTTTCCAAGAATAACTTTAAGAACTAATAGCAACAAAAGGGAAGTATATGCACAGTTATCCATAGGGCCTACACATTTCTATGAAAAGGTAGTGATCATCTACCCAACCCAAGGAGCTGTTACACCTCAAAACTGACCTGTTTTTAACAGAAAATATAAAATAGCTAATTAGCCAAGTCTAAAAAATGTGAAAAAAGAAAACTGCAAAAAACAACAGACACTTCTACTTATGTAAATACAAGCAAGAAAGAGAAATCATTACAAAGTTAATATTAAATGTAGCACAGATGATGTGTGCATTCTGAAGTAAACATGTTAAATACAAATTGAATCCTGAGTGTTAGTCTTTATAATAAGATGCCACATGTTGCTCAAGTCTGGACATCAAATGTGCATCCAATGTGAAAAGTTAATTCTAGCCTCTTGACTATTTTGCATAAAAGCACTCATCCACGGACCATTAGATAAAGTTACTGTAAATAAGGTTTCCCTGTCTTACTTATAAGTGAAAACTAAATAATTTCTCACACATAAATATACAAAAATAAATGTTTTCACAACACAGCTCAGTGAAGCATCCTTACGGGGTTTCAAAAACCATAAATAAAATGAAAACTCCAATATTAGGCATTTGATGTATCATTTCACGCTTTTCTGACGGGTATCTTTTATGTTAAGTTAAAAGTAGGGTAAAGGTGAATTTTTTAAGGTTTTTTTTTTCCTTCTTGCTGTAAACAAAGAAAATAGAAAGTGATTGAAAAATACGATTCATGGAGGTTATTCTGCTGCTGCTGACTCTATATCACACTTTAAATAAAAAACATTTAAAAGTCTAGTAGATTATAGAGTTTCTCTTTAACTAAAAAAATAATAATAATAGAAAAAAGGTTTTCATGCAGTTTGGACTTCCACGGTAAACAACCCAGTGTTAATAAAAAGCAAATCAATAATTTTTGTTAAATTTTAATAATCCTACAAACCTACAAATAAAACCATCAACAGTCTGAGTTAAGATGACAGTTAACTGCGTTTCTATGACAACCTAGTGGAATAGTACAAGTCCTGACTTGCAGCTAAGCGAAGATATGAACAGAGTGACATTTACCCATACAAGAAAAATTTGCGGCTTTCTTTTAAAAAGAATCAATTCCTCAACTCACATAGATTTTTACTAAGTGTAGAGCACTTTTAATTAAAGACAAGTCCTTTATACCATCCTACAGAATTCTAAACACTATCTGAAAATAAATGTCACATCATGGTCAATCTTACTGAGTTTTGGACTTAGGAGGAGGGAAATTACTTTTAAGGATAACAAATCAAAGCATTTAAAGACTTCTCCCTGAAAAACTGTTTAGTGATGTTGTTACAGTGTTACCATGGGGTAAATTTTCATGGAGGAAGTCCTGTTTACCTAACTTGGTCTTGTATACCAACAAGAATATTTTACATTTCTTTTCACCTAATAATTTAAAATTTGTATACAAGAAATTGATTTTTTCAGTGTTTACAACCAAAAATAATTGTGCAGAATGGGTTCTACATTTTTCATCTTGTTTAAACATATCTTTCACATATATTGGTACATTTTATATGGCATCACTGTTACAGGCCAAATGAAGACTTGAATTTTACTTTTTAAAAATGTGTGTCACATGAATTCTAGGGGTTAAGAGAAAGATCATCACATTTTCTACTGTTACTACTTACACAGAACTTAAAATGTCACCTCTGGATACCATTTCTTTATTAAAATCCATTTTGTTTTGTTTTTACAAAATAAAATGATACTCAATATACTGATTGGGGAAAGGTGAGATATCTTATAAAGCCCAAATTAGGCTGGTAGAAACCACCACCAGTGGAGCACTCCTCAACTATTCACATCTCACTCTGTGGAGATGACCTTCATCCTCTCCAGCTTCACCTGAGAAAGACCTCAGCTGAACCTCCAGGAATTTTAATAAGATGAATGGTTTAGTTGGTTTCATGTCATCAACTACATCTGACTAGGGGCAAATCCTTTTAATAAATATCCAATGTTTTAAAGCTAGATACAATAGGGAAACACTAATATCCTCAAAAGAAATTCACACACAAACACACACAAAAAAAACCTTTCATGCAGTTTGAACTTCCACAGTAAAAAACCAACTATTAATAAAAAGAAAATCGATAACCAACCCTGGGGATGAAGCTATAAAATACAGGTTTTCTTCCTCTAGAACATTCTTTCTAGAACTCTAATTACCTATGGGGAATTGAAATATCCAAAATTAGTAGTGGACCTTACAAGCTTAACATATAAAAAACAGCTATCAAAATCCTGTATCAGAACATTTGAATTTTAGGAAATTTGCATTTTAAAAAATTCTCTCTTTACAAATAATTCAATTTGTAGAAGCCCTATGACTAAAATATTTCTTTGCTATTACTATTAAGAGGAGAGAATAGAAAGATAAAACACAGTTGGTACCAAATACAAATAAATTTTTAAGAGCATAATTAAAATTAATACAATCAATCAAAACACATCTTGAGTTTCAAAAACATATAACAATATTTTAAGGAATAGTTCCAGTCACTATCACAGGATATTAACACATTAACAACACGCACAAAAGGCAACATACACAGGAGCTACATATTATTGGATATTCACATTTATTTGAAACTATAACATTATCACTAAAAGTACATGAATAATATAGGACATCTCCAAATTTGTCACATTCGTATTAAAGTTTTCCATAAAGTGTAGAAAAGATCCAAGATGAGAAAAAAGAATGCCTAAAAAAGAACCTGAAGGTAAAGTTCAAAATGAATCAAAAAGTCTTCAATCAGCTTTGTATCGCCCACCACACCTCATCCCAAGAAAGAATGCTACTTCCTTAAAAAGACAACTGTAACTATTAATACTGTATGCTATAGTTCTATTAAAGAAAGATCATTTTATTTACACACAAAGATGACTATCTGGTAGGAAAGATGGCTTTATAGATCCTTCTAAAGTGTCAAAACGTATCAAGAAAACTACATAAACAAGCTGAAAGAGTAACTTCTGGTTTCCATTAATAACACAAGGTATTATAGCTGCCTCAATGACCAAACTTTTTAAGAAAGTGACATGAAGATAATGGAATTCATCTACAATAAAACAACTGTGGTCAAAGCTCCCAGCATGCCTTTCCATCAGACTGCTGAGAGATAGGCAATTACATTCTTATATGAATGCAAAAAATGTTGTTAAATTTTCAACTTACAAGCAATATTGCTATTAAGGAAAAAATATATTAATTTTTAAAGTAGCTGAAATTAGGAGCTGATAAATGTAATCTGGATGGCATGGGTCTACTTTTTCAAACAGAAAATTCAGCATGAGTTTACTATACCCACATATTATTATTTAAAGCATAAAATACATACGGTTAAATGAGTAGTTCTCAGCCAGAGGTGATTTTTGTCCCCCAGGGACATTTATTTGGCAATGTCTAGAGTCATTTTTGTTGTCACAGTTGGGTGGGGGAAAGGTGCTACTGACATCTAGCAGGTAGAGGCCAGGGATTATGCTAAACAATTTACAATGCACAAGACACTCTCCCAGAACAAAAAATTATCCAGCCCAAAGTGCCAGTAGCCCCAAGGTTGAAAAATTCTGGATTAAATAAATTTCACAAGATAAAATATTACATTTACATTAAAATCTGTTTTCAAAGACAATTTAATAACAAAAAGAAATGTTCTCACAATGTCTTTCTAAGTGAAAGAATAGGTCATAAAACCTGCTTTGTATGATCCAAATTTTATTTAAGAAATGTATATGCATATATGGGGGGAAGATGAGAAGAATAAACACCAATATAGTAATTTCCCTAAGGTCGGTTTCTTCCTCTGTAGAATGGGGATGAAAATAGAAATCACATCACCCGGTTGCTGTAACTATTAAAGATAGCAAATAAAAAAAATCACTGTTGTGAGCTATTGCCAATATTTTCTAAATTTTCTAAAACAAACATATTTATTATAAAAACGGTTCAACATCCTCTTCAACACTTTGTATCTACTGAGCTAAGATTTTTATCTCTCAAAGCTGCTTTGCTTTACCGTAACACACTAACCAGAAAACTGAGAAGTTGAGCCCCTAATAATTGAGGAGCTCTACTTAAGATTCACAAGATATGCAGTCTTCATAAACCCTGGTCTCTCCTGTGCCCTGTAGTATTAGAATTTCATGTTCAATTCAAGGAGGAAAAAATAAGGTGAAGGTTCCCATGCCCTAAGCCACATACCATAAACAGGATCAACTCCCATCATTTAGTTTATATTGGGAAAGCGATAAGAATATATAGAAGAGGGGAAAAAATGAGAAAAGCAAATAAGCTTTTCATTTCCTTCTAGCCATATGGAATAACCTCACCAATCTTCAAGCTATGCCATTCAGGTGGACAATTTCCGCCACTAAAGCCAACATAACCCTCTTTTCCTCTCTTGCCAATATCCCTTGGTGATCACAAGATCCTCAGAAGCAGAGTTTATGCCTTTTCATTGTTCTGAACTTCACCTAACAGAACTGTGGGTACCTAATAAAGACCAGTGAAAACAAACGTATGTAGTAACAGCAGACCAGGTTTGGTAAGCAGCTTTTCTAAGACATTCTCATTTAGATTTCCACACAGGAAAATCCAAATCATAGAATATTAACCAAAGGAACCTCAGAGATCATCTAAACTATGTGTTACTTCGCAGACACAGAGAAGGAGGGGTAAAAGGGGGAGCAGGGAGGTCGAGGCACCAAACAGAAGGAAAGGGCTGGCAATTTTGAAATACCATAAACTAGAATTATAGATAAATTTATAGAAGTGGAACTATATCATCTTCTAGCAGTAGAAGCAAATAGAGGTCCTGCAAACTCAGTTGTCAGAAAAACTTACACTTATTTCTAATAAATTTATGTTGTTATACGAAAAAGGAAAATGCTGAAGCTCTTCAAATTATTTTGTTTGAGAGGAGATTAAATGCCTCTCGAGCATTTCCAATTGCACATTCCATAAGCCAAGTGCAAAGAAGCAACTTGCTAACCACCCCCACCAAAGCCTCTACCAGTTTCTCAATAATTTCCAAGAAAAATTAGATAAAGATAAAAATTCACTATAGCAGTAAGCATTAAAATGATTACCAAAATCAAGGAGAAACTGACACATTTGTTGAATCTAAATTCCTGACATATTCTGATTTGTTTCAAGAAACATAACCCACCTGAACAAAAGGTATTCAGATGATTTCTAGCTCTCCCACCAACCCTCTGTGCCCAAGACTGGGGCTGAGCTTGCCCCAGCCTCACAGAGCCGACCCCTGCCCTACCCCTTAGCTACTCTTTTCCAGAAGGAGAACTATGCTTGCAGCCTCTGCCCACTGTATCTCCAATCCTCACACATTTTAGCCCTGACCACCATCTTTCTACATCTTTCTTCCACAGGCTGAGACTCTAAACCTCTATCACCTGGGCAGTGCCCTCCATGGTCTGGGAGTCCAGCCTTAAGCAGTGCAGGACCAAAGGACCTCTAATAGCAGGAAGGTGGGCACTGCAGGGACCAGAGAAAACTAACAAAAGTAAAGCTAAAATGAATTAATAAACCAGAAAAAAAAATAGTAAGTCCAAGCATTAATACCTTTTACAGACAAATTGAATATGAGACACACAAAAAAACAGTGAGAAAATAAAAGCCATTAAAGTACTATCTATCTCATGCAGAAAGGTACATGGCTCAGGCTGTTTCAGTGGCAAGTTCTATTAAAAACCTTCAAAGAATGGAAAATTCCCAACTTATTTAAGCTGCCCCATAAGAGGCAAATATAAAAACTTCCAAATTCATTTTGATAACCATGATATCAAAACTCCCAAACAGTACACCAAAAACAACAAAAAATATACATAAAATTCTGTCATCTCATGTAGAAATTTAAATGTAGAAAGTCTAAATATCATAAATCAAACCCCGCATATATTAATAAAAAACATGTAAGATCAAATATTGCAAAAACACAAAGACTGAGTATTAGGAAATCTGACGTCATTTGATAAGTCAGAGGAAAAAGAAAACGCAGGGCCATCTTGACAGACACTGCAGACAGCATTTATAAAGTTCAACACTTGTTTCTGATCTTAAAAAAGCTTTCAGTAAATACAAAGGTTTCTTTACCGAAGAGCTAAGAATGAAGAGCCACGAATGACCATTTGAATTCAGAAGTCAACATGATATGGAGCAATGAAATAAGAGAAACATTCCCATCATCAGCAGGAAACAACGCACAGGTGCCAACAATCACTTCTGCTTTTTTCAAAACCAACTTAGAAGTTTTAGCCAAGGCAAAAGACAAGAAAATGGAAAACGTAATAAATTGATCCTAGTTGGTATGGTCTTATTTGAAGACAGTATGACTAGAAAGAACAAAACATGGCTTCTGCCAAGACAGAGAGCTGACCTGTGCTGCTGGCCTTCTACCCCCAACTCAGCCCTGAAGACATGCTAAAAATGAGAGGAAAGAGGGATTCCAGAAATTAACATGCCCAAGTAAGAAACTATGGAGGCACTGAAACGACCCACAGTGGGGAGCCAGGGGCAACAGTAAGGATGAGGGTCAAGGAAAGCTGGTAGATCCAGCGTTGACCTCTCCCCCGGGTGCCTGGTTTTGCTTCCCCATTCACTACAGAAATGGGCAGCAACAGCCCAGCCTCACAGGGGTGAGGACTGGCCGGCTGCATTCACTCCTCCATTTTCTCCCTTCCTCCTAACAAGTAGAGATGCTTGTTAGGGGCTGCTTCCTCTGTGGATTAACTCAAAGTGCACTTCATGAAGGCTCAGAAGAGTCACCTCACAAATTCCCACACTGAATCGTATTTTTGGAGGAAGTATTCAAATAACAGAAAAAAAAAAATCCAGAAGCTGCTGTAAGACAGTGGTCCCCAACCTTTTTGGCACCAGGGACTGGTTTTGTGGAAGACAATTTTTCCACCAGGGTGAGGGTGGTGGTGATGGTCTCGGTTTGGGGATGAAATTGTTCCACCTCAGATCATCAGGCATTAGATCCTCATAAGGAGTGCAACCTAGATCCTTCGCATGCACAGATCACAGTAGGGTTCATGCTTGTATGAGAATCTAATGCTGTGGCTGATCTAACAGGAGGTGGACCGCAGGCGGTAATGCTCACTCCCCCACTGCGCACATGGACCGGTGGGTTGGAGACCCCTGCTGAAATAGGTATGAGATGTAAGGACAATCAAGTATCTTAATAAAGGTCACTAATGTCATTTCTTTAAAAAAAAAAAAAAGAAAGAAAGAAAATTATCCAAAATCCTACTGAAATTCATAATCAAGAGCCAGTCACAAAACAAACTAAAATTTTTCTTTTGCCATTTCTACCATATGCAGCGCATATACACTGTACTAGTTACTTAAAACCTTGGTTACCTTGCCTTTTGTGAAAAGGAAATGATAACCTGCACCTCAGAGGACTTTTGTAAGAATTAAATGCAATAAATGTACGTAAAGCACAAAGCTTAGTATCTGGTAATACCCAGTGAATGTGAAATACTAAAAATACAGCCATGATGTGTATTACAACCCCAACTTCACACTGCAGAACTCATGGCCTCCCTTCTAAGTTACTTCCTATCACATGACCAGACCATAAAACCAAACAGTAACACTTCTTATCTAATTACCTCATTGTTTTAAGCTATTAAAAGATGAAGATACATTACTTTTTATTTTACCACATCATTTAAAAAAATTTTTTTTCACACACATTTAAGTGTGAATCTTGTTATTAGGAATGTAAAAGGAAATGCTACCCTCTCCTATTTTAGCCAAGAACCTCTCCTGGATGCCTGTAAAGACTAAAAGTAGCCCATGACAGCCCAAATCCCTCACAACTGCCCAATCACTGGTGATGGAAATGATGACAACAGACTAAACCCTTAAGCTCTCTCAGAGGTTTCCCCACTCCCATCCCTCCCTGATGCGATTCTGAGAGACGTATTTAATCTACTCAGGTCTTTGGGGAAAACAGTCATATTCTAAAGTAAAGAACTGTGATGACATGGATGCCTGTGAATCTCTGTATTTAAAAACGGCTGCACTGAAACTGAAATAGCTCATGGATGAAAGAAACCTTTGTGCTATTTAGATTTGTTATAGCATTTCTTGAGCCTGCAGAGACAGGAATGCCTTAAAGCCTTGACAGCATAGAATCAGGCCCTAATTGTCAAGTGAAATGATCATTTAAACACACTCTTGAACAATCATCAGAAAAGACACATTTTTATAAATACAGCTCCCCACAGTATTAGCAGTTTCGTCACAACCATTTTCTGTATGTTCTCCTTGCTGGATGTATTTGACTTCCAAAACTCTGAAATGCGGCCTAATGAAAAGTGTTAAGGAGACAAGGTCATTCAATCAAATTATTTACTGTATTAGTTTCCTATCATTGCTGTAAAAAAAATGTGACAAACTTAGTAGTATGAAGCGACACAAATTTGTTGTCGTACAGTGCTGTAGATTAGAAGTCTGACACAGATCTCACTGGGCTAAAATCAGGGTGTCAGTAGTGCTGCCCTCCCCTGGAAGCTGGGGGGAGAATCCCTTTCCTCTCCTTTTCCAGCTTCTGAAAGCGCCAGCATTCCTTGGCTGTGGGCCCTTCTTCCCTCTTCAAAGCTAGCAAAGGCAGGTTGAATCATTCCCACATCACAGCCTTTTCTCCTGCCTCCCTCTTCCATTTACAAAGACCCTTAGGATTATACTGGCCCTGTCCAGATAATCTCACTCTCCTACAGTCAGCTGATTAGCAACCTTAATTTTCCCTTGCTGTGTAACATGACATATTCACAGGTTCCAGGGATTAGGATGTAGACATCTTTGGGGAACCATTATTCTGCCTGTTACAGAGAATAATATAAGGATCAGAGAGGATAAAAATGATGGTGAGCAAAAGAGTTGGAAGCTCTGAGCCAAACTCAAAGCTAAATAAAAAAACTTCTCATTTGTTTGCTCCTAAATTAAATATTGATCCCTGTGAGGACACGGCATGGGATAAAACAATTCTCCGGTTGAGTCAGGAGGCGAGGAGTGGTCCTTGTTTCTGTTTGACAAAGGCCTCCTCAAAGCCCTAGTTTCACCATCTCCAAAATGAGGACACAACACCAGCTTGACATAATTGTTGAGACGATTAATAAAATCAATTCATTCATTCACTGACGAGCAGCTCTACTAGATACTGGGGCCAGGGTGCCTATCCTCACGAAAGTGCCTTGCATACATATGGACAAAAAATAATAAAATAGCAGCAGCAGCATGCTTTCTGAATACCTTTTAATGCCAGGCAAGGTGTCAAACACACATTATCTTCTTTAACAGTCACTCAACAAGTGTCCCATACAAGCATTCTAGATTGCACCATTTTGTAATACACAGTACAAGAATTTCTCAGGGCATCTCAAAGGTATTTTGCCAACTCAATCTCTCCTGAGCTCCTTCCAGTCAAGCCCCACCACCACAAGTCACCACAAGTCACCACAAGTGCTCTTAGAATCACCGGTGGCCTCACTTTTGCAGATCCAAGAGTGAATCCCTAGACCTCATCTCATTCCTCCTCTCAGCAGCATTTGACACAATGATGGTGTCCTTCATCCAGAGACGGGATCCTCCCTTGGTTTCTGGGGCACCACTCTCTCCTGGTTCTTTTCCTACCTCACTGGTTACCCTTTCTCTGTTTCCTTTGCTGATTTCCCTTCATCTACCAGATCTCTAAAATGTGGTAGCACCCCTCAGGGTCCAGGAATCAGGCCTCTTTATCTGTCCTCATGCCCTAAATGATCTCATCCAGTTTCATGGTTTTGAACACCATCTAAATGCTGAGTCACAAATTCTTACCTCCAGTCCAGACTTGAACTACTCTTCTTCAGGTCTACTAGACAATTCCACTTGGATGTCTAATTGACATCTCCAACTTAAAATATGCAAAGTAGAACTTCCAACCTACCCACCACCACTATTTTCACCCTGAGCACCAAAACTAACTCTAGCCAGAGTCCTCCCCTACCTTAGTTACAGCAACCCCATCATTCCAATTGCTCATCCTTGACTGTTCCCTTTCACTTACATGCCCACATTTTAGTCAGGAAATCTGTTGGCTATACTTTAAAAAACAAAAAGCAACTACAGCCTTCATCGCCTCTAGCCCAGAGTTTTAACAAAGCCTCCCCAATGGTCTCCCCTATTCCTACTTATCCTCCTTAGACATTTTTTAAAACAGCATCCAGAGTGATCCTACTAAAACAAAGACTCTCCAATGCTTTCCAGCTTACAGTAAAAAATAAAGACAAGGGCCAGGCACAGTGGCTCATGCCTGTAATCCCAGCACTTTGGGAGGCCGAGGCAGATGGATTACTTGAGGTCAGGAGTTTGAGACCAGCCTGGCCAACATGGTGAAACTCCATCTCTACTAAAAATACAAAAATTAGCTAGGCATGGTGGCATGCACCTGTACTCCTAGCTATTCGAGAGGCTGAGGCAGGAGAATCACTTGAACCTGGGAGGCAGAGGTTGCAGTGAGCCGAGATCGGCCGCTGCGCTCCAGCCTGGGTGACAGAGTGAGACTCCTCAAAAACAAACAAAAAATAAAAAATAAAACAACAAAGACAAGAAATTGACCTGTAGGGTCAACATTCTTAGCTGCCCATTACTTCTTGGACACCATTTCCCACCACTCTGCTCCAGCCACACTCACATCCTAGAAGACATCCAGCATGACCCTACCTCTGGGCACAGTGTTTGCTCTTCCTTTTACCTATGAGACTTTTTCCTCAAATATTTACTCAAATGTCACCTGAACAGACAGGCCTTCCCTAACCACCCAGGATAAAACAGCAACTCCTCAGACCACTCCATAGTCCCCTTAACTAGTGTTATTTCACTTGGTTTATTATATATTTAAGTTTTTTTGTTTACTGTCTCCCTCATGAAATACTTGTGTATCCTAGCATCTAGGATATAAAAGTCATCAATAAATATTTTTTGAATGAATAAAATGATCAACCAATCTTGGACTGCCTAAAATAATTTTTCTTCTAGGTAGTGAAATTATAAATTCTGCTCAAATATATATCATACCAGGGGAGTTGTTTTCATCTCTTCAATCTCTAAGAAAGGGGCGTAATAGAGATTCAAAAATCTTGCCCCCAGAAAGTTTCTACTAAGTTTCCAAACATATAATTTTTATAATATATGCTTCAAAGGGAATGTTTATCCATGCCTGAATGATGCAATAATCAGCAGAACCTGTTAATATTAATAGCTCATTAAATGAAAGAGCAAGTTTGTAAGCCAAGTGCTATGTGGAAGCTATGTGGACACTATAACCCTATGCTCCATTTTTCTCAGCAATCAATCTCATAACAGGGCACATTACCATTTTTGTTATTAGTTGCCATAAATCTGTTTATTAAAATTAATACATGTAAAGAATCAATTTAATTTTCAATAAATGATTCATAATGTTCTACCCACCAAGTGAGATAAATAAATGACTTTTGTGTGATGCATTTCCTGATTTAAAAAGCTATCTCCTGATTTCTCACAATGACTGGTTTTCATTTTAACAAAACTGAAAAAGAACTCTCTTTGTGGCTGATGCACCTAGAAATTGCATTTCATTTTAAAATTAATTTCTCATTCAACTAAATAGCATACAGGTTTATTTTAAATAATTTCAAGTATTTGTCAGTCCACTTGGTTTTATTAAAATTTACACATCTAACATATTTAAGAACTCCTAACTGGTATTTGGAAGAACTAAACCAGAACTAAATGCACATCTGTTTAGGAGGCATGCTTATTTAATAATGGTAACAAAAATTGTAAAGACAAAGGTAACACAATTTTTTTTTATTTGCTTTTTTTGTAGAGAGGAAGGATCACTATGTTACCCAGGCTGGTCTTGAACTCGTGACCTCAAGCAATCCTCCCACCTCGGCTTCCCAATGTGCTGTGATTACAAGTGTGAGCCACTGCGCCTGGCCTACACCAATTAACTGTTCTGTAACTACCTGCCTTGGCCTGGGCTCTGAGTAATACAATGCGCACACAATCTTTGCTTCAACGGAACAAACTATAGGCAGAATAAGCCTAGTTCAGCTATTTAGTTGCGTTCACAAATCAAAGGTCTCTGGAACCCTCATCTGGTACAAAGCAGACCTCAAAACACTTCACTTGCTATTTGGTGCTCTTCTCTTTCCTTAACACTCCTCTTTAGCCTGTTTTTTCCCTTCTTATTCTTCTCTCTGCTGTTCAACTGTAATCTTGAAATGTTAGGCTAATAATTTGATGCTTACATTGCAAAGTTCTTTGTACTATACTCTAAACTCTTCTGAGAAAGGTGGGATATACTTCTAAATATATAATACACCAAGAACCTATTCAGAGCGCAGGATTTTATTTTTTATTTATTTATTTTTTTGAGACGGAGTCTCACTCTGTCACCCAGGCTGGAGTGCAGTGGCACAATCTCGGCTCACGGCAGCCTCCACCTCCCAGGTTCAGGCAATTCCCCTGCCTCAGCCTCCCAAGTAGCTGGAATTACAGGCGCATGCCACTATGCCCGGCTGATTTTTTGTATTTTTAGTAGAGACGGGGTTTCACCGTATTAGCCAGGACGGTCTCGATCTCCCCACCTCATAATCCACTGAGACGCAGGATTTTTTAAAAAATACTTATCTCCATGAAGCAGAGCTGCTTTAGTCTCCAGTTCTATCACCAATGTATTCCATAGCACATTGTTTATGTTCCATAAATAGAAAAAACCCTACAGAAAATGATCACATTTCTGTATTATTAATCGCTCAATTTCCTCTTCCTGCACTACTAATTCTACTCAGAAATAAATGTTGTGTTAAGATACTACAATTTTGGAACTGTTTGTTACTTCAGCATAACCAGCCTCTCCCACCAAATATACTACCTGATAGGACTGTGGTCCATATTAAATGAGATAATCCACATAAAGGACTCAGCATAACATGAGGCATATAGGAAATATTGAAGCAATTGAGTCTTCATGATTTAAATATTGTCTTGCATTAAAATGTTTATCGTGAGATGAATCCAGTGTTGGAAATATCAAAGTAGCCATTAGAAAAATGTTTCAACAAGTAACTATAAATTCTCTTGAAGCAAGTGAAACAATAGGACATCTCAGAAAATAAATAGAATTTTTTTAAAAAAAGGAAAATTTTAGAACTAGAAAATACAATAACCAAAAGACATAACTCACTGGATGGGCTCAATAACAGTGTGGAGATGACACAAGACAGAACCACTGAATCTGAGGATAGATCAAGAGAATGTATACCCTCTGAATGAGAGAGAGAAAACCAGCTTTTTAAAACGAAGAGTCGTCACTTCCAAGATGGCCAAACAGGAACAGCTCCGGTCTACAGCTCCCAGCGAGACTGATGCAGAAGATGGGTGATTTCTGCATTTCCAACTGAGGTACCTGGTTCATCTCATTGGGACTGGTTGGACAGTGGGTGCAGCCCACAGAGGGCAAGCAGAAGCAGGGCAGGGCGTCACCTCACCCTCACAAAAGGGGTCGGGGGATTTCCCTTTCTTAGTCAATGGAAGCCATAAGTGACTGTACCTGGAGGAACGGTATACTCCTGCCCAAATACTGTGCTTTTCCCACGGTCTTTGCAACCAGCAGACCAGGAGATCCTCTCCCGTGCCTGGCTCGGCAGGTACCATGCCCATGGAGCCTTACTCGCTGCTAACGCAGCAGTCTAAGATTGACCTGGGATGCCGGAGCTTGGTGGGGGGAGGGGTGTCTGCCGTTACTGAGGCTTGAGTAGGCGGTTCTATGCTCACAGTGTAAACAAAGTGGCAGGGAAGCTCAAACTGGGCAGAGCCCACCGCAGTTCAGCAAGGCCTACTGCCTTTCTAGGTTCCACCTCTGGGGGCAGGGTATATCTGAACAAAAGGCAGCAGACAGCTTCTCCAGACTTAAATGTCCCTGCCTCACAGCTCTGAAGGGAGCAGTGGTTCTCCCAGCACGGCATTTGAGCTCCAATAACGGACAGACTGCCTCCTCAAGTGGGTCACTGACCCCTGGGTAGCCTGACTGGGAGACACCTTCCAGTAGGGGCCAACAGACACCTCATACAGGCAGGTGCCCCTCTGGGACGAAGCTTCCAGAGGAAGGATCAGGCAGCAATATTTGCTGTTCTGCAGCCTCTGCTGGTGACACCTAGGCAAACAGCATCTGGAATGGACCTCTAGCAAACTGCAACAGACCTGCAGCTGAGGGGCCTGTCTGTTAGAAGGAAAACTAACAAACAGAAAGGAATAGCATCAACATAAACAAAAAGGACATCAACACCAAAATCCCATACATAGGTCACCAACATCAAAGACCAAAGGTGGATAAAACCACAAAGATGGGGAGAAACCAGAGCAGAAAGGCAGAAAATTCTAAAAACCAAAACACCTCTTCTCCTCCAAAGGAACACAACTCCTCGCCAGCAAGGGAACAAAACTGGATGGATAACGAGTTTGACAAGTTGACCGAAGTAGGCTTCAAAGGCCGGTAATAACTAACTTCTCCAAACTAAAGCAGCACGTTCTAACCCATCACGAGGAAGCTAAAAACCTTGAAAAAAGGTTAGACGAATGGCTAACTAGAATAAACAGTGTAGAGAAGAGCTTAAATGACCTAATGGAGCTGAAAACCACAATATGAGAACTTCGTAAAGCATACACAAGCTTCAATAGCCAATTCGATCGGCTGGAAGAAAGGATATCAGTGATTGAAGATCGAATTAGTGAAACAAAGCAAGAAGACAAGATTAGAGAAAAAAGAGTGAAAAGAAACAAACAACACCTCCAAGAAATATGGGACTATGTGAAAAGACCAAATCTACGTCTGATTGGTGTACCTGAAAGTGGCGGGGATAATGGAACCAAGTTGGAAAACACTCTTCAGGGTATTATCCAGGAGAACTTCCCCAACCTAGCAAGACAGGCCAACATTCACATTCAGGAAATACAGAGAACACCACAAAGATACTCCTCGAGAAGAGCAACCCCAAGACACATAATTGTCAGATTCACCAAGGTTGAAATGAAGGAAAAAATGTTAAGGGCAGCCAGAGAGAAAGGTCAGGTCACCCACAAAGGGAGGCCTATCAGACTGACAGCAGGTCTCTCTGCAGAAACCCTACAAGCCAGAAGAGAGTGGGGGCCAATATTCAACATTCTTAAAGAAAAGAATTTTCAACCCAGAATTTCATATCCAGTCAAACTAAGCTTCATAAGTAAAGGAGAAATAAAATTCTTTACAGACAAGCAAATGCTGAGAGATTTCATCACCATCAGGCCTGCATTACAAGAGCTCCTGAAGGAAGCACTAGACGTGGATAGGAACAACTGGTACCAGCCACTGCAAAAACATGCCAAATTGTAAAGACCATCGATGCTATGAAAAAACTGTATCAATTAACGGGGGAAATAACCAGCTAGCATCATCATGACAGGATCAAATTCACACATAACAATATTAACCTTAAATGTAAACGGGCTAAATGCCCCAATTAAAAGACACAGACGCAAACTGGATAGAGTCAAGACCCATTGGTGTGCAGTATTCAGGAGACCTACCTCACATGCAAAGACACACATAGGCTCAAAATAAAGGGATGGTGGAAGATGTAGAAAGCAAATGAAAAGTGAAAAAAAAGCAGGGGTTGCAATCCTGGACTCTGATAAAACAGACTTTAAACCAACAAAGATCAAAAGAGACAAAGCAGGTATTACATAATGGTAAAGGTATCAATTCAACAAGAAGAGCTAACTATCCTAAATATATATGTACCCAATACAGGAGCACCCAGATTCATAAAGCAAGTTCTTAGAGACCTACAAAGAGACTTAGACTCCCACACAGTAATAATGGGAGACTTTAACACCCCACTGTTAATATCAGACACATCAACGAGACAGAAAATTAACAAGGATATCCAGGACTTGAACTCAGCTCTGGAGCAAGCAGACCTAATAGACATCTACAGAACTCCCCACCCCAAATCAACAGAATATACATTCTTCTCAGCACCACATTGCACTTATTCTAAAATTGACCACATAAGTGGAAATAAAACACTCCTCAGCAAATGTAAAAGAACAGAAATCACAACAAACTGTCTCTCAGACCACAAAGCAATCAAATTAGAACTCAGGATTAAGAACCTCACTCAAAACCACACAACTACATGGAAACTGAACAACCTGTTCCTGAATGACTACTGGGGAACATCACACACTGGGGCCTGTGGGGGGTGGGGGGCTAGGGGAGGGAAATCATTAGGAGAAATACCTAATGTAGGTGACAGGTTGATGGGTGCAGAAAACCACCATGGCACTTGTATACCTATGTAACAAAATTGCATGTTCTGCACATGTAACCCAGAACTTAAAGTATAATTTAAAAAAAAAAAAATGAAGAGTCTCAGGGACCTGTGAAAAAAATAATAAAAGGGCCAACATTCATGTTATTACAGTTCCACAGGGAAAGAGAGTGGGATTGAAAAAGTATTTGGAGAAAAAATGGTTGAAAACTTTCACAATTTGGTGAAGGGCATAAACCTACAGATTCCAGAAGCTGAGCAAACCCCAAATAAGACAAATAAAAGAAATTCATGCCCAAAGACCTTATAATTAAACTTGCAAACACTAAAGTTAAAAAAAAAAAAAATCTTGAAAACAGCTAGGGAAACAGCACATTTCTTACCGGAAACACCAATTCAAATGAAAATGGGTTTCTCATTTGAAATGATAGAAGCCAGAGGGAAGTGGCACAATATATCTTATGTCCTCAAAGAAAAGAATTGCCAACCACAAATGCTGTATCTGGTTAAAAAAACAAAACAAAACAAAACAAAAAAAAAAAAAAACCTTAAAACTGAAGGGAAGATAAAGATACTCTCATATTAAAAAATTTAAAAATTTAAAATAACTAAGAATTTCTCACTTGCAAGCCTATCCTTAAAGAGTGGCTAATAGGAGTTTTCCATACAGAAAGGAACAGTAGAAGATAGAAGATAACAGAAAAAAAGGCTTAGAACTTCAAAAAGGAGAAGAGAACACAGAGATGAGTGAAAACAGGGGTAAATATAATAGATTATTCTTTTCATGAGTTTCTTAAATGACATTTGATAGTTGAAGCCAAAAAATACAATACCAACTGATGTGGTGCTCAAAGTACATAAAGTAAATATTTAAACAATTGCACTTAAAAAGCAAGGAGGGTAAAGGAACTAAATGGAAGTAAGGTTTCTACACTTCACTAGAAGTGGCAAACTGTTGTGGACACCAGTAGACTGTGATAAGTTATGTATATATATTTCAATACCTAGAGCAACCACTAGGAAATTATACAAAGGAACTAAAAAATATTATAAATTAAGATGGAATCCTAAAACATGTTCAAGTAACGCACAGGAAAGAAAGGAAAGAGAAACAAGAGAAATGAAAAACGGAGGATACAAACAGAAAACCAAAAAATGGCAGACTTAAGCCTTAACATATCATTACTTTAAATGTGAGTGGTCTGCCTACAACTAGTTAAAAGACTGGCAGAGCACCAAAAAAAGCCCATTTCCAAAGGTTACGCTCTATATGGTTCTATGCATATAGTATGTATAAAACGACAAAATTATACAGATGGAGAACAGATTAGTAGTTGCCAGGAGTTGGATGTGCGGCAAGGAGTGGCTGTGACCAAAAAAAGATAGCACAGGGAACCTTGTGATGAAACTGTCCTGTATTTTCACTGCAGTGGAGTGGTGGTTACATGAATCTTCACATGATAAAACTGCACAGAACTAAGTACACACAAACTCATGCACACACACAAATGAATGCATGTAATACGGGTGAAATCCAAATAAGGTCTGTGCCTTGTATCAATATCAATTTCCTGGCGTGATATTGTACTAGAGTTACGTAAGATGTTACCCTTTGGAAAGCGGGTGAAGGATATTCAGAATATCTTTGCATTTTTCCCTTTTTTTTTTTCTTTTAGAGATAGGGTCTTGCTCTGCTGTCCAGTCTGGAGTGCAGTGGCATAATCATGGTTCAATGCAGCCTCAACCTCCTGGGCTGAAGTGATCCTCCCACCTCAGCCTCCCAAGTAACCATGTCTACAGGCAAGCTCCATCATGCCTAGTCAATTTTTAAATTTTTTGTAGAGACGGGGTCTCACTGTGTTGCCCCAGCTGGTCTCAAACTCCTGGCCTCAAGTGATCCTCCCGCCTTGACCTCCCACCTCTGTGTTATTTCTTAACTACATGTGAATATACGGTTATTTCAAAATGACTTTTTTTTAAATTTAATATCTCAAGGAAAAAAAAGTGTAGTAGAATAAAAAACAATTTTGGCTTTATATTAACAGAAAATCTTGAATACAATAAAATTGGCTAAGAAATAAACCAAATCTTTCCCCTAACTCCCTTGTTAGAGAGTTTGAGATGGGGAAGGAAAGACATACCATTTCATTCTGGGTTCCATAGCTCTGCAACCCAAACATCAATACAGAAGACACCTATAATATGTATAAAGATGAATATGTTTTGCTAAAAAAAAGTTATTTTGCTAAGTATATAAGTTATGCATATTATAGAAAATTTAGAAAATGAAGGCAGATAATGATAGTAAATAAAATTAAAAAGCACATGTCCCAGTGATAATATGGCCTTGTATGCTTTTCCTTTGTTTATATATGGATTTTGTGGGGTAGAGAGAAACCAGTATATATCCTAAATCGGGAATCAGCAAACTACAGCCTGCAGACCAAATCCAGCCAGGCATCTGTTTTTGAACAGCCCATAAACTAAGCATGATGTTTACACTTTTACACAGTTACATACATGGCAGATACACACATAATATCTGCCATATTGCCTCTGTCTGCAAAGCTTTTAAATATTTACTACCTAGAACTTTACAGAAAACGCCTGTCGACTCCTGTTCTTAATGGCATTTTTATAAAAAGCTTTTTAAATTATAAAGATAACATGAAAAAGGACATATGAATATTTTCTTTACTTAAAAATTAATGCCATTAATCAAGTTAGTGGCAGAATAACAATCCATTATATGGGTTATATGACTAAACCTTTATTAATCAATTCATTTCTGGATATTTAGCCTGTTTCCAAATTTTTGTATTATACAAAGCAAATGAATGCTCTTATAGCTAAATTTCTAAATACAGAAATGAGTATTTTTAAGGAGGTCTCACAGCTAACATTATTTCATAAATATTTTTATAATTGTTTTGTAAATAAACAGCATTATATATTTTGAGGTATAACAGGAACTTTATTAAACAATTAATATTATATATAAATTAACTATTCTCTATTCTCTGGAATAGAAAGCAATTCTGAAACTGGTATATTTTCCTACAAGTTGAACAAATCGAAATCTGTAATATTACCCAAAAATCTCATTATTATACATAGAGAAAATTCCAAAGATTTTTTTTTTTAATCCTGTCAAATTCTATAAAGGTACATAGAAGAAGAGTTTGGCCTAAAAACAGAGAGTCAAAAGGAAGTTAAAGGCAGTATAACTAGAGGTTGGAGCCTCGGAGTCAAACTACGGGATCCAAATGCATTTACCAACTGGGTAGCCTTGCAAAGTTACCGAAAACTTGAAGTCTGTGTTTTTATCTGTAAACTGGAAGTGATCATCATGGCCAAGTCACAGGGCAGATTAAGATACCTAAAGAGCATACCAAAGTGCCCAGCACTGTTTTCTATACTAAATAACTGTTCATTTTTGTAATGATCATCATTATCAGGGTAGACTTCTCACACGATACTTGTTCCATTACATCTTTGCTCCAAAGGGGGCCCAGACCTGCCTCTAACAAGCAGTAACTTGTAGGACTTAAAAAATAAAATTCCAGAAATTAATTTGATCATTTGCTTTTGTTTGAAAATATATTTAATACGGAAGCATATTACTTGTTTCAGCTTGAACAAGGCCATATAAAAGAGGTCACCAATGGATTACAAAGTACCACTTTAAAGAAAAGAATAATCTAAACATAAAGACATCAATCTTTAGGTTCAGAATTCAGGATTAGAACATCTTTTTCCTCTCACTGTTTATACTGGACTCATTTTACTGTAACAAAGCTGAACTAGACACTGGAATCTTCCTGACTCCCCATTTGGCTCGTCTCTTCCACACTATCCTATATTTCCTATTGACTGGACTCAAGAAGCATTTCCTTGGAGTCAGTTCCTCTTTGTCTTCCGCTACTGCCTTGCCCAGGCCTCTACACTCCTCCTATCTCTTATGGGGACTTCCATGAGAACCACGCAAATGGTCTTCCTGCTATCATCTCTCCTTCCAGTTCATCTGTCACCAACCCCTTCCCTACTCTCAACAATCAAACTTTTGGGTGGCTCCCCGATGGCCACAGAATCAAGTCCACACTTCCTGGTTTAATACATTAGGAGCTTCACAACCGCACCAATTTCCTTCACCAGCCTCACTGCCCCACCCTTCTACACTACAGCCACATTGAGTGCCTCATGGGTGGCTAAACATACATACATACTCTTGCATGACTCAGTCTCTGCACATACATTCCCTCCTTCCCAAAGACTCCCAGCTTCGCTGCCCAGACTCACCTCCCAAGATTCTAGGCAGACTCACTCTTGAAGACTCCAACTGAAGCCATTCCTGACCATTCATCCACTCCTCTGTGCTCCCACCTCACTCTGTTACCATTTACACAAGAGCAATCATCCCTAAGTATTGAAAAGATCTTAATGCTTCAAAATAGGAGTGAAATCCTTTTGAAGATAATGTACTTCTTTGTTATGCTCTTCAAAAATAAAACACCATCTAAGAAGTAGTCTGGCTCACAATATCAAGGTGAAATAAACAGTACACTGCATATTTTTCAAAACATCCACGCTGGAAGGACCAGTTTAGTTAGTCTCAAAATTTTGCCACAACCAATTATTACTGTAAATGCAGGACCCTTAACTATGTAGCCTATTAAATGACATACTTAACTATCTTGGTTGTAACATGATTTTGCATTTCTACTTTAACTGCAAAATATATTAAAATTCTTAAAGTTTTAAATATTGACATGTACACCACTTTCCTTTACATTAATAATACTAACTAAACAATTTCATTTCATTTGATTGTAGTTTTCAAGAGTAATGAAAAACATACGGCCAGTTTTTGGTAGACAATATTCTTTTCCCAAACATATATTAAAATAAGACCTTCAGATAAATTTAAAAGTCTTACTGATATAATATAAAAGCACAGTTTACATGAAATGCAACATTTCATAAAATGATATATAAATTGTTATATGGTTGAAAACACTACACATTATTCTTTATGGAAATGGAAATTATCCTAGCACTTGAATAAGGAAAAGGTAGAAATATATAAGGAAAATGCCTGTCCTTCAAAAAAAGTTTAACAGTTACAAAACACGAGAAGAGATGATAGAGAACGAAGAGAAATGGATGAAGGAGGAATCTCTGGTGGACTGAGTGGTGTCTCAAAATATCGCTCCTGGAACTGGAAAGTGATTCAAACTGAGTAAAAAAACTCCAAAGTCTTCAAAGGCTCAACTGCAAACAGGCTTACTACACTTACAAGGCCTAAACCTGGTCCATCAACATCCTGACTACTTTGCTGGTCCATAAACTCAGTAGAATCAGTAATATCTAGGAGAGTAACTGTTTTCATAGAGCTAGAGGCAGCGGGGGGCACGGAGGCTAGGGTTGGGGGGAAGTGGGGGAGGAATCTCTCTAAGCCCTCAGGTTGAAGCACCAAGCTGGAAAATGAGCCACCATGACAATATCTAAAATATAAACTGAAGGTCATTAATATTTAGCAAGTGCTTCCCATGTGCTAGGCTCTATATAAGATGCTTTATGAACATTAATCGTATCTATCTTCACAGCAACCATACAAGGCAAGCAACAAGACCCATTTTTCACACGAGGAAACTGAAGAATACAGGAGGTAAGTGCTATGCCCAGGTCATACAAAAAGCACAAGGTATGGCCATGATACAAATGAGGGTCCACCTCCAGTTCTTTAGCACTATCCCAAGCAGTAGGCACTGGAGGCTAGACAGCAAGAAAATGGAAAGAGCCCAGAGTTGGAACCCCTTTCTCCTCCTCATCAGCTGTAGGACATTAGGCAATCAAGCCACATTTGGGTCTCACTTTCCTCAATCTTAAAATAACTACCTTTTCCTTCCATTTATCTCCTCAGTTTGGCCAAGTCTCATTCCCTAACTTCCTAGTTTCTTTGTCCATTTCTAATATAGTTTTTAAATATCTGATTTAAGGTACTTTACTGTGGCCAGGCACGGTGGCTCACGCCTATAATCCCAACACTTTGGGAGGCTGAGGCAGGCAGATCACTTGAGGCCAGGAGTTTGACACCTGCTTGGCCAACATGGCAAAACCCCATCTCTACTAAAAACACAAAAGTGAACTGGGCGTGTTGGTGCACACCTGTAATCACAGCTACTCAGGAGCCTGAAGCATGAGAATCGCTTGAACCTGGGAGGTGGAGGTTGCAGTGAGCCGAGATCGTGCCACTGCACTCCAGTCTTGGTGACAAAGCAAGACTTTGTCTAAAAAAAAATAAAAATAAAAAAATAAAAAAAACAAACCACGTTAAGGTAGTTTATTGTATCTGCAAATGCTTGTTTATAGACATTCAACTCATGATGGAGTGTTATGTTATTGTTTTCTGCTACTGAAACCTCTGATTCTGACTTTCTTTCTTCCTATAGTAGCTTTTTATGGATGTTACTTGTCATTTCAATTCATTTTTAAATGTCTTGGATTTTCCTGGATAGCAGTAACAGACGTTACCAGGGAAGAAGGGGTGAAGCATCTGTGTGGTTTACCAGGTTTCTGCATTTTCTTTTCTAGGAGGCATCTTTTTTTGGTGAGTAGGTAAGTCTCCTGATCTGATGATGTTCTTTGTTTCTGGGCACCCTTAATTTCCTCTGCTTTGTCCTTTTCTTTCACTGCCAAGCCGCTAAGGATGCCTCCCCCATCTCTGCCAAAAGCAGCACCATCCAACTCTTGTCACCTAAAGCCCTATACACTTTCAAGCTCCTTTCTTTAAATTCTCGAAATCCACCAAGTCTCACATCTGTTCTCAGATCTCCCCACTAAGAATGGGGCCCCCTTCTCACTAAGATGATTTTTATGTGCATTCTGCCTCGGCTGGGTCTCAGCTGTACTCTCTTTATTTCTACCCAGTCTCCATCTGACTGTCAGCTCCAGCGTCAACTCCAGAGCCGACTCTGCTGGCTTTGGATGTTTATTTTCCCACTTGCACTGAAGTTTGTATTACTCCCCATTTGCTAATTATACTAGAGGCCTAGATTGTGTGTGCTTTTATTTACTCTTTGTTGAGCTGTTTAGTATTTGGAGCATGTGTGGAAAGATTTAGATTTAGGTGGCTGCCAACACCCTCCTCACCTGCAAAATGAAATTCCTCAACAGAGTTCCAGCACTGTCTGATTCTGTACCAATGATTCTAAGAACACTGGAATCTTAGTTAATTAGAGATTTCCAAAATAAGGTAACCTAAAATGCTTTTCAATACTGTATGAGAAATTAACAAATATACCCTATCTATAAGCAAACTCAGAAATGCCTTACCAGAAGCCCCACAGTAATGGAAATCCTTATTAATGAAAATGTTAGAAACCATGACTACACAATGACATAATACATAACAAGCTTGTCCAACCCATGGCCCGCAGGCCACATATGGCCTAGGATGGCTTTGAATGCAGCTCAACACAAATTCATAAACTTTCTTAAAACACTGTTTGATTTTCTGCTGCAATTTTTTTTAGCTCATCAGCTATTGTTAGTGTATTTTATGTGTGGCCCAAGACAATTCTTCTTCCAATGTGACCCGGGGAGCCAAAAGATTGGACATCCCTGATATATAATCTGTTCTCTAGAGAAATATGCATAAGTCCAACTTTTCCCTGGAAAAGCAACAAAATTCACATAAGCTTATGCAGTATCAACCCAAATGTAATAGATTATCATGGCTAGAGTCATATCAGTGTGTATTTCTAGCAGGTTATCACAGATACATTTTCATTCCTCTGAGCGAAATGAAATATTAAAAGGAAAAATGTAATTCTTCTTATGAGTCCATCTATAAAATTGATAAGCCAATTACATTATGCTTGGGCCAGGTGCAGTGACTCATGCCTATAATCCCAGCACTTTGGGAGGCCAAGGCAGGCGGATCACCTGAGGTCAAGAGTTTGAGAGCAGCCTGGCCAACATGGTGAAACCCTGTCTCTACTAAAAATACAAAAATTATCTGGGCATGGTGGTGGGCGCCTGTAATCCCAGCTACTCGGGAGGCTGAGGCTGGAGAATCACTTGAACCCAGGAGATAGAGGTTATAGTGAGCCCAGACTGCACCATTGCACTCTAGCCTAGGTGACAAGAGTGAAACTCTGTCTCAAAAAAAAAAAAAAAAAAATTTATATTATGCTTAAACATTTCTTATGCAGACTTGAAAATAAATTTTTTAAAAACTCCTTCCTTATATATTATTCTCCTTAAGAAACTATCTTTATCACAATAACCTAACAACTTTTAAAGTAGCTCCCTTTTTAAGAAGCAAACTCCAGGCCGGGCGCGGTGGCTCACGCCTGTAATCCCAGCACTTTGGGAGGCAGAGGCGGGTGGATCACAAGGTCAGGAGATCAAGACCATCCTGGCTAACACGGTGAAACCCTGCCTCTACTAAAAATACAAAAAATTAGCTGGGCGTGGCGGCGGGCGCCTGTAGTCCCAGTTACTCAGGAGGCTGAGGCAGGAGAATGGTGTGAACCTGGGAGACGGAGCCTGCAGTGAGCCGAGATGGAGCCACTACACTCCAGCCTGGGCAACAGAGCGAGACTCCGTCTCAAAAAAAAAAAAAAAAAAGAAGCAAACTCCAATTTCAATGATTCAAAAATTATACCAACAAACATGTCACATTCATTAAAAGAACAAATAAAGAATAAACATCATAAAACCTACAGTGGCTATTTTTAAAAAGCAGGTGAGGGGGATGTTAAAGTGTTGAGATAAATTTCTAAAACTTTGTATCAATTTTCCAACTGCCAACATGTTTCAAGTTAAAATATTGTTTCAGATGAAAACTTTTTGTTCCTTTTCTTATTTTTTAAGCTAATCCATTTAATCTTTTTTAAGATAGCTGGCATATTAAAAGCTCTTCCCCAAGGCTTAGTTACCTATCGCCCTGCTTTACACCCTCAGCCCCTGGGAATGTTGCATTTAGCAAAGAAGCGCAACTCAAGAGAACAACGTGGTGAGCTACAAATCCGAGGGCTCCTGAGTCACCACCTTACCTCAGACTCATCTGTAGATTCTTCAAGGGACCCAGTTTCCTATAAAGCATAGAAAAAGAAAATGGTCAGAAGAGATGATAAAAGAATAATCATTTGCAAGGGGAAAGAGTCCTCATGTTCCTACTACCACGCATCTGCCCTTTTTGGAAGAGAATCTACAACTATACTTTAGAGGACCACATGCTCTGACTTTCACATGTCTCCTGCAACTTCTCCACACCCTGGCAGGCAGATCCTGCTGCTCTCCCTCAAAGAGTTAACAGGTAAACAAATTACCCCAGGAACTTATCATCTGAGGGCCTGGAAGACTCTCTCCCTTGTTAATAATGGAAACCCATCTGGCAAAGCAGCCTCACTAATCTCAGAAGGGAAGAGGAAACTGCCATCTCATGTTATCTACAAGCCAATTTTTATACTGAAAAGTTCTTGTGCTATTAATTATCATGCTATTAATCTGGTTGAGTTAAAATGACTGTCTTGCTAAAATAGCTTTTTAAAAGAATCTCCTACAGTGGTACCTATCAGACCCTGTGTAAACAAGCTGTATAATTTACATGCACTCTTTAAACCATCACCACTAAGACAAATTCTGCCATTTAACACAGTTTCCCTCTCGCTAGACAATGAATCTTGCTGCTCTGAAGGAAACAAAGCAAAAAGGGAAAAATTGACTTGATCCTGCTAATCTCTCACCTGTCCAGTGAAAGAGAGAATCTGCTGATGCCATGCATCCTCAAAGAGGTCAGCAAAATGAAGATTTACTTAACGTACTTATAGATATCAATAGCAATAAAAGGTTACAACTAATATGCTGACACTGAATGTAAGCACTTTACAACAATCCATGAGATAAACAAAGAACAAGAAAAAAATGGGGCAAGGACATTTTAGATATAACTAATACATTTTCAAGAAAAAAATGAACATTTTAAGGAAGATCGATGCATATATTACTCAATACAAGTTGGACAGCGGGATAAATGTAAATCTAGTGTTTAAAATCATTTTAATTTCATTCATCAAAAATTAGCAAGAGCCTGACAGGTGGCAGGCACCTTCCAAAGTACAGCCTGGAGGACAACACAGTCCTTGCCTTCAAAGGCCATGGGTAAAATGGGGATATGTTCCTTGTAATTAAGAATTTTATTATACTTGTATCATTAACCACAATGAATATTAGAATCTCCTCTGTAACTCAATGCAGCCTGTTTAGCTTAATGTCAATCCAAGTCTCATAAAGTTCTTATTCATTTGAAGCTACAATAATCCACAGTAACATTTTTGTTCTTAGCACTACATAAAAAAAACAATTATTGCACTACATGATAGCTGTCCAGAGAGTTAATGACATGTATCATGTTCCACCTTCTAAAATGTTTCTCCTCTGCACTCACCATCACAGTTCCTGGTTTTAGTCCTCTTACTGTACTGATCCTTCTCTTGTGGACATAGTCCACTTTAACATTAACAATCACTATTCTGACTTCTTTACTGAACATCTATTATAAACTGCTCATTATGTTCCATTCACCACCCACAACATTATAAACTTTCCTAACACCACTGGGGTTGGAAGAGTGAGGCTTAGAGGTTGAGTTTAATGACTTCTAACATCCTTTCCATCTCTGTGAGTCGCTGAATATTATGTTATTAGCATCAGCAATACAAGGCTTTGATAACTATGCCAATAAACCACACTTAAGATTCCTATTTCCTGTATGTACAGTTCTAAAAAGACACTTGAGTACTCTTTCAGGAAAATCACATTAAACCTAAGGAAATTTTTTTTTCCTCATATAGAATCCACTCAAGTATGCACATGAGGTAAATGGGTGAATACCCCATTTATGTTCTTCATTAAAACAAAAACATCTGGGCTGGGCACAGTGGCTCACGCCCGTAATCCCAGCATTTTGGGAGGCCGAGGCAGGTGGATCACCTGAGGTAAGGAGTTCAAGACCAGACTGGCCAACATGGTGAAACCTCATCTCTAGAAAAAATGAAAAGAAAATTAGCTAGGTGTGGTGGCATGCACCTGTAGTCCCAGCTACTTGGGAGGACCACTTGAACCCGGAAGAATCACTCGAGCCCAGCAGGTCAAGGCTGCAGTGAGCTGTGATTGCGTCACTGCGTTCCAGCCTGAGGAACAGAGTAAGACACTGTCTCGATTAAAACAAAACAAAACAAAACAAAATTATCTTAAGTGAAACAACTCAGAAACAGTCAAATATGCATGTTCTTACTTATAAGTAGAAGCTAAATAATGTGTACACGTGGACAAAGAGTAGAGAATGGCAGACCACGGAGACTGGGAAGGGTAGATGATGAGAAAATTATTTAATGGATACAATATATATTATTCAGGTGACAGTGACACTAAAATCCCAGAGTTCACCACTATGCAATATATGTAACAAAATTGCACCTGTACCCATTAAATGTATGTAAATTAAAAAAGAAAAAACAGAAGTCTCCAACCAGCAATTTCAATCCAAAAACTCAAAATCAAATTACACTCTTTCTCCACACCAGAAAGCATGCAGTGCCAGAATTTGACACCGTGAGGCAGGAAGATCTGAGACCTGAATCTTCAGGGAAAACTGGGCTCTGAGAGTAGCTTCTTTGGCTATGGAATTGATGGAGAACATTTACTCTAGGAAACTCTGAGACTTGCCTTCAGCACCACTACGAACATCTCACACAGACAGGCGATCTCAAAAAAAACTTGTTTCCACAATCCTACCAAAGCAATGCATGAGTGATGTCAAGAATTAGGCTGGTCTGTTATTTCTTAGCTTCATTCATTCATCAAGCCCTCTAATTAATATGCTAGAGAGAGAAAGGCAAAGAAGACGTAAAGTAAATGTCCTCATTAAGAAATCCAAGAAGGCTGAACTTTGAGAAAGGTAACAATTTGAGAATGAGTCAGTGGTTTTCAAACTTTTTTTTTAGCTTCACACTCTCATTTAAAGAATCTAACTTCAAATCCTGAAATGTAAGTTATAAATTATGCTGTTTTCAAAGTGAAATAAGCAAGACACAAAAGGACAAATATTGCATGATTCCACTTATATAACACAGAAGTAAAACAGAGGTTACCAAAGGCAGAGGGAGGATGTAGTGGGGAGTTACTGTTAAATGGGTACAGAGTTTCAGTTTGTGATGATTAAAAGTTCTAGAGAGGCAGAGTGGTTGTCTTAGTACATTTGTGTTGCTCTAAAGGAATACCTAACTAAGGCGGGTTAATTTATAAAGAAAAGAGCGTTATTTGGCTCACGGTTCTGCAGTCTGTACCAGAAGCACGGCACCAGCATCTGCTTCTGATGAGGGCCTCAGGCTGCTTCTACTCATGGCAGTAGGTTGAAGGGTAGCTGGCATATGCAGAGATCACATGGCAAGACAGGAAGCAAAAGAGGGCAATGGGGAGGTGCCAGGCTCTTTTTAACAACCAGCTCTCTTGGGAACTAATAGAAAGAGAACTCACTATTTCAAGGATGGGACCAAGCCATCGTGAGAGATCTGCCCCCATTAGATCTCCCACCTCTAATACTGGGGAACATGAGATTTTAGGTGGACAAACATCACAACTACAGCAGTGGTGATGGTTGCACAACAATGTGAGTGTATTTAATGCCACTGAATCATACACTTAAAAATGGTTAAGGTGGGGGTGGCTCACACCTGTAATCCCAGCACTTTGGGAGGCTAAGGCAAGAGGATTGCTTAAGGCCAGGGAATTTGAGACCAGTGTGGGCAACACAGAAAGATCCTGTCTCTACAAAAAAAAATGTTTTCAACTTTTTTAATGGTTAAAATGGTAATTTTATGCTATGTGTATTTTACTATAATAAAGTGCTGTTGATCAAAGCAAAAGTGATAGGCTGGAAGATACCCAGTGACACAAATGTCTATCTGAGCCAATTCTGGGTAACGGATTGACAGTTAAACTCAGAAACATTTCATTTTACCTTTCTTTTGCAAACCAATCCCTTAAGCCCAACCACCTACCCAAACAGCTTTACTGTGTGATTTCTGTGCCTTGACATGTGGCCTCTCTAATGTACTCATCACCTGCCATCAGGATTATCTTCCCAAAGCACAGACCAGACGGCCACTGCCCTCCTCAAACAACCCTCAGTAGTGCTCCAGCCTGAAGAATAGCTTTCAGATTCCCCAGCAAAGTAGTCAAAGTCCTTCCCAGTCTGGCCCCCAACAGACCTTTAGCCTCACTCCCCACTCTCTCCACAAACCTGTGACCCTCCAGCCACACTGGAGGACCCCTCGCCGAGATATTGCTTATATCTCTGTGCCACAAGTGGCAAATCAGTGGCCTGGGGTCTGGATATGGCCTGCAGGTGTTTTGTTTGGCCTAGGTGGTGTTTTTAAAAAAGCTTCCATATAAAAACCTGTACTCCTGACTGTATGTCTACATAAGATCCACACTTCCACATACCATCAGTTGCAGCTGAGCGGTTACACCCAGGACAGAATGCACTCCACCACCCCCACCACTCCCAATTTCTGACACCAAGGCACGCCTGCTCATGTGCACCACCCCCTGCCTGCCTGAGTTTGTGCTGCCTGCTCTGCACTTTCCTCATGTCACTCCCTCCATTTAGAAGGCCCCTGGCCCCATCCTGCACTCATCCTGATGGAATGCTCTACAGGCTCAGTGGGTCTCTCAGGGATACCCCAGGGAGAGGTTGCCAGGCACTCAGCCTGAGGACATTCACTCTCTCTTCAATATCAGAGCTTGGTTTTTACGTTTCTTCCCGTACCCCTCAGCTAGCACCTAATATTAACTGCCTTGTCCTACAAGTTCTCATTTTAAATATGCTGTGGATAAACCCAAAGGCTTTGCCTTCTTTGTCTCCCAGTATCCTACTGGAAAAACATGTTGCTGGTGATGATGATGAGACAAGCTGCCAATCTAAAACAAATTCTTCCTCCTCCATATGTTGCCTTTCCCTTATGAGCAATACCAAGCATATTTTCTCCAGACTCATGTCTGAATTATTAGCTTATGAACTGTAGGACAGTTACAGAAAGGGAACTGCAGGAAGGTAGCACCTTCCAACAAATGCAGCAATTCCAACAATTCCTTGGGCTCCTAGAAGACTTCTCTCATACAGGCTTTCAACCAGCCCCCATCCCTAATCCTCCCATCAGCATAGAACCCTATGACAATGGCCTGGGAGAAGGCTTGGCCCAGCTGGCCTCAGAGGTCAGGAGTGGTGAAAAGGAAGACTGTCAGCCCAGGACAGAGAGGATCCAGGACTTGCCTGGGTTGTGAAGTCCTCAGAATTGTAAGTGCCCACATACTGTTGGGGAAGAAAAACAGAATTTGGGGGAGAAATGGTAGCCTGGGGCCTAAGGAAGGCCACTCCAAACTTTGCAGGAGGGCTCACCTGGGTCTGTGTTGCAGGAAAAAAAAGAGCAGAGACCAGGCTCCAAGAAATCATCTATCTCCATCTATGCCTGGAGGTACATGTGAACACTCACTGAGGTACTGCCACCTTCTCTGTCTTCCCAACAAACTATGCGCCCTAGCTGAGCATAATGAGAAAGAGAGTTCTGATATAGGCACTGTCTGATATAGGCACAGGAAGGAGGAAATATTTTGTGTGGTATGTATGTGATATCCCTGTTGTCACAGAGCTTCAATTTAAAAAACCTCAAAGGAGTTGTGGCCAGCTTTAGACACTCAGGGACTAGGCTGGTTGAGTAGTAAAGATGAGGACTCAGGTTACCAAGCCCATTCAGCCTACTGGGCTCAGCTACTGCACTCATCTTATTCTGCAAATGAAGAAAAATCTTGACGTGTGCCCCAGCGTGGAAAAGAGGGCAAACTTGGTAACCAGGTGACCCAGTCCCAAATCTGCCTTTGCATGAGAATCATCAAAACTCAGTTTGGGGAATTAGCTAATACCCACTAACACACTCCATCTGCACAGACTCTGATTCAGTAGGTTTAAAATAAGAGCCTGGAATCACAAGCCATTTTTAACAAAAACAAAAACAAAAAAACCATAAGGAGGCCCAGGCATCAAGAAGAAACAAAGGCAACAGGGGACTGCACAGCCATGAATGGGAAGTAGCATGAGACACAGAAGCCCCTGATCTGATGAGTGTCCTCTCTCCAAGGTGTTAATGTGGGCGCGGCGGAGGCTACTAATAATCAGCTAGTGAAGTGGCCTCTAGCCGACCAATTCAGGTGAAGATAAGTGGAAAAACTAACAAAGCAATCCGCTAGTCCAGCAAAACTAATCTGTGACTACATTTTAGTTACATGATGGGAAAGAGTGCACCCTCTAAAATCTGTCTGATTCTATACTTTTAAAACTTCTTGTTTGGGTTTTGTTTTTCCTTTAGTTAGTAGTAACACTGCCTTTAAAATATCTATCTTAGCCAAACTGTAAGAAAAGAGAATTGTGCATACGTAAGCCAAGTCCAGGTTTCGATGATTAACCTCTGTCTTATTTATACAACCATTTCAACCTAGCCACTTTAACATACTTTATATTCACAAAAGTTTTAACATACTTCATACTCACAAAAGTTTTAGAGAGTAAAATTCCCAGTTACAGGCAAGAAAATCGAAGCACTCAAATTTGTATTGATTTGATTTTTATTGTAACATAATCACATGGGGATATACATGACAAATATGACATCTAATAATCCATAAGTGATCTACAATAAGGACAGAATTCCCCTAATTTCTAAAATGCAGAAGGAGAATTCAAAGTAGAAACTCTCCTACTTGATTAAGAAATAGATGGTCTAATCGTGGAAATACTTTAATGGACCAGGGTCCAGGTTGGTTGATTAGGAAGATCAAAGGGTACCTGGGGAGCAGGCAAGAGTAAAGAAAGTATAGAATGTAACCTACATTATAGTATAGATGTAATCCACATTACATCTGAATTAATAACTTAAAAAAGGTGCAAGTAAGATAAAATAATTTCACGCAAATCCTACTAATATACAATTTGACAATTTGAAATGCTATTTTCCCCCTAATAAATTCATTTAAACACTTTACTAAACACTTAGTACCTATAAAGCACTAGCCCTGTGGAAGATACAGACATGAGTAAGTTCTTGTTCTTATTCTTGAGGACTCAGCAATCTCTAGGAGAGATAAGACAAATACACAAACAACCAGACTTCAAGCAGAATGTTATTCATAAGAAAGATATGGACAAATACTGTTGGGCATCTGTGAATATGAAGGTCAACTATAAATCGTTTTGGAGCTAAGCAAAACTGCTGGTTAGAAGATTTCCAGGCAGAATGCAGGGTATTCATTTTTTCTGTAAACTATAAAATATATATGTAGTTACTTTTGACAACTACCTTTACCATATTAGGCAAAAGCAAGAATTTCCCAGTGACTTATAAAAAAATTTTCATTCATACCTAAAAAGTGGTTTTAGTTTCAGATCCTCTGAGCTGTTTTATACCACAATAACTCAGTGCAGATGTCACTATTTTGGTTCTTCTGAAAATAAATGGGGAGGGGAGCAATCACCAAAGAAACAACACTCACGAAAGATAATGTGGAGACATTTAGTTTTGTGTTGCTAATCCTGGAGATTACTGGCATTTATGATACATGATACCAAGAAAAAAATGTATGCCAAGTTTTCTAAAAAGTTCAATAGAACAGTTATTTTCTCCATTTTTGGGGGTTTTTTTGTTGTTGTTGTTTGTTTTTGAGATGGAGTCTCCCTCTTGTCACCCAGGCTGGAGTGCAATGGCACAATCTCGGCTCACTGCAACCTCTGCCTCCTGGGTTCAAGTGATTCTCCTGCCTCAGCCTCCCGAGTAGCTGGGATTACAGGCGCCCACCACCATGCCTGACTAATTTTTTTGTATTTTTAGTAGTGACGGGGTTTCACCATGTTGGCCCGTCTGGTCTCGAACTCCTGACCTCAGGTGATCCACCCGCCTCAGCCTCCCGAAGTGCTGGGATTACAGGCATGAGCCACCGCACGCAGCCCTATTTTCTCCATTTTTATACACTTTTAGCTTTAAAAAAATGGTATAATAAAGCCCTACTACCGTCATCAGATTTCAATGGCTTCCTACTGTGAAATGCAAAAACAAATCAGAGAAAAGCCTAACCATTTTTAATCTATAAAGGATAAGATTAGGTACAATTACTTACTTTCTTTTAAAAAAAAGAACTGAACAATTTGTGAATGTGTCTTTCAGCCATTTACAACAGACTGCTGGGTTTTTTTTTGTTTGTTTTTCGTTTTTTTTTTAAACAGGGTCTTGCTCTGTTGCCCAGACTGAAGTGCAGTGGCACGATCATGGCTCACTGCTGCCCCGACCCTCTTGACTCAAGCAATCCTCCCACCTCAGCCTCCCGAGTAGCTGGGACTACACACCACCATGCCTGGCTAATTTTTGTAATTTTTGTAGAGATAGGGTTTTGCTATGTTGCCCAGGCTCGTCTCGAACTCCTGGGCTCAAACAATCGCCCCACCTTGGCCTCCCAAAGTGCTGGGATTACAGGTATGGGCCATTGTGCCTGGTCCACGACTAGTCTTTTTAAGATACTGACACCACTGGAGAGGAGAATGCCCACTCCAACTACATATTGGCTGTTAAAGCATCAAAGTGGAATGGTGGCTTGAGGGAAAATCATTAAAATGGAAAGGGCTAATTCTACTTCATAAAGTAAAAAAACTATTTAGATTTAGGTTCTTACATATATTTTAAAAAGGTAGGGTATTCTAGTGAAAAGTCATGAGCTATGGAGACAGAGGACTGGAGATTTATTATATTATAGATATAAGCCTGAGCACGTTACTCAAGTTGCCTGAATTTCAATTTGTTTATCAGTAAAAGTCAATCATTTAACACAAATTTATTAAGTAACAAGCAATATTCTAGGTATTGGACATACAGCAGTGAACAAATCCTTGTCAGGATGTTCCAAGCTCTGTGGTAAGAGGTACACAGAAATATACAGGGAAAAAAAAAAAAACAAATTTTATAATACAGTATGTCAAACGGTGATGCACATTATAGGGAAAAATAATGCAGGAAGGTTTCAAAGCATGGTCAGGGAAGGTCGCAATGAAAAAGAACACTTGGACAAAGACATGAAGGAAATGAGGAAGCCTGTAAATATCAGGGTTCCTCAAAAAGGAACAGCATGAGCAAAGAGGCCCTGAGATAGGAACCTGCCTGGCTTTTTGAAGACTAAGAGAGCCAGTACAGCTGATGCAGAGTCACAGAAGGGAAGGAGAGTAGTGGGAAAAATGAGGTCAAGAAAAGGTGGCTAAGGGCAGCTGGGTCAAGGTCCTGTGGGACAACCAGGCTACCGTAATGGCTGTGGCTTTTCCTCTGAATAAGATTAGAAGCCCCTGGAAAGTCTAGAATATCAGAGGTGTTTCACCCATGTATGAGAGTAAACATTTACCTCATAGAATTCTTTTGGGAAGACCAAATGCAATATGGAAGGGTTTTTAAAACTAGAAAATAATGTACAAATGTGAAACATTATTATATCCCTAATTTTGTATGTGTCATTTTTATATCAGACAACTTTGTTAAATTCTTCTTCTGCACTAAACAGTGGTAAATATTTCATAGGTTTTTTTCAATGGAAGAAAAAACAATGGTTTTTCTAGGAGCAACTCTCTCCATTTCTATTCCACTATATCTAAGAACATATGAAACTCAGTTTTTTGCTTTCAAATCAAACCATAAAACAAACATTTCAACATGAAATAAAGATGCACAATGTGAAAAACAATCTCACCCTTATTCAAAGGAGCAATGGCAGTCATGAAATGATATGTTCTTAATGAGTGTTTTCCTTTGAACTGCTAGAATGGAAATAGGAGTCTCTAGTGTTAGATAAGAGACTTTGTTATCTTGTTATCACAAGGACCAGCCAAACCAAATTTCTACCTAGTCAAACGTCTCAATTATTGGCATATATAAAATATATACAGAACAAATTTTCACTATGAAGTAAAAACAAATGAAGTATGTTGAAAATAGTAAAAATTATTGAACTAGGTAAATGACTCTTATGATACTAAACAGCCCATCATCAAGTCACTGTTTAGAGACAATGACTGCAACTGACAGCCCTGTTAACTTGTGAAGAAAAACAGTATCCAACTGAAATAACACTGGAAATGGAAACTTAAGTTATCTCCCCCAAGTTCTAGCCTCTTTTTTGGTCTGCTTCTCTTTTTTGTCTTTTTTATTTTACTTCGTCATTTCATAAAATGTGTGATTACCACTACTGCTATATGAAAATAATTCATATTCCCATCACCAATTTCTACCCTAAACTTCAGTGCCACGTTGCCAGTTGTTGACTGGATACTACCAGCAACAAATAATCCCATTTAATTTTTACTAAGCCCAACAGTTCTAAGTACTCTAACTTTGTGTATAAACTCCTCTCTCCATCTTAAACCACCCTCTGAGGACGGCCTTATTATTACCCCCATCTCACACTGGAAAGTTAAATAAGTAGCTCAAAGTAGCACATTGGGTAAGAAAAGGAACCAGCACTTGGACCCCAGGCATTTTTGCTCCAGAACGGATGCATTTAATCCCTGCTGCACCGCAACAGTGCTCCAGCTCTGTACCTAACTCCAATAGATACAAAACAAAACTCATCGTCTACTCTCTCCTAGTTCTTATTGTCCTACTTCAAGTGGAAAGCAACTTAAATTTCAGTCACCCGGCCTCTCTTCCTCCTCCCACAGGCAGTCAGTCCCTGAGGTAGCCGGGCCTGCCTTCATGCCAAAATTTCCCTGGGCAAAGGCCACAGGGATGGGGCCCGAGGAAAGGCAGCCCGAACGCGGGGGTGTGTCAGAGCGCTTTCCCTAGGTGCCCTCCCGGGGCTGGCATCCTCTCTGCTCCCCGAAACCAACTTTCGCCATCCCACCCCGCCCTGCCGCGGACCTGCCTTGCGCTATTCCAGCAGCTCCGCACCTCCACCCACTCCACTCCACCCTCCCCAAACAGCCCACCCTAGTCTCTATATCCCTGTGCCCTCAACTACCACCTGCACCCTTTACCTGCTCCTCTGCTTCCGCCATGGCGCCACGGGAGAGTCACCTGACAGACCCGGAAATAAGAGGAAACCACACACTTGGCCCAGGGCCTTCTGGGAAATGTAGTTTTAGCTTCATCTGAGCCTGGAAATCTCTTCTAGGGGACGGACCTGCTAGGGTTCATTTCTGCTGCCAATTCTCCAAACTCAATGGAATTCTGCTTTGAAGGATGTGAACATAACCATTGCTAATACTATAGCTTATTTTATTGTTGTTCTTGTTTCTCTAGTTATTCTAGTGTTTATTAAGCACTTACTATGTCATGCCCTGGGTTTATAGCTTTGCATAAATTATCTCATTTAATCCTCACAGCAATTCCTACTATCATCCCCATTTATAGGGGAGAATACCGTAGCTCAGAGGTCATGCAGCTAGTAAGAGGCAGAACTAGTAATAGAATTCAGCCCTGCCTGATGCCAAAGTCTCTGTGATTGCCAAATGCTGCTTACTCTAAAAGTGTTCTTGTCCTTTTTTCTCTCTCTTTTTTAAGTATATTCAGTGAATATAAAGCAGTCTTTGCAGTGGAGAGTCAGAGAAAATTTATACGCCAACAAATAATATCATTATTTTTGCTTGCTACTTTGTCTTCTCCTGTCATATGAACATTGATTTAAAAAAAATCTCTGTTGTTTAATAAATTAATTGTTAAACTTTTGTTGAGGATATTCAATAGGTAAATGTTCAAGTGAAGACACAATATGAAGTTGTCCTTGGTCAAAATCTGCACAACCACTGTATTACTTCCAGCCTTCAGAATGACTGATTCCTTCTCCATGTTTCTGAACATTATGAATTCTGTTTCTTAACCCTCAGGAATCTGCAGCACCTTGTCCAAAGACAGACATTTTACAATTTCCATTCACTGGAGTAGCTGGTGACCAGCAGAGGGCATTGCAAATGGCAGCATGTGGTGATTGCCTCAGTACCTTTTTTGACTCCCTGTGCCTCATTGACTCTGACCCAGTAGGAAGTCATGGACTCAGTACTCTGTCTGTAGCTTGCTCAACCCATGATTCCTCAATGGCCCAGAAGCCAAGGTGACATCATCTCTGAGACACCTGTCTTCTCCCCAGGGCCTAAACAGCCTTACCTCCATCTTCTTCCTCCAAGCCTTGCTGGGGTTCCTCTTCCAGTGGGCTAATCACTCAGCCGACAGGATAGACCACCCTGAGGCATTTAAATGTCTATAAGCAGCCAGGTGCAGTGGCTTTCACCTGTAATCCCAGCACTTTGGGAGGCCAAGGCAGTCAGATTTCATGAGCTCAAGAGTTTGAGACCATCCTGGACAACATGGCAAAACCCTGTCTCTACAAAAAATACCAAAAATTAGCCGGGCATAATGGTGTGCGCCTGTAGTTCCAGCTACTCAGGAGGCTGAGGTGGGGGTTAAGGCTGCAGTGAGCATTGATGGTGCCACTGCACTCCAGCCTGGGCAACAGAGTGAGACCCTATCTGAAAAAAAAGAAAAAAGAAAAAAGAAATCCATAAGCAAGCACCCAATGCCCTAAGTATAAACCTAGGGCAAGTATAAACCTAACCCAAGAGTTTCTAAAATCTCTTGCAAAGCAGCCCAGGGCCAAACATTGCTCATGATGAACTCCAGATCCCAGAAAAACTTTAATACAGACCAAAGAGACTGTGGAAGCCCTCAGTCGAGTATCCACGGGAAAGAGAAATAAAATGAGCTCTTCCACTTTTCTGACTTTCCTCACAAACTCCAATTTTCTCTTTTCTGTTATGAGTGACAGCCACCCATAAACCTCTAGGACTACAGCCTCTCCAACTGGGCAATCTCCTCTTCTATGCTGAATGGATGAGATTGGGATGAAGAAGGAAAATAAGGGATTATTACCACTGTCTTAACCACAAGGTCATTTTTGTTTTATGGTTCCATTTTATTTTGGTGAGAAGTCAAGCAGCCCAAGCAAGCAAAGCTGAAGGCCATCCACTCTGGGCCTTCCTGGCCTTTCTACTTTTCTGGAATGAGAATGTTTATTCTCTTTCTCAAGAAGGGTGTTATGGGTCTTATTAAAGATATAGCCAGACTTTATAGGTTTTCCTCTGCTCATTTAACCGTAGAAACTCTCAATTCCCCAAGTTTGTTCCGCATTCAGTATACTCTCTTGATTACAATAAAGTATTATGAGCCTCTTTCCTTTTGGAGAGACTGGAAAAGTGAAGAGACACAGGTATGGAAAGGTGAATTAGAGGAAGAAACCTACTATGAACTAGCAGGTTCGTGCTGGGACAGTGGACAGGATGAAATTCACATGTGACCTCCAAATCCCATTTGCTCATGTGAAGTGAGAGTTTGAGGCTCTCTTATCTAGGTGGTCTTGTATTCTCCAACTACTCTAAGTGTAGTCCAAAGACTACCTGGGAGCTTGTTAAAAATGAAGAATTTGGGGCCCTTTGAGAGATGTATTTAACCACAATCTGGATTTTAATAGTATCCCTCAGTCATATGCATATACTTTCAAGTTTGAGGAGTAGTCAGCCTAACAGTCACTGATTCTGTGTCAAATCACCTGCTCAGTCCACCCTCTCCCAACTTCAAGATACGGAGGTAAAGGGCTGGGCGCAGTGACTCACGCCTGTAATCCCAGCACTTTGGGAGGCCAAGGCGGGCGGATCCCCTGAGGTCAAGAGATCGAGACCATCCTGGTCAACATAGTGAAACCCCGTCTCTACTAAAAATACAAAAATTAGCCAGGCGTGGTGGTGTGCGCCTGTAATCCCAGCTACTCGGGAGGCTGAGGCAGGAGAATCGCTTGAACTCGGGAGGCGGAGGTTGCAGTGAGCCAAGATCACACTACTACACTACAGCCTGGTGACAGAGCAAGACTCTGTCTCAAAAAACAAAAACAAAAACAAAAACTAAAACTAAAACAAAAATGCAGATGGAGGTAAAGGTAAGATTCAACTTCTCATTCTCAGTCTATAGGACCTAAAATTGTTAATAGACTTCAGAAAACAGACCTAAGACCTTATATTTGTAGAGTGGCTCACTGGTTTCAAGGATCTGTCTCATATGTTTGTTTCGTAGGTCTGAAACAGTTTACTAACTCAAATTATAGCCATTTTATTCGTGACAATAGCATTATTTCATTGCTTAAACAATATGAACGGCTTTAATATTTTCCATTATTAAATAGCATTTATAAATTCAGGAAACTTGAAAAATCGGCAAAGTGGACAAAGTTAAAATAATTCACTCTTATGCCCTTGCTAATTAGGGGATGTGTTGTAGATTCTTTTCCCAATCTTCAGCTTCCATTCCTTCTTAGATTGCTACCTTTCTCAATCTACAGGTGTGACAGCTAATGACAAGCAAATTTACACCACATTACACTACTAATTCCAAGCTACAATCTTAGCCTTTATTTAATTAACTGTACCAAATAGCTAAAAGAATATTGATGTTATCTTTAGCAAATTTGGCCAGCCTCAGCTTATTTTGCAGTTTAGTTTTTCCAAAACTGTACCTACTGAAACCTGTTACCTTCTAATATTCTAAATGTCATTTTAAGATATAGCTTATTGGAAATTTCCCTGAGCAACCACATTAGATTTTCTTAATAACATTTTTCTAATTACAAAAGTACTATGTGTTCATAATAGATAACTGGAAAAATACAATAAATTATAAAATAAAATTCTAAAACCACTCATGATTTCTCCACTTAGATTATGATTGTTGGATATATGCCTTTCTTTTTTCTTCTCTTTTTTCTCTCTCTTCCTCCTTTCCCCTCTCTGTCTCTCTGTATTTATTTAAAAACTTGTCCAACAAAGATCATATTACCAAGTTTTGTCATTTTTTTTTACTTAGTCATATTTCAAGATTGTTTCCCAATAACAATCTTGTAAAATATTCTTCTAAAACATGATTTTAATAAAACATGATTTCACATTATAATTCCATCGTATGAAAAGTAATGTATATAATCATTCTATTTTGTTGTATACTTTAAGTACATCTAATTAACATCCCTGTGCATAATTCTGGAAAATGCTATAATGCAAGGTGGTATCAACTGCAGGAATAAAGATCATCCAAATGAGAAATGCCATTGAGGAGTTATTCAGAGCTTACTCTAGAAAGGGAGTCAGCCACCAGCACTTGCGCTGTGGCAGAGACTCAAACACAGGCACAAGAGTGGGAAGGTAGGAAAAGGGAAGGCTTCAGGTAGGCCCTGGTTGGAGGCTGCTGGCATGAGAAAGCTGCAGGTGGGGTAACCAGAAGTGGGGCAACCTATGTGATTGGTAGGGGTGGATATTTGGTTTTCTCTGGTTGCTCTTAGTTGGAAGTGGGAGTAAAAATTAAGGAAGTTGTCAACTACCAATAAAGTCCTGGTCATTTTAGGCTGATTGTTTCAGAGGTTATAGTTAAGGTTCCTGGATTGTTACTAGAGATGGCAGTTTTGACTGTCAGGCTAGATTCCTGGGTTTTCTATTGTGGACAATGGCTTGGTTTCCTGGGCAATTGCTGCAGCTTGCTTCAGACTGTGGGTCAGAGTTCTATTTTAATATCTGGTCTGGCCAGTGCCCCTTTATATATTCAGTCTCTCACAATTTATTCTACAGTGAGCTATATATGAGAGCTCTAAACCCTCCTACCATCAAACATTAGATATTATCATTTTTTACACATTTCATTAATTTAGCTTGGGGAAAATAGTATTAATATTTTAATTTTTGTTTTAACTGTATGTCTTTGATTTCTGATGAGGGGATGTTTTTCATAAATTTACTGGCCATTTTCAACTTTGTTCTGTCCTTTCTACTCTTGCTCTTTACCCATCTTTTGTGGGAAAGTTGATCTTTTCCCTATTTGGCTTGTAAAAGAAATGTTCAGTAGATATTTGGTTATTTGGTTTGAAGCTAGGAGGAGTCTGGTGCTGGATGTAAATAATCTGAGGTCTTCAACATATATTAGGTTGGTGCAAAAGTAATTGCAGTTTTTGCCATTACTTTTAATTGATACTTGAGGTATAGTATTGTGTAGTATTACAACCTAAGAGAGAATCTTTGGAAATACATAGATTTGAGGGAACTTTGAAGAGGTAAAGTTTAGACTCACTGTGGTGGTTCTCTTGCTAGATTCTTGTGAAATTAGTGTGCCTTGATTTGCACGAAGGGGTTTTATTGGTAAAATCAAATAGTCACTTTATTTTCCCAATTCACAGAAAGAAATCAATTGATTAATGGGTAAAATATTTTATTTAGGGTTTTCACATATGCTTTCTTGAAATCTTTGATTTTTTGCTATTGCTTAGCTATAAACAAGCACTGAGACATAAAAATACATAAAAATAGTAAATAAATCCCAACCAAAAAAATCAGAAAGAAACTATAAAGCTTGCTTTGACAACTTCTTACTTTTAAACATGTACCAGGCACCTAGCACAGTGTATGTGCATAATAGGGTCACTATAAATATTTGTTGACTGAATCAATTAATTAATTGAACATCTTTCCATTCATGGTGCTTTCTCAAACTAGACTATTTGGTGCCTTGCCACCTGAGTACGTTTCAGACCTGTTCTATGAGCAAATAAAAAGATATTGAAGATTTAGAGCAGTGAAATGACACAAAGAAAGTGGTATCTGGGACGTTTAAGTCAGCCATTGTGTGAGAGTTTGAAGGTGGGAGTGATCAAATCAGTTGGGAAGATCAGACATGACTTCAAGCAGCACATCAAGTGTTCCTTAAAGGATAGGTAAGAGGCTGATGGTAAGAGGAAAGGGAAAATATTCCAGGTAAAGGGAACAGTATAAGAAGAGACATAAAGATAGGCCGGGCGCAGTGGCTCACGCCTGTAATCCCAACACTTTGGGAGGCCGAGGCGGGCAGATCACGAGGTCAGGAGATGGAGACCATCGTGGCTAACACGGTGAAACCCCGTCTCTACTACAAAAATACAAAAAATTAGCTGGGCGTGGTGGCGGGTGCCTGTAGCCCCAGCTACTCCGGAGGCTGAGGCAGAATGGCATGAGCCTGGGAGGTGGAGCTTGCAATGAGCCAAGATGGCTGCCACTGCACTCCAACCTGGGTGACAGAGCAAGACTCCGTCTCAGAAAAAAAAAAAAAAAAAGGAAGAGACATAAAGATGTGGAATAGCATCCAAAGAGTCAGATACAAGACCAATTAGGTAGGATGGTGCTAGAGTCTGTCAATATAAATTTGTGTATAATTCCACAGGCAGTTGTAGCAGAGACTGCTAAATGCCTGCCTAATATCCATTCACTTCTACTTTATTGGTAAAAGAACTCCTAAAATATTAGGGGCAGCAATATGTTTAAATAAAAGACATTTCCTGGTCTCCATCACAGTTAGGCATGGCTATGTAATTAAGTTCTGGTCAATGACATACAAGTGGAAATGTTATGTGTGCCTTTCAGGGAAGTCTATTAAAGGGGAACAGACATCTGGGGATACCCCTTTCACCATTTCTGCCATTAGATTCTCCAGCAACCACACAGGTCCCACAAGTGACCTTGAGGATGAAAACCAAATTCTAAGGATGAAGCAGAAAGATAGGAGAAGCCTGGGTCCCTGATGACTGAAGCCAACACGCTCCTCTAAACTGCCTGCCTCCAAACTAATGTTTTGTTTTTTTTTCAAACAGGGTTTTACTCTTGTCACCAGGGCTGGAGTCCAGTGGCAGGATCTTGGCTCACTGCAACCTCCGCCTACCCGCTCAAGTGATTCTCCTGCCTTAGCCTCCCGAGTAGCTGGGACTACAGGTGTACACCACCACGCCTGGCTAATTTTTGTATTTTTAGCAGAGACGGGGTTTCACCATGTTGCTCAGGCTGGTCTTGAACTCCTGAGCTCAGGTGATCCACCCACCTCGGCCTCCCAGAATGCTGAGATTACAGGCGTGAGCCACTAAGCCCAGCCTCCAAACTCATTTTGAATAAAATAATAATCCCTTGTGTTATTGTAGCTTGCCTATCACAAGCAGACAGACTTAATACTAACTGATACAGTGGTAGGGAGCCATTGAGGAGTTTTGAGAATAGAAATGACTCAGCCAAAAGACATCACCTACTGCACCTGAGGAAATTATTATTCTTCTACTTGCCCACCTGACACAGGAGAAAGGGAGCAATCACACGCTCGTGTGTGAGAAGAACAAATTTTCAGATTATAAAAGTTTTGGAATCTTGGGACATAGGACAAGAACATTACTGCCAGGGTACCAATTTGCATTTTTTTTTCCAGTTCATTGTGATATTTAAGAGCTTGAGAATCAGATCAGGATTCAAATTTTGTGTGTGCCATTTATAATAAATCTAGGACAAGTTAACTTTTCCAAAGTCCAGTATTCTTAGCTATTAAATGGGCTAAAAGTACCTTCCAATCAGGGTTGTTGCAAAAAACAAATGAGAAAATGTAGGTCAAGTTCCTTGCCAAAGGCTGGGGCCTAGTTGTATTTATCACTGCTGTACTGCTATTTTGTTTCCTGCACTTCAGTATACACATAACGAACACTGCAGTCTCCTCTTCAGGTTCCATTTTTCATGATCCTCATTTAGAGGCACAGGACCACTCTCAAGACTTACTTGTTTTCATAAAAAGAAGAAAAGAAATTTGGGGGAATGTGCAGAGTCGCCCTTTACTCAGTCTCTCAAAGGAGACTGTGCAGTGATTATCAGAAATCTCTTATACATAAAGAAAGAGTATGGCCCAAAAATGTTAGTTTCTGTACAATTACAGAGAACGTGGAACTGTATCTTACTCATAGTGAGGTTAGAAAATGCTACCAGTTACCCTTTTCTATGCAATTTCCCATAAGTGATCGTCCTTCTAGATATGTGTGCTATCATAAGCAATATATTTGGTCTTTATCTCTGGTTCCTGGCACAGAGCACTTAAAACCTTTAGAATTTCCCAAGTGATAGGAGTATATTTTGTTATTGAATCCCTTTTTATCACACTTGAGTTTATACTAATGAGATGACTTAGGGTGGGGCTCCTATATAGCAGCAAGATGGGACTGGTCACCAGAAAGACCAATTGATTATAGGGCTGGAACTTTCAGCCCCCCAGGGAGGGGCGGGGAAGACTGGAGATTAAGTTCTATAAAAACTCTCGAAATGAGATTTGATGAGTTTCCAATTTGGTGAACACGTCCACGCAGTGGGAGCATGGAGTACCCCATGGGGACGGAAGCTGCTGTGCTCCGTACCCTTCCAGACCTTGCCCTGTGTACCTCTTCATCTGGATGTTCATTTGTATCCTTTATAATAAACTGGTAAATGTAAGTAAAGTGTCTTCCTGAGTTCTGTGAGTCATTCTAACAAGTTATGGAACCTTAGAAGGGGTTCATAGGAAGCTCCTATTTATACCTGGTTGGCCAGAAGCACAGGAGGCCCAGGACTTGCAACTGACATTTGAAGTAGGGGGCAGTTTTGTGGGACTGAGCTCTTAAGCTATAGGGTCTGTGCTAACCCCGGGTGGTTAGTATCAGAATTGAGTTAAGTTGTTGAACACCCAGCTGGTGTCCAGTGAGTCCAAGAGTTGATTGTAGGTATTGGAAAACACTCCAGAGTATGTTAATACTTCACATTTATGGATGTCTAGATGGGAAGTATTAGAAATTAATGGAGAAGGTTAATGTCTTTTTAAAAAGAAAAAGGCAATGTATAAATGGTCTGTCTGATATCACTCAGTAATGAACAAGAGTGAGAAGAGACCCTAGGAGGAATTTTGTCTTTATATTCATTGCAGTATTTTGAGGGATATTTTTCCAGATTTTTTTTCCCACAGATATGTATACAAGGGCTTCCTTTATGTGTTTTAAACATAATTTGAATCACACTCTAGAGTTCTGTGGCATTTTTAAAAAACTTATTGCCTGGGCGCGGTGGCTCACACCTGTAATCCCAGCACTTTGGAAGGCTGAGGTGGGTGGATGACGAGGTCAGGAGATTGAGACCATCCTGGCTAGCATGGTGAAACCCCATCTCTACTAAAAATACAAAAAAACTAGCCAGGTGTGGTGGTGGGCGCCTGTAGTCCCAGCTACTTGGCAGGCTGAGGTAGGAAAATGGCATGAACCCGGGAGACGGAGCTTGTAGTGAGCTGAGATCGCGCCACTGCACTCCAGCCTGGGTGACAGAGCGAGACTCCATCTCAAAAAAAAAAAAAAATCAACCAACCGAACAAATAAAAAAAACTTATTAATACATCAACAATGTAATTTCACATAATATAGAGCTACATAAGTACTTACGTTTATATAGTCTTCCATGGAGTTGATTTCTGTGATTTATGTAACCAATCCTCCTCCACTTTTCAATATTTAGGTTGCTTTCAAGTTTTCACTATTATAAACTATGCTGTGATGAACAGTGCATCTTGTGCATATCTCCAAATTATAAATATTTTCTTGGAAAAATGTATAGAAATGGAATAGCTTGGTCACTGAAACATTTGAAGTTCTCTTAAAAATTCTTTAAAAATATCAGGAAATACGTTAAAAAAAAAAAAACCTTCAGAGCTGGGCGTGGTGGCTCACGCCTATAATCCCAGCACTTGGGAAGGCAGAAGTGGGTGGATCCCCCGAGCTCAGGAGTTCGAGACCAAGGCAACATGATGAAACCCCATCTCTACTACAATACAAAAAATTAGCCAGGCATGGTGGTGCGCACCTGTAATCCCAGCTACCTGGGAGGCTGAGGCAGGAGAATCGCTTGAACCCAGGAGGCAGAGATTGCAGTAAGCTGAGATTGCCCCACTGCACTCCAGCCTAGGCGACAGAGTGAGCCCCTATCTCAAAAACAAAAACAAAAACAAAAAACTTCTTCAATACTCTAATGTGGTGATTTTGAATAATGTGGGAAATATTTTATTCATCCTTTGGATTCCTATTATATGTTTACTAAAAGAATATTTCAAAGACCATCTGTTTGAGTTTTCCCCAGACATAGAATGCTTATGTGCAATCCACTTACTGAACTTCTTTCATGTTTTTGACAGAAAAGCACAAAACTAATTTTTAACTTAAAGCATGAATTCAGTCTACTCAGAATCCAGATGTTTAGCTGTGCCAGAAAAATGTATTATTTCATAGAAAATCTTTCATTTTCAATCAAAATTTTGAAACAAAATACTTAAACACATCCTGCCATTGGATCCAAATATCATTTGTGAAACAACGTCCATTTTTCAGCAAGAGTCCAATTTCAAAGTACGTTTGTGGCGTTAAGAGCCTTCTTCTAACATAAAGACATGAAAAAATTGAAAAAGAAGAAGAGCAGAAGAAAAGAGGAAGAAGAGGAAGGGTTTGCTGCACTAAGTGAAAGCAATGGCAGTCATCAATTGTGTTCCAAAATTTAACACAACCAGTATATTAATTGATTAAATCTTAATACTTAATTTTTTACAGAAACAGTAAATTGCACCTTATTTCTGAGCCAGAAAGCTTTTACATCTATAATACAGTTGAATCTATACACGATATGGAAAATAGTACAAACTATTGCCATTGCAGTACCAGTAATAAAATAAAATATGTACCCTACAATGACCATTTCATAGTTTTGTACTTACCTGAACATTAGTTAATCACCAAACTTAATCACCATAGAGTTTTATGTTTTATATTTTATTGTGTTTCTCCTGTACTGCATTCATTTATATAAGCTAGGCTGGAATGTGACAACCTGGGGGCTCATCCACCATTGATGGCATTATTATCATAGAAAAACAACCTTAGTTACGAGCCCCTGACCCAGAAATTACGTTTTGGCTTTTTTTTTTTTTTGTGCCTAGAACTGCATGCAATGCCAAGGTTATGGCCTTTTGATTGTTGCCTTAAGGAGAAAATGGCTTTAATCATTAATAGGGAAGACTTGTCCCCCTAAGAAGGGAGCATACCCAGAAGAACCCAAGAAAGAAGAGCATCATTGTTAGACTCCTGGGTAATATTTCTAACTGGTTTGACAACTGCTGGAGAAAAATACTTATGTGGCAGTACCAGAACCCAAGGCCTAACATCTCCAGCTGATGTATCATGAACTTCTTCTCTGACACATAAACGTCTGGAAATTACTGGAGAAACTCCCCCCACCTTTACCCCAATGCCCACTCCCTCCCAAGGCCATCAGAAATGCTCTTCCTTTGATTTCTTTCCCTCACATTGCTTCCTGTAGATCCTGTGTTCTACTCCTGCTGTTCTCACAAGCTCATTCCTACTCCTTCTCCATTACCCCGCTCTAAAGACACCCTCCCACCTTTTCATTGTGCTTCAGTGCCTGTCATTCTGTGCAGATAAGTGAAAAGAAGGATGGGGAAAGGCTTTTTGATAAGATTGGGCATGGAGTAACAAAACCGTGGGCTTTCATCAGCTGATATAAATGATGGACCTCTCTTTTCTCCTGTTTTTCTCCATCCTGGGTCTGTTTATTGCAGCTGAGAAGGCCTACTAGTGCAGAAGACCTGTTCTAATCATTTATGACACATTGTAATGACAGTCTATTGGATTGTCTGCACAGCACCCATTTTTTAGGACTTGTCTCCCTACCACCCTATGCCCCCAGCCCACCACATACAAGGTACCTGCAAAGTCTTTCCACTTCCTAGATATAGTTTATTGATCTTCATCCCTTCTCTGAGATTTTTGGAATTAAGACTGAAAAAGGTCAAACTGTTTCCTGATGCTTGGACTCTATAAGGTATCCCAGGAAACTTTTTGTTCAAACAAGTTCAGATTCGTTTTCTGATGCTGTCAGAGCCTTAACTGACGTGTTCACACACACATACACATGCACACACATACAAGTTGGCTTTCTTCTCCAAGCAATTTTTATATCGTCTCTTCCCTGCCCTTTGCTTTAGTTAAGTGGGCTTCAGTAACCAGGGAAACAGTCTTGGTTTCCAGCCCTCAGAGATTAAGGAAAGGTGTCTTAGAAAAGACAGAAACAGGCTGGGTGCGGTGGCTCATGACTGTAATCCTAGCACCTTGGGAGACTGAGACAGGCAGATCACTTGCGCTCAGGAGTTTGAGACTAGCCTGAGCACCATGATGAAACCGAATCTCTACAAAAAATAAAAAACAAAATTAGCTGGGTGTGGTGGTGCATGCCTGTAGTCCCAGCTACTTGTTGGGGGAAGCTGAGGCAGGAGGATCAATTACTTAAATCCAGGAGGTCGAGGCTGCAGTGAGTTGAGAGCATGCCATTGCCCTCCAACCTGGGTGACAAAGTGAGACTGTGTCTTAAAAAAAAAAAAAAAAAAGAACAGACAGCAGCAGGGCTGAATTCCTTGCTCATTGGATGATGCGTAGAATTGCCACTCCCATCTTCCCTTGCCACATTTCTTCAGTTGCATGTGGCACTGACAAAGGCTAGGACTTTGCCATTCTTCCAATGCTAGCTGAATTCCAGCCAGCAACTGACTTTACAATGCCTTCTTTGCAAGATTTGGATGGGCAATCACAGATCAGCCAGATTCAGGGTCAGGAGCCATTTTGAAGTTCAGTTTCAAGTTAGGAAAAACTGTAATACTGAACCCCTCAAAGATACTGGCTCAAGTATCTAGTTTAAGGAGTAGGTCAGTAGAGGACTGGCCTTGGGTTCCCACTCCCTGTTGGAGGTGGGATCACTATGAAGCGGAGAGTGTTGAGAAAAACCCTGAGGCCAACCAGCCAGCCAACAAAAACCCTACCTGCAATACCCTGGGAGTATTCCTAATATAATAAGTATTATTCGAGTTAAAAGTAATACATCTCCCCATGTTTAAGTGGCATGTGGTTGGAAGATAAGGTTCTTGCTTTTTAATAGAAAGGAATAAAACACTGAAAAACCAAGACTTGAAGATGACTTTTTGCAATACAACCTTTCCGAAATAAGGCACAGTCTATTCTCAGAGCATTAAATTTCTTCTTCCTTTGAGTTCCCATTTTGTAATGGTTGGTCCTTTTCTACTAACAAACGAATGCATTACAGACTTTTCTCTTTCTAGTGATCTAAAATGTTGCTAAGTTTGCACTGTGGTCCACAATTTACAAATACTATGTAAGACTCTTATGCTAAACTGCAGGATTGAAGAAAATACTCAGACTTAAATAGTGATACTCTTTGCAGACTTGGTGTAATTTCAGTGTAATTTTATATCTGGGAAAGGATTTATTGGTAACAAGTTACAAGCTGTGCTCCAAATGCCACATTGCTGGAAATGGCTGGAAGATCAATGCCTTTAGAGCATCTACAAACCCAAAAAGTCTTTTCATCCTACAATAATGGCTCTTTTCTGTGTTTGCACACACTAAATTCTACGAATTAAGCTAGCCTCATCGAACCTCTTAGAAATCATGTCAGAGGCTGAGCGTGGTGGCTCATGCCTGTAATCCCAGCACTTTGGGAGGTCAAGGCAGGCGGATCACGAGGTCAAGAGATTGAGACCAGCCTGGCCAACACGGTGAATCCCTGTCTCTAATAAAAATACAAAAATTAGCTGGGTGTGGTGACGCACGCCTGTAGTCCCAGCTACTCGGGAGGCTGAGGCAGGAGAACCCAGGAGGCGGAGGTTGCAGTGAGCAGAGATCATGCCACTGCACTCCAGCCTGGCGATAGAGTGAGTCAAAAAAAAAAATTATGTCAGAGTGACTCCCAATTCCACTGTCAAGATCTGTGCTATCTTGTGGATATCATGTATTTCAACCAGAAAGTCTTCTCTCAACTTTAAATAGGATGAGGATTCTTTGCAAAGCAAAGAATCTTTGGCTCCCTGCTTGACATTGCCCCCACTTAGGTGTCAGGAAGCTATCCTTTACTCTGAGCATTCATGTGCACTAAAGCTGGAGGCATGTAGTTAATATTGCCATTATAAAGTCTGTTTAAATGTTTTTTCTCACTGGCTGTAGCAGGAAGGCTTCTGGGAAGACTTATTTCACCTATGCAAAAGATTATCTGGGGCAGCTATTTTTCCTGGAGGTTCCATGATTTAATTTTTGGGCCCTTTACTGGATTCTTTCATCTATGAAATGTGTCCAACATCCTAATTTACCTTTCAGAAATACTAATAATACATTATTACTATGCAATTTATTTTGAAGATTTTTCAAAAGGCATGTTTTCTCCTACTCATTTACACAGATGGTATTCATTTATTTAACAATTAGCATCTACTAAGAGTAAACACATGAATGCAAAGATTGAGAGTTCAACTAAACATACAGTGTAAGAATACTCACTAAATTCACAGAGACTCAAATTGATTGCTGCCATTGATTATTGTATATTTTTCTCTTTTATTCTCTCCTTTTTGAGGATAGATCCCAAACTGAATTAATTATCCATTCTTTAAAATCTTCTCTTGAGTTTCTTTTCTTCTTGATTGGCAGCACCTACATGCCCAAGTCAGAAAGCTGGGAGTCTTCTCAGATTTTTCTCCTTCATATATACTCCCAAATCCCAACACGTCCCCAAGTTCTGTTAATTTCACCTGTTAACTTCTTGCTCTGTACCCTTCCCTCCATTCTCACATCTTTCCTAGTTCAATGCACTATCGACCCTCATCTAGACTATTATAACAACCTCTTAACTGGTCTCTCCATCCCCATGCCTCTCCTTGTTTATTCATGCTGCATCTAGAATGATATTTTAGAAAAGATATTTGATTGTAAACTTCTCTGCCTACAATCTTTCATTGATTCTTCATTGCTGTTAGGTTAAAATACAATTGATTTATATTCACTGCCTCTCCAGCCCCATATGCCACCACACTTTCTGCCACTCTCTTCTCCAGCCACACAGAATCACTTGGCCTGCCCTAAAGGTCCAACTATCTCTAATATCTGAGGGTTTGCTTTATCTAAAAGAATCTCACTCTCCCCTCTCTGCCATCCCACTCCATACTTGATTGATAAAGCCTCAGGCTTCAGAACTGTCATCCATTATTGCCTTAACAATGGCAATAAAAATTACCTATTAAACCAAAACAAAAAGAGACAAATGAAACTACATCAAACTAAAAAGTTCCTGCATGACAAAGGAAACAGTCAACAGCTTGAATATATAACCTGCAGAATGGGAGAAAATATTTGCAAACTATTCATCTGATAAGGGATTAATATCTAGAATATACAAGGAACTAAAATCACTCAACAGTAAAATAAATAATCGCACTAAAAAGTGGGCTAAGGACATGAATAGATACTTCTCTAAAGAAGACATATAAATGGGCAACAGGTATATGAAAAAATGCTCAATATTGCTAATCATCAGGAAAATGCAAATCAAAACTACAATGCAGTATTATCTCACCCCAGTTACAAATACTATTATCAAAAAGACAAAAAGTAAATGCTGGCAAGAATGCGGAGAAAATGGAACTCATACATTGTTGGTGGGAATGTAAATTAGTATAGCCATTATGGAAAACAGAATGGAAGTTTTTCAAAAAGCTGAAACTAGAACTACCATATAATTCAGCAACTCCACTACTGGATATTTATCCAAAGGAAGGAAAGTCAGTAATCAAAGGGATACCTGCACTCCCATGCAGCACTGTTCATAATTGCCAAGATAGGGAATCATTCACAGTTTGTGTATCTAAGTGTCCATTAATGGATGAATGGGTAACAAAATGTGATAGATATACTCAATGAAATGCCATTCAGTCATAAAAAATAAAATTCTGTCATTTGCAGCAACATGGATGGAACTGGAGGACATTATGTTAAGTGAAATAAGCCAGGCACAGAAAGACAAATGTCACAGGTTCTTACTCATGTGTGCGCACTAAAAAAGTTGATCTGATGAAGGTAGAGAGTAGAAATGATGGTTCTCAGAGTCTGGGATGAGTGTATGGTGGGATGAAAAGAGTTTGCTTAATGGAGACAAACATACAGTTATATAGAAGGAGTAAGTTCCAGTGTTCAACAGCATAGTAGATGACTAGTTAACAATGATTTATTGTATTTTTTGAAAGAGCTAGAAGAGAAGAGTTGAAATGTTCCCAGCGCAAAGAAATGATAAATATTTGAGGTGATGGATATCCTAAATATCCTGATTTGAACACTACACATTGTATGCATGTATCTTATGAACATGTACAATTATTATGTATCAATAACGAATTGCCCATGAATCTCTTCTAAAGGAAATTTTCACTTTTGGTTTGTATTTGTAGTAAATTCCCTAAGATTTTAGGCAGTTCAAGCTGCCAGTGTATCTATACCTGGTGACAGTGAGACTATAACCTTTTTTTTGCCAACATAGGATGGTCCTTCTATCTTTGGAAGCTAGAGCTCTTTTAAGCCACTGGGGTATTATTCCACAGACATGTGATGATTTAACTCTGAGTTAAGCCAGTTTCTTTCTGTGACTAATATTGCCTATAACAACTTTTCCTGCTTCCAGGCTATCATTTGACAATGAAAACAACTTAATATTTTACTATATATCTTCCATAAGTAAGTTGTAAGATAACTTAAAAAAATACAAGGCAATTCTGACTCTTGGAACTAGTTTTCTTGAATCTTTGCAAATTGTTGACCTGCTTTGTGAAAGACATTCAACTCTGATGCTGCTTTCCCTACAGTTATTTTAAAGTGTTTTTTTGTTGTTGTTGTTGCTGTTTTTAGAGACAGGGTCTCACTATGTTGTCCAAGCTGGAGTCTAGTGGTGTGATCATAGCTCACTGCAGCCTTGAACCCCTGGGCTCAAGCCATCCTCCAGCATCAGCCTCCTAAGTAGCTATGACTATAGGCAGGCACCACTCTGCTCAGATTCTTACAGTCATTTGACAGAGCATGCTACTTACGTTGTTCTACAACCACTTATATGAACTGCCTTTGAGGTTCTGTTTTCTGAATGTACAGTGCCAATCTCAGAACATTCAAACTATAGGCACTTATTGTTAGGTCCCTAGGACTTTTTGTTTTATTGTTTTCATGGCCAAACTCTTTACAAAACAAATTGGCAAAAAATCATTAAATATGCAGAGCAAATTTGGATTCTTAACAGAAAAGGTTAATCACTCCAAGTGCTAAGTAGAATTAATTTTATCCTCCAAAGAATTAAAAGTACTTGAAAGTCTTACTGATAGGTAGATCATCTCAGTGTATCTGAAAGGTTTTTCTTTGTTTGTTTTGTTTTTACTTACTGCACCCCACAGTAAGAAATTTGCTCTATATCATAACCTAGATATTGACATGTATATTGAAAGAGTATACACACACACACAGAGAGACATAATTGAAACAAAATATCCATGAAATAATACTTACCTTTAGTATAAGTGATGCAAACTGACATTGCTAATTTTTTTTATTCTATTCTATTCTATACTATACTACCCTACAACATTCTAGTCACTATTCATTAAGTTGATTTCATAATCTGCAATTGGGGAACAATCTGCAATTTGAAAAGTACTGGATCATGTTTTAAAAAAAAAATACAAAAATAAGGCAAGTGAAGTAGAGTGGAGTAATTAGTTTTTTACTTTCTGGAACATTTTCGTGACGTTGTAGCCTTTAATTTCTAGGTGTTGCTGGTTGGGCTCAATCACCAGGACTTCCTACCTTCAAGGTGAGCATGTGAGCAAGTTGAACCAATTATAATACATTTCCTTTGGACACAGTAATTCTTCTGAGGACTTTTTTCTTTTCTTTTCTTTTCTTTTCTTTTCTTTTCTGTTTTGAGATGGATTCTCGCTCTGTCACCCAGGCTGGAGTGCAATGGTGTGACTTCAGCTCACTGCAACCTCTGCCTCCCGGGTTCAAGCGATTCTCCTGCCTCAGCCTCCTGAGTAGCTGGGATTACAGGTGCATGCCACCAGGCCCAGCTAATTTTTGTATTTTTACTAGAGACGGAGTTTCACCATGTTGGTCAGGCTGGTCTCGAACTCCTGACCTCGTGATCTACCCACCTCAGCCTCCCAAAGCGCTCAGATTACAGGCATGAGTCACCACGCCTGGCCCTAGGTAAGGACTTTTAACTCAAGGTGTGCTGATCAAAACTTCGTCGCTGAAATGAGCATGGAAGAGAACCTCTTTCTTCTGGGCTCACCAACCTGAAAGAATGTGAGTCTGCGCTGTTTGCCGCCACCTTCATCTTGCTTTCGTGGGGAAAGCCTGACTGAATAATGAAGCCAATCGGGACTGCTCTGCTGAGGACTGGCAAGGGAGAGAGAGAGCCCTGGGATAAATGCTTGAGCAACTGGACCAAACTGTGAAGAATTCTAAAATCATCTTTTATTTACCAGGTACATGAGACGATCTAATTTTCTTTTCTTTTCTTTTCTTTTCTTTTTTTTTTTGACAATGTCTTGCTCTGTCGCCCAGGCTAGAGTGCAATGGCTGGATCTCGGCTCACCGCAACCTCCACCTCCCAGGTTCAAGCAATTCTCCTGCCTCAGCCTCCGGAGTAGCTGGGATTACAGGCATGCGCCACCACGTCCGACTAATTTCAGTTTTCTCACTTGCCAAGTGTAAGAGTCCTGATAATACGGTAACAGAGATGGACACAGAGGGCTTGATATTTGTGACGTAAGTGAGAAGACCACATAACTGTGTCCGTACTGAAAATATTAATAAAGCCTATCTTCTGTCTCTCTTCTATCATCCCTGAGTAAATGGGCTGTTTAGTGACTTATACGACAGGATAGTATATTTTTTAAAATGTAAGTATTAATTTATATGTTCTTCCCTCTTCCTGCACCAGTTCTTTTACCCCTTGTCTTCTCCCGTGTTGTCAGCTTGGCATTCTTTACTCATTTCCTCAGGAAAGGAATGATACAGCAGAAATGCAAAGTCTTGTATTTTCATTTTCAATTGCGCAGGCGTCAGGAGAACATGAAAGAGATTTGATGAATAAAAATCTTTGTAACTCTAAGACCAGAAAGGAATCCCTAGGTTGAGGAGTATGAAGAATGGAGGGAACATGAAGTGGGAGAAAGCTGGGAGAAGCCAGAGGCAAAGCTTTCCCGTTCTGCTCCAGCTCCTGGTCCCATGAACAGAGTCCAATGCTGATGCCTAGGGACTTCCTGGCTCCATTCAGGTGAGGACCATACATCCCCTGTGCTGAGGAATTTTGTTAATTGTTTTTGCATTGAGGCTCAGTAAGAATTTTCTTGCAACAGCAGCTAGCACATCACTTGCTGAGTGTCTGGTGTCCCAGTATCTCCTCTAACCCTGGGTAGACAGCACCCACCAGGATGCACAAAAGCCCCCCGAAGTACAGTGTGAGGCCTTTGATGCACAGGAAGACATTAAAGTCCACTGCATACAGACTTAGATGAAACAAACTGTTACCAGCCAGAAATCGCTCTAGGCTAGGTAGTCATAAAAAAAACCCTATCTGACTTCTAACCCCATTCCCACCCCCAACACACACCATGACCACCACCACCTTTACTTGATTACTATACACTTTTCTAAATAGGGATTCAGTCCATTAGTACTACACTATTTTATACATTTTTGTTTCATGGCTTCTCAACAAACGTCAAACCAGTATTACTTAAGCCCAATGCTAAGTTCCCTGTCCTCATGTGACTCTCACCATGCGTCAGGCGGTGCAGAAATGCATGTAGTTCATCCCATTATATATGGTAAGTGCTGTCAGGTTCAAAGGGCTGATGGAATAGGGTTGGGCTAGGTGGCCTCTCAAGGCCCCTTCTATCATTGGAGAATTTTTATTTGTTGTTTAATAACTATTACCCTGCATTATCATAACTTTCATTCTGGTTTAGCCATAAACATTCAACCTGCAGAGTTCAGTGGAGGAGTTTTCCTATACTGTTTTCTGAAGGGTAAAATTTGGCATTAATTACAGATAAAAACCAGGTGCAGTGGCTCACACCTGTAGTCCTAGCTACTGGGAAGACTGAGGTGGGAGGATTACTTGAGCCCAGGAATTCAAGGCTGCAGTGAGCTGTGATGGTGCCACTGCACTCCAGCCTGAGTAACAGAGCAAGACCCTGTTTCAAAAACAAAACAAAACAAACCCCTAGAGTGAATGATGCACGTAAGAGCCTCTGAAAGAGCACTCCCTTAAACCTCCCCCTGTCCCCATTGACAAAATCCAACAGAAGTGTGGCGCGGGTCCCATCTGCTGCAGGTGCTCTTCACGGGATCTGACCCCTTCAATCATGGCCTTGCCAACCAGATAGCCACTTCCTTCATTACAGTTTCCACTCCAGTGCTGGTATCAATCCTCTCCTTTTCATAGAAATAGGCTGCCCTTCCTATTCCCTCCCTTTCTCCCCAAACTCCTTCAATAATTGGCACTAACCCAGAGACCCGAGGCCCCATACTCACCCTTGGACAGCCCTTGATTATGGAGCTACAGAGTGACTACGTCAGACGTCAAATCCTAATCTCTTCAGTTCAGCTCCACGCCACTAAGTGGTGCTTGAAAGAGACTGTTTAAGTACATGGCTTTGTGGTGTTTTTTTTTTTTTTCCCCTACTTCTTCTCAGTGAATCTTTCTAAAGAAATGCATTTTGAGCTAAGAGCCTCTTCCAAAGTGAAGGGTATATTTGTAGATTTCAAGGAACTAAAAACCAGGCCGCCACCTGCCAGGGTAGTTAAAATGGAGCCGAACAGCACTCCTGGGGGAGGGGCCTGTCCTGATTAAGGAAGTGACTCAGCTTCCTAATTCATTGGAGAAATGAATTTTTCAGAAAGGAAGACATACTATTTTGAAAAGATTATGTAACATTCCAAAGACATACACTTTGAAGTAGAGAATTCTAGTTGGGTGACTGCATTACAAAATAAGTTAATAATTGAAATGACCACATCTTAATAACAAGCAAAGCATTTCCCTGAACAATAGTTTTTCTACATTCTTTTCATTCTGTGGACTCAGAGAGGTCTTTTGATGGATCATAAGCCTTTTATAAACCCATGACCCAGATTTAGAAAAGCTGTAATCACCGCATGCTGACCTTTCATAATAAGCATGCTCTATCCTTCCACGCCCCCAGCCCCAGAATGAACTCTAAAGCAGAAAATTTAGATAGCAGGAACTACATGCACTAGAATTTATAACCAAAGTTTCACATAACCCTGTCACATTTTGGCAATAAATTAACTGGTGAGATGCCATATTAAGTGGAACATATTCCTGTTGATTGTCAAGGACTAGATATTGAGCTTATTTGAGTGCCTTATTGATTTATATTTGCTTTATAGCAACACCGGATGGCTCCTCTCCTTTAAGACAACAAAATTAACCTTATTCTCTTCACATATCTGGCAGCAACTTTATCACCTTAATATGTTCCAAGGTTGGCACTGAAGAGAGAATATTTAAATGGGAAGGACTGGCTGTCCAGCCCTGGCTGCCTCCCTTGGCAGAGGCCATTTTTACACATCAGTGTAGACAGTTGTCAAGCTTTCTTGGAATCCGGGTTAAAGGAAGAGATGAGTGAAAACAGGAAAGGCTGACCTGCAACCATTAATCAAGGCTCAGTTTCCAAGTTCTAATTTCCTATAGAGGAGTAGTCTTACCTTATTCCCATAGGACATTATATTAGAACACAAATGCCCAACATCAGAGTGAGAGATACAGTGTTTGGGTCTTTTCCCTGCATGATCACCGATGATAAATATAGCCATAAAAATTTCTACAAATGTATCACATTCACATATGGTTGCTTCTCAAATTCTCTTAACATCTTGTTGAGTTAGTCATGATCCTACCCCATTCCTACTTAAAATATTCTACTAACTCCCCTTCATCCACAAGATAAAATCTAAATTCTTTGGCATGTCATTGAGGTCCCTTCAAGAAGTACAATAAAAATAATTCAGGAACCAAGTTGCTCAGTGCTGTAACTTTTTATTTGTGTTCATTTCCCTTCTAGAGGAGTGGTCCTTAAGGGCACGGTTGTAGTCCTGTCTTGTTTCTGCCATTTTTCATTCACATGACTTGGGAGAAACAACTCAATGTTTCCACATAAGGAAACCCAGTTTTAGAAACAATTAGTTTTCCAAGGTTACACAGATGGAAAAGAGCAGAGATGAGATTGAGGCCCAATCTGTTTGACACCAGAATCAAGCGCCTCTCTGTTCCTGAGTCAAGTCACTGAAATTTACAGAAATTAGGATCTAGCTTATTGTTAGTTTTATGAGTCCCTCTCCAAACACAGCCTCCAGAGTTAAGCATCTGGCAGTGCATTGCTACATAATTAGCATCCCCATGTATCTTGATTAATGATCAAGTTAATGACTTTCATTTCTCAGATGAGAAAACTAAAATTCAGGGAAGTTACAAGGCCACACAGTTATAGGGATGAAATGCAGCAGAGCCAGGATTAGAACCCCAATCTTTTGATTCTTAGTCTAGTGTGCTGGCCATGCCATATACTAATCATATACTTAAAATTTATAACTGGGGAGAGATATAATTGAGAATAAAAGCATGAATATTTAAATTTTCTAAAAGAAGTTTTTTTTTTTTTTTTTTTTTTTTTTTTTTGAGACAGAGTCTTGCTCTTATTGCTCTGGCTGGAGTGCAGTGGTGTGATCTCGGCTCACTGCAACCTCCACCTCCTGGGTTCAAGTGATTCTCATGCCTCAGCCCCCCAATTAGCTGGGATTCTTGTGCCTCAGCCTCCCAAGCAGCTGAAATTACAGGCACATGCCACCTCACCTGGCTAATTTTTGTAGTTTTAGCAGACATGGGGTTTCGCCATGATGGCCAGGCTGGTCTCAAACTCCTGGCCTTAAGTGATCCACCCACCTCAGCCTCCCAAAGTGCTGGGATTACAGGCATGAGCCACCATGCCCTATCAGAGAAGAGATTTCTTGGAGAGAAATTCATCTTACTCCTCTATTGTCAGGATTGAAAAAATATCCTTTATACTTTTAAACCCACTATCATACTTTTTAAACAGGATTTTTAAATAAAATCTATGCTTCCCTGTAGATTAGTAAAGCTAGATTTTAACAGGTAAACTAGAAGGGGTTAGAATTTAAGACACTTCAGGTAAATATAAAGGAAATCTATGTTTATTGACTCAATCCTTAGGATATCAGAATGAAAATATATGTGTGTGCATGTTTGTGTATTATTCTCCTAGCCATTTTTCCTCCCTTCAATGCCCAGATCACCTACCTGAAAACATGGTGGAAAGTCCAGAATTTACAGTAGATTTCTTAGTGCTTGACTTAAGTAGAATAGAGGAAAGGCACAACCTAAAAAGCCAAGTGTGCCCTTAGCAAAAGCAAATGTATTTGTTTGGTTTTTCTGCCCACTATAATTTCAGGAACTCTTACTCATCTAACACTGAAAAAAAAATATACAGCTTTAAGCTTAAAAAAAAAAAAAAGAAAGAAAGAGAAAAGAAAGAGAATTTTCTCCTCCCCAGTGCTTGTAATACCCCATTAAAAGCTTGGGAATAAAACTTCCTTCCCTATCAATGTTGTCCTTTTCCATTAAGCAAATATTGATTTCCTCTCCTTCCTTCCCCACCTCTACCCCCCTTAGATACGGGAGTCCAAATTACCATTGGCTCTTTTTGTTTACTTCCTTCTTTGTGTACTAACAAGGCTGAGTGTTTGTGTATTGCCTGCTGCTAGGCAGCCAACAGGGGGCGCTCACTGCATATTTTGATGAGGGGAAAAACGATTGGATTCAAAATAATCTTCAGTTTTCCTTGCACTTTCAATGCAAAAGTAAAGACTATAGTTCTCACACACAAAGGTTTTGCAAATGTGTTCAGAAGCAACGTGAGGAAATGTCTAGGTCAGGGAAGGAGGCCTTAGGGAGAGCCAGTATTTATACATGGAATGGGGATTTGAAGTTCCTAGGGACTTGGGTCCCTGAATGATTTGGGTCATTGATCATCAATTACACCTAAATTTTCTGGGCTATAATGACTAAATTTATTGGGCAATTTATCAACTTCTCACTTTGTGTACTTGGACACAGACTGAATAGTCAGAAAATATGTTCTAATTTTGCTTTCCCCCCGTTACTCTGGAGCGTCTCTTAGCATTTAGTTTAGGCTGCTCCATGTATAGGATGCAGAATGGAATCCTGTATTCCCACCGACAGTTTCTCCTAAGAATAAACTTCTCGGTGTCAAAATGGCAAACGAAAATAATAATGACACTTCGGGGTATATAAAATTTTAAGAACAGTCATACATTATAAGATCAAGGAAAAGCTGGGGAGGTGTTAGAATTTTAAAGTAACTCTTATCTACTTTGATTCAGATTCGATTTCAATTGAGAAAATTCCTAAAAATAAAACAACATGTAGCCTATTCAAATATTGTTTGATTTTCATGTTTAAAAGGTCAAGCTTTAAACTTGAAAGGAGTTTAAAAAGAAGTTGTTTGAGCTCCAAACAAATGCTAGCAGAAACAAGTTATTTTGAATTATTTGCTTCTAAAGACAGATAAAAAGAGATCAGACATAACAAGCTCTCATTAGAAGAAAATATAGTATATGGCAAGCCCTGTAAAATTTATCAGGATCTAACATTAAGATATACCCAAATTCATGGGTATATATTGAGATTTTTAAAAATAGTTAATATTGCTTACTGTTGATCACACTAATAAATAAGGTTTCCTATAGAATTATTAAAGCCTTCCTTTTGATTTACACAGCAAAGACTTCAGTAACAGTGATGGCGTTGCTCATTATTCAACAAAAACCACAGGAAAAATGTGCATCTTAGAAACATATTTTGTTCTCTTTCTGAAGCCCAAACAACTTCCAGCTAAAAGACATATTTTGATTAAGATAATATTTTTCCCTAATCAATATTTTTTACCTCTGGGTTATTACTTCCTTGAAGGCTTCTCTGACTTTTTTTTTTCTTTCTAAATTAGTCCATGTAGTTTATGAGAAATCATCAGCACTGCCATACGCTGCCGTTTACATTAAATCTTTCCCTTCATATTTACTGCTGGGTGGCAGGGCTTGTCTCTAGCCTTTATGGTTTGGCATCAAATCTTGAAATGTGTATTTTATACTTAATTGGAGTGGGGATAGGAGCACAGGAGCAGAATTAACCATTAATGAAATAAGACTCCTCTCAACCAACATTCATGCTTCCAATTTGGTTGGCAACATGCCTGAACACTGCTTGGTGTGAAACCACAACCAGTGTGGCGTGCTTGTTTCAAACATGGGCCTAGAATTGTGTGGTATTAGATCTGTGTCAAATTGCTGTAAAAGTGTCTAAAGGCTTACTCTGGATTTCTGTACTTATTGCATTACATCCGGGTGGTAAGTACTTTGCAGACCAACACTGGTCTGTGGACCACACTCGAGGACCCCTGGAGTGCTCCAAAAGAGCAAAGGGAAAAGTGCTTGTCATTTGGTTTTGTGGGTCCCGCCTACCCTGCAGTGTCCTTTGTTTCCCCAAACATTCAGTGGCCGCACATCTCTACACACTTCCACCTACCTCACCCCAGCACACGTGCACGCGTGCACACACACACGGTGGTGTAAGGACTAAAATTAAGGTTCAATGTTATGTACTGCCTTGATATCTGGTAAAACTGGAACAGCTTTGACTCACTTAACCGCAAGCTCCCCTCCCCACAGAGAAGATCCCCTATTTGCCAGTAAGGTGAATCAGATGCAATTACAACACACACACGCGCGCGCACACACACACACACACAGCTCCTGGAAGAAAGGGGTTTAACCTAAGCCTGCATTCTTAGGACAATGCCTTCAATCACAGTCCTGTCCATGGACTCTTGCTCTATATATGGGTGTTTGCACTTTGAAATGGATCTCCAGGTTTAGAATCAGAAGATCTCAGATGAAAAGGCATAGCACCAAAAACGCCCTGGCATATTGTTAGCCTTCAAATAAATGTGCATTCTTTCCTGTTCCTGCAGCAGTATCATTGTGTGATCCAACATGATTTTGGATGTGTGTATTTTTGTAAAATGTTATATGTATATTTTTTAAAGGGAGGGTGGTTCTTAAAATTATGGTTAGCTAACAGTGACTGATTCATTCTGCCTCATTTTCCCACTGAAGTATCCATGAAATTAAACCAAACCAAACCAAACCAAACCAAAAAAACCCGAAGCACTGCAATTGCACTGTATGCAGGGAAAGGTTGGTGTCCCGGCAGGAGCAGGAGCTGAGATACTACGGGTGAGAAGAATCAGGCACATCTCTCCTGCCCTTTCATTCTACTCACCCTCATTTGTCTTCCATATATCCAATTTTTAAAAAATTGTTTAATTTTTAAAAAATTGTTAAATTGTAAAATTAACCATCTTAATCACTTTTAAGAATACAATTCTGGGTAGTACACTCACATTGTGTAATCAATCTCCAGAACTCTTTATCTTGCAAAATGGAAACTCTGTACCCATTAGACAATGACTCCCCCATCCCCTCATCCTCGCCCCTGGCAAACACCATTCTATTTTTTGTCTCTATGAATTACACTATTCTAGGTACCTCATGTAAGTGGAATTGTACAGTATTTGTGTTTTTTTTTTTTTTTTTGGCCTGGTGTAGCATAACACCTTTGTGGTTCATCCATGTTGTAGAAAGTGTCATAATTTATTACCTTTGCGTGTCATAATTTCTTTCCCATTGTGTGTATATACCACACTTCATTCATTTGCCAGTGGACACGTGGGTAGCTTCCACCTTTTGGCTACTATGAATAATAATGCTTCTGTGAACATCAGTGTACAAACATCTCTTCAGATCCTGCGATCCTGCTCTCAATTCTTTTTTTTTTTTTTTTATTCTTTTTTTTTTTTTTTTTTTTTTTTTGAGTCTTGCTCTGTCACCCAGGCTGGAGTGCAGTGGCACGATCTCTACTCACTGCAACCTCTGCCTCCTGGGTTCAAGCAATTCTCCTGCCTCAGACTACCAAGTAGCTGGGATTACAGAGGCGTGCCACCATGTCCAGGTAATTTTTTGTAATTTTAGTAGAGACAGGGTTTTACCATGTTGGCCAAGCTGGTCTCGAACTTTTGACCTCAGGTTATCCACCCATCTCGGCCTACCAAACTACTGGGATTACAGGCATGAGCCACTGCACCCAGCTAGATCCTGCTCTCAATTCTTTTGGGTATGCACCCAGAAGTGAAATTGGTAATGCTATTTAAAATTTTGCGAGGAACTGCCATGCTGTTTTTCATTGTCACTGCAAAATTTTACACTCCCACTAACCATGCACAAAGATTCCAATTTATCCACATCCTCACCAACACCTGTTATCTTCTGGGTTTTTGTGTGTGTGTGTGTGTGTGATGACAGTAGCCATTCTAATGGGCGTGCGGTGGTATCTCCTCGTGATTTGATTTGCATTTCCCTAATGATGATGTTGGACATTTTCTCATGTGGTCATTAGCCATTCGTATATCTTCCTTGGAGAAGTGTCTATTCAAGTCATCTGTCTATTTTTAAATTTGATTAGCTGTTATTTTTTGTTGTTGAGTTGTAGTTCTTTGTATATTCTGGATATTAATCCCTCATCAGATAGATGATTTGCAAATATTTTCTCCCATTCCATGAGTTGTCTTTTGACTCTGTTGATTGTATCCTTTGATGCATGAATAAGTTTTAAATTTTGATGCAGTTCAATTTATCTATTCTATTTTCTTTGCTTGTCTATGCTTCTGGTATTGTATCCAAGAAATCATTGCCAAATCTGATGTCATGAAGCTTTTCTCCTATGTTTTTATCGGATAGTTTCCTTGTTTTAGCTCTATGTTTATGCCTTTCATTCCTGTTGAGTTAATTTTTTATATGGTATAACATTAAAGTCCATGTTGAGTATGTTAACTATTTGGAAAATGGAGAACAAAGATCTTTATCTCTTATCTAGTACAACAAAATACAATACATTACAAGTGGAGTTAAATGAAATTTTTAACATTAAAAAATTAAATGCAATGCTGTACAGGTAAATGCAATTAATTAATCTTAGTATGGAGAAGGACTTTCTGATTATATATGCACATAAAAAGAGATATGATAGATTTGATAAAAAATAAAAATTATGTGCATCCAAAATTCTTTTTAAAAAATCCCAGAGATCTATCAGAAAGTGTTAATCTTTAAAAAGATCACTCACGAATTAGTAGGAAACCATTCCAAAGGAAAGGGGGAAAACAAAAGAGAACTTGAAATTGCCATATAAACCTACAGGGAAAAAAATGTAACATTTTGTATTCACAGAAATGTAAAGTTAAAATAACAATAAAATTGTTATATTTTGCTTGACATGTAGGAAACGGATTTTTATCATGTGAACACCCAACACCAGAATGAATTCAGGGAAAACCCTCTTGGGTATGGCTGAGGATTAAATATTGTATAGACTTAGTTTATACTCCCAGTAGGGAAGATCAGTGGCGGAACTGCATTTTAGGTGAGGAAACAAGATAGTTAAGAGTTTGCAAACACCAGCAAGGAGCAGGGCAGTAGCAAAGAACAATGTCAAGGCATGCGCGGCTGGCAGGACATGCCTCACAGTCAGGAGTCTCAAAGCAGAGAACTGCTAACTCCTCTTCATAAAACAAATCTATTCTATAATTTATTTATCTCAAACATGTGTGAGTTAGTCATAGACTCGTGTCTCAGATTATAATGATATGAATACCTGTCCATATGAAAAATGTCAGTGGTACTTAAAAAAAGTGATAATTCTTTGATCATGGGATGAGATTATAGGTGTGGGTTTTTGTTGTTGATGTTACCTCTGCCAGTACAGGCAATTCTCTTTGTAAAGTGCCTTGCACAGCATTGGATTTAATTAGATGCTAAATACGCTTTTTAGTGAAGAGAAAATTAATGATTCTACTTAGAAAAATACATGTCTTTTTGACTAGAATATATACACAAAGGTTTCAGAAAACTTGTATATGGCAATTTCTGCATTGTGTACCAGCTGCTTTAGGACTAAAATGTAGTATCTCATGTCTTTTGAAGTCAATTTTAAGATCAGTGGAACAATTTTGTATCATCTCAAAATAAAAATCAAAAACTCTTCTGTTCAGAGACTAAAAATGACATTAAAACAACAGTAGAATTACAGCTATGCCAGTCCTCTAACCACTGATTTTCCTGTTTCCATGACATAACTGTGATTCTGGCCCATTTGTTTTGTATTTAAGACTTGGCATTGGCATCTTCCTGCCTCCCTAAATAGGCATGCCTGTGAGTATAACAAATGTGACTATTTAGGACTTATATAGCTCTAATTTGTCTACCCGTGCTCATTTACATTGTCTTTACAGAAGCCTATCAGACCAGGCTCAGTTTCTGTGACAGGTATTTCAAGATAAATTATGCAAGCAAAACACATTGGCCCAAGAGCCTGTGTTTCTTCTCCATCCAAGGCTGATTCCTCACAGAGTTGGGAATTGTGTGAGATGGAAGGGACTTTCTGAGGACAGAGAGCCTTTTGGGAAACATGTAGTAAGGTCACCTCTTTTGTTGTTGTTGTTGCTTCCATAATTATTTACTCAGTAGAGTTATCTGAATGCAGTACTTGCAAACTCAAATACCCAGAGGGGTCAGGCAGTGGACAAAAGTGAATGGTGTGTCTGGAGTCAGTCACAGTGAGAACTGGAGAGGGCTGGCCTCACTGGAAGGAGCAGTTGGTGATCAGCTTTCATCCTCAGATGCCACCCCCGCTGGAATGCAGACCCTGTGTGGCCACACAGCGTTCTTATGAGAAATGTTCTGTTATTTAGACGTGAACGACTACAAAAGTAAACAACAGAAACAAAAATTGTGGGTCTTTTGTCATTAAGATGTAGCTGGTGGCTTTCCAGTGTGTGACCCTTGCTTAAAGTCATGTCAGGGTCCCTTGGCCTGAAAAGGACACAGCAGTCTGCTTAACTGTTTTCGAGAAACGATAGTACTTGATTTCTAGAGTTTTGTTCTAGGATTTGTAGCTGCGGGGAGTTTGTGTGTGCACTTTAGTCTCCTCAGTAAAATGGGGATGTTAATACCTTCCTCCCAAATTTTTGTGAGACCTCATTGAATCCATAATGTACAGACCCGACCTGTTATTTCTCTTCTCTCTTGGTGAGTACCTTAGTCACTTAGCTTCTGCCTCACTAATTGATCACATGTTCTCATTCTCTTCACTCACTGTGGTCATTCTAATCCTCTACCTTTCCTCTTGCTGTACCCCTAGTCTAGAATGTTCACCCCATCTCTTTTACCCATTCTAAATATCCAACGAGATAGAATTCACTTCCCTTTTTGCACGAAATCTCCTTGCCATATTCCCATGCTGATTTCTATAAACTTATTTCAGCATATCCCATACTGATTTGTATAAACTTATTTCATTAATTTTCCTTTTGTAATTTCAGTTCTGGGGATAAAGTAGCATTTATTGTAGCATTCATTCGATGAATAAAGCTTTTAAGCTCAAAACTAGACCATCTACCAACTTGACTATCTCAGAGTAACTCTTCTCTAGGTGTGCTGCGTGTCTGAATCAAATTTTTCTAACTAAATTTAAGACTTCTCATGAGTAGGGCTACAGTTTTGGTTCTTCTTTCAAATAGTCCATAAAGCTTAATGTTATGTTTTCATAATAATGAGCACTAAAAAATGTGGATGGAACAATTTAGATGTTTATATCTAAGGAGGAAAGGTCACTTAGAGCAGACCATCATCTGATATTTCTTCAAGCTTTATCATTCAGATCATCATGATTATCAAAAGTGTATACAAAGTAAAGCAGGCTGTTTGTGAAGGATCTTGTAATGAGTGTTTCCCTCCTTTGACAATCAAGGGTGATGTTTATCTGCTGTTGGTACCAAGATTAGGGGGTGCCAAATATGTGCTAAGTTTAGCATATCCTTAGAGTATGCATAAAAAGTAATGCAAAATTTACCCAAACTGACAATGGATCCAGGCTCACAAAATTCAATGGTAACAAGATTTAAGGTATACCTAGGTGTGGTGGCTCACGCCTATAATCCCAGAACTTTGGGAGGCTGAGGGGGGGAGGATCACTTGAGCCCAGGAATTCAAGATCAGCCTGGGCAACATAGTGAGACCTCATCTCTATAAAAAATTTAAAAAATTAGCTGATTATGGCGGTGCATGCCTGTAGTCCCAGCTACTCTGGAGGCTGAAGTGGAAGATTGCTTGAGCCCAGGAGGTCGAGACTGTAGTGAGCTATAATCATGCCACTGCACTCCAGCCTGGGTGACAGAGTGAGACCCCATCTCAGAAAACAAAAACAAAAAACCCAAAAAGAAACAAAAAAAAAGGAGGGGAGGGAGGGAGCCTGGCCATCAACTTTGTGCTCTATTGTCAATATTGCATCTCTAATGTAGAGATAAATAAGACAAAATCATATAATGTTTGTTAAACATTTGACTTACTAGCTCATTTGCTTAACACCCATGTTTACCAGGTAACTCTTATTTTGACTTATCTGTCCATTAATGTCTTTTTTAGAGCTTCTTTGGCCACATTGATGCTAGAATTTTGGCTCATATTATTTTTATTTCTCATTATAAAGCAACAAATTGACAGTTCTGGTGCCTACCTCAGTTTTCAAACACTTCAGTTTTGCAAAATAGTTTCTTGGACCTGATCACCCCTGCTTGCTGATAAGAGTGTATAATTCAGGTACTCTTCTGCAAGGCCCTGTCCTGAAATAGTCAGCCTGGCTGATTTCACTTCTATTGTGTCCATATCCAAATTTCTACATGACACACCAAAATGATGAAATGAACAAGGAGAACGCATCTTCTTTTTCTTTCTTATCACCTCAGTAACCTAGTTAGATATATGATATGCCCTAGTTATTCATTCATTCCACATTTATTAATCATGCATTATATGTCTAAACATGTAAAATGCGCTGCAGGAGCAGATGGTGACCCTACCACAGTCGAGCTCTGGCTACAAGAGAGTTTGGAACTCATCTGAATCACTTTAGTCATGTTCAACTATTAGGTTCTTTTTGGTAGATATTAGTATTCACTGAAATCAAAGCTCCTACAGAGCTTTAGCTATTCCTCCATGATCTGTTTTATTTTATTTTTATTTGTTTTTTTAGAGACGGAGTCTCGCTGTACTGACCAGGTTGGTCTTGAACTTCTGGCCTGAAGCAATCCTGCTTCCTCGACTTCCCAAAGTGCTAGGATTATGTGCATTAGCCACTGTGCCCAGTTGGATTTTATTTTATTTTTTTTTTCCTTGAGACGGAGTCTCACTCAGTCACCCAGGCTGGAGGCAGTGGTGTGATCTTGGCTCAATGCAGCCTCCTCTGCCTCTCAGGTTCCAGCAATTCTCCTGCCTCAGCCTCCTGAGTAGCTGGGACTACAGGCACCCGGCACCATGTCTGGCTAATTTTTGTATCTGTGGTAGAGATGGGGTTTCACCATATTGGCCAGGCTGATCTGATACTCCTGTCCTTGTGATCTGCCTGCCTCAGCCTCCCAAAAGTGCTGGGATTACAGGCATGAGCCATCACGCCCGGCCCTGGATATGTTTTTAAAGAAATCAAGGTCTAAGAACAAATTCTGTTACATACATACATTTATTAGACAAACATTTTTAGCAAGCAGGCACATAAACCATCACACAACTCATTCTGTGAGTTCCAGAAAGGCCTAGGTCTCGGGTCTTTTGTGCAATCTGCAAACATCTTGAATGGAGGGTTCACTGGAAGCAAGTATAGCAACAGTCCAAAAATAGAATTTAGTTTACCTAGTAATTGGCAACAGACAACCATTAGCCTTTAAAATTGGGACTGGAGTCATGTCCCAGGTGCCATCTCAAAGGCTTGCAGGTGCATACAAGTGTGGCCTATATATCTAAAGTAATTTACTCAATCCACATATCTCTAGTGCCACTTGTTTAACTAATCTAACCATTTCTAACATTCTTTACGCTAATTATCAAGTCAGTAATTTCATATACACAAAGCCATTTCAATACTCAATATGTAAATTAGCAAAGTTTCTAGTTTTGATTGAAGATAAACATATGTAGCCCCTGGATAGCTGTGGCCTTTCTGATTAAATGCTAGCTGATCTCTTTCTCAGTATAAATTTCTAATTAGGATAAGTAACAGCCCTGAAGGTGTAGATTAAAATTAATACACACATTTATTTACATCATGCTGTCTGTGTTAAAGTGTTTTTTAATGAATTATAGACATTATAACACAGAGCTGTAAAAAATACACAGATTTGTGGGGTTTTAAAAAATTTTTCTTTTTGTTTTAAGGTCCGGGGTACATGTACAGGATGTGCAGATTTGTGATGTGGGTAAATGAAGATATACACAGTTTTAGTAACATTTCCGTTTCTCCAAATAGTATTCACGCAAAAAAAACCTTCAGAAGAATGGAGTTTTGGCCCTTTCTCTGGAATGATCTGTGTTAAATATACTCCTTAATGACAACACTAGTGGGAATGAGAAAAATGTTCTTGTAAACCTACTTATTTATTTATTTTGTTTTTTATTTTCAGTTTAAGCTGTCAGACCTGGTGGAAAGTCCAAATTCCTCTTAGGGTAAAATTTTTGGTTTTGTATGGCAAATAAACTATTTGGCACTAAAAGTCGGAAGGGCATGGCCTGAAAAGTTAAGATCAAGGCCAATGAAGTTAATTATGTTGCTTTTCAAAGTAACTGGAATTTTTTCCTCTTGGTAAAAAGAGTTCTTGGGAGAATCTAAGCTGACAGTGGAAGTGGGAGGCAGAAAGGGAGGGATGGAAAAGATGTGTCATGGCTGAGGGAGGGGACCCAGGAAGATGGAGGCAAGTGAAGTTTGGAGGGAAGGACCCACAAAAAATGATCTGCAGTAGAGATGACCTTCGGATCTCAGCACAGTGATATCTAATTCTCAATTTTATGTGGTTGCCAATTCTAACCTCTCTGTATGTAATTCACTTCTGTTAGCCTAAGCCTTCAATAAAATGTCTGCTACACAGAACAGCTGTGGTTAGCGGTCCTTTGAGAAAACGAGGGAAGAGAGGTGGGGTTGGGCATGGCGTAAGGAAGTTCAGAGAGAGGACAGCAGCCCAGGTATTGACCAATAAGTACAGTGATTGAGAATCCAGAAGGAGCATAAATCCAGAATGGGAGGTGTACATGAACTGGTAACGTCCCTCTGGAAATGCCCTAAAATCTTGGGGAAGGCTTGAACTTCCTGCTGTGCATATCAGATAGACGGGTGCCATCTTATTTCACATACTAAAGGAAAGAGTGGCCCCAGGAAACTGGAAGACTTGGGGACTTCTAGACCCAGAAGCTGGTATTAAATAAAAGCAGATCCAAACCTAGAATGCATCTCTTGACATCTAGTTGATCTGTTTGTCACATTTTGTCTTAGACAACTAAGCAACTTGAACTTATAGCAGAATACTGGGAAAAGTTTCATCCAACATTGACTGTACCCAAATGCAGGAAGTTTATTCAAGGAATTTTTGTTTATTTAACCAAGAAAGTAAATTGCTTTCTTACATTGGAGGTTTACTTTTTAAAAACAGGAGCGAAATTCTTCCCATAATTAAAAATATGCTATTATTTAAAAATATTTTGATGCTAAATTACCTGATGTTTAAAGCAAGATCATAACACAAATCATAGCTGCTGAGTCTTAATGTTCTGTCCAGGACCATGGGTCTGGCACTGTGTTAAAGATATACAGAGAAAAGACAGTTGCTGCCAGGACCTCTTGCTGGCAGGAAGGTAAGTACTACTGATTTTCATGGAATTTGATTAGTCTTTATTTAATATGGGCATCCTTCCAAAAGTTAGTAAGATGGTTTCGAGATCATAAAATACATCTCCCTCTAACATGTATCTCAATAAACTTCTTTGCGCCGTGGATATTCTGGTAAGATCCAATCTTAGATTTCAATTCTGAGGAGGCCATGTTTGCCTTATAAACAAAAGTTTATTCATAACAAACCATTTTTAGGCATCTACTCCAAGGTGTTATGATTGTTCTGTAGGTCATTGATCATTTCGGACTTTCCATTGATCTTAGTTGGGTTTTAACATGTCAAAAAACACTGCACTGGGGCCGGGCGTGGTGGCTCACACCTGTAATCCCAGCACTTTAGGAGGCCGAGGCAGGTGGCAGGCAAATCATTTGAGGTCAGAAGTTCGAGACAAGCCTGGCCACCATGGTGAGACCCTGTCTCTACTAAAAATACAAACATTAGCTGAGAGTGGTGGCATGCCCCTGCAATCCCAGCTACTGAGGCAGGAGGCTGAGGGAGGAGAATCACTTGAACTCTGGAGACGGAGGCTGCAGTGAGCCGAGATCACGCCACTGTACGCCAGCTTGGGCAACAAAGTGGGAATTCATCTCAAAACAAAAACAAAAACACTACGTTGACTGTATTTGCTTATTTGTTTGTTTATAAAATTTGATTGTTTTTATCTTATAGGTACACTCAAGATTTGCTCCTACAAATTCAGCACCCACACAACATGAAAAAGGAGTAAACTGGGCCAGGCGCGGTGGCTGGCGCCTGTTATCCCAGCACTTTGGGAGGGTGAGGTGGGTGGGTCATGAAGTCAGGAGATCAAGACCACCCTGGCTAACATGGTGAAACCCTGTCTCTACTAAAAATACAAAAAATTAGCCGGGCATGGTGGTGGGCGCCTGTGGTCCCAGCTACTCAGGAGGCTGAGGCAAGAGAATGGCATGAACCCAGGAGGCGGAGCTGGCAGTGAGCTGAGATCGGGTCACTGCACTCCAGCCTGGGTGACAGAGCAAGACTCCATCTCAAAAAAAAAAAAAGGAGGAAACTGGAAGCTTGGTTGAGTTTCCAGGATGTGAATGATATAATCCAAATAATGCCAGGGAAAGTTATATCCAGTGTTGGGGTGTGATGCATGGGATATGTGTCAGTTACAAGGTGTAGGACAATTTAATACTATAAATCTGAGTAAACATTTAGTGTTGTGGCTTTTAGAACAGAAGTGGGAAGACTGGAAATTTTGAAACGATATTTGTGGATGAATATTTGAGTGGGTATGTTGAGGCAGAGGATGCAGGGGAAGATCTGCAAAGATTTCTGGGTAAAAATGTGAAGTAGCTGATTCATATTCTATTGTTCACTTATGGTTTGTTGTCTACACCATTCTTTGATGGTAATATTCTTTCTGCACCATCTGACCACCCTGGATGAATACCATTGTAGTAACGAGTGGGTTTAAGAGTCAGATTTCAAATTCAAGATCCACTACTTCCTATGTCATCTCTGTGAAAAACATGTTACCTCTTTTAGCCTCAATTCTTTTATCAGTAAAATTATCATATCAAATTGAAAATTTTGGTCGGAATTACTCTGCTTCATAGACTCTCAGATATGATTGATTATAAGACACCCATTATTTTATGTACAACTAAGGAAAAAAAAACACTGCCAGTTGAACTATAACACCATCAACTGTAAGATATATCCTGATTTCAGAGATGCTAAAATGTAAAATGTTTGAGTCAATGAGACACAACAAGTGAAATATTTAATGTCACTGTCTTGTAAGCCTTAAAGTACTATACAAACATATTACTTATTATTATTTATGCATTGAAATGTATAATAAATGAGCTCGATGGATACACAGAAATGATTGACTTTTGTCCAATTCTGACACATGAGAATGAGGAGCTATCCTTAGAAACTTGAGAGGGCAGTGACTTTAGGAAACATCACATTAAAGTTTGCCTCATAAAATCGAAAATAGATTCAAAAGATAAACCTATTCCTACTGAGCCATTATATTCCACAATGAAAATTATGTATGTTTTAGAACATAAATATCTGAGTCCTATTACTTATAAGATCGGGTCATTCTTTTATATCTCTCCCCTAGAGGAAATGGGTGAGATTCAGAGCGCCAGATTTTGCTATCTTCACCTTGAAAGTTCATCCTGAAATAAATGGTGAAATTAGTTAGCTAGCACTCAATCTTCAGGAGTGCAAAGTAAAATTCTATGTTATTTTTCATGTCCTGGACTACTGATACATCTTCCTGTGAGAAATATTCCACATCATTTGTTTTGCTAAGGGAAAGGCAAAACAAACTTTAGCATAGAACTAGAGAGGGTAAGTGGTAAGTGACTTTAGGGCCATTTAAGAACTTTTACTGGTGGTTAACTTTCATTTAAGGACTTTTCTTAGTCAAAATGTGGAGAGGAAAATAGCATACACAGAATTTTTAAAAAGAGGAAACAGAATACTCACTAAAGAGTCCCCTGATCCCTTAAATTTATGAGTACACGGCTACTTCTTAAGTATTGGAGACTGACTGATTCCATTGATAGAGTATCCAAATCTAGAATATATTTACTAACAGAGTGTAATAGAATGATACAAAGTGGTTTTTAATTTTAAAACCTCATGTACATATGCCTCTCACATATGTCAGCCAGGATATTTCTTTTATTATTATTATTAATTTTTATTTTTATTTTAAGTTCCAGGGTATGTGTGTAGGATGTGCAGGTTTGTTACATAGGTAAATGTGTGCCACGGTGGTTTGCTCCACCTATCAACTCATCACCTAGGTGTTAAGCCCAGCACGAATTAGCTATTTTTCCTAAAGCTCTCCTTCCCCTGACCCGACTGCCCTACAGGCCCCAGTGTGTATTGTTCCCCTCCCCGCGTCCATGTGTTCTCATTGTTCAGCTCCCACTTATAAGTAAGAACAAGCGGTGTTTGGTTTTCTGCTCCTGCGTTAGTTTGGTCAGCCGGGATATTTCACTGGGCGTGCACATCACCAACAGCTAAAGCGTGTTCTGAAAACCAGTCACCACAAGATTGAGGAATTCTCTAGTTACTTTTCTCTGGCTTTAACTACTACAAAGCTCCCCTTTACAACCTGGTTCATGTTGGAGGGCATAGAAAACGATCACTTTGAACATCAGACCAAGATACACAGCTCAGTCTCAAACTTTCCCTGGGGTAAAACTATGGCTTGAAGGTGGGAGCTTAAGAAAGCTTTTTTAAGCCTGGATTTTTTCATCAAAATGTTAATAGCATTAGACGTGAGATGGATAAGTGGAGGAGAATGAAGGTAGACAGGCTTTGCTATTTTGCTCTGTATTTAAAAAAAAATTCTTTACATTGAGAAATTACTGTTTATACAATTTCTTTAAAAATTAATCATTCCATGATGAGTAAGTATGGAGAAAATTAGAGAAAAAATATGTGTTGATATAACAATAGTGGATGTGTGTATACTTAATGGAACTTTAAAATGCACAAGAAAAAAACTTACATCATTGACAAATTCACAATTACTGATGGTAATTTAATAACCTTTTCATAAAAGCATAAGTATGTGACCATTACTACAGGACTGAGTGAAGGGGGACAAATGCAGAAATGAAAACAAAGGAAAAAGGATTTGTTTTAAAAAAAAAAAAGGGGTTGGGGGCTCCTTGTTTCTAGTGAGCAAAGGCAGCCCTGAGCTTCTACAGCCCTTTGTATTTATTGGGTAGAAAGAGCAGGGAGGAGGAGGTAAGGATTGGTCAGCTGCTTGATTGATCACAGGTTCACATGATTGCTAACAAGCTTCAATTGTGCCTGTAGATAATCACAAGAAACACTGCCCCTGGGGGTTGACTGCCCTCAGCATTCCTTCTGGGTGGCAGAGGCAGTTTGTCAGTTTGCCAACAACCTGCGTTCATGAGAACAGTTTGCTGTTTGCTCATATAGCCTCCAGTGGTATACTGAGTCGGTCACGACCCTCACTCTTTCGGCCTCCAACATAAGTAGACAAAAAAATTAGGAAAGATATAAAAGATTTGAATGATACTATCAACCAACTTAACCTAATTGACATTTAAAGAACACTACACTCAACAATTGAAGAATACAATTGACCCTTGAACAACAGGGGTTTGAACTACTTGGTCCACTTATACACGGATTTTTTTCAAGAAGAGTTACACTGAGTGTGCCTGCCTCTTCTGTCTCCCCTTTCACCTCTGAAACAGCAATCCCTCCTCTTCTTCTTCCTCCTCAGCTTACTCAACATGAAGTCAATGAGGATAAAGACCTTTACAATGATCCACTTCCACTTAATGAATAGTAAATACATTTTCTCTTCTTTATGATTGTCTTAATAGCATTTTCTTTCCGCTAGCATGCTTTATTGTAAGAATACAGTGTATAATACACATAACATACAAAATATGTGTAAGCTGACTATTTTATTGATAAGGCTTCTGGTCAACAGTTGACTATTAGTAGTTAAGTTTTTGGAAAGTCAAAAGTTATACACAGATTTTCAACTGTGTGAGGGATCTATGTCCCTAACCTCTGAATTATTCAAAGGTCAACTGTGCATATTACTTTCAAGTGTACATGGAATGTGTAACAAGGTAGACTATATGCTGGACTATGAAACAAGTCTGAATACATTAAAAGACTGACATCATACAAGATATGTTCTTTAACCACAACAGAATCAAATTAGAACAGAAAAACAACCAGATATCTGAAAAATCTTTAAATATTTCGGAGTTAGGTAACATACTCCAAATAATCAATGGGTCAAGGAAGAAATGCAAGGGAAATTAGAAAACATTTTGTATGAAATTGAAAACATATCAAATTTTGTGAGACGTGCAAAAAGCAGTCCTTAGAAAGTTTTTATCTCTAAATGTTTATATTGGAAAAGAAAGAAGGTTAATATCAATGATCTAAATTTCCATTTATTGAAGTTTCAAAAGAAAAGTAAAATCCAAAATAAGCAGAAAATGTGAAATAATAAAGATGATAATAATAGAATTTTTAATTAAATGGAAAATGAATAAACAATAGAAAATCTGTGAAACCAAAAGTTGGTTCTTTGAAAGGATCAAAACCCGATACATTTCTAAATAGACTCATAAAGAAAAAAAAAAGAAAACACAAATTATCAGTATCAAGAATGAAATAGAGACATGGCTACAGATCCTATAGACATTAAAAGGATCATAAGGAAATAGCATGAACATGTCAGTAAATTGGATAATTTAAATAAGTCCTTTAAAGACACAGAATACCAAAACTGACACAGGATAAAATTAATGCCGATACATTCAATCACTCGAGAGATACAAATACTGTACTCAATATAATACCTTTACTTATTCCTCAGAACTCAGCTTAAATATCCCCTCAAGAGGTCTTATTACTCCCACAATTTTAATAAAAATATTGAATGCATAAAACATTTATAAACATGTTCATGTTTATGTTAGTCTGCTCAGGCTACCATCACAAATACCACAGACTAGATGGCTTAAACAACAGACATTTATTTTTCTCAGTTCCGGAGGATAAAGGTCCATGATCAAGATTCCTGCAAATTCTATTTCTGGCAAGCACTTTCTCTCTGGCTTGTAGACAGCCAACTTCTCATTGTGTACTAACTTGGCTTTTCCTCTGTGCCTGTGCAGAGAGAGAAAGACAGAGGCAGAGAGAGAGAGAGAGAGAGAAGAGAGAGAAAGAGAGAGAGAGAGAGAAAAACACATGTTCTGATGTCCCCTCATCTTCTTATAAGGACACCAGTTCTACAGGATTAGGGCCCCATGCTTATGACTTCATTTAACCTTAATTACCTCCATAAAGGTCTTATCTCCAAATAGAGTGACACTGGGATTGGGGCTTCAACATACGAATTTTGTGAGGACACAATTCTGTTTATAACAATAGGATATAAAGAAAAATAATATAATGAGCACCTGGAAACCACCACCAAGTTTAAGGAGGAAAGCATTACCTACCTTAACTTGAAAAACCTGCCCCTACCCTTTCAGAATCTCTTCCCTTTGTATCCCCACTCAGAGCTAGCCATTATCTTGAATTTTGAATTTATCATTGTCTTCCTTCTATGTACAATACTACCACGTTTGTGCACCTAAATAATAAGATGCTATAATAAATTTTATGCAAATGGAACCATACTGTAATTTTTCCGAGACATTTCTATTGTTCAACATTATGCTCCTGAGATGCATCATTTTGTTATGTGAAACTCTAGTTAACTCATATATTTTTATTCTGTGTAACAATTTACTATTGATGGACATTTGGATTGCTTCCAGTTTCTTGTTAAAAATAGTGTTGCCATAAATATTTTTGTAAATGTCTTCTGGTGGACAAATGCAAGAATTTCTCTAGATCAAAGGTTGGCAACCTTTTTCTGTTACTGGCCAAATAGTAAATATTTTTGGCTTGAGAGCCATATGGTCTGTGTTGCAACTACTTGACTCTGCCTGTATACTGTGAAAGCAGCCGTAGACACTACATAAACAAATGGACATGTATATATTGCAATATAACAAGACTTGGGCTAGATTGAGCCCTCAGGGCACAGCTCATTGGCCCTCAGTCCAGATTATAAACCTAGGAGTAAAATGCTGAGTCATGTTTAGTGTATATCTACTTTCTACTTGAATAAATCATGCCAAGGGGTTTTCCAAAGTTGTATCAATTTATACCCCCATCTGCTTTTTAGAAGAGTTCTAGGTACCCTACATCCTTGCAAGACTTGACAATGTTAACATTTTTCCTTTTTGCTAATCTAAAGATGTGAAATGGCATCTGTGATTTAAAATACATTTCCTTGATTACTAATGATATTAAGTATCTTTTTGTAAGTTTTCTCTTTTGTGAATTATTTGTTGAAATGATATCCCCATTTTCTAGTGGGCTGTTTTTCTCACTGTCATTAATTTGAAAAAGTTATTTATATATTACAGATTTTAATTCTCTTCCAGTTGTAGTTCTGAAAATATATGTTCCCATTTTGTGGCTTGTCATTTTACTTTCTTATTGGTGAAGTTTGAGAAATGGAAGGTCACAATTTTGATATAGAATTTATCACTCATAACGATTGTTTTTTCTTCTTTGTGTTTAAACTGCCTAGTCTGATAATTAATGGAGACACCTCAGTTTTCTTTTGTTTATAATTTGCATAGGTTATGTTTGTCTGTGTTTTTATTTTCAAACTTATGTTTCTTATACATAACACAGAGCTGGAATTTGATCTTTTTAGCTAATCTGAAAATATTGTCTACTTTCCTGGATCATTTAGTCTGTTTTGCAGTAATTACAGTTATTTACATATATGGATATATTTCTATCATCGAATTTTATGCCTAATTTGATATCCTACCTTTTGGAGAAGAAATATTTAAGCTGAGACCCCAAGAACAGTAAGGAATTAGTCAGGCAAAGCTGAGGAGACAGCGTTCCAGGAAGAGGGCGTAGTGTTTACAAAGCTCTTGCAGAAAAGGTCTTGCACATTTTAGTAATTGAGCGGAAGCCTATTCAACTGGAGATTAGTGAGCAAGAGGGAGAGCTACAAGGGAAGAGTTTTCAAAACTAGTCAGGGAAAGTTTTTGAGTAGTGAACTGTTGTGGACTGAATTGTGTCCCCCGCAAAATTCATGCCAAAGCCCTAATCCCTGGTATCTCAGAATACGCCTGTTTGGAGATAGTGCCTTTAAAGAGTTCATTAAAATAAAATGCAATAATGACTGGGCCTTAATCCAATATGACTGGTATCCTTATAAGAAAAGGAAATGAGGGTGCAGACACAGAAGGGAAGACTATATGGAGACACAGAAGACGGCCACATGCAGGCTCTGAGAAGAAACTAAACCTGCCCACATTTTGATCTTGGATTTCCAGCCTTCAGAACTATGAAAAATAAATGTCTCTACCTAGCCTGTGGTACTTTGTTATGGCAATCCTAGCAAACTAATACAGAGATGTGACAAATTGTGATTTACTTTTTAAAATTTAACTTTTATTACCTTCAGGTAATCATACCAAGATTCAAATGTGTGTCAAGTAAACTTTCCAGGAGCTACACCATGTGGAGAAGTCACTGGCAGACAGTCCAAAGTGGCTTTTTAATTCTCAAATAGTAGAGGAGTACCAGATGAGAACATTTCCCTTTGCCCTTAATCATGGATGAGCTTGGTAGGAAAAATACACCTCTATGGCATTTAACCTCCTATGCTCTGGACTATCGGTTTAAAGTACATTTCACGAAGCAACAGTAGTTAGTAAAGTTACAGGACCAAGTGTTAGGTAGCTAAGTTCTAGTTGATATCTGCGGGCTGGCTTCTGTCTACAGTATTGACTTGCTCTCATATTTAAAAAGGCATCTGTGCATCACATTCTCTCTTTTGGAGGAATGGGGCTGGGTGGCCTCAAAGATTTCCTTTAAATTTAATTTTAGAGGATTCTCCTGCTTCTTTTTTTGTTTGTTTGTTTTGTTTTGTTTTGTTTTGTTTTGTTTTGTTTGAGATGGAGATTTGCTCTTGTCGCCCAAGCTGGAGTGCAATGGCGTGATCTCGGCTCACTGCAACATCCGCCTCCCAGGTTCAAGTGATTCTCCTGCCTCAGCCTCCCGAGTAGCTAGGATTACAGGAGCACACCACCACGCCCAGCTCATTTTTGTTTGTTTTTCTCTCTCTTTTTTTTTTTTTTTTTTTTGAGACAGAGTCTTGCTCTATCACCCAGGCTGGTGTGCAATGGCGTGATCTCGGCTCACTGCAAGCTCCGCCGCCTGGGTTCATGCCATTCTCCTGCCTCAGCCTCCGGAGTAGCTGGGACCACAGGCACCCGCCACCATGCCTGGCTAATTTGTTGTATTTCTAGTAGAGAGGGGGTTTCACCGTGTTAGCCAGGATGGTCTCGATCTCCTGGCCTCATGATCCGCCCACCTCGGCCTCATGTATTTTTAGTACAGATGGGGTTTCACCAGGTTGGTCAGGCTGGTCTTGAACTCCTGACCTCAGGTGATCCACCTGCCTTGGCCTCCCAAAGTGTTGGGATTACAGGCATGAGCCACCATGCCCTGCCGATTCTCCTGCTTCTTAATTTACTTTTTTACCATGCCCAACATTAAGGCTAAAAGGATTTTTGAAATTGCAAATATAAGAAATATTAACCTTCAGATACTTATACATAGTTATAGACAAATGCTATTGTCCCGGTTAGCTGTTGCAAAACTAAGATTTCTTGACATCCAATTCACTGTGTTGAACTGTTAAAATAGTCCTTCTCTTTGATGTAGTTTCAGCCTGCTGTTCACTGAGACATAATTGTGCCCATAGAGGAAGGCGCATTGGAAGTACTCATAGCAGGATATACTTAAAGGAACTCAAGTTGAATGCAATTACATTATTCAAACTGAAAATCCAGTGAGAAATTGGTTTCAGGGTTCTTTAACAAGTTGGATGTCTCATTTGGAGGAAAATGTTAATGATTTGCCATGTGTCATGAACTGTGCCTTTAATATCAATAATTGAGTAAAGTAGCAAGACAAGTCTTGGATCAGAATTTTTCAGAATAGCATCAGCAACTTCAAACACAATGTTAATCATTTGCTCTGGTTGAAACACAAGAAATAATAAAATATCAAAGGTTTTATTTTGATATATGGGTTCCCTCTAGGTACTGAGAAAGCAGTAGATATTCAGGGTTCAGAAGTAGAGAGTCAAGGGATAAAGTTAAGAACGGGTAAACAGCATGAGTTTTGGAGAGTTCAGAAGAGTGTAATATATCCAAAAGCTAAAGATTTACATATCTCAAAAAAGATCCTGGTCATAACAAGAACCAAAAACAAAAGCTAACCAGCAATAAACTTAACAAAAGTTGTGAGGAAGTTAAAACAAGAAAATTACAACATTTAAAGGAAACTTAAAAAAAAAAAGAAAAGTGAATTATGTGTGGATCTTAGTGACTGAAAATGTAATAAAGGTGTCAATTATTTGAAAATTAATGTGATTCTAACAGAAATATTAGTGACAGGATTCTGATGATTTCTATTCCCTTGGTTGTGCTTTTCAGGAGATAATACATTTTTTAAAGTGAGCCTGAAAAGGGGATTAGAATTCTAATATGTTTATTTTAAGTGCTGAAATACCTTTATATGCTGAATAGCAGGATACACCTTGCGATCTGGGAGTCCATTGTCTTTGTTGGAGATTCCAGGGCCACTGTGATACACACTTCTGGAGCTCCATTCTTACAGTTTTTGCAACTAACGCTCTCTGGAGTTGGACAGTGCACAACTTAAGCAGGGTGCTAGTCGGGGTGACTCTGCAGATTGAGAAATTTTTGTTCTTTTTTTTGTTTCCCAACTCCAAGGGAAGTCTCCTGTTCTTTCTCAAAAAACATATTTGTTTTGAATAACTAATGCCTTACCTGAGAGGTCACAACATATTAAAACTTACCCGAGAAGTCAAATAATCAAGATGTAGAAAATTCACCAGACCAAAAACAGTGTTGCCTTAAAGTTCTGAAGGTATTTCAAAGCTCTCCACTGCATTAAAGCAAAAACAGCGCAAGAAGTCAGGACGTTTCTGAACCCTAGCCAAAACTCTGTCTAAAGGGGAATTTGAGGTTGGTGTTATTGGAAAATCAGTCATTAGCTGCCCATCACTCAGCTGACTAGGAGTAACAATGATGCCAATATTGATTACAGATTGTGCTATCCAAAGGACAGATTTCGGTTTTAAGAAACTCACCAAACCATTAGCTTTTGTGAATGAATACTCCTTTACAAGAATATCCAAATAGGTAATAAAGTACAAAATATGTAACATAAGATGTGTCTAAATCTTTAGTATTGAAACATGTAAAGTGCAAAATATGTAATATTAAATATCTAAATATATAATTAATATGTAATAAAGTACAAAATTTTAGTTTTTATCTTATTAAGTTCTAAACAATGTTTCATAATTCTTTCAAATAGCAACATTGCAACTCCTATCCACATTAAGCATACCACATAGAGTTCAATGGAGGACGGGCATGTTTTCTTTGATAGAATCAGAGTTTTAACTTAGTGAACACATTATTTCCTTGATTCTGCTGGAGGAACAGAAATGGTTAGGAAGCATGTATTATCCAGAAGTATGTTTCAGTAATGTCATCATTAGAAAAATGAAAGCCTGAGTAAATGTTGTACATTAAAGGAAAAAAGAGATTTAAATCTCCCATGTCAAACTTTCCTATTGAACATTTAGATTTTTAAAAAGATAAAATTATTTTTAAGAATAAGATGTTTTGGCTGATTAATTTACTAACAAAAATGATCAATTTTCAAATTATTTAAAAATCTGTATCACAAAAATATGAGTGTATAGTTAAAAAGTCAATAGTAATGAGAAATAGCTCTTCCTTCCTGTCCTGCTCCCCAGAAGCAACAGATTTCAAACTCTTAGATTTTTCTCCTGCTATATCGCTTGCATTTTCTCTTACCATCCTAGAATAGTTACAAACCCTGATTTCTGGTTTAGCCAAACACAGGGTTTTATTATAATGACTGCATCGGTTAGGTTCCTCAGAAAAGCACCCACTTGGAGTATCTATGCACCCTGCCCCATGGAACAGCCACAGAGTCTTCTCGTTAGGTGGTCTATTCCAAGTAAGCAACTTTTCAGATCATCTAGTTAATGAGTTAGGGTAGCACATATCTAATACCTAAAGATGCCCATCAAGTATTTTGGCTCTTTTTATGAATAGGGGATGAAAGTGGCAGCAGTTTGTTCTTTACTTTGAAGGAAACATCTTGACATACCCCAGAATATTGAACACTCAAAAACTTCCGGTCACCTCTAAGATCATGTACTTCCTGAGATTTACCCACATGTGCCAGCATGCCTGTGTGTCACTGAGTCATCTAGGGTTCCTGATCCTTTCACCAACCCAAATCTTTTCAAAAAGATGTCATTAAGATAGTGGACCAGTCTGATGTCTTTGTGTGTGTGTGTATGCGTGTGTGAGAGAGAAAGAGAGAGGGTCTCGCTTCGTCACCCAGGCTGGAGTGCAGTGGTACAATCATGCCTCACTGCATCCTCAACCCCCCAGGCTCAAGTGATCCTCCCAACTCAGCCTCCCAAGTAGTGGGACTACAAGCATGTGCTGCCACACCCAGTTAATTTTATTTATTTATTTATTTAATTTATTAATTTATTTATTTATTGTAGAGATGGGGCTCTTGCTATGTTGCCTAGGCTGGTCTCAAACTCCTGGGCTCAAGCAATCCTCAGTCTGATGCGTTGTCTTGCAGGATTAAACTTGTATTTCTCTATTAATGTGAAGCATGAAATAGCACCTATATACTGTGTAGGATGATACGTGTAATATGTTTTTACTTCTTCTAAGTCTGTTGTTTTTGTTAAAATAACCAAAACTTTAAAATCCATATTATGCTTATTTCTTATCTCGTAAGTAATTACTTTTGTCATCTATATTAACAAGCTGCAATACCAGATGTCAACTGGGTTATCATTGTCCTTTAAGATTTTGTCAGAATCTCCTCTAATCTATAGAAACTCTACAGTTTTACCAAGATTTTAAAAAATCTTCTGCAGTGTGCATTCATCCAAATACCCATGGTTGAGTTATGTCTTCTGCTGAATTTTCAAAATTCATTTTACATTTCTGTCCCAGTGTTTCCCAAACATACAAAAGACTGCTTCTCCTTAATTCACCCAGCCTTCAAAGTGCCACTCACTGAGGGAGGAGTAGGTGTCATGTTTCCCGAAGTCTTGGGAGTGTAAAACTGAAAGGTGGTGGTGGGGAGGTGGGAGGTAGTGTTGGGTCCATTTCAGTGTCATAGTGGAGAACTGAAAGCATGCGCTTAAATACATGTTCTTGTGAAGCTTCAGTTCTACCAGCTCAGCTCCAACTTCTCAATGAGGGGCTCAGCCTTTCTTCTTCCCTTCCCTTCCCTCCTACTGCTCTGCTCCAGTCTTCATACTTAAATTTCTACTCACTGATAAATAACAATTGCTAATCATCATCAAGTACTAGCTATGTGTTCACTTAGGGTTTTCACAACCTATGAGGTAGGTACTATTGACCCCATTTCACAAGTGAGAAAACAGAAGTAGAGAAACTGAGTAGGCCAGGCATAAAGGCTCATGCCTGTAATCCCAGCACTTTGAGAGTCTGGGGAGGGCAGATCACAAGGTCAGGAGTTCGAGATCAGCCTGAACAACATGGCGAAACCCCATCTTTACTAAAAATACAAAAATTAGTGGCCAGGCACAGTGACTCACGCCTGTAATCCCAACACTTTGGGAGGCCAAGGCGGGCAGATCACAAGGTCAGGAGATCGAGACCATCCTGGCTAACACAGTGAAACCCCATCTCTACTAAAAATATAAAAAAGTAGCCAAGCGTGGTGGTGGGCACCTGTAGTCCCAGCTACTCGAGAGGCTGAGGCAGGAGAATGGCATGAACCCAGGAGGCTGAGCTGGCAGTGAGCCGAGATCGCGCCACTGCACTCCAGCCTGAGCGACAGAGCAAGACTCTGTCTCAAAAAAAAAAAAAAAAAAAAAAAATTATTAGCCAGTTGTGGTGGCATGTGCCTGTAGTCCCAGCTACTCAGGAGGATGAGGCAGGAGAATCACTTGAACCTGGGAGGCAGAGGCTGCAGTGAGCCGAGATCACACCACTGCACTCCAGCAGCCTGGGCGACAGAGTACGACTCCGTCTCAAAATAAAAACAAAAGCAAAATAAAACACTGAGTAAATTGTCAAAAAAGATATGTTTTATAATTGTCTTTACTTTCCATCTGAAACCGCTTATCAAAGCATTGTTCTAAACAAAAGTAGTTTCTACTTTAGGAGGACGTCTGGTGCTTGTTGGTAAAATATGACTGTTTAAATCATGCACCATGTCTATTTAGACAGCTCCCATATTTAAGAGGTTCCATTGATCTCTACTTCTTCTTTCGCAGCTCTTGGTGCCAATGCTTGAATTTCCTATCTTGGTTACTTTCAGTGAGTTGTAGAACATTTCTTTGGGTCATTTTTTTTTTTATCACGAATATAGTAATGAAATATATCCAGACACTTTACATGTCTGAGAATATCTCTCTGTTGTTCCCAGAGAAAAACACCATATTGACTGAATGCAGAGATGCTGCAGGCATTACTCTAATATCTTTTTTCATTTTGAATAAAAATCTGATGCCAATCTGAATTTAAAATACTTCCAAATATCTCAAAATTACTAATAAAGAGATGGAAAAATGAGAAAGAAATCATGTATGAAAAATTAAGGAAAGAAGTTACAAGTATCCTTGAGAAGAAAAGAAAGCAAATTGATAAGAATCAAAATGTATTAGGCTTATAAAAAAATTTAGATATAAAACTGACCTAAGATAAAAGATTAAGCACATAACCATATGCTTGGAAAAATTAGCTGGGGAGGAAAAGGAAACATCCAGCTTAGAGCCCATCATCTACCCAACTGTGGGAAAAGACCTAGAAGCCACACGCTATTTTTATTTTCAATTACTTGATGAACTTCCCAAGAGAATGGTGGCAGACTGAAGAGCTGGAGAAAAAGGAAACAGAAAGGCCACAATCGGTTTTATAGATACTGGATATAATCTCCTCAGCAAAGAAAACAACACATTAAAGAAAAGGCTAAAATGCAGTAGATCAAAAATTCCACCTAGGGGGATTTGAGCTGTGGCTGTTTTAAGTCCCAATTCTTTCCCCATATAGCCACAAACAGGTAAGTGATTAAACTCAAACACCAATATCCAGCCCCCATACTACTTTTTTTTTTTTTTTTTTTTGAGATGGAGACTCACTGTGTCACCCAGCCTGTAGTGCAATGCTGCAATCTTGGCTCACTGCAACCTCTGCATCCTGGGTTCAAGAGATTCTCCTGTCTCGGCCTCCTGAGAAGCTGGGATTATAGGCGCCCGCCACCATGCCCAGCTAATTTTTTTTTTTTTGTATTTTTAGAGTAGAGATGGGGTATTTCACCATGTTGGTCAGTTTGGTCTCGAACTCCAGACCTCAGGTAATCCGCCCATCTCAGCCTCCCAAAGTGCTGGGATTACATGCATGAGCCACCGCACCTGGCCCACACCACTCATTTTTAAAGGAAAAGATTCAATCGGTTTACAAGCAATGCAGTGTTAAAAGGGAAATTTATAGCACTAAACACACCATCAAAAAAATCAGAAAGATCAGAAATTAGCAACCTAACATCACAATTTTAAAAACTAGAGAACCAAGAGCAAACCAACCCCAAAGGTAGCAGAAGACAAGAAATAACCAAAATCAGAGTGGAACTAAAGGAGATTGAGATACAAAAAACCACTAGAGCTGGAGCTCCTCCCCAATCATTTAACAAGGCCAGCATCATCCTGATAACAAAATCTGGCAGACACACAATAAAAAAAAAAGAAAACTTCAGGCCAATATCCTTGATGAACACTGATGCAAAATTCCTAAACAAAATACTTGCAAACTGAATCCAGCAGCAGTCCACAAAGCTAATCCACTATGACCAAGTAGATTTTATCCCTGGGATGCAAGGTTAGTTTGACACATGCAAATAAATAAATGCGATTCATCACATAAGCAGAATTAAAGACAAAAATCATGTTATTTTTTTAGTAGATGCAGAATAGGCTTTTGATAAAGTTCAACATGACTTCATGATAATCACTCTCAAAAAACTAGGTGTTGAATGAATATACTTCAAAATAATAAAAGCCGTCTATAACAAACCCACAGCCAACATTATACTGAATGGACAAAAGCTGGAAGCATTTCCCTTGAAAGCCAGCACAAGACAAGAATGCCCACTCTCACCACTTCTATTCAACATAGTATTGGAAATCCTGGCCAGAGCAATCAGGCAAGAGAAAGAAATTAAGAGCATCCAAATAGGTAAAGAGGAAGTCAAACTATCCCTGTTTGTAGATGACATGAACCTATATTTTAAAAACCCCACAGTCTTGGCCCAAAAGCTCCTTTGGCTGATAAACAACTTCAGCAAAGTTTCAGGATACAAAAATAAACATACAAAAATCACTAGCATTCCTAGACACCAAAAACAGCCTAGCTGACAGCCAAATCAGGAATGCAATCCCATTACAGTTGCCACAAAAAGAATAAAATACCTAGGAATACAGCTAATCAAGGTGAAAGATTTCTATAATTAGAATAACAAAACACTGGTCAAAGAAATCAGAGATGGCAAAAACAAATGAAAAAACATTCCATGCTCATGGATAGGAAGAATCATTATTGTTAAAATGGCCATACTGCCCAAAGAAATTTACAGATTCTGTGCTATGCCTATCAAACTACCAATGACATTCTTCACAGAACTAGAAAAAAAAACTATTTTAAAATTCATATGGAACCAAAAAAGAGCCTGAATAACCAAGGCAATCCTAAGCAAAAAGAACAAAGCTAGAGGCATCATGTTACCCGACTTCAAACTGTACTAAAGGGGTACAGTAACTAGAATAGCATGATACTGGTACAAAAAGACACATAGACCAATGGAACAGAATAGAGAACCCAGAAATAAGGCCACACATTACAACCATCTGATCTTCAACAAAGCTGACAAAAAGAAGCAATCGGAAAAGGACTCCCTATTCAATAAATGCTGCTGGGATAACTGGCTAACTATATGCAGAAGATTGAAGCTGGACCCATTCCTTATGTCATATACAAAAATCAACTCAAGATAGATAAAAGACCTAAATGTAAGCCCCCAAACTATAAAATCCCTGGAAGACAACCTAGGCAATACCATTCTGGATATAGGAACTGCAGAGATTTCAAGATGAAGACGCCAAAAGCAATAGCAACCAAAGCAAAAATTGAGAAATGAATTCCAATTAAACTAAAGTGCTTCCGCACAGCAAAAGAAACTATCAACAGAGTATACAGGCAACCTACAAAATGGGGGAAAATTTTTGCAAACTATGCATCTGACAAAGGTCTAATATCAGCATCTATAAAAAACTTAAATTTACAAAAAATAACCCCATTAAGAAGTAGGCAAAGGACATGAACAGACACTTTTCTAAAGAAGACATACATGTGACCAACAAGCATATTAAAAAAGCTCAATATCACTGATCATTAGAGAAATGCAAATCAAAACCACAGTGAAATAACATCTCACACCAGTCAGAATGGTTATTATTAAAAAGTGAAAAAATAACGATGCTGGAGAGGTTGCAGAGGAAAGGGAATGCTTATGTATAAGCATTCCCATGCTGGTGGGAATGCAAATTACTGCAATCATTGTGGAAAGCAGAGTGGTGATTCCTTAAAGCGCTAGAAACAGGACTACCATTTAACCCAGCAATCCCATTACTGGGTGTACATCCAAAGGATTATAAGTCTTTCTACTGTAAAGACACATGCTCACATGTTTGTTGCAGAACTATTCACAATAGCAAACACATGGGATCAACCTAAATGCCCATCAGTGATAGACTTGATAAAGAAAATGTGATACATATATACCATGAAATACTATGCAGCATCAGTGGTAGACTTGATAAAGAAAATGTGGTACATATACACCATGAAGTACTATGCAGCCAGTAAAAAGAACAAGATCACATCCTTTGCAGAAACATGGATGGAGCTGGAGGCCATTATCCTTAGTAAACTAATGCAGGAACATAAAATCAAATACTTCATTTTTTCACTTAGAACACATACACACAAAGAGGGTAACAACAGACACTGGGGCTTACTGGAGGGTGGATGGTGGGATGAGGGAGAGGATCAAAAAAACATCACTATTAGGTACTAGCCTTAGTACCTAGGTGATGTGATAATCTGTACAACAAACCCCTGTGAACTGAATTTACCTGTATAACAAGCCTGCACATGTATCCTTGAACCTAAAATGAAAGTTAAAAAAAGAAAAATTTTAAAAAAAGAAATTAGAAAAGAGGCTGCAAAACATAGATTAAGAATATTTTTTGAAAAATAATTTTAGGCAGTACTAGTAACTTAAGGAATTTCAAAAGATATAAATTCCATGGAACAAAAATATCAAAGAATATGACAGAAAAGCAAGACATGAAAATGGAACCATTAGACCTTTGAAAAATTGAAAAGAAAAATAAAATTCATTACATTTTTTGCTTCTAATGTATTTTGCACCAAAATAAATTGAACACTTTAAATACGGCTCAAACCACACCCATTACTGTCCAATCCTTCCATACCCTAATATATCACACTATTTAATTTAATATATTTATTTTAATATATGTAATATATAATATAATATAAATTTTAATATATTTAATTTAATATATTTAATTTGATGTCATCAAATTAAATATATTTTGTTTATATTTTTAATAATATAATATATAAAATATAACATATTATATATAATAATATATAATAAATATATTTTGTTTATATTTTTATACAACAGCATTTTAAAGTTGTTTTCAAATTCACAGGCATAAGGTGTTATAAAGTGTTATGATTCTTGCATCTCTGACACTCTTCACATTTTTATCCCCGATATTATTTGTGCTTTCTCATTTTTTACATTATCATTATTGCCCAATATTGTCTATTTTATTAGTTTTGTCAAGACAACTAAGCAGCTCTTATATGCCAGGAGAGGGACATCTCTTCCTTAGAGAATAATTATAACTAATTATATATAATAGTGATTATATTATATAATATTATATATAAAATAGTGATTATATTATATATAATATTAAAAGAATGATAGAAGAGAAAATTACTATTTGGCAAGCACCACAGTCATAAATTAAAGGCAAGAATTAACTAATGCTAAAATCAATGGATAAAAGTATAACAATAGAATACTTGAATAGTCTTAGAGTCTCTCCCACAAGATATTTTTTAATTACAAGATAAAAATAGTAATTTTACATTAGAGAAACCTGGCAATTATCATTTTAACTGAGTAATTAAAATTAACATCACCAGTAATGAAATGTGTTGACATAATGTACTTGCCATTATGATCCCCTGAGAAAAGCATATTTTGTTTGTGGAATTTTTGCCAAAAATATATAACTAAACTGAGATATAAGAAATGTTAAATAAATTCAAATTGAGAGACATTCTACAATATAACAAATCAGTACTTTTCATAATTGTCAGGTTTATGAAAGACAAAGAATGACAAATGTTTCAGGTTGGAGAATGCCAAGGAAACATAACAGTTAAATCAGATGTGGAATTCTGGGGCTAGAAATAAAAACAAGAATGAGACAATTGGCAAAGTTCCAATAATGCCTATAGGTAATAGTATTGTATCCATGTTAATTTTGAAGACAGACATGGTGGCCTGTACCTGTAATTCCAGCTACTTGGGAGGCTGAGGTGGGAGGATTGCTTTGAGGTGAGTTTGAGATCAGCCTGAGCAACATAGTGCAACTGTCTCTAAAAAAATGATTTTTAAAAATCAGCTGGGCATGGTAGTGCATGCCTGTAGTCCCAGCAACTCAGGAGGCTGATGGGGGAGGATTGCTTGAACCCAGAAATTCCAGGCTGCAGTGAGCTATGATCACACCACTGTACTTTCAGCCTGGAGGACAGAATGAGACCCTGTCTCTAAATCTAAAAAAATAATAAATGAGATAAAAAGTTAGTTTTGTGGTTGCAATAATTATACTATGGTTATGTAAGATGTTAACATTAGGTGAAGCAGGTGAAGGATGTAGGGAAACTGTGATATTTTTGCAACCTTTCTGTGAGTCTGAAATTATTTCAAATAAAAACTTAAAAACACTCAAACCAAGTTATTTGATTTTGTTTCTCCCTTATGTCTGTCATTATCTTTATTATTTCCTTCCTTTTACTTTCTTTTGGTTTACTCTCTTCTTTCATTTTCTTTTTTTTTGTTGTTGTTGTTGTTTATAACTTCATCAGTTGGATATTTAGCTTATAATTTTTAATTATTTTGTTATTTCCTATAAATGCATTTGTGTTAGTTATCTATTCTTAGATAACAAATCACCCCAGAATTTATGGCTGAAAACGACATTTGGTAACCTCCCAGTTTCTGATTGTCAGGAATCTGGGCTCAGTTTAGCTGGTTTCTCAAGTTTTGTGGCTCTAAAAACCTGCAATCTGTGCCAGCCAGGGTTGCAGGCATCTCAAGTCTTGACAGGGGAAGGATCCACTTCTACACTCACTCATATGGTAATTGGGAGATTTCGGTTCTTCATGGGTTGTTGGACTGAGGGCCTCAGCTTCTTGCTGGGTCTTTGTTGGAGGCTGTGCTCAATTCCTTACCACAGGGGCCTCTACATTGGGCAGCTCACCTCCTGACAGCTTCAACAGAGTGGGCAAGGAAGAAGAGTTCGAGAGGGTACATGCAGGGTGGAAGTCAACATCTTTTATACCTTGGCCTCGGTGACATCTCATTATGTGCACCATATTCTATTAATTACAAAGAGGCAATCAGGTCCAGCTCACACTCAAGTGGAAGAGATTATGCAAGGACCCGAATATAAGGAGGTGGAATTCTGGGAAATCATTTTAGAAGTTGCTTACCATAATATTTAAGGTTATAAACGTTGACCTCTAAGCAATTTATATTAGTTGCATTTCACACATTGATTTTTCTCATGGTTAATGATCTCACTGTTAATTTTCAAACATTTTATAATTTCCAAAATAATTTTATCTTTGATTCATTCATACGTTATTTGATTTGTTTTAAATTTTCCAATATATGTTTATTTCTACTGTCAAACTTTCTGCTTTATACTTACAATGCACTCCTTTCATTTTTTTTCCTTTCTTGCCTTCTATTAAATTATACTTTATTTCCTTTTATCTCTCTATTGACTCAAGAAGTTATACTATTTATTAGTGATTACCCATAAAAATGTAACATGCATACTAGATTTCTGGAGATTATTAATATTTAAACCTTCCTTCTGAGTAATAAAAGACCTTTAAATATTTTAACCCCAATCTCCATCCCTCTCATTTTACAAATTGTTGTTATTTAGTAATTAATTCCACCTTAGTTTTATACCTCATTAATGATATCTTACTTTCTCCCTCCTCCAGCCCCTGCTTATTTAGATTTATAGACATATTTGTTAATATTGTTTCAGTTTAGGTTTTTAAAAATTGTTTTCTTTTGTTTTACTTATATTGGTTCTTGTATCCTTCAGTCTGGGTTCAACTTTCTTTTTCCTGAAGTACACCCTTTAGTAGCCCTTTCAGCAAGGCTTCTCATGTATTGGACATATGTTAGACGTCTTTTGCTATACTCCATCTTTCTTAAACTCTTTATGTAATTTTCACCCCTCTGTCTCCTTGAGCTATTCTGGTTAAAGAGTCTGAGGCTTATCTTTCAGTTCATCCACCTCTCTGCACTTCACTTTCTTTGCATAAACCTTGCTATTTAGTGATACATTGAGTTTTTATTTTGGTTATATTTTTTATTACTAAAGGATCTATTTGATTCTTTGACATTGTTCTTTTTCACTGGCTTTCTTCTTTCTTTAAGGTTTAGTACCATTTTTCATTTGTTTAATTATCATTATTATCATACTCCTTTTACAATCTTTTTAAAATCTAAAAATGTGAAGATCCTGTTTATTGTTTCTGATGACTATTCTCATTGGCAAATTATTTTATCATATTTTTTTTAATTATAAGCTCTGAGAATTCCATAGGGCAAAAATTGCAATAGTTTGCATTTGCTTCTGTCAGATGCCCCAGTAAATCATGAACTTGGATCAATTTTCATCATACAGTGTAATTGCAATGTAAACAAACAAAAAAGTAAATTCATACTTAAAACATATACTAGGAGTAGGTTTGGGTTCCAATCAATTGAGGATATGAGCAGTATAAAGGGACTTGATTCCAATTTATATCTACGAGGACCTGGAAGCCTCCATTCCTGTCTGTGCTGGGCATTAAAATCCCAGCCTCTCTTCATTACAGATTCCTAAAATCCCATCCCCCGTGTTTTTGTATTAACTTGAGTGCTTACTTTGTTGGCTTTTCTTTAAAAAAAAAATATGTTTCCCAAACATTCGCCTTTCAAATCAGACCAGGTTTGCCTTTAATATGTATTGTCAAATAATGTTATATTCCATGTGATCATACTTTTCTATGGAGTTTGAAGTGGAAACCAGCTGTCAGAATTACCTATTCAATGAAAGACCCACACATTTGCTGGGACTGGTGCTTCTCCCATTGGCAAAAGCAACTGCACAGTTACCCCCAAGTTTTTCAGATTCTGACACCTAAACGTATCTGTTAGGCACAAAAGCACCTTGTTTATCCTCAAACCCTGTAAGATCATTTGTGTTTACATAAATAACAACCTTCACAATAGGAAAGGGCTCTGTCCTGAAACACAGCTCCATAAATTGTGGGCTGGACCAAATATGCAGAAAAGCATATAGAGGAAAAGGATTCATAGATTTAAAAGATTACATGGCCAGGCGCGGCATATCACGCCTGTAATCCCAGCACTTTGGGAGGCAGAAGCAGGCAGATTACGAGGTCAGGAGTTTGAGACCAGCCTGACCAATATGGTGAAACCCCTGTCTCTACTGAAAATACAAAAATTAGACATGTGTGGTGGTGTGCACCTGTAATCCCAACTACTCAGGAGGCTGAGGCAGGAGAATCGCTTCAACCTGGGAGGTGGAAGTTGCAGTGAGCCGAGATGGTGCCATTGCACTCCAGCCTGGGAGACAGAGTGAGACTCTGTCTCGAAAAAAAATAAAAAAGAAAGAAAGAAAGAATGATTATATAATAGATGTTAAATATGTATAGCACAGAAAGAAGTTTCAAATAATACATATTTTAAATAAATGGAACAAGAAATACTCAAAGATGGAAAATGTAGCCTTCCAACAAATGAAACTTATCACAATGATTTTTATCTTGTTTTTGACTGATAAATAAGTAAAACCAAGAATGATGTTTCATTTTATGAACGATTAGATTTGTAATTCTAAGTTAAAACAAGCAAATAATCATATTAATTTTATCTTGAAATTAAATATTAATCATAGGAGAAAAGAGATACCAGAGATGGAAGTACAAAATAAAGAAGTCAAGGAAAATCTGTACTCTTACATTTTGAATTGGAAATATCAGTGTGAACTTGTGGTTTTTCCTTCCTTAAAATTATTTTTTCTGGCTTTGACCACTGAAATGACATATTATCAGTGGTTCTAAATACCATTTTTCTCTAAAAAGAACCTAGGACTGGTGTAGGAAATGAACAGAAAGATTCTGGAACATCTTGTTGGCACAAAGAGCAAGGAAGCTATCAGAGGCTAATGGGATCATGTCAAAGTACACAAGCCAGCTTGATGGGCTTCCATGGCAAAAGATGTGACAATCTGAGCATCAATGAGAATAATGATTGCAATTGTTTAAAACTCACTGAAAATATAAAAATCTATGAGTTATTAGTGATATTAAAAAAAGAATAAAAAAGAAATAAGACATAACTCATTGTTACAATATTGGAGGTTGCTAGGGCACAAACTCATTACTGTGAAAATTGATAATGAAAGGAAAAGAACTGAGCATTTATTCTGCCTTTGCAAGCACAAACTGTGTTTCACAGGAACAAATATCCTTAGTGAGTGGGTTTTCCTGTACAAAAATCGCTAATAAATTCAGAAGGAATTATGAAAAGTCACCATTTTGTAACTTATAAAAAAAAATCACTTCAGACAGTGGTCATCAATGGGCTGTAAAACTATTAGATGAAATGTCAAGGGAAATGTTTGCAATGAAGAAACAGGTTGTCAGCGCCTGAACCCCGAACTTTCTTACCTCTGTAAGTGAGAACACCAGGCTTCACGTGCTTCCTAAAGTAATGCAGTGGGAAAGTAAGGCATTACTTGAGATGAAATTTAAGCAAGCCTCTAGAGCTAACTTCCAGTCTACAGAAATACAGGAGACAGAGAAACAAGTTAAATCGTACTAAGAGAAAACCATCAGCAAAAGTCAGAACACGGAGTGAACTTAGTCTCTTCAATATTTAAAGCATAAAAAACTAAATGAAGTGGGGATTTTTAATATTACTTTATAAGAAACAAGAGATATAGGCTGGGCATAGTGGCTCACGCCTGTAATCCCAGCACTCTGGGAGGCTGAGGTGAGAGGATCACTTGAGCCAGGAGTTTGAGACCAGCCTGACCAACATGGTGAAACTTCGTCCCTATTAAAAAATAAATACAAAAATTAGCCGGGCATGATGGTAGGCACCTGTAGTCCTAGCTACTCAGGAGGCTGAGCTGGGAGGATTGCTTGAACCCAGGAGGTGGAGGCTGCACTGAGCCAAGATCGTGTCACTGTGCCGAGATTGTGCAACTGCACTCCAGCCTGGGGGACAGAGTGAGACCCTGTCAACAAAACAAAACAAAACACACACACAAAAACAAGAAACAAAAGATATAAGAAAATATAAACAATGAACCTTATTTAAATCTTAATTCAACCAAACAAACAGAAAAAGACATTTTGGATAATATATCAACTTCGAGAGTTTTAATGTGGAATGAATATTATGATACTGAATATTTGATGATATTAAAATTATTAAATGATTGCTAATATTAAGTAATAATAATTATTAATTTTTATAATGGTCTGTGGTCATGTAAGAAAATGTCCTTTATGTTTTGAAATTCATATTGAAATGTTTAGTGGTAAAAGAACATGACATCTGAGATTTGTTAAAGAACAGCAGCCAAGAAAGCCAGTGGGGGTAATAAAAAAACAAGTATGATAGTGTGAATATGGTTGAGGTTGGATGGTAATTACGCAGAGGTTCATTATATTCTCTACTTTCGTGTGTTTTTGGAACATTTCCTAACAAAAAATAACAAGAGAATGATTTATCTCACGGTAAAGTCACCAAATTTCAAAAATAAAGACTAAAACTTTTCAGATATTTTAGCATGTGAAGCAGTTTACCTGCAAAAGACTTTTCCTCTGAAACATGAAATGGCAGGAGATCATGAAGAAATGTCCACAAAGTTGAAGGAAACCTCATGTAACCCCCAAATACTTTACATAATCAGGAACAGCTCTATAGGTAAGGCAACAGAGAACACACTTTTAAATATACAGTAATTCTGAAACTGTAATAGCCTTAAACTCTTATTTGAACACATAATCCTGCCTAATTGAAGATTAATCAGAATCAGGAATCCATGAATGGGGAATTTATGTTATTGAACTGCACAAAAACTGCTAATAAATGCATGGACAGCCTGTGTCCATTTAACCCTAGAATAATTCTAAATAATTGTGCTGAGAATTTTTATAAAACATAACATAATTTTTAAAATGAATGATAGAAAAAGCTAATATTCTCTCATATCTCCCTATTTTCCTGTATAGTATTTATTACAACTAATAATTTATATATTTATTTGCAGGCTTATTTGTTTAAGATCCAATTCCATCATGAGACTACAAGCTTGTTGACAGCAGAGACCATGTTTTTAAAAATGTGCTTAATCTTCATCACAGCATGGACTCAACATTTAAAGCTGCATTTAGACTAACCCCTATTTGTTAAGTGTGGTTTTTGTGTCTTAAGGTACATTCTTGTTATCATCAGATTAATTTTCCCCTTCACTATGGGCCCAGATGAATGCCAATCTTTTTCAGTCCTGTTATTGCACTCTCTCGTCAGCATCCCTTCTTTGGATGAATCCCACCATATCTGGCTCCTTAGTGTCCCTACCAACAGCATCCATAAATTTGAATGCATTCACGAATGCTATAAGTGAAACAAAACAAGGACTCTTCAGTATTTTATTTCTGTTCTTATCATCTCTATTTGTCATGAGGGCTTCAAATTTGTATATGCTGAAGTACGCACAACTACATAGCCATGTCTCTACCAAGATGGCCACCCATTTTTAAATGTTGTTTTATAATTTATAATCTTCTTTCTAATTTAAGAACATCGTGCTTCAAAATTCGGCACTATTGTTTAAACTTCAAATTATATATATTATATTCTGGAGAGAAAAAGAAGAAGGAAAGTAGAAGAAGAAGGGAATTATGATGTGTATGGATCTACTGTTATTTCATGTGCTGTAATCAGTATTCATGAACATTTTCTCTTAATACTCAAAATAACTACCAGGTCATCAACCACCAGGTCAACCTATCCTTTGAGATTTAGTTAAAACGAACTAAAAACTCTTTTATTGTGCCTCTTGCATGGATTTGCAAAATGTCTGTGAATTCTCAGGGGTTGTCGTAGTAGACTTTCTTTCCACCCAGCATTCATTCTCCCTTTCCTAAAAGCCCCCGAACACTGCTTGTAGATTCATGTATTTCCAAGGGTCCTGCATCTGCCTCCAGCTCCTGCAGTATATTACACCGTGGAAGCTAAGCCATCCAGTGTATTCTATCCCCTTGAACACAGACCGGGAGGGTTAGGGGTGTGACCTAATCTGGTCTAAACAAAGAGAATCTTTGGATTTTGTCTGGATATTTGAAATAAAGGGCTCTCCCCTGTTTTAGATGGTATGGGTTGTGGTATGGTATAAGGCCTGGAGTTGCTGCAGCCTTTCACTACCACGAGGGGAGCCAAAACCAATGGATAGATTGAAACAGAGCAAAGGGATTCATGGAGAGATGTAGCTAGAACTCTATTTACATTATTATTATTACCATTATTATTATTATTTAAAGAGACAGGGACTTGCTCTGTCATCCAGGCTGAGTGTAGTGGCACAATTGTAGCTCACTGCAGCCTCTAACTCCTGGGCTCAAGTGAAGTGATCTTCTTGTGTTAGCCTCCCAAGCAGCTAGGACTACAGGTGTGCACCACCATGCCTGGCTATTTTTATTTTTATTTTTTGATAGAGACAGCGTTCATTAGATGTGAAAAAAACCTCTAGATCAAGCCAGACCTGAGGCCCACTAACCTCTGCACTTTTTAGTTTTGTGAGCCAGGAAATTCCCTTTGTTGTCCAAGTAAGGCTGAGTTTGGTTTTGCATTCCTTGCATGATAACAGATACTATTTTATATTGTGTCACTTCTTCAGACTTCGCCAAATATTTGAACACATTACATCTCATTTTCCATAACTCTTCTCTCAGTTTGTTACTGTTGACCCAGATGTGGGATTCAGCCTTCCTTTCCCTGAAAAAATGTCCCTCACACAAGAATTTACATGTGTAGCCGATTTTGCTGAAGGTTTGGGATTCAAAGGGTATGTACAATGCAGGGAAAAATAAACAACAGCAATATATTCAATTAACATTATATATTAGCTATTCCCAGTTGTGAGACTCTCACTGCCCTCATGGGACATGGTGGGGAATTTCTCATCCACTCCTGCACGCTCAGGCTCCAGCTGCCTGGTCTGTCTTGCTTTTCCTCCTCCTCCTCCTTCTTCTTTGTTCTCCTTGACCCATAATTTTATTTCATCTAGCTACGTCATTATTACTTTGTCTTCTTCTACCTTCCCTTTGGACCTGCCTGGCTAAGCTGTGTATCAGATATTTTCTTGAAGAAATAAAATTCGCTTTGCAAGATGATAATCTTGAATGCCATGGCTAGGTAATTAAACAATTAATATAAACTCTGTTCTCTTTAATGAATATCTTTTTTTTGCCTAGTGCTTCAACTATAGTTTTACAGTGAAATGAATGCTTAAAAATTATATATTTTAATCTTCTATGTTCTGTATAGATCTGTTTGCCAACTAACGTGGGGATTTGGTAATTACAAAATATTGTAACTGGAAGGGCATTAAAAATCCAACACCTTCATTCAGGTCCGATAGGAGTGGGTGGTAGAGATGGGAGTAGAACCAGACAGCCTTTAATTCATTTGCCTCTACTTTGTGGCATGTGATAGGGACATTTGATTTACTGGGACATAGGTTTGATGTTGATCATAGATGAGTATCCTTTAAAAAACCTTTAAAAACTTCAACAAAGTGATTTTTTTCCAACACTTCCATCCAGAAGGTATTGCATATCTCAGCTGACTCTCATATAAAATTATTGTTTTGGACATTCATCCCTAACAACCTTTGCATTTATAATATTCAATATAATACTGCCCTCAGTGTCCTCATCTATAAAATCAGGATAAAGAACACATACTTTCTAGGGCCAGGGTGAGGATTAAATGTGTTAGTATAAGCGAAGTGCTTAGAACAGTTGCATGGCAAATTGTAAATACCCTAGGATGTCTGCAACTCTCGAACTTTTTAGTCTTAGTTTCTTTACACTATTACAGAATTATTTAAGACCTCAAAAAGCCTTTGTGTTGTGGGTTATGTTTACTAATATTTACTATATTAGAAATTAAAACCAATAAATTAAAAGTTTACTTACTGATTTATTTTAAATAGCTACATAACATAAATAATTTGTTTTATGAAAAAAATTATGTTTACCACAAACAAAATATCTAGTAAAAAGAGTGGCTTTGTTTTAGATTTTTGCAAATCTCTAGTAAGTGTCTGACTTACTAGAAGATGATTGGAGTCTCATGTCTGCTTCTGCATTCAATCTGCTATGAAATTACATATCATGCAGCTTTGGGAAATGCTACTGTATGCTCTTCAGAAAATGAGAGTGAAAAAGGAAAAAATCTCATTTTAGTGTTATTTTGAAAAAGTTTTGTCCTTCCAGACCCCCTGAAAGGGCCTCATGAACCCTCAAGAGTACTCAAACTACATCTTGGGATCCTCTTCTATGTTTTCCATAATTATTATTGCTGTTATTGTTATTGATGATGATGATGATTACAAAGAAATCCAGAATAGATATAGATATGGGTTTTCCAATGTAAGAGCTGCAAGTTTTGAAGTTCTCTTGATGAATTTCGTTCTGTACAGTCATCCATTTAAAAACGTTTGTCTTTAAAATGGTGGAACTAGGTCTATGTGTTGTGAATCTATCAATATAAGGAATAAAAGGACAGTGGTATTTAGCTTTTTCAGGCATGTGAAGCTATAACCATGAAATAGAAAAAGTCCTCTAGTGTACTGTGGCTGTAAGGAAACAGAATGTGTGTCTCCACCATTGTGGAGAATTTTCATGAGAAGTTACGTGTTAACATTTGGGCTCAGACACAAAAACTACCCAAAGTACAGTAAAACCCAGGAGCATTTCAATGCCTTTTTCCAAGCATATTCAAGCAGAAGAAATATATTCTAGAAGACCTAGAAATGCATAACTATAGCCAAAACATTTCATGAAGAGGGCAAATGGAAATTAAGGAACTGGCTCCATGTGTTGGCTTTTTCTATTTTTATCCTGGGTAAAGTCCCCTGGCAGAAAGGATGACGAAGTTGGAGGTCTGATAATGCATTAGTATATTCACAGGTCTTCCTTGCCCAGAGTCAACAGGCTCTTGAACTTCTCAGCTGCTCATTTTAAAGGCAATATCTTGTCACTGTTTCTCAGGGGAAAACCAGTGCTCCCAAATTATGTTGTAGAAGAAAACTGTAAATCATAGGTCATCACGACTAACGGTGCCTTGGCTCAGCCAAGTCAAGCCCCTCTCAACTCTGTAGTCCCTGGGCTTGATGTGTGAGGTTTCCTCCCTTCTCCCCTTCTCTTTTAAAAATAATCAATCTGTTTTGGGTATTTTTCCTGTCCTCAACTTCCCTAGAAATATGAAAATAACAACAAAAGATCCCAGGTTATAGATCAGTTACACTGGTCAATGTCCTGTGGAATTAAGAGACCCCTAATGTTGCTTAAGGAAACTGATGGTGATTAAAAAGACCATTCCAGAGAAATGCTCTACAAAACTTGAAAGTAGACAAAAATGTAGTGTTGTGGGGGTAAAAATAGAAAAAGCAATGGATCATTCCAGAGGCTGATGGCAGCATATGAAATTCTAGGAAAAACTGACTTTGAAAAGAAGGGCAGAAGCAAAGCCAACTGAAGAAGGGAAAGGGCAGTCAATGAGGAGTCTTGATTAGGGTATGTTGATTCTTGTCCCCCCGTCATCTGATTCCCATGTCAGCCTCAAAAATCACGTGATGACACAGCTATGTGGTGAGTCATGCTGTAGAGAGTGCTCTGCCATGATGCTTAATGTAGGAAGAAGACTGGAGTCTAGTAAACTAGGGGTGGGAGATTTAAAATGAAAAATAAAACGAGTCAGAGGAATGGTAAGTTAGTCTTTTAAAAACCAGGAAAGGTATGTACGCAAAAGCAAGAAGTAACAGAGAAATGAAAAAAAAAAAAGAGTAAAACCGTAAACAAAAAAGCAAACAACTACAACAAAAAGAACAGGTCTCAACAGAGAGAAAGGCATGTCATATCGATTTGTATTACATCTACATGTTATGATAGCATAAGTAGAAATATACTAAGTCTAGTAAGAGTGTCTTGATGACTTTTTGAACCATCTGTTCACTTTTTTTTTTTTTTTGCTTTTGGTCCTTGGATTAAAGAAGCCTCCAGGTATGTTAGCTCTTCTCATCCCTAAACATTGCAAAACATTCATCAAAACAAAGGAAGATGGAGATGACCAACTTCTGCACTTTATCTTGATTCCCAGTCCTCCATTTATCTATCAGTGTCCTCTGTGGTTTAAGAAATCAAGGACATCGCTATCCTGAGAAGCTAGGGACTGGGATTTTGGGCAATGGTGGGACCTCTTTTGGTTTGACTTACGGTGACCTTTTGCCATCACTGCTGCCTTGCCTACAAGAGTATCTTGGAAAAGGACATATCTAGCTGCTTCGCGATCAAGGAGTGGGCTTTAGAGGGCCAGAAAATGCACAATATTATGGAAATTTGATGGGAGGTAAGAAAACAGAGAGATGATGGTAATGGTGAATATTTCACTCAAGGAGTCTCCTTTCCTAAAATGCTACTGTGGGAATGGGAATCAATATTAGTTGGCATACCCCCATTCTCTCCCATTTGTTTTCCATTAATCAAACCTTAGAAGTGTCTGCCACCCACATTGATGGAGAAACAGATGGTTTGCTCATGCTGTTTCCCTTGCCCTGAACAGGAGCTGCCCTCTGTTTATATCACAACCCAAATCTTTTCACCATCTGCATAGAGGCTTCCTCCCTTCCCCAGGAGAATTAATCTTTCCTGCCCTCCATAGACCTCCCATATGGGAAAATAACTAACACTTGCTGGGCACTTACACAGTATAGCTCAATAAGCTTTCACAAAACATTATCTCCCCAAATCCTTACACTACCCTTGAGGGATTATTATCACTGGTATAAGACACAAAATCCATGACTCAGAGAAATGGCACTTTCTCAAGGCCACACTCTCTGAGAGGTCAGGGAGGGAGTCCATCCCAACCCGAGCCCATGCATTATGGTGCCTAAAGTGTCAGCATGTTCCACCAGCTAGCATCAAACAATTCCCCCAGATAAATCTTTTAACCATTTGGTTTATTTTTATTATGTTTCTAAAGCAATCTGTGCTGTTTTGCGCTAACACCAATACAGTACTTGGCACCTAGTACAGGTTCCATAAATATGTGCGGAAGAGTGGGTGCTTCATGTGTGATAGTCACTATTGTGAATGTTACTTGACTCTGTGGTTTCATATGAAGGGGCTCCAGTTTTGGATTCAGAGCAGGTTCAAATCATATTCCTATTAATCATGAGTTGTTACCTTTTTTTTTTTTTTGAGCCTAATCTGCAAAATGGGAATAACCATCTCTGCCTCACTGAGTTGTTATTTCACATGTAACATACTGTGAAGTGTCTGACACAGTGCCTGGCTCAGCCTCCCATCAACGCTGGCTAGTAATAATTATAATTCATACAGGCCAGATGGTCATGTAAACAACTGGAATATAAGCAAAGAGTGTTGTCCCTACGCCAATCGGAACCACCATAATTTGTGGGACAGAGCTTCAAAGGAGGTCTTCGGCCTCATACTGCAGCTTGGCCAGCCTCTCCCACCCACCTCCACCCACACCCCCAGCCCCCAGCCCCATAGGAAGGCGCTTAAGAAGCTTAGATCCCAGGGGAAGTTGAGCCTCCGATCGGGTGGCAGCGCGTGGGGAACCCAGGCTGCACTACAGAGGACGCAGGACGCCAAAACCACCCCGGGGCTCACGCCATCCGCGCACCGGCTCTGCTGCCTAAGTCCGAGGACGCAGGCGGAGGGCGCGGGGCTCCCGGGCGCCCAGGAGGGCGGTGCCGCCGGGGTGCGCTCCAGGCTTGGCTGCAAACCCCCCAAGAATTAGAAAGCGGGGGCGGCTGCTCAGCGGCTGCTGCGGCCTGGGACTGCAGCTCGCCCCTCCTCCGCAACTTCCCACTGGTCCCGTCACCTGGCTTTCTGTCTAGTGTCCGCCCAGGCGGGGTCCCAAGAAGGCGATGCCAGGAGCAGTCGCGCCCCCTGCCCTCTGTGAGCCCGCAGGTTTCGGGCAAGTTTGGCTCAGTCCTTGTCGATGCTCCAGGCTCGGCTTCCCTGGCCTCCCCTTCCCTGGCCAAAGGAGATGATGGGAAGCCTGAGGTTCTGATCTGGGATAACTGCAGAAACCCCCGGGTAGGACTTCAGCGCAGACGGGACATTTAATGATGTTGAGAAGGGCCTTTCCTCAGTTAGCCCTCAGCTCCCAGGAGGGCTACCCAGTTGGTGCACGGTCTCATTTTATTTGGGGATGCTGATTTAACTGTGTGTGTGTCTGTGTCTGTGTGTGTGTGTTTGTGTGTGTGTGCGCGCGCGCTTCGGTCCTTCATTCTTTGCTCCTAAAGATTTCTTTAACAATGTTGAAAATTGTTTTGTTTTTTTTTTCTTACTTGAAGTTCCTTTTGATTAATTTTCAAGCCGTGGGTATTATGCAATAATATACATAATAGTATATATTCTGTATTAAATATTTCTCATTGCTACCCGACCTGTCATCAGTTTAGAGCCTTGAAAAAAATCTCCATTTTAATATTAACACAAGGTTTTCCCATAAATTTGTTTTGAAAAGTTAGGGAGAGTATACTAACTAATGAACTTCAGTTAAAAAGTAGGCAAATGAAAAAAAAAAAGAAAAAAAGTAGGCAAATGCGAATGTTCTTCACTGCCACAAAGCCACCAAGTTAACGGATGGTGTTTATGGGTTTGGGTTTTTGGAGAGCAACTTTACAATACCTGTAGGATTGTCTTGAAAGTCAGGTTCCGATCTTTAGCCTAAGAAGGTTAAAAAGTTGGTAAGTTATATTCTTTTCACCCTTAACAATAACTGACCCATAATGCATTAGCAATCTGTCCCTAGATTGTGAGGAATCAGATAGTTAAAATTAAATTTAGAAAGTTAAAATACTTGTCATCACATTAAAAACACATTACATCAGTTTAGATGAGCTGCAAGTAAATCATCCCTTACCTTTCAGAAGATAAAAAGTTTAGTGACTGCTATTTACACACTTTGAATATTTTATATTACAGTGGTCATCATCATTTACACGGATTATTTTCTATGTCCACTTCCAATTCACAAATATCAGGGTGTTTGTTATGTAGCAGTTCACATTTCAAGCTTCTCTGAAAAGGTGTCCTTATATAAAACAACAGAGATAACTGCATATTATCAAAAGGTCATTTAGAGATTTTAAAAATAAAATCATTAGGGACCCCTTAAGAAAAGTAGAGCAATGAACTGTAATTTTAAAAATGTATATAATAGCACAAAAATCAAAGTCTTAATGGACACTCATTTGAGATAGTTCATTTTGTTTTTGTTTTGTTTTAAACATAGATTTCTAGAGCATTAAAAACAATCCTCATAGGTTTGTTAAACCTTTAGCGGAAGATTACAGCCCATGTTTTTGTCTTTGGTGAATAGCTGTTTGTCTCACTTTATTTACTTGGTATTGGATATTTGTCAATGTCATTTCATATCTACAGAAAATTCTTACGCTCTGTGGAGGTAGTGAATGTGTGTGTGCGTGTCTGCCGGAGGTCACATGACGGTTTCATTCTATTTGGTGGAGCAGCTTGACTTTTTTTCCCCTTGCTTTTGGTGATGGTTGTGAGTGCAGAAGTTGATTGACAGATGCATGCCAGAAACCCCCATTCTCCTTTTCAAAGACAACATATGATGGATTGCTATCTCTCAGCGCAGCAGGACACGGGGACCATGCAAGCTGTAATTGGTCAGGTATGGAGTCAGCCATTTCTCAACTCCCCTTTTTTCCACAAGGGTCTCACCATATGATTCACATAATTCATATTTACAGTACCATCTTTCTATCTGTATCTTCAGCTACCTGCCAGTGTAGTGCTGAAAGTGCGAAAGGCAAAAGGCACCCATTAAATCTGACCAGGGAAACCTCAGCTTAAAACTTCAATGCGATCCTTTTAAACAAAAACTAAAACAACAACAAAAACACTGGAGAATAAATCTAATTTATAATTTGGTCTGAATGTTTCTTAAAAATCTATTTTAGAAATTTGCTTTCTTTTTGGATTTTGATCTCTGAAAGAAAGTGCGAGAAGAGAATCAAGTGTGGTTTCCTAGGTAGTAGTTAATATTTTTCTAATGCTGTTCAATATTTTTATTTTGACTGTGCTCTCTCCTTCTCTCTTTCTCTCCCTCTCTCCCTTTCTCCATATGGGAAATATAAATATATAAATACATGTGCCTTGACTTCTAACCCAGATAATGTGTGATTGAGCCCGGTAAATGTAGTAGTAGTCTTGGCTGCTGCAGAAGGGCAGGCTGCAAATTAAACACTGTCACAATCTTGAAAGGTCCAGGTGGTCTGCTCGCGCTTCCTAATGCAATCCAGCACAGCAGCTTTAATAAACAGCTCCATTTAGTGCCTCCTCCTTGTATCTAGGGAGGTGAGCTGGTCTGGGGCTGCTGTGATGAAATGCCAGAAGAATATCTCTCAGAGGCCTCACAAGCTGATTTTTAGAGCTTTCCCGCTCTGTCGTCTTTGTCTTCCAAATGGGTCAGTGAATCTTGCTCTTTCTGTTTGGTGCTTTCCGTGAAGTCAGTAGTTTATGTTTGTGTTAAAATGTTTGCGTTGTAAGCTAAATCAGAAAACGAAAAGGATCATTGTATTTTCATTTGCCTTCAGATAACTAAAGTGGTGGAAGGAAGGATAGTACCCTCCTGCAAAGGGAGGGTGATTTTTCTGACTATGATGGGGGTGGGGTAAGGAAAAAGGAAATATACATGGTTTCTTTTCTTTTTTGTAATGTATTTTTGACTAAATTTTTCTAAGTTATCTATGTTTACTTATGGATTGTTAACTCATAAACCAGACTATGGTCACGAATATTTATAAACTCCTAAAAGTTTTTTTTTTTGTACACTTTCCAATCAAGACAAGCTGGCAAGGCAATGACATAAAATTTGTTTGCTTTATGTTAATAGCATGGTGGAAAATATATCATCTTATTCTGTTTTCAACAAAATTATAGAAAAGCACTTCAGGGTTCTGAAAGCACATGGTTTATTAATACCAGCATGCTTGCTTCATAATGTATTTTTAGATGGAAAATGTCAAATACATAATACCATGTTTTCACAGGCTCACACTATTTTAAAAGAAGTAGATATTTGCTTCGACAGAGAAATATTTTTTAAAACTTTCAAGTTAATTTTTGTTCTATAAGCATATATAAAGTGAAGTCTCTAGGCAGGAGAAAATATATAAACTGATTTTATATACTCTTAATACCTGTTTCAATGTAAGTACTCACTGACGAGCAAATATATCAAATATAGCTAAAATAATTGTGGTGTAGGGAATGAAATAAATATCTGTTACAATAGATGACTTTTGCATATTGAAATAAAACTTGAGCCCCTGATCACTGTCTTGTCCTGTTTAATAAAACTTTTCTTAGGTTGCAGGTCCTGTCTTCTGTATGGCATAGTTATGGTTCTTAATACCGTGCAGAATTACTGTACTTCAATCTCTAATAAGAATAGGATTTCCTTTTTCTATATATTTCTGGTGAAAAAATCAGGAAAGTCACTTGTAGTTTGTTATTCAGTATTGTTTATTGGAAATCAATTGTAAAGGCATATACTTTTTAAAGGCTCAGGTATATACTTAAAAAAATGAATCAGGACATATTTTTACAGATAGTAGGCTTAACTTCTAATTTGTCAGGATTTAAAATTAGTTATTATTACATAGCTCTGTATTTTGTATGTACTCTTTAGTATAATTGTTAAAGGTTCCACATGTCTAAGAACTCTACAGGTTAATGACTTCTTATGAATACATTGTAAATAGTTGCATCAAAGTAGTCACATGCTTTCTGAAGGTGTTATTTCTCATAATTTGTTAAAAACGCCTCAAAATGCCAAGTCAGTAAATTACAAAAGCAATTGTGCTGAAGGTTGTAAACATTTCTGTGCTAAAATGTACAAACTAGAATGCTGATTTTTTATTTGAAATTGAAACAGTAAGTATTTAAAAGGAAAGAAGAATAGAATATTGTCCTATATGTATACCATAAAAGTCAGAAAGTCTATATTGAAACCATATCTAGAAATATAAAAAAGAAAGGTGGTATACATATTTGAAGTGGATTCATTTCAATAGTTACAGCACAGATAAGTGTATTTACTCAAATGATTACTTCTAACAATAGGGAAAAGAATGTGAAAATAATTTTTATTGCTCTGCTGTCACTCAAAACCAGAAAGGGATGGTTTATTTTTTAGCTCTTGTCTTAAATATCGTCTTATATCTACTCAGCAGGTGTGAACAAGCCCATTTAATAATGCAAATGTTTGTGTTTGTTTCTGCTCAAATACGTTTTGGAATAATTATTATTTTTGTCTTTTTTTTTTCCTGTTCTGAGTGCTGTTCCTAGATGGCTTTGGGTTGGAGGAGCAAATAACCAGTTTTCAGTCAGAATATTGAAAGATTCCCATGAAGTATGAGCTTTAGGTTTTTTCATTCACTCCTAGGATGAAATATCCACAGTTGCTTCCACTGTAGGGAAGAGTAGACTTTTCTGTTTCTGGCCATGATCCAGCTCAGGACACAGCGCTGGCTTCACAGAGTAGAAATTGCTCATATATGCCTTTCCCCTAGGATTTCTCCTCCCCCAAGCAAGCAATTAAGCAGTCTAGTACTTGGAAGAACAAACTCCCTGCCTAGTATATCAAGATGAAGAAACTTGGTTCATTCACACAATTTTTGGAAATCAAATCAGATTTCTGATAGCAATTACCTGTAGTTAGCTTCCTAACCCCTTGAAGGTAGGATGGATTGTTATTCATGGGATGATTTTCAATTCAATTCAATTACACAGTTAATCAGTTTCTGATCGTTGGTTTGATTATCATTTAGAAATGAAGACTTGCATTTCCATCTCTTATGGCCATGTTTAGTGCTTCGTTTCTTTTTTTTGCAGACCTGAGCTTGTGAGTGACAGATTAGTTCATCAGTACTGCGGACCTCCTGTTTTTGTTTTTTCTCATCTCATACAGTCGGGTCACTGTGTCCAATACTCCTTCTGGCACTGCTGTCCCCAGAGGACTTAGGCAGCCCACCATCCTGATGCACAGGCCTGAGGGTCCCTGTTGGCTTCACGTCTATAGACTGACTTTTGCAAATATTGCAGAACAGAGGATATTAAATTAGTTGTTAATAAAAACAACAGATGAACCAAATTAGATGAAAATATTTATCAAGTATATCTAAGAGTTTGCTGGGAGTGAGAGAGAGACAGCTGGATAAAGTGATCATGGATGCACTTCCAGTTGACATTGCTAAAGTACTAGTAGAAGAGAGAAGAGACCACACATTCTATATTTTAATAGCATTAGAAGTGCAGTAAAAAGCTGTTTACAATTTCCCTTACTGGTACAATGGGTCTTTTATTTTTCAAAGTACATTTCGACCATGTGAAGTGTTGTAAAGTTGTACATCAGAAAACTAATGCAAATGTCTCAGACAGTGCTCAGTATGTGTGCATGCATTTGGCTTAACAGTATCTCCATGTATGTTTTCTTATATGGAGATTTTAAAACACACAAATATTTCACCGTTATAGCATCAAAACAATTAATTTTACATAGAGGTTTGTTTATACCATCCCTTGTTCCAAAAAGTATTTAATGTAGATTTAATAATAATTTGCTTACCTAAAATATGCTCAAATTGATGTGTGATGCAAGTGGTCTAGGGAGAGGGGACACTGGCTCTCATAACACATTTGAAGATTGCCCTCTGTCAATTTAGACTGATATTCGTGCCTTACATATAAAAATGAAACACTGGGGCTAACCTAACCCTGTTTTACTCATGTGAAGCATAATTCCCATATACTCTTAAAAAAAGTCATTTTTGTGGGTGTGAATGCCTGTATTTTTGAAACTGACAGATTGCTTCAACAAATTTATGTATTTTGGGAGTGTGAAATTATTACTGCTTTAATTTTATTGAGAATACTTTTTCCCCAAGGTATTATGGATGGATGGTATACTAGAAAAAATACAGATTAATTAAGGATTATTCTTTCTTATACATACTGGTGCTAGTATTCTTTTGGTAAGTTCCAGACTGACCAAAATTGAATTTGTACTATGTATTGTTTATTGACCTAAAAAACTTCACTTAATATTTCATTCATACTTATAGGAAAGTCTTATGTTAACATTTTACATTTCACCAGATGGACTTAATTTTTATTATGTTTAGAATTTTTAAAAATTAAAGCAGACATTTAAATGGTAAAGTCAATTTTGTCCATTTAAGTAAAATTTAACAATATAGTAATACTACTATCCAATAATGTTAATACTAAACAACAATTAGATGAACTTGGGTCTTGAAACTAAATTTTCTTTTCTATCTCTAAGGTCAATTAATGAAACTCTCTGTACCATTCAATTATCATTTTCAATGCTTAAGAACTTAAAACTTTTTTATTCTTACCTCTAACATATGCAGAGAGGTGGCTGCAACTTTTAGAATACAAATGCTTACAAAAGAAAGTTTGCATGTAATAAGTTTCCTGCGTGTAAAATCTATAATATTTGTTTCAGAGGTCAGTGAAGGATGTTTCTTCACTGACCTTTTCTTTGCTATGTAAACTGCATATTACCAGTTTCAAGTATTTTTCTCTTTATTGCTTACAAAAATTGGAATATAATTAACATGTCTGCAAATACTGAAAAACTTCACTTTTCAATTGCATTGTGATATTGTACAAGCTGTTACTCTTTTCTAATGCTTGATTGAGTAGAAAATAAAGTTGGGACATAAAGTGCAAACATGAAAGGATCAGACTTGAAGAAACAATGTGCAAAAAGATAAATATTGACTTTAATTTGAACGCTAAAAGAAAATCCAAATTACACAACTTCTAAATTAATTTGTAATTTATGGCCAAATCTTTACTTGGGAGATAATAGCTGCTCTATATATAATCTCAAACCTGGATTTATGTTCTTTTTCCCTTCCCTCCCTCCCTACATCCCTTTCTTCCTTTCTGCTTTTGTTCCTGCCTCCCTCCTTTCTTTTTTTTTTTTTGTAGGTGAAATGTGTATCCAATAAAGTAAATTACCAACTCAAGTTTGCTCTGTTAGCCTATGTAAATTGCTCTGTTGAGCCATATTGTCTTAAACTGATCCAAAATTGTAATCAAGATTTGTACCAGTTTTGCTTTTTACACATTTCTTCTGCATCTCAATTTGAAGAAGCGGTTGCGAGTGAAACACTATCACTACATTTCAGTAAAGATTTATTTTTCTTTTTATTATTTTCTTGTTCTTCCCAGTTCCACAATGTGAGCCAATTGTGGTGAATATTGCTTAATTTTTACTGGAAAAATTCCTTCCTGGTTTTCTGTATGCTTGTGTTATTTTTCCACACCCCACTTATAAATGATCATATTATTGTTATTTCAGGGATAGCACTTCTCATAAACGTAAAACCATTGTATGTAAGTAATAGCAAAATAATTGAAAACATCTTTGATTATTTACATTAAAGGAAATTCTCTAGGTTTTAAAACACTTGTTTTTCAGGTTGGCTGGTCTTCAGAAAATAGCTTTTTGTTTTATCAGTAGCTTTAAAACCCCCATGGTATGAAAGATTCTTTCTTCAAAAGACAGACATTAGCTGTTGATACTTGGCACTGATTCTAGGTGAAATGCAACCCTATTCCTTTCAACAGCACTTTTTTAATTATAAGACAAAAAAAATTGAAGATCAACTGAGTATTCTCACTTTCACCTATTTTCAGCCTTCCCCCGACCCAGGAGGTACATTTTTCCCATGGGAAAAAGTACCCACATAATTTCCAGCACTTCCCTAGTCCTAGGGTCAAAGATGCAAATAAACGTGTTGACACCTTTAATGAAAAGGATATAGTCGCTCAAAAGTATTGCTCTGACATTTTGTTCTCCTTCTTCACTGCCATTTCTCCATCAGCTTTTCTTCTCTTTTCCACTGTGAACCAGAGTCAGTTTGATGAGTAATAAGTGAAAAGCGAAATCTTTGTGGGCTTCCCAGGCAGGAAAGGGCACTGGAAAGAGAGACAAGACCTCGAGCAAAACAAAGCAAAAAGGCAGCAGAAAACTCACCAATATACTTGCTTCTTTAGTTTATATTTCTAAGTTATTTTGTAAGCTTACCTCATCTCACCTAGCAATTCAAATCACACACAAAAAATACAGTGAAATAATACGTTAGCACAGGAAAACTAGAATTAAAAAACAAAGTCTAAGAAAAGGCCTCACAGTGCTTGTGCTGTACACAAATTTCAATATTAAGGAAAACTTTTCTTTAAATCTTTAGAGTTTTTACAAGAGGTTAGCCAGTGCTCCGATGCTGTGAAATAGTACTTATTATTTCTGGAGTTTAATATGATGTTGACCCTGCATATTTTATGACTTTGATTTTTGATGAATAATTTAAAACTATTTTTAGAAGAAAATATTTATCTCTAACATCTAAAAACTTAGAGAAACAGGTATATTTTTAAAAGAATACATACCTGTTAAATGGTGTTTTTAGCATTGATCAGAACTCAGGCAAATTCCTGTTCAAAAGAACAAAGCACAACATTTATAGGGAGCTTAGTTTTCAGTGCAGAATTCATATACAGATTTTTTTAAAGGAAGTAGGTTTTTGTTGAGAGTAAAAGGTAAATATTGTACCAAGACAGAAGCAAGGATACCAGAAGCCGTAATTGATACTGAGGAAATATGAGAAAAGTAGATATTTCTTAATTCTTCAGTTCTTTTCCTCCAAATTGGAAGGGCAGAATGGGCAAGAATGGAGCTGGACACACAATAGTAGGGACTATGGCACGCCAAACTTGCTTCAGACACAGCTAGTTAATTTTGTAAGTCTTAAATAATACTAGAAAACAAGCCTCTTTCAACCTTTTCTCCAAAAGGTTGAGAGTTAGGACAAATGTAAAATGCTGCTTAATGGGCACAAATAAAACAAGAACATCAAACTCATTTCACTTAGTGTCAGTCCTGATGATTCATCATTATGGTCAGGGCGAACTCTGGTCTTTGGGCCGAAACAATTTTATCCATTAAAAAAAAATCCAGAATGTTCCAGCTTGAATCTTATATCCTTAGGGTTACAATATTGAATTCCGAATCGGGAAACTTAATCTTGCAGCCAGATTTGACAAGATGCTGGTTGAATGGTGGGCAGAAGTGATGATTGTGGGATGAAATGCCCTAGGTCAGAATTTGAGAAAAATAAGAGATTTTGTGAAAGTTTGGCTGTGATATAAGAATGCCAAGTTTGAAAATTTCTCTCTGTTCATATCAGCAGATGGTGTTCCAGGGTCTTAAAAGTAAATCTCTGCTGTATTCATTTTCTCTGTTTCAATATTTCTTGAACAAAGTGAGTCTTTACACATTCTTAGGTGCATTTCTTGGTGTATTTCTAGAACTGCTAATACAAGAGGTGTTTGTAGTAATATTCAGAAGGTTTCTGGGAACGAAGGCTAATATGGCTCAAATCCCAAACAGTCCTACATTGTTCCTAGGTAATATATTAATCCTCAATTCAAGAACTAAAGTTGTGATTTCTTTTCTGAAAACTTTTTTCATTTGTAAACAAACCTATATCTAGATTCCTAGTGACGAAAGAATTTAGAGTAAAAATGAAAATGAGGCAGTCTAGCAATCTAATTCATTAACACACACGCACACTCACAGACATACTTTAAACATTTTGGGAATACTTGACTATTTAACCTCTAATAATCTAAAAATATTTTGTCTCTGTTTTCAATCTTAGTACCTGAAAAAATTATGACAGATGTTTACTTAAAATACTCCTCTCAACTTGGTTGAGAATGGAAAAATACTTTGCAACTTTTTTGTTTTTGTTTTGAGATGAGGTCTTGCCATGTTGCTGAGGCTGGCTGTGAACTCCTGGGCTCAAGAGACGCTCCCACCTCAGCCTCCTGAGTAGTACTTTGCAGCTGTTAAACATCAAGTTTGTGGTAAGAATTCGAGTACATAGTCGATTGGAAAACTGCAAACGTATGAATATTGTGGTTATTTCCTTCCAAAAACAGGGGGGCTCTTTGGTTTGCAATGTACTGCCATTTGTACTAGTGCTGAAACCTATCAACTGCAATTGCTTTCTCCCTTTCTACCTTTATTTATCAAATAGAATTTAAACAGCTAGTTCAGGCAGAGAGTGGAACATCTGAGTAAAAGTGACAGTACATGAACGCAATTCTTATATGCACGTGATTGAAGTGAGTTAATTACATGGTAGACTCCTATGAGTATTTTTGAATTTTTTACTAAAAAATTATAACAGTAATTTCTGCATATGGCAAACCATTGCAATAGCACAGAATAATATAAAGTGGAAAGTAAAGTATCCTGATTCCACTCGCCACAAATAACCACTGTTAACTATTTCTTATATATCCTTCCAGAGATTTTCTGTGCATGTATATGCAATCCTTACACAACCCAAGTAGAACTATACTATACATAGAGTTCTGCAACTTACTTTTACATATAAAAAATATTTTGAACCTCTTCTCATGTGACTATGAATAGATCTGCATCCTTCTCTGTAGTACTCCCTTTTATGGATATACAGTGATTTATTTAACCAGTTCTCTCTTGATCTAGCTTTTAAAAATAAGTTAGTCTCTGCAATCAGTCTAACAAGTAGAGAAGTTTCATTTCTCTTAACATAAAAGATTTCAGAATTTTCCAAATAGGATTTGTTTGAGCAGAAGAACTCATAAATAGTGTCTCCTGAGAGAAGGTTAAGTGTAATGTTAAAAGTGAAGAGTAGCTTTATGCCACAAGAAAAGATACTTATCATCTATATATTGAATACTCAAACCAATTAAAATAGCAATAAAGATCACAATATTTTATTTAGTAACAAAGAGGTAAGAATGACAGAGAATGGCGTAAAGAGCTGGTTCTCAGTCAGACACACTGTGACTTGAAAACCTTTATGTTTGCTCCAAGCCACCAAACTCAACTGAACAAAATGCTTGTTATTTTCTTTCATGAGCCTCAATGCTGTTTATTAAGATAATTGACATAGATGTATGTTTCCAATGCATGATTCAGTTAGTGTATCTAGATTAGTGAAAAAGAGACCAGAAGAAATTCATGGTAATTAATGTCAGTTAAATTTCTGTTTTCTGTATTTCATATTGTCAGACCAATCCTTCAACCCTGATTCATAAGTTAAATAATGCAGTCACAAGCAGGGCTAAATAAAAACATGTAATGAGACTTAGCTCTTGAATTCTACTAATTTAGGGTTCTGAGAAGGTAGACAAAGTGTACATTATTGAAATATTCCAGAGAATGTAAAAAGTTATGTTTTACGTTTCTTTTAGGATATGTCTCTGCTCGTTCTCTTTAATTACGTCACCTCACATATACTAAGAAGACAGTAACGTAGGTGGTAATGAAATCTTATATTTGAATAAAAGATGGGAGTGTGAGCTGACCATGCCATCTTTCCCTACACAGACTTCCAGAATTGAGCCTATGGAACTGTCCATTGGGTAGGTGTGTTCTTTTTCCCTCTTGTTTCTTCCTTCCAGATGCTAAGACAAGTATGCTTCATCTGTAGATTTAAAGGTAGCTGGCTTCTTTGCCTGGAGCTTAAAACGGGCTTTTAAGAACAAATTGCAGAGTATGGCTTTAATATTAATGATCTTCTTTGAACCCCACAGCTTTAGAAGTAAGTACAGATCATCATCCCCATTTTATAGAAGTGGAAGCTGGCTCAGAGAGGTTATGTGTCTTATTTGTAGCCATATTGCTAAGGAGTGGAAGAAATGAGACTTGAACTCATGTCATTTTCTAAAGTTTCACTGTTTCCCTCTGCCTGCCTTTTAGAACCACCAGGGGAAACCTTTAAAAATCTACTGATGTGAAGGACTCATTCTCAGAAATTCTGGTTCTATTTATCTGGGTGGAGCTTGGGTATTAGTATTTTTAAAAAGCTTTACAGGTGATTCTAGTGCACTCTATACCCCTATGAAAATTGAACAATGTAACCCCTCCTGCCCCCCGCCAATCATAAATCAACAGCAGAAGAGGAATGGAGGGAATGTAGTCTGGTATTCATTTCATGTATCCCTGTGTGTCTGTGTGTGTTTCAGTGGGGCTGTTGTAAACTTTCTTGAATGTCTAATGTTTAATACTATTTTTCATCCAGAAAAGGGCTAAATATTTACCCATCCAAAAAACAACAGTAGTAATAATCTACCAATAAGTGAGCACTTACTAGGTGCCAGGCACTTTGCTGGTATAATTTAATCCTCACGCCAGGTCTGTAAGGTAGGTACTGTTGTTATTTCCATTTTAGCAAGTAGAAAGCTGAGGCTAAGGACGTGGCGCAAGGCCCTGCAAGACAGTAAGTGGCAAAGTTGGAATTGGTCCGGAGAATGCTGGAGACCAGGTATAAATCCTTAATCATATGCAAAATCACACAATTGAAACATGGCCGTAACATTACCTGTGGAAAGTGTCATCTCTTTATGAAAGCTGATTTCATTACAGCAACATCTCATTTACTCCCTCCCTGACTTCCTCCTTCCTTTCCTCTTTTTCCTCCTCCTACTGTTGCCATCAATAACTGTTGTACTTGGGCTCCAAATGGTGTCCTGGAAGATGATCCTTTTGTAAAATGTAAAATGGTAGACCCGTTGGGGAGTGGAAGGGTGGAGGAGCAAATCGGTGCTCTTTGATAGCTTTCGTCAAAGAGCTGCTCCTAACTTTGAGGCTAGGAGCCACACTAGCCTCAAATAGTTGATGTCCCAATCCTCCATGAGCTATGCCTTTAGATGTGTCCGACTTCAAATACAGTGTCCCAAGTTATTTTCACAAATAAGTTTGTAAGTGCCCCATGTCACAGTCAGATGCCTTTAGACTTATAAAGTAATCTGAGTACAGAGATGTATAAATTCTCTGAATAAATAAATTATTCTTTTGTTAAATAATAATTATTTAATTGTTTAATAATTAAAACTATTCTTTTATTAAAATTATCACCTTTAGTAAATAGGGCAGCCATAAAACAAATAAGATCAAAAGCTAAGATGGTTTCATAAGTGACATAATAGAATAGATATTTGGGATTATAAAATAGCATTTGAGAGAAATCACACCTTTTCATGATCAGTTTTAATAATTTTTGCAATTTGCTTCACTTTGTTTCTCAAAGCTGGAAGAAATTTTTTAGGGATAAATTATTTGAGTGACTTTAAGAAGTGATTTGGAAATATCTGTTAAAAGTATTCTTTAACTCTCATTTCTGCATATGAGAGTTTACCTATTAATGCATATAGAGGTTATACAAATAAAATATATCCTGAGAAGTAAGATATATATATATATAGAAAGAGAGACAGAGAGAGAGTAGTAGGATATTAGGCACTGTTCTGTGTGTGTTTGTGTGTGTGTGTGTGTGTGTGTGTTTGTGTGTGTGTGTGTGTGTGGAAAATTCCCATGCGTAATTTCAGGAAAGGCTTGAAAACAGGTTCATATCTTTAAAATGCTGATGGAGTCTGAACTATTTGAGATTCATAGCCTCAGGAACTCTTTTATCTTTTGATAAATTAACATTCTGTCAATCATCTATCATCTGTATATCTATCATCTTTTAACTGATTAAGATTCTTGCCTAAATTTGAAATCAAATTCCACTTATTTGCAAGATAAGTTTGTTTTCTCCATCCATTCTTCACAAAAACTCAACAAAATTCTGGCCAAATATATGTTGGCACTTCTAAATTCATTTTTATGAAATAATTGTATTGTATCATTAAGGATTATGGTGATATGAAGTCAGAGGATTCTACCAAAAAAAGTATATCTTAACTCAAATTTTGGA